>NC_000008.11:101339222-101964222 GCF_000001405.40 Homo sapiens | reverse complement strand
GTGTGTCTAGAGGCAAGCCATTGGGTTCTGTCCTTCTATTCATAGGTGAGAGGTGGTGAGCAGTCTGGAAACTTGAGAATAAGATAGTTAGAAGAGAGCCATGATCAATATTTTTGTATATTTCAAGATTTTTAAATGCGTGGCTTAAGAGAATATCATTACAACTAGTGACTGGAAATTAAAGAAAGGCATATTTTAGCTCATTACAAATAATTTAAAATAATAGGATGTACTGCCTTGGAAGGACATGAAGTTCCATTAAGTATAAGAGGCTGGTCATTTCCTGTCATGGATTTTTTTTCAGTGGAAGTAGAGGAGACCATTAAGATCCTTTCCGTATCAGTGAGACTGTGAACTACTGTACCACACTATTATCATGATTGACTTCTTAGTAATATCTTTCCAGGTGGTTTCTCTCTTCCTGAGATTGCAGGGCTGATAGGCTGTGTTTGTGATGCCCTCATTTGAATTTACAGTAGCTTGTTGTGCCAATAAGGAACTTACCTTCTAGACCCACTGTTATTAGGTTTGTTTTTCAGTTGTAGGTATAAAAATTGGATATTTATTGGCTCATATAACAGAAAGCTCATAAGAAGAGCAAGTTTCAGGAAAAGGTAGATCCAGAAACTCGAATATATTATCAACACCCAGATTCTTTCCATTCTGTCATCTGCCATTTGCAGTGCTAGTTCTGTCCGGCAGCAGTTCTGTCCCTCATTGTGGAAAGTGATGCCAGCAACAACTGGAGTCACATGCTTCCTTGGTCATGACTTCAGGAGTTGATAGGTTGCAGGAAACAGAAGTGGGAAGTCTAGTGCCATGTTAAGGAGATCTAGACAAGGAAGTGGAATAAGTGGGGTGCAATGAGATGAGAGGAAGTCAAAAAACCAGGAAAAGGAGATTGGATATGTGTGCTCAGTAATTAATAGTTTCTTAGGTTCTGGAGCAGAGGTATGGCATAATGAAAATCATGTTTAGAAGGTCTAACTTGGTGCCATTTCATTTCGAAGAGGCTTTAGTGAAAAGTGGCCATGACTTGAAAAGAGGTTTCCTTTTTGAGGGTCTTTCAGTGATGTGTTAGAGTAGTTCATAAGAGTTTATAAAAGCCAATTGTTAAATTTTCAGGAATTTTGTATGCCAGCTATTAAACTGTTGGCAGCCTGAAATGGACTGTGAAGAAGTATTTACACCATGGAAATTGGCAAAAGGTATGAATCAGGGCTCTTCCCCTTCATAAAGCCAATTTACTACTACATCACAGGTATTTGGCAATACATCTTTTTGTTTTGTTTTTTTTGTTTGTTTTTAACCTGCCCCAGGATTATGAGAAATCCTAGTAAATAGAAAGAAAAAATAAATTATAAGCCCAAAATAATATCACAGAAACCCCCATGGGGTCAATTATAAGTTATTGCTCTATGAGAAACAAACCTAATAATCTATTCTCCTTTATTCCAAATTAATATGGACTAAGTTTATTTATTTCAAATGCCTCAAAGGCTTAACTCTAACTTAGTGCTTCTCAAACTTTAGTGTGCATGTTAATTACCTGGGGATCCTATAAATGCAGATTCTGATTTAATAAATCTGAAGAGTTGTCTGAGATTTTGCATATCCAGCAAGATCCCAGGTGATGCCATTGCTACTGGTCTAGGGACTTTGAATAGCAAGGATCCAAACCTCTTTCTGCCACTGAATTTGTAATCTGTTGCAGGAGAAAAGGGTAAAGGAAGCAGGCTGTTGGAAGCATTAAAACTAATTTGACTGAAGCTAGGTGCTGCATAGGCCAGCAGCCAGATTGGCTTGAATGGCTTTAGCAAATCAAGAAATGAAAGCAAGCTGAATGGAAGAGATGTTTATCCTTCTTTTGTGTTTGTTTCTTTGTAGATAGATCATATATTTTATTGGACTATCAAGGTAACAAGATGAATTACAGACTCGCAACTGGAGTTTGGCAGACTGTGCCATGACACAGCTTTGTCTATAAGACACATTGCATTGTTTTCAAACTTGTTGCCCAGGAGTCATTTTTCAAGGGTGAATTATTGCCAAGTCACTGAGTTTGGTGTCACTGAGGAGATTATTATGGGTTTTTGAGTGGTTAAGTATGGACTTCTGCATTTTTTTTTAAATAACAAAATGAATAAGCCACAGTTTGGTCCTTTGCTTTAATAGTGTTTTTAGGAACTCTCTCTTTTGAGATAAACTGATGTCTCTTGGACTGTAGATTTTCATCTAGGGTTTTGAAATTTCACTAAATATATCTGAGTGAAATGCCAGATTTTACTGCTTTTTCTGAGGTTTCTCTGGATTCTGTTTTGATAAATATTTCACTGTGGCCCAAGCCAAATGACTGTAAAGCTAAAGCCAGCCTCTGTTTTTTCTTTGGAAATTAGAGTAGGGGAGAGAGTTGAGGTAGAGTGGAAATGCTGGGACCCTGTAGAGTTGGCGAGAATGTCCTTTGTAAATTTGAATTAAAAGTAGTAGTTAGCATGCTAGACACAGTGGCTCACACCTATAATCCCAGCTACTTGGGAGGCTGAGCCAGGAAGATATCTGGAGGTCAGGACTTCAAGACCAGCCTGGACAACATAGTGACACCCTGTCAATAAAAAATAAAAGTATAGTTAGCAAATGGACACCAGATCCAAAATACCCCAGCAGTACCACAGTCAGCCTTTCAGAGATGCTGCTTAGGCAACAGTAGTTCAGTTTTTACCAACAAAGGACTAATTTATCGTTGGACAGGACTGGAAACTTTGACCATGAGATAGAAAAAAACTATTGAACTTGAATCCTGGAAGATACCTGAGAAATACTCAAATTTACATTGCAGGATTTATAGATGAGGAAACTAAAGCTTAGAGAATTTTATGGCTTGCCCAAAGTTACCCTGCTTGCTGGAAACAGAGCCAAGGCTAGAATTCAGTTTCCCTGATATTTTTTATTATACCACAATGTTATTGACTTATTATCTACCAGATTCTGTGCTAAATATTTTACTTATATTATCTCATTTGATTCTCATCAAACCATCTGTAATAGCTAGCATTCATTTATTCATTTATGCCATACATATTTATTACACACCTACCATGTGCCAGCCACTGTCCGAGGTACTAGGGATACAATCAGCATTACGGCACTCATATTCTTTCTAATGAGAACAGTAGACAATGATTAAATAAGCCAAAATGTGATCCTTTAGATAGTGATGAGTGCTATGGTGAAAATGAAACAGGCTGTTATGATGATGGTGGGTGCCTGAAGAGTAAGAGAATGGCTTCAAATTAAGGAGGTGACATTTGGGTAGAGACC
Organism: Homo sapiens; assembly: GCF_000001405.40. Lineage (NCBI taxonomy): Eukaryota > Metazoa > Chordata > Mammalia > Primates > Hominidae > Homo > Homo sapiens. Next base: position 101,960,904 of record NC_000008.11, on the reverse strand, counting down.
TAAGTGACAAGAAGAGTGTCTCAGGCAGAAGAAACAGCAAATGCAAAGCCCCACGGAGGGAAGGAGCCGGTATATTCAAAGAATAGAAATCAATCAGAGTGATCAGACTACATTGGTGAGGGTAAAAGTGAAATAAAGGGTCCTCAAAACCAAGGCAAATTGCTAAGGGAGTGGAAAGCCTATGGAGGGTTTTGAAAGCAAAGGAGCAAAATGATCCAATTCATGGTTATTATTGTTCCTTTTCTATCACTTCCTCATTTTACAAGTGAGAAGTCTAGGTTCACAGAGGTTCTGTGACTTGCCTAAGGTCATCCAGCTGTTAAGTGGCACAGGTGTCACCAGATCTGATTCAAATAACTCCAAATCCCATGCTGAGCTGTTTCCATTTTTTCCGATACCAGTTTTCTCCTCCACTAGCCACACTATTCCTACTTGTAAAACAGTAATGCCATCATGTTAAATGAAATTTTTTGATTTGAAGTTTTTGATACAATTATTTTTTCCTGAAAAATGGGTTGGGGGCAGTGTGTTTCACTGCATTCTACTCCATTCTTCACTGCATCCTACTCTACCGAGGGAACTTATTTTTTCCCTGGGTAAGTTCTGATGTTTAAAAGTCCTCTAGCAGCTACTTCAATGAGTTTTTTGTCTGATTGGTGCTGCCATTATCTTTTGGACACTGGCCAAATGCACCAGAATGGTATGGTGGGCTCTGGTGCATCTCAGAAAATGTATAGAAAATAGAAACGAATAATGTGGGAGCTCTTTAGTGTCCTTTCCTGCAAGCCTGAAAGAATTAGCAAATGGCATCATCTAAAGGCAGGCTCAGTCCTCTTCTATCCTTCTGGACCATGTTAGCCCAAAAGCCATTAGATAGGGCTGAAGAAGGTAGGTGTTCACTCAGCCTAGGTATTGTGGAATAGGAGAGGGATGCTTTGGTGGTTCAGGAAGGACGTTGGAGCCCAAGTGGGATGAAGAGGTGTCTGTACAATCCTAAGGTATTGAAGCCTGAGGGGGTGAAAAGGTGTCTGCAGTAGGGAGGGTGGGTGGGTATCAGCAGCAGTGAGCCATCGCTATGAGCACACCTAGTGCCCAGATGTTGGTTCCTAAATACCATTTTCCACTAAAAGAAACTAGTGATCTTTAGAGAAATTACAGATTTCAGAACTAGGGCAGGCAAAGTACAAGTTGAGCCTGCAACAACATGTTGTGCCAAAAAGTAAGCCTCAAAGAATGATGGGGATGTTTCTGTAGGACCTAGTAGCCTGCTGGATGGACCTCCCACTGGCTAAATCTGGAATAATCTGAATATCAAGAAGAGTGATAACAGATTATAACTCAGTGAATGAGACAGGAATCTGAGTTCACAGTAATATAAATAAATTAACAAATAACTGGAAAGTTTTTTGAGGACTGAGATATTTATGCAGTCTCAAAGTACCTTCTTATGAAATACCTACATATTACAAAAGAAAAATGAGTAATTTACTCTGGTGTGTCTGCCAGGTTTCTCCAGCTAACATCACCTTGAATGAGACAAATTGAAATTTTGTGCCACCTGCAAAGTCCAGATAGAAGGACACAGCATCACTTCTGGGATGTTACCACCAAAGATGCATAACTTGAACCTAATTGTGAGAATACATCAGAAAAACTCAAATTGAGGGCCATTAAAAAAAAATAACTAGCCTGTAATCTTCAAAAATGCCAAGTTCATGAATGTCAAGGACAAGAATCTGTTGCAGATTGAAGGAAGATAAATAGCCATGACAATTCAATGCAACCAGTGACTCAGAACTGCCTCCTTTTGCTAGAAAAGACATTGTTAGGACTAGTGGATGAACATAAATGGGGTCTGAGGATGAGATAGTAGTATTGCTTCAGTATTTTGTTTCACAATTTTGATGTTCATATTGTGGTTATAGGATTACTACAGTAAAGCATTCATGGAATGATAAGGAAAAATACCAGCAACTTACTTTCAAACGGCTCAAATGTGCTGTTTCTGCAACTTTTCTGTATATTTGGAATTGTTTCCAAATAATACATTTAAAATATAAAATAAAAGTGGGCTAGGAGTTCAAGGAATTGGCATCATTCATATACTGTCCAGTTGTATTTATACTGAAACCTTGTGAAGCATGCTAGCTCTGAAACCAGGTATCCAGGTTCAAATCCTATTTCTGAGTGTCCTTGGGTGAGTTATTTAGCCTCCTTGTCCTCAGTTTTCTCTTCTGCTAGAGCAGTTGAGGGATAATGACCCATTTTTTAGGATTGATAGGAGATTTTAGTGAGACAATCACACAAAGACCCTAGAACAGGTTCTGGCATATGGCAAACAGTCAACATCTCTTAGATATTGTTCTTATTATTTCGTAAGCAGGTAAAACATCTATGTAATGTAGCCCCCTCAGTCCTTTAATAACACAGCTCCCTTGAACGAACTCCAAGGAGTTTTCTCCTTGGGCTCGATTCCTCCCTACATCAGTGATGTAATAACGAAGCTTCAGTTTATGTGACCAATTATGCTGTACGAGTAAATTCCTACAAGCATTATGAGATTAAGGTAACAGGGTTAAAGATTTTCCTAAAAGCTCTTAGGAAGCCTGTTGGTCCATCCTTGGCCAACTAGATGTAATTGTGTGATTTGACCAGACAAAAACATGTCGATTACAAGTGCCCACAGCCAAGACTATGGAGATCCAAAAGTTAATTTCTCTGAATTTAGAATTGCTCATTATAATTCCATTTCTAGAACTGGAAAGGACCTCAGTGATTACTTGTTCTACCCTCTCATTTTATAGGTGAGAGGACTGAGACCCTGCATGGTGAAGGATGCCCCAGGTGGGATCATACCATCAGAGTTTGAACCCTGAGCTACGCTGACACAGAAGTAAAATAGTATGGGCGATGCTGAGGTCCAATAGAAAAAGTGTTTCTGGAGGAGAAGTGCACATCTTTTTATGGTGGTGGTAGGAATTTACTAGTTTCCAAGTAAGGGACCTCTGCTGTGGGGTACCTCGATCTATGACACCCCAGCCTGGGGGCTCCATTCCAACAGCCTGGTAGGGTCTCAGCTCTGAAATCTCCCAGTTTTTCTTAGGAGATCTGCATTACATGTCTCACACCATAGACAAAGCACTGTCTCATCTTTTACTTGCCATCCTTGTGTTCCTTCAGGCTCTTGTTTAACCAGACAAGGTGTCAGGCCTTAGCATTGGACTCCTGACTGATCTCTTCTGATTCAACGGTTGAGCCAGATTCCTCAAGTGCTCTGTTCACTTTGTGTCCCTTTCACATTTTAGGAGACTCCAACTATTTTTGGTAGGAAAACAAATATCCTCCAGGCTGCCAGCGAGTTTTCCAAGACACATCCTGATTCATTATACAGCTACCAAGATACAAAGCCCTAAAAATAGGGAACTTGCTTAAATCTTTCATTTGGCATCAGGATGCTAAGTTCATGTTAACTGCAGTCAGTATTTTAGACTGATTTCATTTGATTTCCTGGGTATTATGCTCTTTGGCTGCGGAGGGCAACTTCTTGTTTATCTTCATCTCTGCTTGGCTTCAGATTAAGGCTTTGTGCTAAAAAAAAAAAAAAAAAAAAAAAAACCCCAACTTTTCTTTTTACTACCCATCTGTTTAATAATTATTTTCTTTTTTCCTTTTTTAAGCTTACTTGTTATGCTAACATTACTCTAAATAGAATGTTTATAATTGATTGCATTGCTCATTTTTAAAGTTTTTCCCTTTTTGTTTAATTAGAATTTATGGTATGCCAGAACTAGATCCCTCTCAACAAAGCAAGAATCAAAATTACTTTCAAGCATCCCAGTGGGTTAATGACAGGGTCTGAATTTATCTCTGAGCTCCATTAAGGAAGAAACCTTTCCTGTTTTCATTTATTTCTTTGGGAGGGGGGATTAACATTTCATTTAAATATGGCATTTTCAGAATTTAACTTTTCCCTAATTGGTATCTCTATATTTTATTAAATTGTAAACTTCAGGTAGAATGCATTTTGAGAATGAAAGTGAAGTGCAACCATTACATGATTGTATACTTCCAGCTGGGCACAATGGTGTGGGCTAGGTAAAAGGGATTTCAGCCTTATGAAGGGTGTTCTTTTTTCAATCATTTTTCTTACTCAGTTTTGTGAGGTTATGTAGGGGACTTTTACCTTGTTGTACATATAATTTCTTGACTGTCATCCAAGTAGGCATTATTTAATGGTCCAGAGTAGATAGTCTCTCTCTCTGTGTGTCTGTCTCTCTCTCTCTCTGTGTCTGTCTCTCTCTCTCTCCACCTCCCTCTCCCTATCCCTCTTTCTCTCTCCCCTAACCGCTTCCTTCCTCAGAATATATGTAGATACTTACGTGTACCTATATTGCTATAAAATTTCAAAGCACTTGCCTTCGGTGTGTGTTTGCAGTAGCATTTGTGGCTTAGAGACAGTTGGGGATTAGTGATTACTGTGACTTGGATAGTCTCACTCTGATTAGGTGTCTCTTTCTGCCGGCTATGTTTGGGTAAACTTGGAGAAACTGGTTTGAGTTGATTCATTTAAACATAGTCATTGGCCTCACATTCTAAAACATGTTACCTTTCCATGCTTGGCATGTAACCAGCCTGAGATTTTCTTGTGTTTTGGCTGCAGAAGATAGGAAAACCATGATTCAGATTCAGTGCTGGCCAAATGAAGTCTCTTTGGGGGTGGATAAGCAATGTTCCTTTTACATCCATGATTTATTCATTATATCAATCATGAGAGTATGGGGTTACTTTAAATTATAATTTCAAACTTATAGAAAAATGTCAAGAATAGTACAAATATTTATTCTAATTCCCTTACCTAGATTCTCCTATGGGTTCACATTTTTGCTTGTTTACTTTCCATCATTTTCTGTTGCTTTCTTTCTCTGTACGTTTTTTTCTAAACTACTGGGAAGTAACTTGAAGATACCACATCCCATTACCCTTAAATACCTGAGTGTGTATTCCTAAGATTGAGCATATTCCTTTCATAACCACATTACCATGATCAATATTAGGAAATTAGATACTACAATACTAGTATCTAAGCTACAGTCTATATATAAATTTTGTCAATTGTCTCAATATCTTCTATAACTATTTTTAAGATCAGTTATGTTTGAAAACACTGAGTTTTGATTTTGCTACCTCTGTGTTTAGCCATTTCTCCCCTCCTTATTGTATTTAATTAAACCGAAAATAGATTAAGAATTATCTTGTTTCTAAAGTACTAATTTATGTTTTACTGGAAACTTTTATAAATATGTGAGCCCAAGTCACTTAAGGGCAGAGTCTGTTATGTTGTTAAACACTGTATTTCCTAGAGTCCTTAACTTACTGCCTGTTTTTGCAAAATGAGCAAATGGGTAAGAGTCACATTTTAGACCCCAGATGTCTCAGCTTCCTAATTATTAATGATCTGTGACTTTTATTTTTTCAGAAGAGTCATGTCCTTGGGCTTCAGCTTTTGCCTTGTTCTAGGCTCCAAGATAGGCCCAGTAAGTCTACTTTTTAGTGAGATTTTATATATTCACATTTGCCCTCTCTACGAAAGAGAATAGTTAGTGGACTCTCTGGAAGGCACTTCCCTTTTGTTTCCCTAGGGCCAACGTCCTCCCCCCTTCTAAAATATAAAACTAGGTCTAGGGACTTATTGTTCTATCCCTATATTCTCATTTAATTAAGACTGTGAGGCATTTGGCGATACTTTCTCTTTAAGCTTCTTCTTCACTCTCGCCTTATTCATTGCTTCTGCCATTTATTCACTTGGCAAGACAGCAGTGATCTGAAGGGGAGAGTGGCGGCTATGGGATGGAGGAAAGATCTCTGGGTTCTGAGTGACATGAACTAAGCCAAATCCTGGCTCTCTTATAGGCTGTTTGTGTGCCAAAATGGGTCAGAGCTCCATTTTGCAGATAAATAACTGAGGCTCAGAGAGGATCAAGGACTTGGGGGAAGCCATAGATCATCTATCAGAGGCAAGACTCCTCGTCCCAGCTCTGCAATACTTGTTCATGAAAATATTATGATTCTAGAATCATGCATGGCATTTATGATGATGATAATGATGATTCTTATTTCTATATTATCTTTAGCATAAGTTATAGTCTACTAGTCTATTTACACTGCCAGGAATGGCGAGTCAGTTTTGTCTCGAGTGCTAACTGGATCACTTTGTAGGGTCTGCCTGGAGTGCTGTGGAAAGAGAACTCTGGCCTCAATCCTCTCTTCTCCTCCCTTTGTCCTCTCCTCTCTCTCCTCTTTTGCCCTCATGTCCAAATTGCTCTTGTTTGTTATTGCAGAACAATGCAGTCATCCTTTCGATTGAAAGAGGATGACGATTGTTTCCCTCATGGTAAGAGTATTTTTCTCTGATTAGAGGTAGAGAGAATGAATCAGGGAGAGGGGAGAAGTATGAGAGGTGGGTTCAGAAGGGAAAGAAAAGCAGAAAGCAGGAAGCCAGGAGAGGTCAGGGGAAATGAGGAGGGCCTCGGGCTCAGGGCTGGGAATATTTCTGCTTTCCATGTGGCATGACCCATCTGGGCAAGGGAGAAGGGGTCACTCACCGAGGAACTTTCAAAGGAGAAAACGTTCTGGCCTGAACAAAGTCCTGTCATATTCTACTGATGTCCAAGTCACCATCATGAGTTGCCATCCAAAATATGGATGAGTAAGAGACAGGCTTGCTCCTGAGGTCCCTAGGTGCTGAGGCTCCTTCTGCCATAGGACGGCCCATACCCTGGAGTGCACTTCAAATGCAGCTCCCACAGTACTTGCTATGAGTGTCTGCCATGTCGGCTGGATGCTAAGCCCTTAGAAGGCCAGGACTGTGTCTCTCTTTCTCACCATGGTGTCTACAGAGTCTGTGAGAGTTGCAGTGCAATTCTGTTGCTGACTACCTGGAGTTAGGTCAAGGGCTCTGCCCTCTACAAGACTTCTCTTATTTCAGACACTAGCCACAAGCTCTGGGATTGATGGCGGTTTTCCATCAGCTCCCAAAGCCCACAGGCCACCTGCACTTTTGACCAACTGGCTACAAATTTGGGAATTCCCATTACCCCCTCAGTTTTGATAATTTACTTCATTCAACAAAAGGTGACGCAGTCACAATTCTGTATGACAGAGATGGCTGTGCCCTCTAAAATCCACATGATCATCTTATAATAGCACCTTGGCCTAAGTTACTCTCCTTCCATCTCACTGAATGCAGTGTGCGTTTATCAAGTGCCTGTCATGAGCAAGGCTCTGGCTGAGCCCTGGTTCTCTTTAAACTGTTTTATTGCAGGACCCCCTTGAGATCTCTGATCCTTCATTTTAAACCCTGGCCCTTGCAGGGAGATTTTCTTGGATCTTGGAAAGGGCAGTTTGATAATTGCTTGTCATCTTTGTTTTACACACCATTTAGTGCAAGGTAGATTTTTGCTCAACTCTTAATGTCTCTCCAGATTGGAGGCAAGAGAGCTATTACAAAGATGATTGGCATAAGGTCAGGTCCTAACAGCCATCAGCTGACCCTCGGTTCACATCATGAAGACCTCTGAGGGACTGTGGCAACTTTGTGCCTCCTACAATATTCTTTAAGTTGGGAAGCACCAGCAATGAGAGACTCTTAGGTTGAGGAGCCACCGTCAGCAGCGGCTAGTCTTCATCTGGTGACAGATGAAATGGGTGACGGGGGTGAGCCACTGCCCCATCTGCCCCAGGTTGGAAGGGCTGCTGTCATTCTCCCAAATGTGAATGTGATTGTCCTGACAGCTACTCCACTCTGTGAGAGACTGGAGTCTTGGGCCAGCGCCAGAAGCATTCCTGTGAGAAATCTGGGCTTGTTAGCAGAGATCTAGGATGTGCAGCCACCCAAACTCCTCAAAACCCGTGGGGATGAAGGAAAGGAGGGAGATAGAAGGAAACACTGGGAAACAGAAAGTGTTACTTCTTAAAAAAAAAAAAGAAGTCTTGCTATTGCCTCTGACAGCCAGCTCTGTCAGTTGCATTTGTGGCCACACAGGCAGTTGGCAAGCCGGGCAGAGAACTCTGCTCTCATCTTCACAAGCTGCAGATCTCCTGTGCTCCCTTAGCACCCTGGAAAAAATTAGTCCCAGGGAACTATGCAGTGCCATCCACACTTAAGGGCCTCTGATCATCACAACATTCAAATCTTTCCCACTGTGTTTCTATCTTTCTCCTTAGCTGGGGTGTGTTAGGTGTGAAATTTGCCTTCAGGCCCTGTGGGCTTTGGGAGCTGATGGAAAGCCCCATTAAGAGCCTGCTGACAACACGGGTGCTCTCAGCTGTGACCAGAGATGAGCAGGGGACAACAGGCCTGGGGGTGTCAACACTGGAAATGATTCTCCCAGGAGGGCTGAGATGTGTCTGGTGGGTATTGCCTACATGGCTTTGCCTAGTGCCTGCAGCCCCCAAAACCAGGGGTAAGAGGAAGTGGGGTTCTGCCAGCCAAGGATGGATGGCAGATGAGGCCACAGGAAGAGGAGGTGCTGGAATCAGGAAGAGATGTCAGAGCTTGGCGGAGAAGAGGCAGTTTGTAAGGCTGGTAGATTTCAGCGGGGTCTGGTGTGAGAGGGAGCCGAGGAAGAAGATGTGAGTGGTCAGTTGTTTCATGGGACAGACTTGGAGTCCTGTACTTGCATTCTTTGCGTGGACAAGACCCAGCACTCTCAGTTCCCTTAGGAACAGAGGACAAGGAGGGCAGCTCTCTGGGGCTTCCTCCCAGATACACTCAGCAGTCGGTTCCCACTTGCCCTCCTGCCCGGCATCTTCCAGGGATTCCAAGAGGAGCTTGGGTCTAACACTGCCCTAGGAAGAACTTGCTCCTTTTTTTGTTGACATGATAAAAAAGTAATCAGAGAAATAAGGTGTTTAAACAATACTTTAGCCAGATGACCCCTTCCTCTCTCTCGCTTAGTCCAGGCATGGCTGTGCCTTGACTGACATTGGACTCCATGCTCTGGAGAGGACCAGGGGCTCAGCATGGAGGGTGCTGGCCACTTGGTCCTACCTGTGGATGCCTGAGGGACAGTCTGAAGCAGGACAAACAGACCACAGAAGTTCTCAGGCATCTCTGTAGCTTGAGGATCAGGATGGATATCCATCGTGGAAACTTATTGCTGAACGAGACCCAGGAAACTGAAGTAAGGGGGTTGAATGACTTAAGACCATTTATTTATTTGTTCAAGAAACATTTGCTGAGTACCAGGCACTGGGAGGAATGTTAAAATATGATACACACATGAAGTGTTTTAGGAATCACCTGCTCCAGAAGGCTCCAGTCATGACTGATGGCAGGCACGGGGCCTCGTCAAACCCAGGTGCCTCCAAATCAAGCCCCATCTGAGGCAGAGTTGAGCAGGAAGTCTGTGCTCAGCTTTAGTCCAGCCTCTGGTACGCTCCCTCCCTGACATTTGTGGAGCATGGCCTCTTCTCTAAATTCTTCCGTCTTCGCCAGCTCCTCACTGTCTTCACTCTAAGATTGCTGAAGGTGCTCCAGTTGCCTCCATCAGCATGCTGCCTGTACACCTCCCTGCTCAAGTCTTTGAGTTCATTAGGTATATTTTCAATCTTCCAAGTTACTGTAGGTAACAATTATACCAAACGTTTTGCCATTAAAAAACATGGGGTACCATTTTTCTAGCCTCCTATAATACTGTCCTCATCGTTTTTTCTAGCCTCTGAAAACATATATATTGCAACAGGTTGTAGTTATAATATATTGCTACCTGTGACCTATTCCCAAAACCAAGACCAACATTGGAAATGATTCTCCCAGAAGGAGGGCTGGCTGAGACGTGTCTGGTTGGCATTGCCTGCATGGCTTGGTCTAGCACCTGCGGCCTCCAAAACCAAAGGGTAAGAGGAAGTTGGGTACCTAGAAGTGGAATGCTGCTATAATAAAAACTACACACTGTAGTGTTTAGTACTTGTAGGTACCTATTGCCATCTGAGTCAACTCTGCTGTGGAACAAATAACCTCAAAATATCAGTGGCCTGTTACAGCTACAAGAGCTGGTTTCTAGCTTATGGGACTGCAGGTCGTCTGAGCTTGGTTGGGCTTGGATTCAAGCTGTGGGCTTAGATCAGGTCTGTTCCATGTGGCTTATTCTTCTTGGACCAACAGGCTACACAGGAATTCTCTTCTAGTGCAGTGTCAGACCTTCAATAGGAACAAGTGGGGGGACACAATGTCTTTTATAGCCCAAGCTCAGGCTTTGTTCACTGTACTCTGCCCACATTCCACGGGCCAAGGAAGTCTCTTAGCCAAGCATAACCTCACTGAGGCACAGATATACATTCTGCTTTTAGTGGGAGTGACTACAAATCACACAGCAGAGGGAGGGCTGACGAAATGGAAAGATAATGCAATCTATTATACTGCTGCATAGGAAGGCTCTCTGAGGGTCTGATGGTCTCTTAAGAAGACATCCAATGAATCTTCTTGCTTTTGGTCCCAACAAAATTTCATTACTGTTGTCTCTTTTCACATTTCCTACTTTTAGAAATGCCTGGTCCTGCTAATTCCTGAGCCATTTGGGGATTATGCAACGTAAATCTGGTTGCTTCTTGGCTTTCCGGCTACCGCCTTAGGATTCATATTTTCAGGTTTGTTGAGTCAGTCACCACTTGCCCATCTGCTTTCCAGCTTCCAAAATTTCATTACTGTTGTCTCTTTTCACATTTTCTTTGTCCTTGTGGGTTTATGCCTGTAATAAAATCCTTTTACTGTCATTTTTGTGGGGTTTGGGGAGAGAGCAAGGCTAAATGCATGTTTTCAATCCATCATCCTGTCAACCTGGCTCTTTCTTGACGTCTAAATGATCAGCCGCCTTTCCCTCTCAGCTGCTCCGGCTTTAATTACGTGCTGCTCAGAGCCCCTTGTTGCCTGGTGACAACCAAGTGGAAGAACTTTGATGAAGTGCCTGATGGATGGTGACTCACCTCTCAGTCTGGATGATTGTTGGAACACAATGTCAGCTGCAGAATAACCCTTTCTGACTCAATGTTGTGTCCACAAACACAGATTTTAAGAAACCAACCACCTCTTCAGAGTTTTGAATACATAATATCACCTGATTTTTTTTTTTGTCTCAACCTGGGGCATAAGGATCATTCAGTTGCTGGATTTTCTTAAGTTAAATTGCTAAAGAATACAAAACATAACCACTTGGTCTATTTGGATGGCCTTCAGTTATTTTCTATCAGCCCATTGGAAATGATGGGGCTGGGAAGGATACTCTGTAACTGAGAGTTTGATCAGCTGTTTAGTGTCTTTCAAATGTGGATTGACCATTGGAGCTTACCATATGACAGACGGGGAGGCCGAGTTATTAACATTTATTTCCTGATGTCGTTTGACCCACAGCCTCTCTAACAGTACCAGATATGTACTGCTAGCATAGCAGGAGTTCTGCAGGTGAAAGCCATCTTGAAAATGAATGGAAACATTTTTGGAGTGCTATGGAGACAAGGACCTACAAATGTATTTCCAAGCAGAGAAAGAAGAGAGACTGACCTGTGACGACTAGTGAACCTTCAACCAGATAACTAGGGTTCAAATCCTGAGTGTGCGTCTTACATTCTGCATGACCTTGGGTAGTTTTCTTGATCTCTTGGATAAGAAAACAGCTCTCTTTCCTCACAGGATTGTGGGGTAAATTAAAGGATCAATGAAAGCTTTTTGCTAAATGAAAGTTCTATGCAAATACAAGTCTTATTTGGGGATAGTTATGAATATAAGTAGCTTATACAAGGTGGGTAGGTAGTAAGCAGTTCATTTTTATGCACTTTTTATTACTTGGAACACGTGGCACCTGGCAGACTAAATGAACTCTATAAGATGTTTTCTGTAAGGTACACTTAACAAGAAGCACCTGATGGGCTCTTGGTACATGCCAGGTCCTGTTCTGAGCACTGTATACAAAGTAAGTCATCTGAACCTCAGAACCACTCTATAAGGCAGATTCTACAGATGTTGTTATCACCATTTTAAAATGAGGGAAACTGAGGCCCAGGAAGCTAAGTAAGTTGCTGAAGCTCATCTTGCTTACTAATGGAGCCAGGACTTCCCCATAGGCAGCCTGGCTCCGGGTCTTCAGGGTAACCTCCGCCCTGCACTCTGGGGTTGTGAAATGGCCGCCATGCACATTTCCTATTCTTTTCAACTGTTCCTTTCTAGGCTCTTCTTCCTTTGGTGGGACACAAAATGTTAATGTCTTCTGGGTTCTCACTCAGGCTTTATTCTCATCTCAGTACCCTCTCCCTGAGCAGTTGCTACTTATCCATGGTTTTAATCACCATCTATATGCTAATGACTTCCACATCTGTGTCCAACCCTGGTCTCCCTCCTGGTTCCCAGAGGGATTATTCAACTGCTTACTAAGTGTCTTGCCTTGGATACATTAAAATCACCTCCAACTCCTCATATCTAAAGTTTTACTCCTGATTTTTCTTCCGATCCACTAAGCCTTCTCCTCAGTCTCTGAGCACCCTTCACCGAGGTAGGTAGGAAGAGTCCTGAGATCATCCTTGGGTCTCCTTCTTCTTCACCTCCTATATCCATCCAGCTCATATCTAAGTCCTGTCAACTTGGTCACCTAAATAGCTCAACATTGTCTGTTTCTTTATATCTTGGGCCAATACCTTAGTCCAGGCCAGGGCCATCTCTTATCTAAATTATTGCAACGTCTTCCCCAAACAGTTTCCCTCCCTCAGTAGTTATCTCACATTGCAGTCAACAGGACTTTTTCAAGATATAAAACCCATCACATATTTTCCTGCTTAGAACTCTTCAAGGACTCCTAATGACCTTAGATAATGGCCAGCTTCCTTAACTTGGCTTCCAAGACTGGCCATAACCTGGCCACATCCTACTGCTTACCCTCAGATTTCAACACAGTTTTTCTTACATCTTTTTTCTACAGCCATTGTAAACTTCTTTCAGAATCTCTATGCACCTCTCTCTTGCCTCAGGACCTTTGCACGTGAAGCTGTTGCTTTTGCCTAGAACAGTCTTAATCCCTCACCCACTACACTTTTATGTCTAGCTCCTTGTCATCCTTCAGGCATTAACTGAAAGTGGAAACCTTTTCTGAGAAGTCTTCCTTGATTTTTCTAGCCTTTGTTAAGTGCCTTATACAAGAGGGCTTCAGAAAGTTCATGGAAAAATGGAATTAAAAGAGAAAAATAAAAAATATAAACTTGATTTCTCAGCATAAACTTCATCAAGGTCAATACAACTTTGTAAGTGATGATATCAGCTGTTTAGTCCATCCCCAAATAACTGAGGATCCTGGGAATTTATCCATGTCAATGCAGTCTTTTTTACATTATTAACTGAAAATGGGTTCTCTTTAATAATTTTTTTAAATTAGGGAACAGAAAGAAGTCAGAAGGAGCCAGATCATGACTGTAAGGTGAATGCCTAATGATTTCACATGAAAACTCTCACAAAATTGCCCTTATTTGATGAGAGAAATGGGTGGGAACATTGTCATGATGGAGGACTCTCTGGTGAAGTTTTCCCAGGCATTTTTCTGCCAAAGCTTTGGCTAACTTTCTCAAAACACTCGCATAATAAGCAGATGTTATCATTCTTTGGCCCTTCAGAAAGTCAACAAGCAAAATTCCTCAAGCATCCCCAAAAAACTGTTGCCATGACTTTTGCTCTTGACTGGTCTACTTTTGTTTTGACTGGACCACTTCCACATCTCAGTAGCCATTGCTTTGATTGTGCTTTGTCTTCAGGATTGTGCTGATAAAGCCATGTTCCATCTCCTGTTACAATTCTTTGAGGAAATGCTTCAAGATCTTGATCCCACTTGTTTAAAATTTCCATTGAAAGCTCTGCTCTTCTCTGCAGCAGCTGACCTGGGTGCAATAGTTTTGGCACCCACTAAGTGGAAAATTTGCTCAACTTTAATTTTTTAATCAGAATTGTGCAAGCTGAACCAGTTGAGATGTCTATGGTGTTGGCTATTATTTGGGTCATTAATTATCAGTCCTCTTCAATTAGGGCACAAACAAGATTTTTTTTTTTTTTTTTTTTTTTTTTGCTAATTGATGTGGATAGTCTCCACTGAGGGCTTTGTTTTCAATGCTATTTCATTCCTTCTTAAAATGTATTATTCATTTGTAAACTGCTGGTTTCTTTGGGACATTGTCCCCATAAACTTTTCATAAAGTGTGAACGATTTCATCATTCCTCCACCCAAGATTCATCATAAATTTGATGTTTGTTCTTGCTGCAATATTAGTAGAATTCCTGTTGCTCTGATAGGGCTCAATTGAAAATGATGTCTTATCCTTTTTAGTGACTCAAACTAGATACCGTTCTGACATGTTATAAAAAGTTAGTATGAGTTTATTTTGGTGCAAAAAAATTGAGCTCCATTTATAGTTTTTAAAATAATATGCATTTTCCATAAACTTTTTGAAGACTCAGTTTTACCTTTATGTGACACTGGCTATAATTTGTTGCAATTGGTTTCTTACTTGCCTGTCTCTCTGGCTACATTGTAAATTCCTTAAAGGCATGCTCCATGTAGGTCTAGCTCATCACTGTATCCCCTGAGATTAGCACAATGCCTGGCACATAACAGGAGTTCAATAATCATTTCTTGAATATTTAAATAATGTTATATAAAAACATCAAAGATTGTAAATTACCCCATTCTCAAAGTAAGACCCCCAAAAATTCATGCTCTTTTTTTTCATAGATCACTAAGTGAGAAGGCAAACTGAAGACGGAGCTTTGCTTTATTCAAGACATTGGGAACCAAAAGAAAGTAAAAGGCAGATTTTCCTCCATCTCTTTTTCAGAAATTCTGATGCCCTATTTATTAACTGGGATGCTTGTACTCCTAGGGAAGCGATAATATGGTGAGGAGACAATCATAGATGAGGTGGGAGGGCTTCTGGAGCCCGTTTCTAAATGCTTTGTGCCTGCAGAAAAAGGAGAGCATTGAGAACTTTTTTCTAAATGGAACAAAGGGTGTGACTGGCACACCATTTAGCCTCGTTTACCAACTCTTCAAACACTAAAATTCTTGCCTGGCAGGAGATAGGTTCTCTAGAAGCTTAGGAACCTTTGAAAGCAGGGATTGAGGACAATGTCTGGACTAACGTTGGCCATTATAAAACTTGTCTTCCACGTGACACATCTATCAAAACCAAGCATTGTCTGTCTTCAGTAGAAGATGCATTGTTGGAGGTGACATGGGTTCGCAGTGCCAGCATAAGCATTTTTACCTAAACAGCTTATCTCATGCTCTTTTCCGTACTCACTGTGGTTTAATTTCCTCTGTATCAATCTCTTCATCCATAAGATGGAGAGTTTGGCTGATAGCAACTCCAGTCATTAAATAGAGATGAAGTTCTACATGAGACCTTCTATTATTCTCTTACCTCTTTTCCATTTTCCTTTGAATAACTTGTCACGGTTTGTGTTTATAAGCTTGTTTGCTTTACTTGTTTACTCTCTGCTCCATTCCGCATTTTAGCCCCTTCCTCTCCTCGTCCCCCACCTTCATCTCCACCCACCATTGTAAGGTCCATGAGGGCAGGGACTGTGTCTATTTTGATCTTCTATCCCCAGAGCCTAGCATGATGCCTGGCACATAGTAGAGGCTCAATAAATGCTTGTTGGAAAAGTGGCTGGTTGAATGAACACCATAATGAGGAAAGTCATGCAGTGGCTCCCTGGCTTTTTGCATACATTACTGAGGCTCTCCAGAGAGTCTTGCTGGGGTTACTGATTTATTGTAACAGAGGAACAAGAAGAATAAGAAGGCCTCTTAACAGATGTCACGTAGGACACGAACATTGCTCTGATAGGCCAGCTGTCATTCCACTGATTTTATGTCAGTTGCTCTCTCTTTTGTGTTGTGTCACACATCAGCCCCAACTAAAAGGAAAGGCTACAGGCTGGGATTTGAAAGATAATTTAATGAAGGGATTATTTATAGAGGTGTGGGCAAGAGCAGAAGAACCAGATGGGTTGCTGAAGCACGCGGGGACTAGCAATAGTGAGAAGCTGTTGTTACTCTTGGGCCTGACAGGAAATGCTGGAGCCTGGGAGAATGGAGGTGTGGACAGGGCCATGGATGGGAGCCATAGTTAAAGAGGGCTGCCATCACCATTGGAAGCGCATTGTCAGGCAAAGAGGGAATAGGAAGAAATACTGTAAACTCTCCTCCTGCTCTTTCATCTCCTGCATGGTCTCCAATTGGCACTGCCCAATGGGAAAAGGGATCTCAGGTGATACAGGTATAGGGCATAGAGGTCAGCCTTCTGGGGCACTGGAAGGCAGGAGAAAAGCCAGCATGTGCCATTACTATTAGTGATTTTCTCTTTGCAGAGAGAGGCACTTGTGATCAAGTTCATGCTGCTCACACATACTCCAGTCGAGCAGGCACCTGCTGTTCCTTGACTTCAGTTTACAGCATCTCTCTGTTTTCTTGCTTCTCTGCCACTCTCCTTTCTACTGTTCTTTATAGGTCTTGCATTCAAACTCTTCCAGAGAAAATCTGATGGTGTCACCCTCTGATATTGGACAGGGTACACATAAGCAGCCTGTGAAAACTACCTTTAGGTGGGGCACCTGTCTTTGGTCCAGTTAGCTACAAAGCAGGCTGGACTTGCCCGTGACAAAGACTCTCTCAAAAAGGGTGATAGGAGACGAACTCCTCAGAGGAAACAGTCTGATTGGAAGCCACCTTGCATGGCTTGTCTGGTACATGGTCATCCTCACTTCCACTCCAGTGGTGACCATCCTCCCATATGAAGGATAATAATATCAATACTAGGCTGCTGGAAGGGACTAGCTAATGCTTACTATTAGAGTAAGCAGGACAAGTTGCCCCTGTTTTTTTCTGTTTTTTTTTGTTTGTTTGTTTGTTTTTTGTTTTTTGTTTTGTTTTTTTGAGACACAGACTCCCTCTGTTGCCCAGGCTGGAGTGCAGCGGTGTGATCTCGGCTCACTGCAACCTCCGCCTCCCTAGTTCAAGTGATTCTCCTGCCTCAGCCTCCCGAGTAACTGAGACTACAGGAGCCCGCCACCATGCCTGGCTAATTTTTTTGTATTTTTAGTAGAGACGGGGTTTCATCATGTTAGCCAGGATGGTCTCGATCTCCTGACCTTGCGATCCGCCCGCCTCGGCCTCCCAAAGTGCTGGGATTACAGGCGTGAGCTACGGCGCCCAGCCGACAAGTTGCCCCTGTTAATTAGATTCACCAAATGTGCCCAGCACTGGTGCGTCTTCTTAACGTGATGCCTCTTCAGCTCTCTCCCCTGCTCCAGGAGTGACTGGGATATCTGTCATGCCCCCAGATATTGTGTTCAGGGTCTGGTTCATGAGCTGGTTTTCTTCTGCTTCTAATCACAATAGCCATAGTCATTTGTATTCATAGAAAGTAAATGCCTCTGTCAATGAGGTTCCTGATAAGAGGAACGGGGAATAATGCCTTTTTAGTCCTAATCAGCCCTGTAAAACCTCCTGCAAATAGGAAAGGATTGTTTTCTGGCATTTTAGATTATGCTAAAAGTTGAGTTTTAAAAAATGATAGCAACTGGTTGTTGGTAAAGTTCTAGGATGGCAGCCTTGGTGGGTGGCAGGGATGCTTTTCTCTTCGAGTGCCTGTTCTCCCTGGATGGGGAGTCTCTTTTTTGCCACCTGCTTCAAGAGCAGTGAGTGCGGCAACCCCAGAGTACTTACTGTGCCATTGCAAACCATTTCTCAATGCCAGAACCCCCCAACAATGTTTGGTTCTCTGTACACACTCTTTGCTTCCCGCTCCAGAACACACTTCCCCTTTGCCTTCATCTTGCAAAATTCTCATCTTTCCAGTCCCAGCTCAAATGCCCCTTCTCATGAGGTGGTGCTTAGGGAAGGAGGCTCTGCAGTCAGCCACTTGCATGTCATATCTAGTCCACCACTCATCAGCTGGCTCTTAACTTCTTCATCTTTAAATATGAGATGGTAATTGGATGAAGCTGTATGTCACAGTGGGTAAGCATGTGAATGTTAGAGCCAGATTGTTAAGTTTCAAATGCTGGCTCAACCACCTACTTGCTATGTGACCTTGGGAAAGCTAATGAACCTCTCAATGCCTCAGTTTCTCCATTTATAAAATGGGGGTAGTAAGATGTATACAAATTTGTTGTGAGAATTAAATAAGTTAATGAATGTTATACTTTATTATTCTCTATCTCACTGAGTTGTAAGAATTAGTTAGGTAGAACACGTAATCATCTGGGATTATGCTTGCCCCAAACTCAGCTCTTCCTATGTAATTGGGGTAGTTCTTATGTTCTGTTGCATTTTATTTGTTATTGCCCAACATGCCAGAGAGGGGTTGTGCCTCCTCTGTGTTCTCCTAGTATATTGATTATACCTCTAATAGTATTTTTCATACTGAATTATCATTGTTTGGATTCTGTTTTCTCTATTGGACTGTGATCTCTTCACAGGCAAGAATAGATCATTAGTAAATATTTGATATTCATTAAAATGAAAAGTTGCCATAGCACAGAAAGGTTTTTGGCCTCAAGATTGGTGTTGAATAACTTGTCTGTGAAGTTCTTGGTGCAGCGAGAGGCCAGCAGCAGACGGGTTAAGACTCTTCCAGTGCATCTGCCTCTCCTCATTGTCTCATATGGGTTACCAAGTGCAGTCAGAACATGAGTTCTAGTTCCGAGAATGGGTGTCACCTATTCTCTAGACAAGCTATATACAGTGTTGGAAATGAATGATGTTAAGTGAGACTTGGATTCTCTCCTTTTCACTTCACTTTAAATAAAGTGTTTGCTTGGTTTCAAAGTAGGTTTCATACCCTTGACTCCAAATGGAATTCTACCACCATGAAGAACTGTTTCCTCTGAGAAAAAGATGAGTCATTCAGGTGATGGCTAACCAAAATCCTGGGGAAAAAAGAAAAAGAAAAGAAATCATAATTTACCACTTACTGGTTTTGGTTTTCCTTATGCAATCAGACATATACCTTTTTCTAATTTGAAGCCATTTGGCTTGTGCTTGTGAGATATTAATGACTGTAAAATAGCTGATATCAAACAATCTTATTTTCGAAATTGCTGTAGTTAAGACTGATGGTGCTTTTAGTTAATACCCCATGTCAGCCTGTCATCCCTACTCCCCCATAAACATTTTTGCAGGTGCCTACATATGACAAATGTACCACAAAATACCCAATATGAGTCCTTGTTTGTCATATTAGTTGGAAAGATGCACAGAAGTTATTTTTGGAATCTTGTTCATAAGTTTGTTATGCATGAGAAGAATCATAAACACTAGTTTATATACATATAGTGAATGAATGAATGTTATATTAGATTTCTGATTCAAAGTAGTCTGTGTCAGGGGTCCCGGGCTGGTACTGGTACTGGTTCATGGCCTGTTAGGAACCAGGTTGCCCAGGAAGAGGTGAGCAGCAGGTGAACCAGCATTACCACCTGAGCTCTGCCTCCTGTCAGATCCGCAGTGGCCTTGGATTCTCATAGGAGCGTGAGCTCTATTGTGAACTTGCATGCGAGGGATCTAGGTTGAATGCTCCTTATGAGAATCTAATGCTTGATGATCTGATTATCTGAGGTGGAACAGTTTCATCCCGAAACCATGTCCTCCCACCCTGGTCCATGGAAAAATTGTCTTCCAGGAAACAAGTGCCTGGTGTCATAAAGGTTGGGGACCACTGGTCTATGATAGAGAAACATAGACTACTTTTGTTGTTTAAAATGTCTTATAGCCTAGACTGCAGAGGGAAATTTATCTGATGAAATGTCTCCATTACATTTGTTATTATTTCAGGTTAGATTAAAATCTTAGCTGTGTTGGGTTTGTTCCTTGGTGAAAAGTTGGTATTTACCCTCTTTAAAAAATCCTTTTAATAAGCATTCTTAATTTTATCTTAAAATTATTTTATAGCTTTGACGGTGGGTTCTATCAACTCAAGGTCCTGTTTGGAAGCCTGTGGAGCCATCTAAATGTGTTAGCTGTAGCAAGGGCAGATTTAGCTGTTCTGTGTGATGCACCTTTAGCTTAGAAACCACTCATTTTTATTCTGTTTTTTTCATTCATTGGCTGGCCAGTTAGGCTCTGTGCAGTTTATCCAATATGTTGTGATGCTTTATAGTGTCTTTTGTCCAAACCTAGAGCTTGTCTCCTTCTGGGTTTAGGTTGTCTGTTGGCTTAACAGCTGTGTTCATTGTACTGTGTTTGCCCTCTGAGTTTCCCAAAACCTGCTGTGCCAGCTGCTGTTTGTATAGGCTCAGTGGGAGAAAAAAAGCCATCACACTGAAGATTAGACAGATGTGGGAGCTCTATCCAGATTCAAATATCTAGTGCTGTTTGGTATATTTCTGCTTTACCTGTTGGTGTCATCAGTTGATGGGGACATGTTGAGGCTATCTAAAATGGACTCCTCTTTTGCTTCCATACACATTTCCTCTGACGGATGATGAATTACTGATTGTTATATATGTCCACATAAGGGTGTCGCTAAATTTTCTTGGTTTGCTTTAGTGTTTATCTCCCTTAGTCAGTAAGTTCTTATCAATATCTAACCCAGTTTCTTCCTATTGCCACCTAAGGGAATCAATTTTCCTTGAATTTTTGCTCTAATAATTACCTTTCTAAAAGTATTTGAGATTCATTTCTACATGCTGCATGCAGAATATTCTTCTAGGTACTCCTCTTCTCAAGATTGCAAATGGAACAAAATTCACTATGCTCAAGATGTGGACAAATGTTTAAAGAAGTACAACTTTAACCTTGAAAAGAACATACATGATAAAAACAAATAGGAATAAAGGCAGGCTAATTGCCACTCTCTTAAAAGCCGCTCTTATATGCTGAGTTGGCTCTCAGAGATTTTGGTCTTTTATAGTATGATGAGAAAAGCACCCATGGGCTTTAAAGGAAGACTGACCTATGATCACATGGCCACTTACTAGCTGTCTGATCTTAAGACTATTATTTAACTTCTCAGAATCTCTTAATAGTAGTGGCCTCATGGAATTGTTGGGAGGATCAAAAGACATTATCAGATGGGAAATACCTCACCAATGGTAGGCATTCCGCAATGCTCATTTCTCTTAGCCAGGTTTGTCAATGCAATGTGACTGTTATGTAATAAGTTGATCAGTACACTGAATTCAATTATTATAAAGTTTCATTAATTACATCAGAATTTGTAGCTATTTGGATAGGGTTGAGCTGAAGTTTATTTATTTATTTTTTTTACTAAGAAGAAAGGATTAGCCAAGCAAATTTTTCTGTCAACCAGAATGGAGATAAGAAGAAAAGTTAAGCTACTTAAAGCTTTTAGAAACTCCAATTTGCAGATAAAGAGAAAGAATTAATTAAAAACAATCATTATCTAAGTCATTGAAAGGATTGGGGAGACAACCTACTTAGTAATGCTTGCCACGGGTTCATGTACAATTGGCTTCTGTGTGATTTACAAAGGTGTGCCTCATTAAAACTAGTCCATATTTCAGACATCTTATCAATTAAGATATGCTTTTCATTCAATGAATCTGAATCTGTGAATTTCTCTAGCATTGAAAAAATAGAGCATTGAATAGAGGTAAAGTGCTGTCCATTGGTCACCAAAGCTGTGGGAAAGATCTTCATTCACTTGTACTAATTTATACTATCAGTGCAATTCCTATTTCCTATCCCTTCATTAATTTATTGGACATTTATTGAAAGACATCAAGGACTGTGGGTACTCATTGACTAAAGTAGAAGACTTTTTCTTTTGGCCTCAGGCTACAGCGATAAATCTTGCCTTTCCTAATAGTGAAAATGTGCTTTCTTCCTTTATATGGAAATTCCAATCAGATCCAAGCACTGATAGATCTCAGACTTAAGGTATTTAATAATGACATTTATTGCACATTATATTCCATCCTTTGAATGAATACACATGAGGCAAAAGTTAATTGTTTGATTTCCAAACGTGAATACAAGGAGGGCAAGCCCTTTGACAACACCAGACAGATGCTGGTGATCACTTTGCAATTATCAGGGATACATGGGGTCATGTCCCTGTGCTCAGTACAGGTTGAGGGTCTGACCTCAGCTTCAGGCTTGAGGATACACCATAGGTAATTATCATTATTAAAACATTTTCTTGGATGAAATTATTTGTTGCATCTTTCTATTGCCACTTACAAGTTTTTTTTTTTACCATTATTTCTTTGTTTGTTGCATTATTAAGAAATAATTAGAAATAATAAGACTGAGATTATCCTACCCATCCTGATGCTACAATTTTGATCTTGTCTTCGCATTATTATCCCGATATATGTGATCTGAAAACTGTAGCTGTTTATCTTGGAGAACAAGACTGTTACTAGACTCTGTAGAACATAATTGTTAAGAGCTCTGGCTCTGAGTCAGACTGTCTGGATTCACATCTCCATGGCTCCACTGAAGTACTATGTAACCGTGGAGGACTTCCAAACCTCTGAGCTATGGCTTCACTATCTCTTAAGTGGGCATAAGAGTGTATTCATAAGAGTATTATAAAGGTTAAATGCAATATAGCACATAAAATGAGTTTTTAAATATGTATATGTATCATATAAAATAAACAGTGGTGATTTATCATTACAACCAGAAGTCTAATGAGGCTAATATTATGTCAAAATGAGAAAATAATGGATTCTTGAAACAATTGCTTATTGAGTTCATTAAATTTTAGGATGGATTATTAAGCAGAAGGTTTATCGGAATTTTTGGAAAGAGAGAGAAGCAGTAGGGGCTCATAAAGAACAAGTCATGGCGCATCATGGTTAGAGCAGGAGCATGCACTAGACTTGGAGTCTGTGGATTTCAGAAACATCTTTCCTAAGTCTTTCATAGTAACCTATGGACAACTGAGAATTTGGGGCTAGTACGTGACTTGGAGACCATAGCTTTCAGTTATCTTTCTCAATATTCTCCAGGACAACATTCTGTTTGTTTTCCTTTATCACATACCACTAATCTAATTATTTGGCTGATTCATTTGTTTATTTATTGACTGTCTCCCTACAAGAGTGTAAGCTCCATGAGGGCAGAAACCATGCCTGTCTTGATCACATTTGCATCCCATGACTTCATACAGGACCTAGCCCATCGCCAGCAATCCTCAAATATTTGTGGAATGAATAAGAAATGAGAAAATTCTTGGCTGGTCAAAAGGTGTGACCCTGTGAATTTCATTGCAGCACCATTCACAATAACAAAGAAATGGAAATGAACTATATGCCCATCAATGACAGATTGGATACAGAAAATGTGATACACCATGGGATACTATGCAGCCACAAAAAAGAACAAGGTCATGTTTTTTGCAGGAACATGGATGGACCTGGAGGCCATTATCCTTAGCAAACTAATGCAGTAACAGAAAAACAAATGCCACATTTTTACTTATAAGTGGAGCTGAATTATGATAACTCATGAACACAAGGAAAGGAACAACAGACACTGGGTTCTACTTGAGGGTGGAGGGTGGGAGGAGGGAGAGGAGCAGAAAAAATAACTATTGGCTACTGGGCTTAGTACCTGGGTGATGAAATAATCTATACAACAAACCCCCATGACATGAGTTTACCTATATAACAAACCTTCACATGTTACCCCCGAACCTAAAATAAAAGTTAAAAAAGAGATGTGACCCCAAGAGCACTGGATCCCTAGAATGATGTCTGTTTTAAAGCATCACTTCTTTGTTAGGTTCTTCTTGGTTAGGATCATTTAATGGTTTATTCATTCACAAGAAAACATAGAAAGCTTGCTAGTCATCTCTGTGATTGCCAGAAGTTGGAAGATGTAGCAAATATTATGAAACAAAATTTAAAATTATCTCAATAAGCCAAACTTTAAGTCAGTAAGATTGAAGGAATTAAGAGGAAAAAATTAAATGCCTATGTTTATTAGATTTTTAAAACTCAGTTTCCCAGATAGGATACAAGAGACAAGGTCCTGCAGGAGGTCATGTGGAAGAGAGTTGGGTTTTAACTGGCCACACAATATTCTGAGCTTAAAACACTATATCGTGGTAGATTTTTAAACATGAACCTACCCTAGACCAGCGGTTCTCAACCTTGGCTGCATATTAGAATCTCCCAGAGCACTGGTAAACAAACAAACAAGCAAATAAAAACATACTAATGTCCAGACCTCACCATCAGAGATTTTGACTCAGTTTGTTTTGGGAAGGATCTGAATATTCTAATATATTAGCAAATCTAATAGGGTTAAGAACCTCTACCCTGACTTTGCTCTTACCAATAACTACATACCTTCTATAATCTGTTGCTAGCATTCTACTTTCTGATTATTACCTTCTATATTTCTAAATAACTCCACTGCAACATTTTTTGCCTTCTAGGACCTCTGATCCATTGACTTTGCCACCTCTTGGCTGTTTCTCCCTTCATTTCCCCATTTCTCTTCATGGTTCCATTCTAGTAGTCACTGCTTTGCATATGCCTTCAGTACCTCGCCTCCTCACCTGACAAGTCCTAACCATGATTATTAAATCTAAGAGAGACTGAATGTGGTTGGAGAAGAATATGCAAACTTGCTGATTGGTCTTACTGAAAATTCATGACTGCAAATGTCAGGTAGAAAATGCCATGTTAGAATCCTACTAAATCTCCTTAGTCAATTTACTCTCATTCTTATAGATAATTGTTGCACCCTTCTTCTCTACCAAACCTCAAACCAACCCCCTCCTCACTCTCAGCTGATGGCCTTGCCTCCCTCATGGAGATGAGGCAATCAAAGAACTTCCACAGATTCCTGCTACAAAATCTATTCACCTCCCTGCATCTGGACCTGTGCACTCTTCACTCCTATTAACTAGGATGAATCATCCCTGCTCTTACTAAAGCCAGCACTAATCGTGTGCTCCGCATCTCATCTGTTCTCTTACTTAGGACTTGGCTTCTGCAATTGGCTGCCAATCACCACTGCTTCATTGATTTTCCTGTCTTCCCTGCATCATTTCCATCATCTTACATAGTATAATGTCTTCCATCTTTAAAAAAAAAAAAAAAAAAAAAAGAATCTCTTGATCCTCTAAGCTATAGCTTAATTTCCTTATTCCCCTTAATGGCAAAAGAGTTGTCCAGACTCATCATATCCACTTCCTCTCCCCACTTTCTCTCTGCAACCCACTCCACTCAGAATTACCTCCCCACTGCTCCACCAAAGACTTTGTCAAGGCCCCCAGTGACCTTGACATTACCAAACTCCAATGATCAGTTCTTAGATCTCATCCTGCTGAACTTTTCAACAGCTTTGGACATCACGGATTACTCCCTTTTTGTTCTTTATTTGCCTTTACCATTTTAACCATTTGCTTTCTGTTGTAAACTGTAAACTCTTTAGTTATAGGATAGAGCCATCAAAATCTTATCTGGCTGCTTCATTTTATAAAAAGAATATTTTAACATCTTACTTAAACTCAACTTTCATTTTCATGTCTATTGCTATCAAATTTCCTTATGATGTAAATAAAATCTTATCCTTTAGGTCAGTGCTTAGGAATTGTTTGGAAAATTCGGGATTAACTGTGGAAACCAGGTTTTTGGAGTACCTATTCCCCTGTCTCCTACTTCATCATTATATATTAATCGTCTGAAATTTCTCACCTATATTTTTTTTTTGCCTTGTAATTTTCACATTTTCTCTTATTAATTTTGCCTTTTTGATGTAGAGGCTACTCCTTCGTCTTAAATTTTTCTGACTATTCCCACTTCTTTCTCTAGCGCATCTGCTTTCAGATGTCTTTAATTCTTCTTGTGATCTTTAATTTGAGACTTCTTTGACAAGTTTTTTATATATAGTCTCCTACTTTTACAATGTTTTTCTTCTTCCCAGCCAGCTTACCCCACTGTTCTTTGGTGATATTTTCACTTATTTTAGTTTTGCCTAAGTCTGAGGAGGATGGCCCAAGTTGATTCTTATATTCTCTTTGTGTATTTAAATCTTATCTCTTCTTTTTAGTGGCAGCTTGTAAAACCTATTTTTGTCTTTAAAGTTTAAAAACCTGACAAGTAGGCATGGTTCTTATTTCCTTCTCAACCAAGGTACTTGAAAGTGCAGCACGCTGCCTCCACTTCTTCACTTCCATTTCGTTCTAGGTTTTTTGCAATCTGTTTTTTTTTCCTGTCATATCTAATAAAACTGCTCTCAGGAAATTCACTCATGGCTTTCTTTCTATTGTCCCTTTCAGTACTTGTCTTACTGAACTCCCTCCTTCCTGAAGCTCCCGACTCTTAGATTCCATGATGCCATTTTCTCTAGACTTTCCTCTTTTTCTTTCTGGACTAATTTATGGGTCTCTTTTCTTCTGCTTGTTCTTTAACCCTTACTCTCCTCCAGGGCTCTGTTTTTATTTCTCCATTCTTCTCACTATGCCTAATCTTCTTGCGGGAGCTTATCCACTCACTAGCCCCTCTGACTTTGTGCTATTTCGTGTACCTGGAATTCTTCCCTTTCTTGCTCTCCCCACTCATTTTTCAAAACCCATTTAGCTATTACTCCCTCCAGGAAGGTTTTCTTCAGTCCTTAGGTTGGACTGTCTCCTCTGTTTGCCCCTTGAGTACACTGGTTGACACCATTGTCATATCACACATTATGTGGTAATAAAAATTATCTGCAGTCTTCTTAAGGACAGAAACCATGACTATTTTTGTATCCCTGCACCTAGTACAGAACTCAAGAGGTTGTTTTTGAGGCTTGCTTTCCTCTGAATGATATGTAATCCTCTTCATCATCTAACTGAGATTGTATTTCAGCTCAAGAAAAAGTTTTAAAAATTATGCTCTGGATCACACTTTCTGTAGTATCTCTGATATACATGTCATTTGCATATCAAATCCCCTTGATCTGCTTCCTAGTCCTATCCAAGCCACTATCATATATTTATGAAGTCTCTCTGTGGGTTAACTTCAACCATCACTTACGTGCTAATGATTCCAAAATCCTTTTCTGTAGCCCCTACCACTGTCCTGAACTCCAGATTATTCCTGCACATCCTATCCCATTGCTTGCAATCATTTCTTGTCCTCATGGCACAGAGATTCTGCTGCCTTGAGGCCTCCAACCCCCAAGACAGGTCCTTTAGGATCGATGAGGACTGGGTACTCCCAAATCCCTCATTTGAATATAATGTGTAGGTTGTCAGGGAAGAGCAAAGTTGGGTGGAGGTGAGGTCAGCATGGAAAGGCAGTTGCAGGATGAGAGGTAGTTGTATCAGTTTCCTATTGCTGCTGTAACAAATCACCACAAACTTAGAGGCTTCAAACAGCACAGACTTATTCTCTTGCAGTTCTGGAGGTCAAAAGTCTGAAATCAGTCTTACTGGGCTAAAATGAAGGTGGCAGGGCTGGTTTCTTCTGGAGGCTCTCAAGGGAGAATTCATTTCCTGGCCTTTGTCAGCTTCTAGAGGCTGCTGGCATGCCTCAGCTCCTGGCTGCATCCTGCCAATCTCCGCTTCCATCATCCCAGTGCTTTCTCCCCTGACTCTGATGGCTCCTGACTCGGGAACATTGTGATTACAGTGGGTGCTTTCAGATAATCTCTCCATCTCAAGATCCTTAACTTAATCACATCTGCAATGTCCCTTTTCTCCTACAAGGTAACATTGACAGATTCTGGGGACTAGGACATGGACATATTTGAAAGGCCATTATTCAGCCTACAACAGCGATCCTAGGTTAGGGTAGACCATGATCCTAGGTCAGGGTAGAAACACAAGCAAACTACTTTTAGCAAAAGGAGATCCAGAATATTTGATTTTTAGCAGGTATGTGTATATGTGCATATGTGTGCATCCGGGAAGAAAAATTGTTGCTATCAATGCTATTTCTAGGTAATAGAAAACAAACAATGTGAAGGGGAAAAATTCTAAATTTTGTGTGTGTGTGTAAAAGTAATAAACTTTAAAGTCATTTATCTGAACTGCCTATAATTTATATATACTTGACAGCAAAATAATATTCTCTAGCTAACTAACTTGTTAGATTGTTGTCATTTAAGTTTGTTTTATTACAGTGTGCTCAGGAGTCTTTTCCCCACCTTAACAAAGCAGGGGGCTTTGTTCAGTGCTCAGTACCTCTAATGAGCTCTCCTTTTAATGGAGATGTGAGGCAGCTGGGTTTAAGGACTCTGCGCAAAGGAAGAGAAGAATGATTAGACCTTGCTTCTTTCTTTTTTTTCTCTCGTGTACTCTTGTATTCTTTTCTTTAAAGAAAGCTGTGGTTAAGGGAAATAATTGGCTAAGGGAAAAAAATGGAAAGAAAGTCCTTCATTTGCACAGCTTGCCTTGGCCATATAAAAGACACACACCCTGAAGCAGAAGTGCTGCTGAAACAGGCAGGGGGAATGGAAAGGGTTATTGGGAGATGGCTTAGTTTGGTTTCCCCAGGAAGCAGATTTTTAATAATGAATTTGGGTAGGCGAATGGGGATGTGATTATTTTGGGGGACATGCAGAATGTCTCCCAGAGTTGTATCTGGGGGTTAGGAGGTGGGTATTTATCCATCAGTTACCACTCAGCATTGGCTGAGGACTGTCCTCAGGGGCTTTACTCCTCTGCTGCCTGGCTGCATCTGTGGACTGCAAGTCCCTGTGGCAGGGGAGGGGGCCTGGAGGCTGAAAGACAGAACATGCCCTGGACACAACTGGCAGAGCACTGTCAGCCCTAGAGAAGCCTGCACTCACCTCGATCTGCCTTCCAACTGCCACTGAAAACAGAGGGGTAGGTGGGATGTAGCTTAGGGAGCTCAAGGTGAGGGCTACAGAAGAATCCCTTCTCTAATGGTAGGTAGTGTGGCAATGATGGGCTGTGATGGCCACCTGCTTCTGAAGGGAAAGATGACAAGTGCTCCTAAGGGCCTGGGCTATGAGTAAGACAGATATGGGCTCCTAAGGGCCTGGGCTATGAGTGAGACACCCCATTAATACATTTGCTCCCTAGCCAAGCCTCTGTTTTTCCATATGTAAAATGAGAACAACAGCATCTCCTTTTTAGGACTGCTTTGTGAAATAAAAGAGATAATGTGTATAGAGTGCTTTGCAGGGCCACTGGGACAGGACTACACCCATACATGAGAGTAGTTGTGTTAAAAGGAAAATGAAAAGGACAGCAAAAGCAAAACAAACCAAAACCAAACCCAAACAAACAAAGAAAATACGAGAAAGGAAAAGAAACAGGAAAAAAAAAAGGAAGGTGATTGACACTTGAGACATCTGTTATAGGAAATATGTCGCCTGTGTTCATATTTCTTTCTAAATGATGTCTGCAACTATTTCAGGGCTCAGGACATGGAGTCATGCACACGTTTTACTTGAGTGTCCAGTCCAGGCTTCTTTCTGCTCTGCCAACTCTGTGTCCTTGGTATTGCCTTGGTAGAATTTGTGGCATCAGATACACAGTATATCTGATGTTGTTAACAGGGTTATTTTAGGGCCACCAGTATGTCCTCACCAGCCTTGTGAAAAAGGCCAGACATTTGTCTATTGGAGGAGCCTTGGTTTCTTGCTCAAATGAATGATAAGTGAACTGCCTCAGATCATTAACCATGTTCTTTTGTAAAGTCCAAATCACCATTTGGCAGCAAATGGCTTTTTCACCTGGGGTGGATGTTTGCTTGTTCCCTGCTTCTTGGAACCCAGATAATGAGTACTTAATTCACTATAGGCTTGGTGACCCCAAGGCCCATAAAGAAAGTCAATGGAGTGGTCCACGCTGGCGGACATCAGGCTTAGTGACACCAGGGACAGTGGTGCTGGTGACACAGCTTTCGCCTCTGCTTATATGGTACTGATAAGGAGCTTCTAGTTCAGAAAGCAGAATCACTAGCAAACCCCTCCAAAAAAGGAATTGTATAAGCCTTGCCATAGAAACAAATAACAACTCACAGACTAGCAATGCCACAACTTCCCTGGAATAGAAAAGGTCAAGGTAATGACCCAGGCACTTGATGTGCTGGCTGCAGAGGAACACACTCCCCCACAACTTTCACACACTCACTTCATGCTGGCAAAGGATTGGTTTGAATGCTGCTATCTGGATTGCTATCTCTGGGAAGTATTTTAGAGCCAAGACCCCATACAATTCCAGTGGGATGAATGTTGCTTACTCATTCTGCTGCAGTTTCCATTGTGTGCGCTCTGTGTTGATGGGTTGTGTGGAACAGGAGATGTGAGCTCTCCTAATTTATTAAACTGGGAGCATAGGCCTTCTCCTGCTTGCCATTTAGGGTGACGAGGGAGGAAGAGGACCCTGTGGTCAAGGAGCTGGAGGAGGGAAAAGTGCTGCGCCGGAGGCACTGTGAGCTCAGGAGCTCAAGGCACCCTGGCATTGAGCTCACATAGCCACATTTTTATAAAATTTTCAAAATAAAGAGATTTTGCCTATGATTGGTTAAGATCATTGTCTCTTCCTGTAGGACTTACCCTTACCCTCTGTAGCATTGATCAGCAGGGAGATGGCGTTGGAGTAGCCAGAGGCATTTTGGGAATCAGACTAAAGGGAAGCTGAATTGGGGATACATTTTGTTTGGGTTTAATGAGATATATTTATGTAATTTACAGTCACTTCCATGTATACATGCATCTGGTAGTTAATAAAAATATGTTATTTTTCTGGATTATTGTGATGCTAAGCTATTCTTTAGTTTTTAAAATTTATAATTTTTGTAATTTTCTCATTTTAAAAAATACTCATATTTGTATCTAATTTTGTAAGCATAATTTTTATATATTTTTGTTTTTTATTTTTTGAGATGGAGTCTCACTCTGTCACCCAGGCTGGAGTGCAGTGGTGTGATCTTGGCTCACTGTAACCTCCATCTCCCAGGCTCAAGTGATTCTTCTGCCTCAGCCTCCTGAGCAGTTGGGATTACAGGCACCCATCACCACACTGGGCGATGTGGTTGTATTTTTGTATTTTTAGTAGAGATGGGGTTTTACCATGTTGGTCAGGCTGGTCTCGAACACCTGACCTCAAGTGATCTGCCTGCCTAGGCCTCCCAAAGTACTGGAATTACAGGCCATAATTTGTATTTTTAATAAAGAGGTCTGTATTTGTATAAGCTCAGACCCCACAAACCTGGATCTGCCCTCTCATCCCCCTCCCTCCCTGCCTCCTTCCCTCCCTCCCTCCTTCCTTTCCTTCCTTCCTCCCTCCCTCCCTGCCTCCTTCCTTCCCTCCCTCCTTTCCTTCCTTCCTCCCTCCCTCCCTGCCTCCTTCCTTCCCTCCCTCCTTCCCTTCCTTCCTCCCTCCCCCCTCCCCTTTCCTTTCCCTCCCTCCCTCCCCCCTCCCTCCTTCCCTTCCCTTTCCTTTCCCTCCCTCCCTTCCTTCCTTCTTTTCTTCCTTCCTCCCTCCCTCCCTCCTTTCCTTCCTTCCTTCCTCCCTCCCTTCCTCCCTCCCTCCCTCCATGCCTCCCTCCCTCCTCCCTTCCCTCCTCCCTTCCATTCCCTTTCCTTCCTCCCTCCCTTCCTTCCTTGCTTGCTTCCTTCCTTCCTTCCTTTCTTCCTCCCTCCCTCCCTCCCTCCCTCCCTCCATCCCTTCCTCCATCCCTTCCTCCTCCTCCTCCTCCTCCTCCTTCTTCCCCTTCTTTAGGGGCTAGAACTTTGCAATATTCACCTGGGTTCTTGATTTCTTGCTCCTGTTCACATTCTCAGAATCGAGGGGAAAACATTTTATGTATATGATGGATTAAATAAGATTTTACAGAATGATTTGACAGCCCGACTATCACATAATATGGGAATACCCACAAAAGAGTGTGTCCTGAGTTCTGAGCTGCCCACTTGGAAGGCCTTCTGGATAACACTGTCTCTACCTGATCTGGCCTCCCCTCACCATTCAGGCTCACCCCTCGCCTCCCCTGACACCCTGCACGCCTCCCTTTCAAGTCAGTCCTCCCAGTACACAATATATTTTACAGCACAGTGTTTTTGTATCTAATACTGTTGACTCAGCTTCTCTTTATTCATCTTTCACTACAAATGCTAATAAATGCAAAATGCTAAATCATCAGGTTTCTCAATCTAAACTAAAGAACAACTAGAGCATTAACGTTTAGAGAAAAGTTGCAAGAGGCAACCACACTGAAAGTTGTAAGAAGTCCTGAAAATGAATAAACAGGAGATCAATAAAGGAAAAAACTCCTGAAAGTTAATGAAGAGAAAGGAAAAAAATAAAACACAGAAAACTTAAAAAAAAAAAAAAGTGTCCATAGCCTGAGCCCATTTGATTTAGAGGCGAGCAGGTATTTGCACTTCAGAGTACCTGAGGGCAGCATCATGGAATCTCTGATGTTCATAATGGTTAATGTGTGGAGTTGGTATATAAAAGGCAAAAAGTTGAAAAATTATCATCCAAAGAGGTGTATGTTTTAAAGGTTTCATTTTAACAGGATCTCTGTGGTCCAAGAGGCTTACTTCTGTAGCATACATTATTTTTGAGTAATATTAGTCAAACAAGATGGTATTGTACTAAATGGAATTAGGGGAAAGTACAGCATAATAGTTAAGACTAAATATGGAGTGGGACAAGCCTGGCCATAAATCCTAGTTCTTCTACCGGGTTAGCTGTGGGAACTTTTCAAGCTTCATTTTCCTAGAAGATGAGCATCATAATCTCTACATCGCGCGATCATTGAGAGATTGGACAATCTTAATTAGTTATTTAATTAAGTTCTGTTAAGGATTTATAATACAGTTGCTGTGTGAGGCTTTTTTGCAGGATCATTTTTCAGTTAGTTCCCAGCTTGTCATTCAAATTGCAGTCCTGACAGATTTCCAATGTTGCAAGAGTTTAGCACTTCATCAGTCATTTAGGCATTAAATAGACATGAAAATATTTGTTAAAATATTTTCTCTTCTGTTATTTTTAGGTTTTTTAAAAATATGTTTTCCCTGAGAGTAATAGGAGAACAGGTTGCACTGAGAATGAAATCCACATTCCACCCAGGCCCTGACTTTGGCTTGGGTTTGGGCTCTCCCCTGTGGTCTGAGCAGCTGAAGTCTGGGATTGGATGCCCCACCAAAGCCACACGGAGCTGGGAGGACACTTCCACAAGGACAGGACACTGGGTAGACACAACTGCCTGAATTTCATAGACCCATTGGAAGGAGCTCCTTGCAATCTTCTCTAGCCTAATTTTTCCACTTCTTGCCTCAGTGGGCCTCATCTCATGCCACTTTCTTCTGTACCCACTGCGCGGATGTCGGACCGTGCCACACCCTTTCCCATCTCTGGGCCTTTGCACGGGCTGTTCCCTCTGCTTAGATTGCTCTTCCCTGACTCTTGGCGAGGTTGGCTCCTCCTTACCCTTCACTCCTGCACTTAGCAGATCCTTGCTCAGACACCTTCATCACACGCAGACCCTTCTCTGCTACGCTGCATCTCAGGTCTGACTTCTCTGCTGCAGCTCCCTGACAACAGTGCAGGCTTGTTGTATGGATATGTTTGTTTACTTGTATTCCATCCGTCCCCCCATCTAGACTGTACGCTCCACCAGATCGGGGACTTTGCTCTTCTGTTGGTGGGACACTCCTGGTGCCTGGCACAGAGGCTGACACATTCAGGCCCTGAGATGTTTTCTGAATGACTGATAATGAATGAATAATAAACTGGTGAAGAGGTAAAATGAGGTGGGAGGAGGTGTGAGGGTGGGTGATGGAGGATGGCAAGGTGAGGATCATGCTAGTGGGTAAATAAACTTGCTGGGATCTGGTCCCTGGTGGGAAGTGACTGCAAACCAGCAATACTCAGAGTGAAGGAGGAAGCCACGGGAGAACAGGGCCAGTGTCTGTTAATTGAAGAGAGACTCTGGGGCCACTTGTTTCAGGCATCTGTTTTAGCTCTTCTCAATAGGACAGTGATGTTCTAATTTCTTTGTATGGTATAGGAACAAAAAATAATAACCCATAACACAATTCAGAACATGAGAAAAGCATTCCTGGAAAGTGGCCACAGAAACTACTGCCACTTCCCTTAACGCCACTTATTCCCTAGGGAGACCCACCACCTCCTTATCCCTAACCCTAACCCTACCTGGCCATGATACAAGTGGCATTTCTAGTTGTTTATGACATGCTAACACTTGTGTTTCCCAGGGGTTCAGTGAGCCTAAGTGGGGAGAAGAGTGGGGGGAAATTGTTAAGACTGTGGTCTTTGAAGCTGAGTGCTGGCTCTGCCACCTGGTAGATCGTCAGCTTGGACATATTATTTAACTTATTTAAGTTAAGTTAAAGAGGTTAAATTTTTAGACTTATTTAAAACGGAAATAGTCACTAATAGAGATGGTTCTGAAGATTAAATTGGATAACTCATATAAAGAGCTTAGCTCAGTACCTGTACATGGTTAGTGTCAAATAAAAATTTATTCCTGAGTCCTTCCAAGCCACAATTATCTTCTAATCAGCCCCTGTGGTTGTAGAAAGCTTAGCATGTAATCAACAGAAATAAACTGAGACTACTGGAGCCAGAAAAGAAAAGTTTATTGGAAGGCTATTAATAGCTTAAAGAACTGAGGGAAGAGCTGACCAAACAGGCCTCGGGAAAGTTGAGAACCAAGGGAACTGGGGGGTCCCAGAAGCAGGAATTCATGAGCCATCTTTCCAAGGTCCTGCCGCTGCTGATGGCTCTGCTGCTGGTGTTCTTGTTCTTGTTGGCTGCAGATTTAAATGCCCAGGAGGGAGAATCAGACAGACTGCAGTGGGCTGGGGCTCTCCCCTGTGGTCAGAGGAGTTGAAGTCTGGGATTGGTTGCCCCACCAAAGCCACATGGAGCTGGGAAGACAGTTCCACAAGGACGGGACACCGGGTAGACACAACTGCCTGGATTCCATAGACCCATTGCAGGGGACTCCTGAGGACCTGCCCAGTGAACGTCTCTTGCCTGATTTTTCAGCTTCTTACTTATCAACATTTAATTGCCTTTAATCATAGCCCACCATCATTTCCTCCTGTCTTTCCAGACAATCAATCATTCCTTCTTTTGAATGATGTCTATAATGTTGATTCACTCATGCATTCATTTAGTCAAATGCTGTGTGAAGCTTCTTTTATAGGAACATATTTATTACATATTTATTGAGCACCTATTAGGTATGGGGTTCTGTTCTAGGGGCTGGTTTAGCTCAATGACTCAAAGAAATCCCATGCCCTCAAGGACATCATTGGCACCATTGCCACTTGATGTTATATATGTATTTAACATATAAATAATGTGTCTGTGAGACAGCCATAAATAAATAAATAAATACATAACCCGAAGTGGCAATGGTGCTAATGAGCCAAGTGCTAATGAGAGGGGGAATGAGTGTAGAATGTGAGGGGGTATTGCTCACACTGGTTATTCATGTTTATATGTGTCTATCCTTCAACTGATCCCGTTTTATTACTATATTTTTACTTGTCTGCCATAAATCACTAGCTGGCTTCTGCCTTCTGAAGTGAGCACCTTAAAGTACCCTACCCCTGCCTCTTGGTGGATGCTGAATAAATGTTTGTTCAATGAATGGATAAATACACCCCTTATAGTCTGGCTGTCAGATGTCTGTATTTTTCTGCATGTGAGGCACCCAGCCACTCTTCCAAGGGGAGCATCGCAGGTGACATGGACAGAAGGGAGAATTATGCCTGGCTCTGCCCTCTTGGATACTCTATAATGTTTTTGGCTGGCTGATTGACTTAACCCTCATTTAGCCAATCTCTCTTCTCTGGAATGAGGTTGGTTTCTTTGTGTTATTTTTTTTTCTTTTGTCATACATGCTTTCTGAATTTAAAACCAACTCTGAGATATAAATGAGGAAAATATTCATCCCTCACAACTGAAGTCACAGAATCAACATCGGAATGAATCACAGCATCTGAAGGAACCTCAGGAGAACGGCAATAACAAAGGTCCTTTAAGGGAAGCCTGAATCCTCTTAAATCTATATTTAATGTCTATGTTTATGAAAATGGAAAGAACTAGATGAATCCTTATTTAAAGACTCAATCTAAAAGTAGACAACAAGACAATGGAATGCTTTAAAATATTTTTTCGACATTTGTGTAAAATGGAGCAGTGTGGATTGCATGCTGTTCAGACATGGCCTCCATCTTAGCAAGATCTCTGGTTTTTCACTGCAGACCAACAAATGACGGCCATTGACACAGCTCTCTGGTCCCGATGGTAGCTGTGTTTATAAATGGTCAGCTGTGTTGTGTGTATATTTAGCTTATGCTAAGTGCCCCTGAGAGGATGAATATGATCTGTTTCCAGTTTAGTTATGATTTGGAACATGGTAGATTTTTTCCAGATGAATATATACTAAGCCTTTTCCACTTCCTGAGGAAAGTTAGGGTTGGATTCTGAACTGCAAATTGCCAAACTTGTTAAATCGAATTAAAACCAAATGTAAAGTGCTGTTGACTCTATTTACAAGCACTTGTCGGAATATACTGTGCCGCTCAATGAAAATGCCATGTTTTGAGTGAAAGATTAGATACCAGTGCTGACAGACCAGAAACCATTTCATTCACCATTAGCGTGAATGGATGATATGGCTGACTGATAGGATGGTTAGAAATAATGGCTAAATGGTATTGGTGACTATATAGTATCTTTATATAATATTAAAACTTTTCAAAGCCATTTTTATCTAAATGTTCTCAGAGTTTCATATCTCCAAGGATGCAAGAATACACATGATGGTAAAGATGGGAACAATAGACCCTGGGGATCAATGGATGGGGAAAGAAGTTGGGAGGCCTAGGCTGAAGAACTGCCTATTGGGTACTCTGCTTATGGCCTGGATGATGGGATTGTTGGGACTCCAAGCCTCAGCATCACACAATTTACCCATGTAGCAAATCTGCACATGTATCCTTTAATCTATAATACAAGTTGAAATAAAAAAGAAACTATCTTTCTAATAACATTATCAGCCCTGATAAATATGTTAATAAAGGTTTAAAATAGTCAAGCTCAAATATTCCATGTTACATATTCTATTTGAAACAAAGGAAAAAATGGGATGCTAGTCAATACCTTTAATAATGCAAATAGAACCCCAGCACTAAATATAAGAGAAAGAACTTATTTTTAAACATTTAATTATGTACAAAGTCCCTTTAAAAAAACCTTGAAATTAAACCAAAATATATAAAGTATTGTAACCATTATCACTATTACAAAAGGATTCTCTCCAGGCTACTGAGAAAGCAAATTCGGCCAGCTACATTTATTTGTTTTTTCATAAGCCATACATTTCTTGATAGAGATCTTAAAGGAAAAGTTA
This sequence comes from Homo sapiens, assembly GCF_000001405.40. Classification (NCBI taxonomy): domain Eukaryota; kingdom Metazoa; phylum Chordata; class Mammalia; order Primates; family Hominidae; genus Homo; species Homo sapiens. Next base: position 101,923,535 of record NC_000008.11, on the reverse strand, counting down.
GGACCAACTTGACATAGATGTCAGAACTGGAAGGGACTTGACAACAATTACACATCATTTTCTGCGTATAGAGAGCTAGTGATAGTGAGTGACTGCTCCAAGGTCACTTATCTGCTAATAAGTGGCCAAGGTGGGGTTAGACCCTAGACTTCCATTTCTGTGCTCTTTCTATCTTACCTCCTTGCCTCCTGGGAGTGAGATAGATTAGCAAGATAAATTTGTAGTTGTCTTAGTCTTTTCATGCTGCTATAACAAAATACTCACAAGTGGGTAATTTATAAAGTACAGAAATTTATTTCTTGCAGTTCTGGAGGCTGGAAAGTCCAAGATCAAGATGCCAGCAAATGTGTCTGGTGAGGGCTGCTGTCTGCCTCCAACATGGTGCTTCTTCTTGTGTCCTCACTTGGTGAAAGGGACAAAAGGACAAAAAGGGCCAAATGCTATGTGAAGCCCTCTTTTATAGGAGCCTTAATTCCATTCATGAGGGATGAGCCCTCATGATGTAATCAACCCCTTAAAGCCCCACCTTTAATACTACAGTAGTCCCCCCTTGTCCATAGTTTCACTTTCCTAGGTACAGTTACAATAAGATATTTTGAGAGAGAGAGAAATAGAGACCACATTCATGTGATTTTTAATACAGTATAGTGTTACAGTTATTCTATTTTATTATTGGTTGTGGTTAATCTCTTACTGTGTGTAATTTCTAAATTAAACCTTATCATAGGTATGTATGTATAGAAGAAAAACATAGTATATATAGAAAACATAGTATGTATCAAATTCAGTACTATTTGAGGTTTTAGGCATCCACTTGGGGTTCTTGGAATGTATATTCCCTGTGGATAATAGGGCACAACTGTATTGTACTGGAGATACTACGTTTCAACACAAATTCTGTAAAGACACAAAAATTCAAGCCATGGCAGCAATCTGTAGAATGGTTTTGTTTACATATATATTTTAATGAAAGCAGCTATTATATGAAGAATGAAATATATACTCTGTTGTTATTATTCTTGTGCTCCTACATGTTCCTGCTCTTTCAATCCCATTTTCACTATTTTCTCATTAATTGCTGGGAACAAATAGGTAAGATAGGATGTGTTTCAATGTGCTTCTGTGAGCAGGTCAATGAAACGTGTCCAATAATGTAGAAAATAGACAGAATTCTTCTTCTCTTGGTCTCACCCAGTTGTCTTACACATCACCAAGTAGCTTGGTATTTAATGGGCTGTCCATTCTGATGCTACAGAAATCTGTCAGGGTTCTATCATAGGTCAGCTCTAGTCACTGCTCATTTATTTATCTTGTCATTTAACCAAGCACTTTTTTTTTTTCATGAAGCATCATCATTTCCAGAGACACCATTTTTTTTTTTCAGTAAAATCTCAAAGTCTAAAATTGAGTTAATTATATTTTAAATCATAAAACACTTTAAATTCACTTTAACATGTTTTCACATCTTAGAGGCTGAGGCAGGAGAATTGCTTGAACCCCAGAGGTGGAGGTTACAGTGAGCTGAGATTGTGCCACTGCATTCCAGCCTGGGCAATAGAGGGAGACTGTCTCAAAAAAAAAAAAATGTACTTTTCAAGTTGTATCATGTTTGGGTGTCAAAAATATAACTTTGAGATGAAGGAATATACATAAAAATTATTTCACAGATTTTTTCTCAGTTAAAAAATCATACTTGGAAAGATTACATTTTATTAAACCAAACATCTTCTATAGTATCTATATTATTAAAATGTACAGGTTATTATAAGTAAGGAAAAAATTAAGAATCTGTCTTAGATAAGAATTCTTAGATTGTTGGAACTAGAAATAAATTAATAGCTATAATTTGTGGAACATTCCAAGGTTCAATAGCTTGCATGAAGTCCTTACCACTGACATATACCACTTCTAGTCTATGTTTAAAGGGACACCTTTACTAACTCTTTGGTAAAGTCCTGATTTCTGCTTTAACAGTATTCAATTCTCCATTAAGTGCTTAGAGGAATATGAGTCCTTGGTGTATTGACTGAGGTGCATTTTGTAGTTATTGGTACATCACCAAATATACAGAAATTGGTAGTTACGTCTTTTTCTAATGTTTTCCTAACATGTCAGTTGGGATACCTTTTCTTCTTTTATTATTATAATTAATTTTTTAATAAAAAAGGATTTTAGAAATCCAAACAATTGCATATTTATTGATATTTTATTCCTAATAAAAGTGATACTTTGATATTTAAGAATTCAATAATATAATTTGAGATTTTTTTTTTTTTTTACACATTTCTGAAAAGGGCTTTGGTCCTCTTAATAGCTTTGAAATTGTACTTGACAGACTAATTAGATTGTTTAGACTGGCACTCTCAGAGGTACTTAAATGCACTTTTTATGTCAGACACAAAATCTGAGAGACTACTCCTTCCTTGTGCCCATTAGTAATGGGATCTAATAGATAACACCCACTTCCTTGAAGCCTTCTCAATCGGACATGCTGAGTTAGTCCTTTCGCAGGCTAACTAATCATTCAGTTCTTTTGATACCCTCCTTCCCTATGAGTCTAACCAATATAATATTCCTATTTATTGACTCATTTTATCGTAATTTCCTATTGTCACATTACATGGACTGCGTCAGTTAGTTCCTTTTTTCCAACTTTTATTTTAGATTCAGTGGGTATATGTGCAGGTCTGTTACCTGGTATATTGCATGATGCTGAGGTTCGGGGTATCAGTGATTCTGTCACCCAGGTACTGAACATAGTACCCAATGGTTAGTCCTTCAACTCTTCCCCCATTTCTCCCTCTCTCCTCTAGTAGTCCCTGCTGTCTGTTGTTCCCATTTTTATGTCCATGTGTACCAATGTTTAGCTCCCACTTATAAGTGAGAACATGTGATATTTGGTTTTCTGCTCCTGTATTAATTCACTTAGAATAATGGACTCCAGCTGTATCCATGTTGCTGCAAAGAACATGATTTCATTCTTTTTTATGACTGCATAGTATTCTATGGTATATATGTACCACATATGTTTTAATCTAATTCACCATTGATGGGCACCTAGGTTGATTCCATGTCTTTGCTATTGTGAATACTGTTGTGATGAATATGTGACTTCATGTGTCTTTTTGGTAGAATGATTTATTTTCTTTTGAATATATACTCAGTAATGGGATTGCTAGGTAAAATGGTAGTTCTGTTTTAAGAACTTTCTTAAAGTTTTTAATTCTTAAAGAATATTTCTTTGAGAAATCTCCAAACTGTTTTCTTTTTTTCCCCCTTGAGACAAGGTCTCACTGTTTCACTCGGGCTGGAGTGCAGTGGCACAATCATGTCTCACTATAGCCTGGACCTCCTGGGCTCAAGTGATCTTCCCACTTCAGCCTCCCAAATAGTTGGGACTACAGGCATGCACCACCACACTCAGCTAATTTTTGTATTTTTTGTAGAGGTGGAGTTTTGCCATGTTGTTCAGGCTGGTCTTGAATTCCTGGGCTCAAGTAATCTGCCCACTTTGGCCTCCCGAAGTGCTGGGGCTACAGGCATGAGCCACCACGCCCAGCCCCAAACTGCTTTTCTATGGGGGTTGAACTAATCTATATTCCCACCAACAGTGTGTAAGCATTCCCTTTTCTTTGTAGCCTCACCAGCATCTTTTGTTTTTTGACTTCTTAATAATAGCCATTCTAACTGGTGTGAGATGGTATCCCATTGTGGTTTTGATTTGCATTTCTCTGATAACTGGTGATTTGAAGCATATGAAGCATTTTTGCATGTTTGTTGGCTGCTTGTAGTTTTCTTTTGGGACATGTCTGTTCACATTTTTTGCCTTTTTGTTTTTTTTTTTCTTTTGCTTGCCTGCTGAGTTTAAGCTCCTTATAGATTCTGGATATTAGAGCTTTGTTGGATGCATAGTTTGCAAATATTTTCTTCCATTCTGTAGATTGTCTGTTTACTCTGTTGATAGTTTCTTTTGCTGTGCAGAAGCTCTTTAGTTTAATTAGTTCTTATTTGTCAGTTTTTGTTTTTGTTGCAATTGCTTTTGAGGGCCTAGTCATAAATTCATTTCCAAGGCTAATGTCCAGAATGGTGTTTTCTAGGTTTTCTTCTAGGATTCTTATAGTTTGAGGTCTTACATCTAAATCTTTAATCCATCTTGAGTTAATTTTTTTATGTGATGAAAGGTAGGGGTACAGTTTCATTCTTTTGCATGTGGCTAGCCAGCTATCTGAGCACCATTTTTTGAATAGGAAGTCCTTTCCCCGATGCTTCTTTTTGTTGACTTTGTTGAAGATCAGATAGCTGTAGGTGTGCAGCTTTATTTCTGTGTTCTCTATTCTGTTCCATTGGTTTATGTGCCTGTTTTTGCACTAGTACCATGCTGTTTTGGTGACTATAGCCATATAGTATAGTTTGAAGTCAGATAACGTGATGCCTCCAGCTTTGTTCTTTTTGCTTAGGATTGCTTTGGCTATTTGGGTTCCTTTTTGGTTCTATATAAATTTTAGAATTATAGAATTTGGTTCTATATGAATTTCATTTATCGTTCTGTGAAAAATGATGTTGGTAGTTTGATAGGAATAGCATCGAATCTCTAGATTGCTTCGGGTAATATGGCCAATGTAACAACATTGATCCTCCTAATTCATGAGCATGGAATGTTTTAACATTTGTTTGTGTCACCTCTGATATCTTTTGGCAATGTCTTGTAGTTTTCCTTGTAGAGATCTTTCACTTCCTTGGTTAGATGTTTTCCTAGGTATCTGTGTGTGTGTGTGTGTGTGTGTGTGTGTGTGTGGCTATTGTAAATGGGATTGTGTTCTTGATTTGGCCCTCAGCTTGAACATTGTTAGTGTATAGAAATGTGACTGATTTTTTACATTGATTTTGTATCCTAAAACTTTACTGAAGAAGTTTATCAGTTGCAGGAGCCTTTGGACAGAGTCTTTAGGGTTTTCTAGGTATAGAATCATATTCTCTGTGAAGAGATATAGTTTGATTTCTTCTTTTCCTATTCGGATGCCTTTTAGTTCTTTCTCTTGCCTGATTGCTCTGGCTAGGACTTCCAGTATTATTAATAGATTGAATAGGAGTGGTGAGAGTGGGCATACTTGTCTTTTTCCAGTTCTCAAGGGTAAGGCTTTTAGTTTTTGCCCCTTCAGTATGATATTCGCTGTGGGTTTACCATAGATGGCTCTTAATATTTTGAGGTATGTTCTTTCAATGCCTAGTTTCTTGAGGGGTTTTATCATGAAGAGATGTTGGATTTTATCAAAAACTTTTTGTGTTTATCAAGATGATCATATGGTTTTTGCTTTTAATTGTGTTTATGTGGTGACTCAAATTTATTGATTTGCATGTGTTGAATGAACCTTACACCTTAGGAATGAAGCCTACTTGATCATGGTGAATTAACTTTTTGATGTGCTGTTGGATTTAGTTTGCTAGTATTTTGTTAAGGATTTTTGCTTCTGTGTTTATCAGAGATATTAGCCGGTAGTTTTCTTTTTTGGTTGTTGTGTCTTTGCCAGGTTTTGGTATCAGAGTGATGCTGGCTTTGTAGAATGAGTTAGGGAGGAGTTCTTTCTCCTCGATTATTTGGAATAGTTTCAATAAAATTGGTACCAGCTCTTCTTTGTACATCTGCTAGAATTTGGCTGTGAATCCATCTAGTCCTGAGGTTTTTTTGATAGGTAGGGTTTTTAAAAAATTATTGCTTCAAGTTCAAAACTTGATATTGGTCTGCTAAGGGTTTCAAGTTCCTTCTAATTCAGCCTTAGGAAGTTGTGTGTTTCCAGGAATTTACCCATTTTCTCTAAATTTTCTAGTTAGTATGCATAGAATTGTTCATAATAGTCTCTGAGGATCTTTTGTATTTCTGTGGGATTCATTGTAATATCACCTTTGTCATTTGTGATTGTGCTTATTTGTATCTTTTTTTTTGTTAATCTAGCTAATGGTCTATCAATCTTGTTTATCCTTTCAAAGAACCAACTTTTAGTTTTGTTGCTTCTTCGTATGAATTTTTGGGTCTCAACTTTGTTCATTTCTGCTCTGATTTTATTTATTTTCTTCTGCTAGATTTGGGGTTACTTTGCTCTTGTTTTTCTAGATCCTCTAGGTTTGATGTTAGATTTCTAATTTGAGATCTTTTTAAATTTTGGAGGTAGGTGTTTAGTGCTATAACTTTGCTCTGCTTTTGCAGAATCCCAGAGATGTTGATGTGTTGAATCTCTGTTTTCATTTATTTCAAAGAATTTCTTGATTTCTGCCCTAATTTTATTGTTTACTGAAAGCCACTCAGAAACAAGTTGTTAAATTTTCATGTAATTTTGCAATTTTGAGAGATCTTGGAGTTTATTTCTATTTTTATTGCACTATAATCTGAGAGTATGGTTGGTATGATTTTGATATTTTTAAATTTATTGAGACTTGCTTTACAGTTGAGCATGTGGTTAATCTTAGAGTATGTTTCATGTGCAGATGAGAAGAAGGTATATTCTATACTTGATGGATGGAGTATTCTATAGATGTCTGTTAGTTCTCATTGGTCAAGTGTCAAATTTAAGTCCAGATATTCTTTATTAGTTTTCTGCCTTGATGATCTGACAATGGGGTGTTAAAGTTCCCTTCTATTATTGTGTGGCTGTGTGAGTCTTTTTGTAGGTCTAGAAGTACTTGTTTTATGAATCTGGGTGCTCTGATGTTGGGTGCATATATATTTAGGATAGTTAAGTCTTCTTGTTTAATTGAACTTTTTATCATTACATAATGCTCTTCTTTGTCCTTTTTTACTGTTATTGGTGTTAAAAATCTGTTTTATCAGATAAAAGAACAGCAACTCCTGCTTTTTTTGTTTTGTTTTCTGTTTCCATGGTAGATCTTTCTTCCACCCTTTACTTTGAGCCTATGGGTCTCTTGAAGACAGCAGACAATTGGACTTCATTCTTTTATCCAACTTGCTACTCTCTGCCTTTTAAGTGGGAACATTGAAACCACTTGCATTCAAGTAATAGTGATATGTAAGGTTTTGATCCTATCATAAGTTGTTAGCTGTTTGCTTTGTAGTTTCTATTTTGTAGTTGTTTTATAGAGTCTGTGGGCTATGTACTTAACAGTGCTTTTGTGGTAGCAAGTATCATTCTTTTGTTTCCATGTTTAGAACTTTCTTAAAGATCTCTCATAAGGCTGGTCTAGTGGTAATGAATTCCCTTAGCACTTGCTTGTCTGGAAAATATTTTATTTAACCTTCTTTTATGAAGCTTAATTTGGTGGGATAGTTCTTTTTTGAATATCCCTAAACTTTGATACATCTGGAAGGCAGCTCATCTGGTGCTTGCTCTGAACTGAAAATGAAGGCCCACATTCTTGAGTATTCCTTCACTTAACTCTCATATCCTCTTCCAAGGAGATATAAATATTAACCAGAAGTCCATTCCAGGTTTCCCATTGTTTCAGTCTCTGCTTTCTTTTCTCAGGGAGTCCATTTTGCTGAACCTCACCTCCACCCCAACCTGCACTCTCTTTTCCAAAACATATTATTAACAAGTAGTAAATCATGTCATGGGATGTCAGTCTCCCAGTGTTCTGCTGTTAAAATAGGTGGGATAATGACCTCAGGACAAAGATTCCTTTAAGATATTTGCATTTACCATTATTGTTTTGCATGTTTTCTTTCAGATTATCTCAACTTTGGTCTCCTGGGACCACTCGTTGCTGACAGTCAGAAAGTAAGTGTATATTTAAAATGTTCTTCTTAGCTATAAATGGAAATCTCAGTTTTGTTCAGTAGTTTTCACAAGAGACAGTTCTGTTCAAATGTTTTATCAAGAATAGTAGCATAATGAATGGGAGTTTTGTATATATAAAAGATACTAAAGCCCATTTAAAAAATTTATGGAAATGATAAATAAATAGAAATGAAGTAAATAAGGTACTGCCTGCTTATCACCTTTGAATATTACTTACAGCATAATAAAGTATATTTGCAACCACTCAGTGGAGTAGTTTTTATATGACATCTTCATCCCAGGCAGCTGCCAGAGTCTTCTCAAGGGGTACATTACAACAGCATCCTCCTTTATGTTAAATTGGGTCATATTCCAAGAGGTATCTCAAATGGCATTAAGCACCAATTAACAGATATCAGATAGTCTGGCACCTAATGGGCACATAACAGATTTGTATTAGAGAATGAACGTGTGGGTGAATTAATTCATCAATTTGTGTGGCAGCTCTGCAAGGTCCTCACCACTGCAAGGCAATGTAGGAGTTAGCTCCAAATCTAACTCCAATGTGGTTAGCTCCAAATATGGATCCAGATACTTGGGTTCAATTTTGGCTCTGTTAGTTACTATCTGGGTGACTATGGAACACATCCAAATATCTGTTTCTTGTTTTTTTTGTCCATAAAATGGGACTAATACCATATTTTGTTGTTATGAGATTATTACAAGGATTAAATGAGTTAATATTTTCAAAGTGCTTAAAAGAGTGACTGGCACATGGTAATCACTGCAAAAATGTTTGTCAAATAAATTAAAATAAATTAAGAATACAGGGACATTCCAAGATCCCATATTTAGAGATTGAGAAACTGGTTTGGTCTGGAAGCAAACAATACATACCTGTTTCCCAGATCTTGGTTTCTAATACTGTTTTCCAATGAAATGAACCAGGGTTCCTTGGAGAAATGACTGATTTAAGACTGTGGCAGCAAATATACAAGATGAGCCTGGAGCATCTTGTAGTGCTATAAAGTAAAGAAGTGCAAAAAATAAAAATCCGCAATGATGGTTGTATGTGAAAAGAATACAGGACCCAATCGAAAGTACTTTCAATGTCCAAAGATGGAAAATTTGAGCAAAGAAAGGAAGTTAGAATTAGGATATCACTTAAAGTACAAAATACATATCTATACTGATATAAATACATGATGAATAAATAAATGAAGAGAATGTAGAAGAATTCCAAATAATGTATGTAAGATACTCTGCCTTTCAGGGGGTAAAGCATAACCCTCCCTGGGGGCTGCACAGAATGACTTTCTTTCAAAGAGTATAGTAAAGAAAGGGAGGGGAAAAAGTAACTTCACAATGGAGAAACCCAAGCAAACACTATCTCAAGCCAGGTGATTAAGGTTAAATCAGCAGTGGCAGGTCACATTGGTAGTAGGTACCCTTGACATGATGTGATGAGAAGGGCACTTTGCCTTTGTAATCTTCCTCCCCAAAATACTTGATCTAAGTCTAATTATGAGAAAAGCATAAGACAAATTCCAGTAGAGCGACATGCTACAAAATATCTGACTAGTACCCCTCAAAGCTGTGAAGGTCATCAGAAACAACTCAAGTCTGAGAGATAGTCACAATCAAGAGAAGCCTAAGGAGACATGATGACTCAATGTAATGTGGGATCCTGGACCAAAAATAGGATGTTAGGTAAAAACTAAGAAAGTTTGATTAAAGTATGGAGTTTAGTTCACAATAATGTATCAACATTGGTTCATCAAATGTGATAAATGTACCATGCTAATGTAAGATGTTAATATTTGGGAAAACTGGGTATGGGGTATACAAGAACTTTCTGTATTATCTTTATAATCCTGTAAATCTAAAACTTTGAAAATAAACCATTTATTTGAAAAACAGTTAAGTAGGCCAGGCGCAGTGTCTCACTCCTGTAATCCTAGCACTTTGGGAGGCCAAGGCAGGCAGATCACGTGAGGTTGGGAGTTTGAGACCAGCCTGGCCAACATGGAGAAGCCCCATCTCTACTAAAAATACAAAATTAGCTGGGCGTGGTGGTGCATGCCTGTAATCCCAGCTACTCAGGAGGCTAAGGCAGGAGAGTTGCTTGAATCCAGGAGGCGGAGGTTGTGGTGAGCCGAGATTGTGCCCTTGCACTCCAGCCTGGGCAACAAGAGCGAAACTCTGTCCCAAAACAAGCAAAACAAAACAGTTAAGTAGACACACCAAAACCAAAAACAACAAAAATGAAAACAAACAAAAAAACTGGTTTGGAGGTATACCTTCCAATTTTTAAGTAACAAAATAAAAGAATTTTGATATTTTGAAAAATGTTGAGTCTGATTCATTTGTGTTTCAAGACTCACTCATGGAGAATGATTTTCTGCATTCAAGTTTTGAATTGGATAAAGGTATACACATGTATAAAGCATTCTGCTAGATTTCTGTTATCCTCAACAGCCAAAAGAAAATAATAATTGGCAAATCAGAGCTTTTTTTCAAGAATGGCTGTTATTTGAGTTCAAAGTGGATTATGACATGTGTTAGTTATGTATTGCTACATAACAAATTGCCACAAATATAGTGACTTAAAACAATGAGTATTGTGTTCCATCTTCTTGGGTCAGGAGTCTGAGTACAGCTTGGGCCTCTGCTTATGGTCTTGGAAAGGTGTCATCAAGATCTTGACTGTGCTGTGTTCTTGTCTGGAGCTTGAGTTTTTTCTTCTAAGCTCATGCAGTTGTTGGCAGAATCCAGCTGAGATTGTAGGACTGAGGTCCCCACTTTATTTCTGGAAGTCACCTGGGTCACTCTCATGTCCTAGGAATCACCCACAGCTTCTTCCCATGTGGCATCTCACAGGCTTGTCACAACATGGCAGCTTATGCCTTCAACGTCTGCAGGAGAAACTCCCATTGCAGCCTGCTAAGACATCAAGGTAGTGAAATATTCAATGAAGGCATTGGCTTTGCCATATTTCGTTTGCTGAAAATCAAGTCACAGGTCGTGCCTGCACTCTGTGGGAGGGGATTACATAGGACATGACTCAGTGGGGATCACCTGAGGGTGTGTCCTCTACAATAGGAGAATTACAAAACAGATGCAAGTGGCTGGGCATTGGGATTCCACCACAGATGAGCAAACTAAAGTAAAGGCAAATCAGAAATGCTTGCTTCTTGCTTTCAAGCAAACTATAGCACGAGGTAAATAAATAGGTTTCACCTCTTGCCCCCAACAAAGTTGTTAAAAAATACTCCTAAATACTCCTCAAAGTTATCAAGTGAGAATTAGGATTATCTGAAGATGGAGGAGTCAGAGAAAAAGATTTGGAGACTGCTCATAAATACATCATCATTTCCCTGACTAATACTTTCTCTTTTTTAGTGAGGAAATTTGCACAAAAATATGTTCTCAACTCCATAGCAACAATGTCTGTACACCTTAATAACTCATTTTATAAAAGTTCAAATAACATGATCTCATTTTCAACTTTTCATGACTTAATTTTTTTTTCATTTTTCAGGCTTAGTTTTTTTAATGCTTGTGTTTTAAAATTCTGCCTGCCAATAATTATTAATACAGTGATACTGTTTAGTTTTTTTATATTTTACATGATGTTTGTAAATTTTATATTTTAAATGTATTCAATATTTATTTTCACTAATTTTATGAGTTCTGAATCCTTTTCTTATAAAATATGAATTACAAAAATACTGGCATGGCCGTTTTGCTCCAGCATTGTAATCACCACCCAGATTTTTAGGACCTCAAAAATGTATATTTTTCCTGATTGTTCTTTATAACACTAAACTGTCTAGAAACCCTTATATTTAGGTATCTGAAGTGTATTTGCAAAGTTTCTGCTTGCATCTGGAAATAAAGCACAAGATCCCTTATTAGACCTTGTGTCTAACTGTGGGTTTGGATCATGTCATCATTGTGTCTATGAATATCCACAGAGGTTACTACAAACCTCTTAGGGGACCGAAACAGAAACCTTTGCTATTTATGTCTCAGACATGCAGCCACCATGAAGAAAGCAGGTAATTCGTGGAAACGCAGCTCATTAGTAGCCAAGATGAAATGAAAAGGAAATATATATTGCAGTAATTTAATTAAGAAACTCACAAGAGGGGCTGGGCATGGTGGTTCATACCTGTAATCCCAGCGCTTTGGGAGGCCGAGGTGGCAGATCACTTGTGGTCAGGAGTTCGAGACCAGCCTGGCCAACATGGCGAAACCCCATCTCTACTGAAAATACAAAAATTCGCCGGGCATGGTGGTGTCTGCCTGCAGTCTCAGGTACTAGGGAGCCTGAAGTGGGAGGATCACTTGAATCCAGGAGGCAGAGGTTGCAGTGAGCCGAGATCGCGCCATTGCACTCCAACCTGGGCGACAGAGTGAGACTCTGTCTCAAAAAAAAAAAAAAGAAAAGAAAAAAAAGAAAAGAGAAATTCATAAGAGGAAGGATTTCCTGTGGCCCCCTTCTCCTTCTCCCCCCTTCTCCTCTTTTTTTTTTCAAGTCTCTACATGCCTATATTTTTCTTTTCTCTACTCATTCACAATAAGCCTTAGGCTGTAGCTACTGGTTCCTCTTATGCCAAGGGGTACAAAGAATTGTTATTCAGCATTGTGAGAACAGGATCACCTGTACTATTGGTAAAATAACTCATTTAGCAGATAAAGGTCAGAGCTTACCTGCTTCCTTCTTTCCTCCTTGGGGTTGTTTTCTTTGTAGGAATTAAATAAAGGGGTCTTTTTTGAAAATAGGAAGTAGATTAGAGTAAATAGAAGTAACCTTTCCTGTTTGTGAAGGAGGCATTCAGTGAAAGCTCAGAGCAAGTGCATTTATCTTTAGCTGGAAGGTCATAGAGCAAAGTGATTGTTGATCAGGGCTAAATTCTTAGGAAAGTCTTAGGATTTCTCAGGGTCGTTGCCCTGTGGTGGTCTTCAGAGCTCTTTCTCATGGTTTTAACTGAGCTTCACCAGGGATTTAGGTTTGCCTAGTGGTTTTATCAGATATATTTGCCATGTACCTTAATATAGAAATCTGGTACACTCACCTTTTACCAAAATTCTGGATCTATTTATTATGGGAATAGAACAACCACTAGATCTTTTTGTCAAAAGAGCTGGGTTTATTTTGAAGTAATGCATTTTATAAATAGTATCTTTGTACATTATATCTGTCTTTCCATTTTGTTTCTAGATCATCCTAACATCCTTTCTGTATTACGGTGATTAAATCCACATTGGATTTCCTTATTAGGGAGTACCTAGGTAGCACGTGGCTGTGGCAGTCTGGGAAGACAGACATTCACCAACTCATTTGTTATTTCTCTTTATTTGGTACTATTCTTGGGGCCCTGTGTCCCCAAAATTACCTCCTCTCATTCTGAGCTCTCCTTTTCTGGCGACCTCAGCACTCAATGCCCACCTGCCACCATCCCTCATACCTCCTCCTCTCATGTCGGATCAAAACACTGTTTCCTCAAGTCAAATAAAAACTTACATACCTTCCATTTGCCCTGCCCAGTGCTCAGGGCCACAGAGATGGGGCCAGCAAAACAAAACTTCCACACCTGTCCTAGAACCTCCCATCCTCTTCTTGGGACCACTTTTCCCATCTCAGAGGTCCCTAGCTCCTTTCTGGGCATTTCTCCTGTGTCTCATTCTCTGACATCTTTATCCTCACTGAGGTCTCAGTGTAGGATTGCCCCTCCTAGGGCAATCATGTTCTAAGAGAGCGATCCTGAAGACTAGAAAGACTTCACACCCAAAATAATGCACTCCCAATGGTGAAATTCTAGGCACCATGATAGGCAATAGTGGAGACATTTTTAACCCATCCTTGTCCAGCCTCCCTTAAATCACATCACATAGGTAGATGCATACGTTGCTTGCTATGGGTCTACCCTGTCTAGGAACTATTAAAAAACGGAAATGTCAATCTCTGTTCTTAAGGTGTAAATAACCTTAAGGGGCGTTACATTAAACATGCCCATGGAGAAAGATGAATGTACTGTTTAAGAGGTGTTCTAATCACATAATCCTGGGTTCTCACCTCAGTTTCTCTATACTAGCTGTTTAGCCTTGGGCAAGTTTCTGAACTTTTCAGAAGTTTCTGAAAATTTCAGAGGCTCATTTTCTTTATTAATAACACTGGGATAACAAAGCCTATTCTGAGGTGGTTATGAAAATTCAATGAGATAATTATATGAGATAGTATATGAGATAATTTATGCAATTCTTGGCATATAGTAAATAGCATGACACTTGCGCCATCAGTAAGCTTGAAGAAGGCAGTGTGGAAGTCTGAGGCTGAGAACAGGAGTGTGGAGCAAGGCAGTGATGAAGGTGGAGGAGGCTGAAGGGCTTCACAGGAGGGCATTTCTTTGCTTCATGGGAAGCACTGAGTGTTGTCCAATATCTGTACCTGCACAGGGTGGATACTTCATCCTTTGATCAATTCTTGGAAGCAACCTGCTGAGGAGTGCTGAAAAGTATGAGTGGAACCTGTCAAAAGACAAAATTACAACAAATGTGGTCGAAAAATTGAATTGGCTTTTATTTGTAATTTTAGACTCAGGCACCATCTCATTCTATAAAATAGAATGGGTGCTCTGATGGGCTCAACAAGAGGGGGCTTATAGGCAGTAAAAGGCTGAAGAAAGCAGAAACAGGGAACAAAAAGCAGATCAGTCATTTCAAAGACCACCTTGAAAAAGATCACTTTCCTTATAGAGTTAAAACAGAGGGGACTTCTTTATTATGTTGGCTCAGGTAAACTGGGCCTCTTCTGATTGGTTGCTATGAATCTCTTGATTTTTGGAAAACTGGCCCATTTCAAAGTTCAGTGTGATGATGTGGCACTTAGCACAAGTGACTCCATTTTGATTTGGTCTGGTCTGTTGGGGCCTAGTGCAGGAGCCTAATCCAAAATAATGACCTTCCCTAAATTTTTGTTTAATAAACCCATGCACATTATCACTTTACAGCTTGAGGGATAAAGGTAGCTTCCTCCCTTATTGTAGCTGTTTATTTCTAAGTCTCTCTCCTCCATTGGACTATGTGGTCCTCAAAGCAGGGATCTGACAGTTCATTCCTGTTATCTTCAGGTCATGAGTATGAGTACATGCTCAGTGCTTAATATTTGGTAGAATTATTGAAAGGGTAGAAGATGCAGGAGTTTTATTGCATGAAGTCTTCTAATAACACCCGTGATCATATGATGCATTTACTAAGACTTAGTACAAGGATGTGAACATATTTTTACTGCATGCAAGAACATGGTTCCGTGAAATGAAAGATGGAAATATTGTGGTTTGTGGTTCTCCAAAACAACATTGTTTGTGGGGTCAGAGGAGAAAAAATATGTGACTTAGGAAAGTTGCAACAGCCTTGAAAATGCTGGGTTTGCTGCTTGACGAGAAAAAAACCAAACAACACCCTCCCCACAAACTCCCAAGCACATAAAACTGGAAGAAGAGCCTGTGTAAAATCAAGCCGGATGCCAAAAGGGACGGGTTGGCAGATTGGAATGGATTATTGCGAATTCCTGCAGCCACCTGGCATGTGATTTAACACTTCTCTGAGCTTTTGTTTTTCCATGCTATTCGGGGCTGAATTTATTCCTATCTTATTGTCCTTGTCAAAAGCAATGATTTTTTAAAAGGCTGTATATTTTCTTTCCATTCTTGTTTACACCTTGCTTATCCTGCTGTTTACAAGATTGATCTCTCACACTCTGCCTGGGTGTTTTCTATTCTTGTGTAGTTAAAATTGCCAGAGGAGTTTTTTGAGCTGCTCTATTTTAAAGAATGGGGGGAGCCCTACTCCCTTGTGGAATCCCAGCATGGCATGGCATCTCCCCAATAAAAGAGGCACGTAGCTATTATGAACTTATGACCAACTGTGAAACTTTACACATTCAAGTATTTTAAATGCTTGAAAGTGCCTGCTGTGCATCTTGTTACAGAAATGTAATACCAGACATGCTTCTCAAATGGGTTGATGACTCCTTGGAAGTTGCCTGGAGAAGCATGAAATGTAGTTTCTTTCCAAAGTGGAGCACTTGCTATCTTCTCCCTAGCACTGGGTTGGAAATAATGATATATTGCCTCCTGTCCCGTCCCCTCTGCGGGTTGTCATAATTAAATGAAATGAGGGATACAAAGTTCTTTAGCCACTAGGCACTTAGTAGGAATTTAATAAAATATACTAAGTGCCACTATTTTATTAAATAAGAAATTAATAAAATATTTAATACAATAATAAAATTTATTAAATTATTTAATAAAATAAAATAATAAAATTTAATAAACCTCTTATTTTATTGTCTCCATTTAACATATTATTTCTCTCTTTAACATATCCTTTAAGAAGTGGCTCTAGAGAGTATGGCACAAGAGTTTCTACATGTTTCAAATTTACCTGCTTATAGGGTGGATCTAAGTAAGTGAAAATGGCATTAAAGTAGCCAAGAGGAAAGATTTAGTCCAAAGGGAACATTAAATAGCTGCATGTAATTCTCCATAATGGGCATAGATGTTGACGATGATGATGAGGTTGTTGCAGGGCTGAGACTAGAGAAGGTGAGTAGGACATTTGCTTTTGTGCAAAATTAGAAGTTGCCAAAAACTCCATAATCAAAATAAATAGCACTTAGCGCAATGTTTTTCAAAAATCAAATGCAAAACATCCATGATGGACAAAGATCAACATTTTAAATAAAAATAGGATCAATAACATTGCTGTGCAGAGTCACACTGGAACCCAGGGCAAGAGAAAAAATCAGTAATAGCGAATCTGTCTTAATTAAAAATGTTGATATTTTATTCATCATGAATGTCTTCATTCATTCTGATTTTCTTTAAAACATTGCATTAAAATATTACTTATGTAGATTTATGCTTTTGTGGCACCACCTTAAATCTTGCGCCTAAAAGTGGGCTGCTCACCTATCTGGCCTCTCCATGCCCTTGCTCTGGGGTGATGTCCACCAGGCTGGGAGGAAAGTCCCAAAGCGGCCTTCAAATATTCACTCCTTATTTTCTCTTGACCCACTCTGTAGTCCTGAGTTAGTTTAACTATGATCTCATGAAAAGACTATACCAACTGAAATTCTGATGTTTTTCCCAATCAAGTGACTGCAATGAAAGGTATAGTTTGGAAGGAACACAAAGTAAATCATTCATTAGAAACTTGGTTTAGGCTGGGGTCAGCAAACGGTGGCTGGCATCCTGGCTGGCTGCTTTGCAGGTAAAGTTTTATAGGCACACAGGCCCACCCATTTGTTTTTGTGTCAACCATGGCCGTTTCTGTGCCTCAATGGCAAAGTTGAGTCATCATTGCAACTGGAGACCGAACGGTATGCAAAGCCAAAAATATTTACCATGTGGCGTGTTGCAGGAAGAGGTTGCAGGCTTCTGATTTAGGTTATTAAAGCACTCAGATGTTCTTGGATCAGAATGTGGTTTTGGCAGTGATTTCGAACTTCCAGTTGTTTGGAGACTATATATCAGAAAATTCAAGGATGTTTACAAAGAATCATCTGTAAGAAGTGAGGGAAATGGGGAAGGGATTAGAGTTCAAAAAGTAAATCGAGAGAAGCAGCAGGTGTGGTCTGTGTCTGTCCCTGCCCTGTGGAGTTCCATCAGGGCCCAGCTGTGATTTGACATCATAGACATATTACATACTTACATGAACTTGACATCACCCATAATTGATGGTAAGCAAACAATGAGTTTGTGAAAAACTGCATTCATTTGCATAAATGAATCACATAAATGATTCATGGATTTAATTACTTCATTCTGTTAATGTGGTCAATTTCAAATTGACTTACTTCACTAATTCAGCAAGCATTTATGGAGCATCTATTTATGCAGAAACTGTATGAATCTCCTTCAAAGTAGTCTACATCTAAGTCTGAGTGTCAGCAAATAGAGATAGGGAGGCCTGGAATCATATTCTGATGCTCCTTGAATTTGGGGTGCATAGAGGAGACCACAGGGAAAGAATTGGAGAAAGAAAGCTCATTGAAGGTTCTGGATGCTGGTTAGGGAGCTTCGACTTTAACCAGTAGCCAGTCAGAAGCTTCCTTTATCGAGGGAGTGGCATGGCCACATCTGCACTTTAATTAGGATGTTAATTGAGTGGTGTGTGGAGGGGTAGAGGGTGGATGTAAGTAGAAGTTGGGGGACTAGTCAGAAGGCAATTTAAATAGTGTGGGATGGTTTGTAGACATACAGAAATGACAAAGATCTCAAGTCAGTGGCATCTATGGAAATGGAAGGAAAGACATATCTGAGAGAATGTTGGTTAGGGTAAAACCAACAAGTGCTCAGCCACTTGCTGAGGTCGGCCTCCTGACTTTGGAGTTGAAGTGATTGGGAGGCTGGAGAAGGGAAGAAATAGAGAGTCCAGAAGGGAAGAAAAGCAAGTAGGGGGTCAAAAAAATACCCCCAGGGAAAAGAGAAATACACCAGAGAGAGAGAGAGAGAGAGAGAGAGGAGAGGAGAGAGATTGGTGCTAGAAATAAAGATTTGGGAATTATCTGAGAAAAGATAATCATAGAAGCCATGGGCATAGAAAACATCAACAAGGGAAGAAGTTAGAGAATGGAGAGGAGCTCTGAAGAAACAACTGTGGTAGGATTGTCAGATTAAAAAATAGGAAGCTCAGTTAACACTGAATTTCAGATCAACAAAGAATAAAATTTTAGTGTAAGAATGTTCCATGCAATATAAAAACTATTGATCTGAAATTTAAATTTAATTGGGCTTTCTGTCTTTTTTTGCTAAATGTGGCCACCTTTGATTGTGGGGATTACTCTCATTTATGGGATGGGCAAAAGAGGAGGAAACTGGAAGGGTCTAGGAATGGACAGATAGACCATCCTGGTCCCAGGAGCACCAGGATGTTGCACTACCACAGAATCAAAGGGCAGAGTGGGTTTCAGAAGGGTAGAACAGAAAGCTCAAAGCCATTGCGTTTGGCAACCTGGAAATCAGTAGGCACCTTGCAGGAAGCAGAGAGAGGTCTGGCTGCAATAGTTGGAGTAAATATAGGAAGAGTGATGAAAATAATCAGACCCTTCTTTTGGGATGCATGATGGAGAAGAGGAGAGAGATAGAATTGTAAAGGGTAATAAAATAGAAGGAAGGCTTATAGAATCACAGAGGTGGAGGCTGTTTTCCAGCCTTGGGGAAGGAGCCCAGGAGATGGTATCCTGAAGATGTAAGAGGGGTGGTGGTGAAGGGATGGAGTGAGATGTGGATGATGCTGGAGGGGAGACCAGGATATAAACGGAGGGATTAACCTTTCCATGAAGGATGCTCCCTCTTTATTGGAGTCATAAAGGAAGGAAGTGGGGAGATGGGAAAAGATGTGGTGATTTTGAGAGTAGGGAAGGAAGACCTTTTATTTCTTTTTGCTTTCAGACTGTGCTATGAGAGTGCATGATATAAAGGAGGGATTAGGGGAGCGGGGGCGGGGGAACTCAGGCTGAAAATACTCCTTCTTTGCTGATTGCACAGGACAGATTTGATGAAGAACTCAAAGGTGCTTATAATTCATCCAACTGGGAGCAATTTATTTCCCTCCTCTTGTGTCTTCTTCCAGCTCCAGAGATCCCTATCGATTCACAGCATAGCTGAATTACTCACCAGGGAAGGGAAAATAACAGAAACAGAACTGAACAGGCTTACTGTCCTCCATTTTATTCAACCAGGAGACCCTGGTCTTAAAAGGATCAGGGCCATTTATGCTCATCCCTAGTCCTACAGGAGCGCAGGAGTGGGCATTTTGGGGAATGTGTGGGATTCCTAGTCTGGAGTCTGTGTCTGCAGATTGTGTCATGTGGGGTTAATGGCTTTGCCATGTCACACCCAGCATACCAGGGACTCACAGATATACAGGAGACACACACTAACCCCAGGCACCCTTCTGTCTTTTAGAAGCTGAGGTCAAAAGGCAGCCAGGCTCTCCTGCAAATGGGAGAGGATGAGACTGAGGAAGAAAACAGCCACAATCTCTTAGCCACTTTTCCTCTCTGCTGGTAAGAGCAGGGATGCCTTTGTGGCACAGGAAGGAGCCATTTGTAGAACTGAGGAAGCCTGGGAAGGCTGAGAGAGGTATTTCAGGGAGGAGGTGGAGGAGTGCTGTCTACCCAGGGAAGCTCTTCAGTGGCTCCACCTCCAGAGAACAGCAACATTTCCAACTTCTCTACAGTCCTCATTCTCTCCCTCGCTCTCGCCCCAACACAAAAGCACAGATGAAATTCCTAAACATAGCCTGGGTGTGGTGGCTCAAGCCTGTAATCCCCAGCACTTTGGGAGGCTGAGGTGGGCGGATCATGAGATCAAGACATCGAGACCATCCTGGCCAACACGGTGAAACTCCATCTCTACTAAAAATACAAAAATTAGCTGGGCATGGTGGCACACACTTGCAGTCCCAGCTACTCGGGAGGCTGAGGCAGGAGAATCACTTGAACCCGAGAGGCGGAGGTTGCAGTGAGCTGAGATCACGCCACTGCACTCCAGCCTGGTGATAGAGTGAGACTCCATCTCAAAAAAAAAAAAAAAAAATTCCTAAAAGTAAACCACTGCTGTCTAGTTATTTTTAGTATTTGCTGTTAGTATTTATCAAGCCTTTCAGTGTTAATTTGTCTGCCCACTCATTTCTTTTCCTGCCTCCACGTGCTGGGCTTGGGATGGAAGGAGCACGCATAAGCAGCAGCTGGTGACCTCACAGAAATATGTCCTGGAGAGTAGAGGCTGTAAGCCTTTAAAATCGATCTTCTCCACCCCTGCCTTGCAGAGAAGAAAGAAAGGTCTCTATTCCGTTAGCCTTGGAGAGCAACACAGTTGTTGGTGAAAGTGAAACCATTAGAATGTCTAGGTGGTATTTAGTTAGGTCAGGGGCCCCTGCTGAAGAGCTGGGTCAGGGAATCCACACATGTGCACAATGTCATAATGCAAGCAAAAATGGGTCAGAGGCCAGGTAAGCAAGCAGAAATTAGGAGGAAGCACATGCTGGGGGAGAGAAAAGTAAAAAAAGCCATGGCATCAGTCCGGGATTTGAGGGAGCTGAAGGTTGACAGTAAGATGAGTAGGGCTGGCGTTGAAAAGGCCAGAGGAGGAAAGCTCTGCAGCACTCTGATAAGCTACAGCTTAATGCTGCAACACTGCTTGTTCCTGCCTTGGCTGTCGGTCCAGTCACCTGGAGGCAGCCTTGCCCAGAGCAGCCACATTGCTCTGTAGAGGAACTCTAGGGCATGTTCTAACAGAGGGCTGTTGAAAGGAGCAGGACCAGTCCAAATATGAGTCACATCAGCCTGCGTGGTCACTGGACCCCTGGCCAACCCATGAGTGTATTCATTTCTTAGGAAGCAGAAAGAAGTTTCTTTTTACTACTTCAAAAAACGTATTGGCTTCCTTTTTGCATTCTTTTCTTACTTCATTATTTTTTCCAATTTCTAGGAAAATGAAGTTAAAAAAAAAAAAAAAAAAACTCAGTGGATGGGCTAACATGAGAATGGAGTGGACAGAGGAAAGAATCAGTGAACTTATAAGTAGAATAGTAGAAATTACCCTATCTTAGCAATAGATCAAATAGGCTGAAGAAAAAAAAGAGGGCACGGATCTATGGGAATATGAAAACTACCTAACATGTGTTATCAAGAGAAAAGAATGTAGTGGGTGTGATGGCTCACGCCTGTAATCCCAGCACTTTGGGAGGCTGAGGTGGGTGGATCACTTGAGGTCAGGAGTTCGAGACCAGCCTGGCCAATATGGTGAAACCCCATCTCTACTAAAAATACAAAACTTAGCTGGGTATGGTGGTGAATGCCAGTAACCCCAGCTACTTGGGCGGCTGAGGCAGGAGAATCACTTGAACTCAGGAGGCAGAGGTTGCAGTGAGCCGAGATCCTGCCACTGCACACTAACCTGGGTGACAAGTCGAGACTCCATCTCAAAAAAAAAAGAAGAGAAAAGAGTAATGCAAAGAATAAAAATGGGGTAAGTACAATAAAGTTTACTTCTCCTCTTAAGTTTTCTAAATTATATTTCATGGTTAAAGCAAAAAATAACACTATCCGATGTAGTTCTTGATGTACGTAGATAAATATTTAAGAAAATTATTTTATAGATGAGGAAAAGTAAAGGAATGTAAAGGGAGGTAAGAATTCTACCAATACACTCTGGTAAGTTGTGTATATTTATTATAATAAGGAGAGCAACCATTGAAAAAGTGAGATAAAGAGATATACCTAAAAACACTATAGATAAATAAAAATGGAATTCTTAAAAAGTCCTAAATACCCACAATAAGTCTAGAAAATCAAAATAAAGGAAAAAAAGTAGAGAACAAACAGGAAACAACAAAAATGGCAGATATTAGCCCAAGTATATCAACAATTACATTGACTACAAGTGGCGAAAATATACAAATGAAAGATGATTGACATAATGGATTTTTTTTTTGACATGATGGATTTTTAAAAAACCCCAACTATATGCTGTTTATAGGAAATTCCTGTCAGATATAACAATATAGGAGGGTAAAAATTACAGAATGAAAAAATGTTTTAATGTAAATATTAATTTTTTAAAAAGCAGGAATAGCTATATGAATGTTAAAGGAGACTTTAGAGAAAAGAAAATTACCAAGGACAGAGAGAGATATTATATAATGATAAAAGGGCCAATCTACCAAAACAACATAGCAAACATACATATTTTGCATGCAAACCCTAAATATATACCCAAAAAAGTGAACTGCAAAGTATGTGAAACAAAACTGATAGAACTGAAAAAAGAAATAGGCAAATTCATAATAAGAGTTAAAAACCTCAACACACTTCTCTCAATAACTGATAGAACAACTAGACAGAAAACCAGCAAACATAGAGAAGACCATAACATTATCAATCAACTAGATCTAATTTATATTTATACAATCCACCCAACAACAGAAGAATTGACTAACAAAATGTATACCAAAATATACCATAAACCATAAAACAAACCTCAACAAATTTAAAAGAATTGAAATTATACAAAGTGTATTCTCTGGCTATAATCAAATCAAGATAGATATCCCCAACAGAAAGATGGCAGGAAAATCTCCAAACAGTTGGAAATAAACAACAAACTTTCAAATAGAATCTGTAGGTCAAAAAGAAAGTTTCAAAGAAATAAAAAAATACGTTAAAGTGAATGAAAATGAAAATACAACATCAAAATTTATGTGACTCAGCTAAAGCAGTTCTGAGAGGAAAATTTATAGCACTAATATAATGCTTACATTTGAAAAGAGGAAAGTCTCAAATTGATAATCTGAGCTCCTATCTGAAGAAACTAGTTTTTTAAGAAACTAGAAAAAGAGCCAAATATACCCAAAGCAAGCATAAGAAAGGATATAATAAAGATAAAAGCAGAAATTAATAAAACTACAAGGAGAAAAACAAGAAAATAAACAGGCTAGTTCTTTGAAAAGAAAATTGATAAACCTTCAGCAACACTGACAAAGAAAAAAGAAGATATATATTGCCAATATCTGGAATTACAAAGGGGACATCACTACAGACCTGCAGACATCAAAGAGAATAATAAGGACATTCTACAAATAACTCTACACATTTGACAACTTATATGAAATTAAGCAATTTTCCAGAAAGCACAAACTACCACAATTCATACAATATAAAATAGATAATTTTGATAGTCTTGTAACTGAGGAAATTGAATTAGTAATTTAGAAACTCCCAAAACAGAAAGTTCCAGGTCCAGATGGTTTCTCTAGAAAATTCCATAAGACATTTAAAGAATAATTAATACCAATTCTCTACAACCTCTTCTAGAAAATAAAAGATGAGGAAATATTTCCCAATTCATTTTATGAAGCTGAAATTATTTTGATACCAAAACTAGAAAAAGCACAATAAAAGAAAACTAGAGACTAACTACTCTTATAAAGATAGATGTGAGAATCCTAAAAATATTGATAAATAGTGTTCAGTAATATATAAAGGTAATTATATGCCATAACCATATATTTATTCTAGGGATAAAAGAATGGTTCAATATTTGAAAATCCTCAATGTAATTCACTATATAAACAGTCTAAAGAAAAAATCACAATCATACTAATTGATGTACAGAAACCCATTTGACAAAATGAAACAACATTCATGGCAAAAACTTAGAGAAATAAGAATAGAAGGAATCTCCCTCAAATTGATAAAGAGTATCTATGAAAACGCCTATAGCTAACATTGTACTTAATAGTAAAAGATTGAATTCTTTCTCCATAAGATCAGGTAAGGATGACTGCTCTCACCACTCCTATTCAATATAGTACTGAAAGTTTGACATGCAATAGAGAAGAGGAAATAAAATCCATACAAATCAGAAAGGAAAAAGGAAGAAATAAAACCATTCCTATTTGCAGGCAACACGATTGTCTACTAGAAAAATTCAATGGAATCTATAAAGAAAAAACCTCTTAGAACTAATAAATGAGTTTAGTTAGGTTGCAGGATGTAAGATAAACATATCAAAATCAATTACACTTTTATATACTAGCAATGTACACATGAATATAAAAATTAATTATACAATATCATTTACAATCTCAAAAACATGGAATACATGTGTGTATATCTAATGAAACATTTATGGGATTTATATGCTGAAAACTACAAAATGCCAATAGAAGTAATCAAAGAGTATCTACATAGTAGAGAAATGTGGATTGGATTTGTGTTTGTGGATTGGAAGAGTCAACTTAGTAAAGATGTCAGTTCTCCCCAAAATGATATTCAGATTCAAGTTTAATGAAATTCTTATAAAAATTCCAACAAGAATTTTGGAGACATATATAAGATTATTCTAAAATTTATATGCAAAAGTAAGGCAACTAGAATGTCTAAAATAATTTCAAAAAGGAAAAATAAAGTAGGAGAAATCACTGAACCTAATTTCAAAATTAGTATAGCTATCGTAGTCAAGACTGTGTGGAATTAGCAAAGAGAGTGATACATAGGACAGAACAGAGAACTTGAAAACAGTCACATATTCATCACCCCACAACTTAAAAAGCAACTCAAAATAGATCATACACTTAAAATAAAACATAAAACTAGAAAACTTGTAAAAGAAAACATACCAGAAAATCTTCAATACCTATGGACTGTTGAAGAGTTCCTAAACATGATATCAACAGCATGATCTATAAAAGAAAAAAAGTCAATAAATTGGACTTCATCCAAATTTAAAATGTTTGTTCTATGAAGAACTGTGTTAGAAGGATGAAAAGAAGCTATAGACTAGGAGAAAATGTTTGCAAAACACGTACCTAGATTAAAGAACTCCAAACTCAACATTTTTTTAAAAAAACAAAAATCCAATGAGGGAATGGGCAAAAGAGATATCTTATTGTAAATGATATTTGGATGGCAAATAAGCTCATGAAAAGATGTTCAGCATCCCTAGCTACTGGGGAAATGCAAATGAATGCCATGATGAGATAGCACCACACACCTATTAGAACAGCTAAAATAAAAATAGTGATAATGCCTGTATTAGTCTGTTCTCACACTGCTAATAAAGACATACCTGAGACTGGGCAATTTATAAAGGAAAGAAGTTTAATTGATTCACAGTTCAACATGACTGGGGAGGCCTCAGGAAACTTCCAATCATGGCTGAAGGGGAAGCAAACATGTCCTTCTTCACATGGTGGCATCGAGGAGAAGAATATGTGCTCAGCAAAGGGGGAAGCCCCTGACAAAACCATCAGATCTTGTGAGAACTCACTCATTATCATGAGAACACATTGGGGGAACCGCCCCTGTGATTCGATTATTTCCACCTGGTCCCTCCTACAACACGGAATTATGGGAACTACAATTCAAGATGAGATTTGGGGTGGGACACAGTCAAACCATATCAATGTCAAATGCTGGTGAGGATGCAAAAAAATGGAATTACCATGCAATGCTGGAGGTTAAAATGCTAGAGTCACTCTGGAAAATAGTTTAGTGGTTTCTTTAAAACTAAACATACATTTACCATGTGACCCAGAAACACTCTCCTGGACACTTATTCCAGATAAACTTTGGAATGTGAAAACTTTATCTACACAAAGCCTGTACATAATTGTTCCTAGCAGCTTTATTTTTAATAGCCCAACACTGGAAACAAACAAAATGTCCTACAATAGGTGAGTGGTTAAGCAAACTGTAGTACTTTCTTTTTTTTTTATTATACTTTAAGTTTTAGGGTACATGTGCACATTGTGCAGGTTAGTTACATATGTATACATGTGCCATGCTGGTGCACTGCACCCACTAACTCGTCATCTAGCATTAGGTATATCTCCCAATGCTATCCCTCCCCCCTCCCCCCACCCCACCACAGTCCCCAGAGTGTGATATTCCGCTTCCTGTGTCCATGTGATCTCATTGTTAAATTCCCACCTATTACTGAGAATATGCGGTGTTTGGTTTTTTGTTCTTGCGATAGTTTACTGAGAATGATGATTTCCAATTTCATCCATGTCCCTGCAAAGGACATGAACTCATCATTTTTTATGGCTGCATAGTATTCCATGGTGTATATGTGCCACATTTTCTTAATCCAGTCTATCATTGTTGGACATTTGGGTTGGTTCCAAGTCTTTGCTATTGTGAATAATGCCGCAATAAACATACGTGTGCATGTGTCTTTATAGCAGCATGATTTATAGTCCTTTGGGTATATACCCAGTAATGGGATGGCTGGGTCAAATGGTATTTCTAGTTCTAGATCCCTGAGGAATCGCCACACTGACTTCCACAATGGTTGAACTAGTTTACAGTCCCACCAACAGTGTAAAAGTGTTCCTATTTCTCCACATCCTCTCCAGCACCTGTTGTTTCCTGACTTTTTAATGATTGCCATTCTAACTGGTGTGAGATGGTATCTCATTGTGGTTTTGATTTGCATTTCTCTGATGGCCAGTGATGATGAGCATTTTTTCATGTGTTTTTTGGCTGCATAAATGTCTTCTTTTGAGAAGCGTCTGTTCATGTCCTTCACCCACTTTTTGATGGGGTTGTTTGTTTTTCTGTTGTAAATTTGTTTGAGTTCATTGTAGATTCTGGATATTAGCCCTTTGTCAGGTGAGTAGGTTGCAAAAATTTTCTCCCATTTTGTAGGTTGCCTGTTTACTCTGATGGTAGTTTCTTTTGCTGTGCAGAAGCTCTTTAGTTTCATTAGATCCCATTTGTCAATTTTGTCTTTTGTTGCCATTGCTTTTGGTGTTTTAGACATGAAGTCCTTGCCCATGCCTATGTCCTGAATGGCAATGCCTAGGTTTTCTTCTAGGGTTTTTATGGTTTTAGGTCTAACGTTTAAATCTTTAATCCATCTTGAATTGATTTTTGTATAAGGTGTAAGGAAGGGATCCAGTTTCAGCTTTCTACATATGGCTAGCCAGTTTTCCCAGCACCACTTATTAAATAGGGAATCCTTTCCCCATTGCTTGTTTTTCTCAGGTTTGTCAAAGATCAGATGGTTGTAGATATGTGGCATTACTTCTGAGGCCTCTGTTCTGTTCCATTGATCTATATCTCTGTTTTGGTACCAGTACCATGCTGTTTTGGTTACTGTAGCCTTGTAGTATAGTTTGAAGTCAGGTAGTGTGACGCCTCCAGCTTTGTTCTTTTGGCTTAGGGTTGACTTGGCGATGCGGGCTCTTTTTTGGTTCCATATGAACTTTAAAGTAGTTTTTTCCAATTCTGTGAAGAAAGTCATTGGTAGCTTGATGGGGATGGCACTGAATCTATAAATTACCTTGGGCAGTATGGCCATTTTCACGATATTGATTCTTCCTACCCATGAGCATGGAATGTTCTTCCATTTGTTTGTATCCTCTTTTATTTCCTTGAGCAGTGGTTTGTAGTTCGCCTTGAAGAGGTCCTTCACATCCCTTGTAAGTTGGATTCCTAAGTATTTTGTTCTCTTTGAAGCAGTTGTGAATGGGAGTTCACTCATGATTTGGCTCTCTCTTTGTCTGTTGTTGGTGTATAAGAATGCTTGTGATTTTTGCACATTGATTTTGTATCCTGAGACTTTGCTGAAGTTGCTTATCAGCTTAAGGAGATTTTGGGCTGAGACAGTGGGGTTTTCTAGATATACAATCATGTCATCTGCAAACAGGGACAATTTGACTTCCTCTTTTCCTAATTGAATACCCTTTATTTCCTTCTCCTGCCTAATTGCCCTGGCCAGAACTTCCAACACTATATTGAACAGGAGTGGTGAGAGAGGGCATCCCTGTCTTGTGCCAGTTTTCAAAGGGAATGCTTCCAGTTTTTGCCCATTCAGTATGATATTGGCTGTGGGTTTGTCATAGATAGCTCTTATTATTTTGAAATATGTCCCATCAATACCTAATTTATTGAGAGTTTTTAGCATGAAGGGTTGTTGAATTTTGTCAAAGGCTTTTTCTCCATCTATTGACATAATCATGTGGTTTTTGTCTTTGGCTCTGTTTATATGCTGGATTACATTTATTGATTTGCGTATATCGAACCAGCCTTGCATCCCAGGGATGAAGCCCACTTGATCATGGTGGATAAGCTTGTTGATGTGCTGCTGGATTCGTTTTGCTAGTATTTTATTGAGGATTTTTGCATCAATGTTCATCAAGGATATTGGTATAAAATTCTCTTTTTTGGTTGTGTCTCTGCCCGGCTTTGGTATCAGAATGATGCTGGCCTCATAAAATGAGTTAGGGAGGATTCCCTCTTTTTCTATTGATTGGAGTAGTTTCAGAAGGAATGGTACCAGTTCCTCCTTGTACCTCTGGTAGAATTCGGCTGTGAATCCATCTGGTCCTGGAATCTTTTTGGTTGGTAAACTATTGATTATTGCCACAATTTCAGATCCTGTTATTGGTCTATTCAGAGATTCAACTTCTTCCTGGTTTAGTCTCGGGAGAGTGTATGTG
Organism: Homo sapiens; assembly: GCF_000001405.40. NCBI lineage: Eukaryota > Metazoa > Chordata > Mammalia > Primates > Hominidae > Homo > Homo sapiens. The sequence continues at coordinate 101,894,784 of NC_000008.11, read as the reverse complement.
TTGAGGAATTTATCCATTTCTTCTAGATTTTCTAGTTTATTTCCGTAGAGGTGTTTGTAGTATTCTCTGATGGTAGTTTGTATTTCTGTGGGATCTGTGGTGATACCCCCTTTATCATTTTTTATTGTGTCTATTTGATTCTTCTCTCTTTTTTTCTTTATTAGTTTTGCTAGCAGTCTATCAATTTTGTTGATCCTTTCAAAAAACCAGTTCCTGGATTCCTTGATTTTTTGAAGGGTTTTTTGTGTCTCTATTTCCTTCAGTTCTGCTCTGATTTTAGTTATTTCTTGCCTTCTGCTAGCTTTTGAATGTGTTTGCTTTTGCTTTTCTAGTTCTTTTAATTGTGATGTTAGGGTGTCAATTTTGGATCTTTCCTGCTTTCTCTTGTGGGCATTTAGTGCTATAAATTTCCCTCTACACACTGCTTTGAATGTGTCCCAGAGATTCTGGTATGTTGTGTCTTTGTTCTCGTTGGTTTCAAAGAACATCTTTATTTCTGCCTTCATTTCGTTATGTACCCAGTAGTCATTCAGGAGCAGGTTGTTCAGTTTCCATGTAGTTGAGCGGCTTTGAGTGAGATTCTTAATCCTGAGTTCTAGTTTGATTGCACTGTGGTCTGAGAGATAGTTTGTTATAATTTCTGTTCTTTTACATTTGCTGAGGAGAGCTTTACTTCCAAGTATGTGGTCAATTTTGGAATAGGTGTGGTGGTGCTGAAAAAAATGTATATTCTGTTGATTTGGGGTGGAGAGTTCTGTAGATGTCTATTAGGTCCACTTGGTGGAGAGCTTAGTTCAATTCCTGGGTATCCTTGTTGACTTTCTGTCTCATTGATCTGTCTAATGTTGACAGTGGGGTGTTAAAGTCTACCATTATTAATGTGTGGGAGTCTACGTCTCTTTGTAGGTCACTCAGGACTTGCTTTATGAATCTGGGTGCTCCTGTATTGGGTGCATATATATTTAGGATAGTTAGCTCTTCTTGTTGAATTGATCCCTTTACCATTATGTAATGGCCTTCTTTGTCTCTTTTGATGTTTGTTGGTTTAAAGTCTGTTTTATCAGAGACTAGGATTGCAACCCCTGCCTTTTTTTGTTTTCCATTTGCTTGGTAGATCTTCCTCCATCCTTTTATTTTGAGCCTATGTGTGTCTCTGCACGTGAGATGGGTTTCCTGAATACAGCACACTGATGGGTCTTGACTCTTTATCCAATTTGCCAGTCTGTGTCTTTTAATTGGAGCATTTAGTCCATTTACATTTAAAGTTAATATTGTTATGTGTGAATTTGATCCTGTCATTATGATGTTAGCTGGTTATTTTGCTCGTTAGTTGATGCAGTTTCTTCCTAGTCTCGATGGTCTTTACATTTTGGCATGATTTTGCAGTGGCTGGTACTGGTTGTTCCTTTCCATGTTTAGCGCTTCCTTCAGGAGCTCTTTTAGGTCAGGCCTGGTGGTGACAAAATCTCTCAGCATTTGCTTGTCTGTAAAGTATTTTATTTCTCCTTCACTTATGAAGCTTAGTTTGGCTAGATATGAAATTCTGGGTTGACAATTCTTTTCTTTAAGAATGTTGAATATTGGCCCCCACTCTCTTCTGGCTTGTAGGGTTTCTGCTGAGAGATCCGCTGTTAGTCTGATGGGCTTCCCTTTGTGGGTAACCTGACCTTTCTCTCTGGCTGCCCTTAACATTTTTTCCTTCATTTCAACTTTGGTGAATCTGACAATTATGTGTCTTGGAGTTGCTCTTCTCGAGGAGTATCTTTGTGGCGTTCTCTGTATTTCCTGAATCTGAATGTTGGCCTGCCTTGCTAGATTGGGGAAGTTCTCCTGGATAATATCCTGCAGAGTGTTTTCCAGCTTGGTTCCATTCTCCCCATCACTTTCTGGTACACCAATCAGATGTAGATTTGGTTTTTTCACATAGTCCCATATTTCTTGGAGGCTTTGCTTATTTCTTTGTATTCTTTTTTCTCTAAACTTCCCTTCTCGCTTCATTCCATTCATTTCATCTTCCATTGCTGATACCCTTTCTTCCAGTTGATCGCATCAGCTCCTGAGGCTTCTGCATTCTTCACGTAGTTCTCGAGCCTTGGTTTTCAGCTTCATCAGCTCCTTTAAGCACTTCTCTGTATTGGTTATTCTAGTTATACATTCTTCTATATTTTTTTCAAAGTGTTCAACTTCTTTGCCTTTGGTTTGAATTTCCTCCTGTAGCTCGGAGTAGTTTGATCGTCTGAAGCCTTCTTCTCTCAATTTGTCAAAGTCATTCTCCATCCAGCTTTGTTCCGTTGCTGGTGAGGAACTGCGTTCCTTTGGAGGAGGAGAGGCACTCTGCGTTTTAGAGTTTCCAGTTTTTCTGTTTTGTTTTTTCCCCGTCTTTGTGGTTTTATCTACTTTTGGTCTTTGATAATGGTGATGTACAGATGGGTTTTTGGTGTGGATGTCCTTTCTGTTTGTTAGTTTTCCTTCTAACAGACAGGACCCTCAGCTGCAGGTCTGTTGGAATACCCTGCCGTGTGAGGTGTCAGTGTGCCCCTGCTTGGGGGTGCCTCCCAGTTCGGCTGCTCGGGGGTCAGGGGTCAGGGACCCACTTGAGGAGGCAGTCTGCCGGTTCTCAGATCTCCAGCTGTGTGCTGGGAGAACCACTGCTCTCTTCAAAGCTGTCAGACAGGGACATTTAAGTCTGCAGAGGTTACTGCTGTCTTTTTGTTTGTCTGTGCCCTGCCCCCAGAGGTGGAGCCTACAGAGGCAGCCAGGCCTCCTTGAGCTGTGGTGGGCCCCACCCAGTTCGAGCTTCCTGGCTGCTTTGTTTACTTAAGCAAGCCTGGGCAATTGCGGGCGCCCCTCCCCCAGCCTCGCTGCCGCCTTGCAGTTTGATCTCAGACTGCTGTGGTAGGAATCAGCGAGATTCCGTGGGCGTAGGACCCTCCGAGCCAGGTGTGGGATATAATCTCGTGGTGCTCCGTTTTTTAAGCTGGTCTGAAAAGTGCAATATTTGGGTGGGAGTGACCTGATTTTCCAGGTACGTCCATCACCCCTTTCTTTGACTTGGAAAGGGAACTCCCTGACCCCTTGCGCTTCCCAAGTGAGGCAATGCCTCGCCCTGCTTCGGCTCGCACTCGGTGCACGCACCCACTGGCCTGCGCCCACTGTCTGGCACTCCCTAGTGAGATGAACCCGATACCTCAGATGGAAATGCAGAAATCACCCGTCTTCTGCGTCGCTCACGCTGGGAGCTGTAGACCGGAGCTGTTCCTATTTGGCCATCTTGGCTCCTCCCCTGCAAACTGTAGTACTTTCATACAATGGAATACTACTCAGCAATGAAAAGGAACAAACACCACTGATACATGCAACAACTTAGATGAATTTAAAGGACATTATGCTGAGTGAAAAATATCCAAATGTCACATACTGTATGATTGTATTTACTAATATTCTAGGAATGACAAAATTATAAAGATGGAGAACAGATTAGTGATTGTCAAGGATGAGGAATGGGGGCACAAGGGGTGAGTATAACTATAAAATGGTAGTAGGATGGAGTTCTGTGTGGTGATGGAACACTTCTCTATCTTGATTGTAGTGGTGGTAACATGGATGTACATATGTGATAAAATAATGTGGAAATGTAAAAAAAAAATTACATATGGGTTTGCCTCAACACAAATATTGTTCATTCTTGCTATTCTTGGGCTTATTTATATGTGAAAAAGATACCATTTGTATGTAGTTGGCTGTTACTTGCTTTCTTTCATTCATTATGTTTCTAAGGTGTACCCAAGCTATTGCATGCTGCTGTGGTTTATCGATATTCCATGTTATCTAATATTCCATTTAATGACTATCACTCAAGTTATTTCCTTGTTCTCTTGTTGATGGACATTTGTGTTAAATCTAGCTTTTTGCTATGTCGAAAAAGTCATGTTTGTGCATGTCTTCTGGGAAAGTGTGCAAGAGTTTCTCTGGATGTCTCAGTCTGTCTGTACTGCTATAACTAAATACCTGAGACTGGGTAATTTATAACTAATAGAAATTTATCTCTCACCATTTTGGAGGCTGGGAAGTCCAAGATTAAGATGCAGGAAGTTTAATGTCTCGTGAAGCCTAGTCTCTGCTTCCAAGAGTGTTGCCTTCTCAGGAGTGGATAAATGCTATGTCCTCAACATGGCAGAAGGGCAGAGGGGCAAGAGGGCACTCCCTTCAACCTGGAGCCCTTTTATAAGTGTGCTAATCCCAGTTGTGAGGGTGGAGCCCTCATGACTTAATCACCACCCCCAAGGCCATATCTCTCAATACTGTTGCATTGGGGATTAAGTTTTCATATAAATTTTAGAGGGGACACTGTCATTCAAACCATAGCACTAGAGAATATACATAGGAGTGATTTGCTCAGAGGGAGGGTATGAGAGCATTCTACTTCATAAGAGAAGGTTAAATTGTTCCAAGTGGTTATATCAATTTCTACCCCCACTATCAGTTTAATTTGCATTTTCTTAATTAAAGATGAGGTTGCTCATCTTTTCCTACATCCATTCACCATTCATGTTTTTCTCTTCTGTGATGTGCCTGTCAGATCTTCTGCTTATGTTTTTTCTATTGTGTTGTCTTTTTATGACTGATATATAACATTTCTTTTTATAACCTGAATACTGGTCTTTTGTTCATTTCAAGTGTTGCAAACTTGTCTCACATATTGGCTTGTGTTTTTGCCTTCTTCATTGTACCTTTGGATGAATGCAAGCTCTTCATATTACGGCTGCAAATTTATCAACTTTGCCTTCCTTTTATGGTTAACACTTTTGTGCCTTAAGAACTTCTCTCCCATTTAAAGATCAGAAGGATGTTTCCCTGTATTTTCTTCTAAAAGTTTAAACCTTTTGCTTTTTACAACTAAATCTTTAATTCCTCTGGAATTAATCTTTGGGTATAGTTCCTCCTTTACTTTTGGCTCAGTTATTCCACACTTCATGAGAACCCTGTTATCTTGTAATAGCCAGGTGGATGAGAAAGTCAAGGAAGAAAACCCTCATTCACAACAAGATGTGGGAAGCTGGCTAATTCTTCCTTAGGTAGCCTCGAAATAAATTTTGGTAAAATGAACTAGCTTTCCTTTGCTGTAGCCAAGGATATTTAGAAATTTTGCAAATGTTTGAGTGCTACATGTTAAAAAGTAAAACAAACAAAAAGCAATGAATCTCCTCTCACCATTTGAGCTATGTCTCAGATCATTTAAATAAGCTATTTGTTGAGAAAAAAAGCATACATTTAAAATGCCTGTTTGTATAGTATTCAGAGTATGGGTTCTGCTTTTAAAGAGGCAATGCAATTTATTGGAAATATCACCGGACAGGGAGTCGAAAGGCTTGTGTTTAAGCCTTGATCTGTCATCACCTGGTTGAGAAACCTCTTCCTATCAGTTAGGATTATGTGCAGTGGCCTGTAACAAGAATCCTTCTACAGTGGCTTAACCAAATAGGATTTACTTTTTCTCATGTAACAGCCTAGAAGCAGGCAAGCCAGGCCCAGTGCAGTGACTCCTTCTTTCAGCTTAGGCTTCGTTCACAGCATGTGGCTTTTGTTTTCATGCTTGTGACTTCATGACTGCAAGAGATAAATCTTCCTCCAGCTTTGCATCAGAGTTGCAGGCATGATGAAGAAGAAGGGCAAAGAACAAAAAGTGAATGCCAGGGTCCTTTGAAAGTACCTTTCCAGGAGCCCTACCTAGTAACTTCAGCTTGTTTGCATCTCCAGAACAAAATTGTTCCACCTGGCCATCATTCTTAGCTGAATCATAACATGGCAAATTCCTGCCCTGGACAAAATCAAGATTCTGTAAGGGAAAAGGGTAGACTTGTTATTGGATAGGCAACTGGCAATGTCTTCCCCACTGTCTAAGCTTTCAGTGGGGATGCCTGCCCACTGCTGACAGGGTTGTTTTCATGACAAAATAGAAGATCAAATGGAAGAGTGCTTCATACACTGTAAAATGTATTTAATAAACAGAGTGGAAATATTCTGAACTATTTTCTCAGAGAGCAAATCCAATGTTAATAGAAAGTTCAGGCTGGGTGTGGTGGTTTGTGCCTGTTATCTCAGCACTTTGAGACACTGAAGTGGTAGGATCACTTGAGGCCTGGAGTTTGAGACCAGCCTGGGCAACATAGCAAGCCCTCATCTCTATTAAAAAAAAAAGGTTAGCCAGGCATGTTGGGGCATCCCTGCAGTCCCAGCTGTTCTGGAGGCTGAGGCAGGAGGATTGCTTTAGCATAGAAGTTTGAGGTTACACTGAGCTATTATTGCTCTACTGCACTCCCATCTGGGTGACAGAGTGAAACTCTGTCTCCCGAACTCTGCAAAAATAAATAAATAAATAAATAAATAAAAAAGAAAGTCCAGCTAAATATAGAGCCTTGGGTCATCAATATCTATTGAACTTCCACTCATTCTCTTTTGGACATCTGCAGATCACCTGAGTACTAGGGTTTTTATAGACACATATCCTCAAATATCAGTCTTCAGATTATTGTCAAGCACTGTTGTGGTGGACATTTGCTGATCCACTTCCCACTTTCCCTTTCCTCTAACCCCAATGTCTCTCTGTGTGATGTTTGTTTGGATTGACCCTACTCTTACCTCCAGGGATAAGCCTTGACTAGTTTAAGCCATTTGATATATGAGACCCCAAAATACAGTGGCCGATTCAGCAATGGGCCCTCAGAATGACCTCAGAACTTTCACTGGGACTGCCATGACGCTGACACTGTCCTCTTGGATGATAGATATATGATCTTGAACTGCTACAGCCATTTTTATTGCGCCAGGAGGGGAGCAGCCTGAGGGTGAAGCCAATTCACAAAGAATACCTGTACCAAGAGAATTGTCTAGAATCAAATGATACAACAAACTTATGGTTTCCCAAAACCAGTCTTACTTTTGGGTTTTTTCCCCAGCTCAATGAAACAAACATTTCCTTATTTTGTTATTTATTTGTATAAGTGAGTTTGAGCTGGGTTTTCTGTTACTTGTAACCAAATGATTCCTAAGTGATAGTTTCTATATACATTCCAGGAAAAATTACATACATTACATTATTTTAACATATTATTCTTTTAAATAATTGATATATATTTAAATAATGTATTTAATATATATGTATATGTATATATTTATATTTAAGTTCATTTATTCTAATGTTTATAATCCTTCCTGAATTAAGACCATAAGGCCTGAATGTTACCCAGCATGCCTGTTTCTCCCTGTAATAAATTGCCTGCGTAGCATCTGTCCAGAGAAGTGGACTGTGAGATGCTCAGAGCTGATTCCTACTCTTTGGAGACTGTGCCTGTTATTCCTGGGTTACAAGACTCATTCCTGAGTACTTTGAACCAAAAACCAATTAGGCTGATACACGTCAGTGTTCTTGTAGGTGTGTTTCCTGTTTCCTGTTTGCAAAGGCAACTACAAAAGAAATAAAAGTGACAGTCTCACCAAAACTTTTACAGAGCTGTCAAATGTTCAAGTACAATATTCGCTAATTATGAGTGATCTCAGTTGCAAGGCATCTGATCTCCTGGTGTTAAAATCTGTCGTGATACCGAGGAAGGCCCCGAGATCCCAGGCACTGAGTGACTGCATACTGTGAGTTAGTTTTTTAATCTCTTGAAAGGGTTAAATTGTGTAAATTACGATTCAAAATGCAAAGCTGTATCCTAGGTAGGTTTGTGTGTGTTTATATATTTGTATTTGCTAAGTAGAAAAATAAGCTTTGTCATGGGGTAGCCATTTCCATTTTTAACTCTTGATGAATGTGTATGTTACTGAAAAGAAAGCTATGCACCCATTTTAATTAAAAAAAAATCCTGCTCTCTTTTCTGGTGACTGATTAAGCGGAAACCTTATTTAAGTACAAGAGATTTAGTAAAACAAAACAGGACATATGATAATGGAGTAAAAACCTGGCTTGTTGATTCCTGGAAAAAAGGTAATTTATACCCCTCCTTACTTTCCAAATGGACTCATTTAGTATAGAGGACCGAAGAGGATATTATGCAGCAAGTAGAGGGGATGTTTTCTAATTCAAAAAAGATTCTTTTGAAATTCTATTATAGTATAATTAGGGCAGCAGCACCAGCAATAGTGAATTTCCTGTTAGAATAGGAACATTATTACTTTCCTAATTTGTTGATATGAGTCTCAAAAGCCATCTCATTGAACAGTTAGGAAATTGGCTTTTCAGGAAGGGAAATCTACTGAATTTCTTGGAAACTTTTCAAAATAAGTTAATGGCCCCAGACGAGAGCTAGTGAAGAATTGCAGGCAAAGTCATATGGCTTAGACCTCAGTAATGTTTTGTGCCTGTTTGGAAAAAAGTCATGAAGATTAATCTGATATTTACTTGGTCAAACAGTTGTGTATGAGGAACAAATGGAGAAAATAAAATAAATGGGGGCAGGGCAGATACATTGATATCAAATGAAACTTGAGTAGACTTAGCTCTTTTCATCCCACTTCCTTTTCCCCCATTAAGTCTTTATGGTTTAATTACTACCTGAGCAACATGACTCACCTGGATGTAACAAGAAAGTGAAAGTGAAAAGCTTTTATTCCAAATTTGGTAGTCCAGTCCTTCTAATGAGATCTATAGAAGAGTAATGAAATATTTGAAGTCACGTTAAACAAAATCTAATGTTTTTTTTCCCTCATGGCATTGAGAACTAAGTCTCAGCCCTATTGCATTTCTCCTGGAGGCCAAGATAGAATTGTGCATTGTAACTAGTAATGATCAGGCAGTCTGGGAAGCTCCTTCTTCTTGAGATAATTTGGTTGAACTATTTATGGATATCACAACCCGAGACATGGCAGTTGCCATTGCTTTAGTTCCTTGGCTCTTTCTGACATCAAGCTAAAGCCTAATAGGAAAATGTGTGTTTTTGCCTAAAGACAGTAAAGCTTGAGTAGGATTTAACATAAGAACACTTCCCCTTGGCATGGAGGTGTGGATAATCACTATGATGCTATTGGCTTCTAGTCATTTCTGTCCCTCCTGCAGCACCTGGGTCCTTCTCTGTGTTTATTGTTTCAGGGGCAGGTAATTCCTTGCTAGAGTGAGCTCCAAATAAGCTAGACTTCATCTCTCATTCACATGGAGCAAAGGGAGACTGCGAGAGTTCATGCTGCAGGTTTGCAGCATCTGCCAGACCCAAACGAGGATGATTTGGATGAGAAATTGACAGAAAAGCTCTTGGGGCAGTGAAGAAGCCACTCCCTGCTTGACTACTAGTGGGCTTGAGAGAGTAGTGGGCAAGGCAGGGAAGAGGATGGCTTCTTCAACAGAGGTTAAACTTCCTAACAGGGGCTTTCCATAAGAATGGCCTGACTTAGCAAATACTGCCCAAATTTCCTGGGCTGTTTGGGATTTTGTCCAAGAATTTCAGACAATTTAGTAAAAATTGCCTAGTGGCAGAAATCCAGATAACCATAGATGGGAAGAATACATATAAAGAAATTATTTGAAAGCAAGGTATATGAATAGACTCTAGGTTTATAATTATTACTGATTTCCTGTTGTTTGGATATCGCTCTTTAGCCTCCTTAAGTCAGGATGGTTTTGTCTGGGTCCCCAAGAAATCTGTACTCTTCCCAAGGCTCCCTATGTGACTAGCTTCTTAGTTATAGGATGTTACATGGAATTTCATTTTTCTGCAGTTTTCTAAGCTAAAGACTTCTTTGCTCCTCCTCTTAAAAGAATGAATGCGTTTTAGCCCTTTTAGCCTGGGAGCCCATTATTCTGTATTTTCAATGTCCCACAAATTCCCCTCTGTCAAAAAACATTGATTTTGTCAACAGAATACCTTTCATTTAGGAATAATATGGAGAGAGATTATCTCAGAGGCTGAGAGCACGAGACACCAAATATTCAGAGGATAATTAAAGTGTTCTTCCAGATGTTTTCAAATATAGCCACAGAGACAAATACTGATCAGTCGAGTAATTGATTCCCTGCCAACTATTTTCCATCCAGTCACGTTCTTAATGCCAAAACAGCTAATAAATTCGGTGAAAAACAAAAACAAAAACAAACTGCTTTTGTATTAGTATGTAGAAAAAAATAGAGAGTAGTTTATTTCCCAGCAATTTTGCAACAAATTGTTTAGTGTCATACAGACATAGGAGAATGGTGTTTGCTGGAGATAAATGATGATTTCAATTAACCAACAAATGTTGACTAAGTACCTACTAACTTGAGCCCTAGAGAAGAATGATATGGTATAACACGGACTTACATATTTGGTAATAGATTATGTTTCTAGAAGCATAATTCATTTATTTGTTCAATAAATATTTATTGAGCAGTTGCTATGTGACAGGCACTGTGTTAGGTGGCAGGGATATTAATAGGGATAGGAAGGCATGCGGCTGAGAAGAGTGGGGTTGGGAGTGAAGTTAATCAAATAATCACACAAATACATTTTACAAATGTGTTAAGTACTATGATAGAAAACAACAACAGCAAAAACAAGGAACTATGAGACTATAAAATGCAGGTACCACACCTAGTCTCAGTGGGGATCAGGGAAGGCTTCCCTGCAGAAATCTGAAGGTGTTGGAGATGGGCAGAAGAAAGGCCAGAGCAGAGGTTCTAAGGTAGAAGGGAACATGCAGCTTACTAAGAATTGAGCCAAAGCTAGTATTGCTGGAGAGCAAGGCGGGCATCCTATGGGGGAAAGCTAGAGGGGTGGCAGGAGCCAGATCATGAAAGACTTTAGTAGAGAATGAATGAATGAACCAACATGAGTAGTTTATAACAGGAAATGAGTCCTGTGGTCTTCTGTAAAAATGAAAGGAGTTTGCAATTGTATAATGACACTGCTGATAGGGAGAAGATATTCATTTACTCACCCAGCCAATATACCCAAGACAAAATCCCTGTTCCCATGGATCTGAAATTCTAGTGGAACAGGCAGATAATATGCCAATAAGGAAATATATAGGTTTTATACTAAGTTTTTGCTTATAAGTAAGTAGTATGGGTCTTTAGATAGAATTTAAACATGATTTCAAATCTAAATTGTATTGCATGTAAGTGTGGTTATTCTTCTGTTTAGTTAAATAACAGCATATACTCTAGAAGACCTAAGAGGATGCTTAGGACAGATGTCCTTCATAGTACCCAAATCACGGTCAAAGACTTCGAAGAAATTTCAAGAGAGGAAAACGAGAGGGAAACCAGGCTTTGTATTAATTTGTTCTTGTTTCTGAGACAATAGTGATCCCATTGTCCTCCCTGTGCCTCATTCTGGAGTGGTGAGGGGAGGAGGAAGGGAGCAATACAAAGACTTAAATGAAACTCACAGAGTCTAACACTGATGGAGAAGGAGCTGAGCGGAAGAGCATTTCAGAGTCTATTTCTTTGGTTTTATTTTCTTTATTTGTTTTTGAAATGGGATCTCACTCTGTTGCCCAGGCTGGAGTACAGTGGTGCAATCTTGGCTTACTGAAGCCTCAGCCTCCTGAGTAGCAGGGACTACAAGTGCGCACCACCATGCCCAGCTAATTTTTGTATTTTTTGTCGAGTCAGAGTGTCTCACTGTGTTGCCCAGGCTAGTCTAGAACTCATGGCCTTAAGCAGTCCTTCTGTTTTGGCCTTCCTAAGTGTTGGAGTTATAGACGTGAGCCACCACATCTGGCCTCTATTTCTTCTTACAAAAAGACCTTATTATACCTTATATATTTAATATGCTTTATACATTTTGCACATTTAGCATATCTAGAAAAGTTTCACATCTTAGAATCAATGTACATATTTAAGGAGATGGATTTCTTTCTCACATTCTCAAAAGTTGTTATTTCATATTGCTTCTTAAAGCCATTACTGACTTACAACACAGAAAACAATACATGCCTGGAAACTTATTTGAGGTTTTCAACTGTGCCTGTCTTTTATGAAGGTCTGCTGGAAGACTTCTTGATGCAATGTTTGCATAGCTACATAGAGAGTATTACTGACATCAGTGGAATTACACCAGGGCACCAGTGAGGATTACCTTCAGGTCTTGTTTGCAAAAGTCAGAGGGTTTGATGTAAGTAATTCATTATATCAAAGGGAGGCATAATAATTATCTGTTTTAATCTTCAGGAACCTCCTTGTTTCTGACTTTCCTACTGTATGAATCAAAGTGATTATTTCTACATATGCTGTCTTAGTCTGCTTCGGCTGCTATAACAAAATATCATAAACTGGGTGGCTTATAAACAACAGAAATTTATTTCCTACAGTTCTTGAGGTCGGGAAGTCCAAGATTAAGGTGCTGGCAGATTCGGTGTCTGTCGAGGTCCTATTTCCTGGTTCGTAGATGGTGCCTTCTCGCTGTATCCTCCTATGGTGGAAGGGGAAAAGAGACCCTGGGGTCTCTTTTATGAGTACACTAAATCCACCTTCATGTCCTAATCAGCTGCCCCAAACTCCACCTCCTAATATAATCACCTTGGGGGTTAGGACTTCAACATATGAATGTGGGGAGGGAGGCAGACACAAACATTGAGACCATAGCATATGCCAAGAATCTTAGAATTGGGAGGAATGATGGACATGTTGTTAGCGTGATCCTTCAGTATGTTTTTTTCAACATAGCACTATTGTCATTTTGAACCAGATAATTCTTCTGGAAGGGAGTGTCTTGCACACTATAGAATGTATTGCAGTATCCTGGTGCCTGTAGTATATTCCCCAGTCATGACAACCATCTGAAGACATTGCCAAATGTCTCCTGGGAAGGGCAAATATCACCCTCAGTTGAGCACCCCTGCTTTAGTGCATCTTAATCAATGACTCACACTGCTCTGTTTTAGCCTTGTATTGTAGTTGTATCACAAATGTGTGCAATTCTAAATGTGTAGCTGTAACAGGATGGTATCTTTGCAGTTCTATAATTCTCACATCCAAATTGAAGATGATATTATGAAACCAGAATTATAAGATGAAATAATTAGATATTTACTCAGCCAAGCATGTGAAATTCTAACGTGATAATATGTTTTTCTGGGAGCCTTGTTTTATTTGTTAAAGCCTTAGAAAATTTTACCCTCAAAGTTTAAAACTTAGTGGTTTAATTGTTTCTTAAGAAGATACATTTATGAGAGTCTTAATGCCACAAAGACTCCACTTCAGTCAGCTGCAAGAATTAAGGGCCTTTTGGTCCTTGGCACCAAACTTAAATGAGACATAAATGAGGCACATTTAATGAAATCAATTCTAGTTTTATAGGAAGCTGAGAATAACAGAGAGAAAAAAAGTGCTGCTCTTGTGTCCTTTGGTGATGGTGTTTGACATTTTAGTGTAATTTATTATAATAGTATACTGGTTAATGTTCCCATATTATCGGCGGTTTAATCAAAGTTCCTGAAAATGGGAAGAATGTGTTCTGTCACTGTAAAGCTAAGAAATGGTATTTCAAAATTACTTCAATCATACATGATTAGATCTTCTAAACTGGTATTTTACTGTGCTATGGTGCAGTGAAGACTTCAAATTGCAAAAATGTACTTAGACATGTAGTAATATATGACACCATTAAAGAGATTATTTTTAAATAAAATTCCTTTTTATTTGTATTTTTTTATTTTAATAGATATTTCGTTAGGTGGTTTTATGAAAGTGAAATTCCTTTTTACTGTTATCTTTTACCTCACTTAAAGGCTTCCTGCCTTAAAGTGTCACATGTAGTTCAAATGAGCCAATATTATTTGTAAAATAGAGTTTCTTTTGTGTCGTGATGCTGTTCAGAAATATTAAGGACTTCTGATTATCTCAAAAATAAAGTTCTAAGTCCTTTTCATGACATTCGAGGCCCTCTAGTAACTGGCTTCAATCAATCTTTTCACATTTATCTCCATTACCTCCCTTTGCCTTGTCCCCATATCTTATTCCAGCCATAATGAAGGAGGTGGCCCGGGTCATCTTTGCACTTTTCTGCCTCCATAGCACTTCTCATGTTGTGATTTCTACCCCTCAAATTCTAATCCACTCTTAATCATTTATTTCACAAAACATTCTCAAATTTTCTTAGTTGGAATTAAACTTTCTTTTTTTTGTATAATGCTTTGAAGCACTAGACTAGTGCTTTTCACACTATCTGGGGGAGAATTCAATTTTTGAAAAACTTTCCAATTCATCACAAGTCAATAGGTGTCCTGTCTGTGACTACCAGTGAGAGGTGACAGCGTGCTGGCAGCCCTCACAGCCCTCACTCACTCTCAGCGCCTCCTTGGCCTCGGCCTCCGCTCTGGCCATGCTCCAGGAGCCCTTCAGTCCGCCACTGCGCTGTGGGGGCCCCTCTCCGGGCTGGCCAAGGCCAGAGCCAGCTCCCTCTGCTTGCAGGGAGGTGTGGAGGGAGAGGCGCCAGTGGGAACCGGGGCTGCTGCACCTGGCGATCGTGGGCCAGCATGAGTTCTGGGTGGGCGTGGGCTCGGGCTCAGTGGGCCCCGCACTCCGAGCGGCTGGCCAGTGCTGCTGGCCCCGGGCAGTAAGGGGCTTAGCACCAGGGCCAGCAGCTGTGGAGGGTGCGCCAGGTCCCACAGCAGTGCCGGCCCACCAGCGCTGCTCTCGAATTCTCGCCGGGCCTCAGCTACCTCCCAGCAGGGCAGGGCTCGGGACCTGCAGCCCACCATGCCCCAGCCTCCCTCACCGCCCCCCCTCCCCCCCACACCATGGGCTCCTGCAAGGCCCCAGCCTCCCAGACTAGCGCAGCCCTCTGCTCCACGGCGCCCAGTCCCATCCACCGCCCAAGGGCTGAGGAGTGCAGGCACACGGCACAGGACTGGCAGGCAGCTCTGCCCTGCGGCCCTAGCAGGGTGATCCACCAGAGGAAGCCAGCTGGTTTCCTGAGTTGGGTGGGGACTTGGAGGACTTTTATGTCTAGTTGGAGGATTGTAAATGCACCAGTCAGCAGCCTGTGTCTAGCTCAAGGTTTGTGAATGCACCAATCAGTGCTCTGTGTCTAGCTAATCTAGTGGGGACTTGGAAAACTTTTGTGTCTAGCTCAGGGATTGTAAATGCACCAATCAGCACCCTGTCAAAACGGACCAATGAGTGCTCTGTAAAACAGACCAATCAGCTCTCTGTAAAATGGACCAATCAACAGGATGTGGGTGGGGCCAGGTAAGGGAATAAAAGCAGGCTGTCCCAGCTAGCCGTTGTAACCCGTTGAGGTCCCACCACACAGTGGTGGTTTTGTGTTTTTCCCTTTTGCAGCTCTTGCTGTTGCTTGCTCTTTGGGTCTGTACTGTCTTTATGAGCTGTAACACTCACAGTGAAGGTCTGCAGCCTCACTTTTGAGGCCAGCGAGACCACGAAGCCACTGGGAGAAATGAACGACTCCAGACTGGCGGCCTTAAGAGCTGTAATACTCCCCGCGAAGGTCTGCAGCTTCACTGCTGAAGTCAGTGAGACCACGAACCCAGCAGAAGGACCAAACTCTGAACACGTCTGAACATCAGAAGGGACAAACTCCAGACACACCATCTTTAGGAATTGTAACACCATGAGGGTCCACGGCCTTATTCTTGAAGTCAGTGAGACCAAGAACCCACCAATTCCGGACACACCAGTACTTAGAATCTACCCCAGGAAACTCACCGTGGAAGTTTGGCAGTCTCCAAACCATTCTATACCCCATTCAATGAGATGAGTTTACTTGATTACACATTTGGATGCTGTGGCAATGTCCAGCTCCTGTAGAAGTTTATTGACAACTACTTGCAATATCTGTATTTGCATTATTGAAGTCTGATAAGACTGATCCGTAGACCACATTTTAAGTGGTGCTGTCTTAGACTCTAAGTTCCATGAGGACAGAACCTAGGGCTGCTTTTTTTCATCATCGTAATCATAGGACATGGCATTGACCGTCGCATAACAGCACATTGATTACATGCAGAGGTTCTGTCAGTAGCAGTTTCTGCCTCCAAAGTAGCTTGGATTAGATCTTGATCACTGTTTAGCACCTGTGGGATCATCATACTTTACTTATAACAGAAAATAAGAATAAATGGGATCATCAGTCTGATTTATTTTTAAAATACATGCTCTTTAATACAAAGTCTAAAAAAATAATGTTAGCTTCTTGGTGCTGGTATGACCTCCTTATAAGTAAAGATCACTTGATTAATAATTTAATTTTCTTTCACTAGATGTAAAAATTCTCTTCAAGTTCACTTAAGTAAAATGAAGCTTAAAAGAAATCTAAAACAATTAGCCTCTTAAATAGCAAGACTGTATGAGAGAAATGTGTTCCTTGTACAAGGGAACCCCTGTAAAAAACAAAATTATATTTAAAACCCAAATGGCTTTCTATTATGCAGCTCAGGGAGAAACATTGAAACTCTTGAACAGTCTGAAATTGTGTTTCTGAAAATGAGAATCACATGGAGTTAGTTTAGCATCTACCAATGTAATTTCTATGGGACAGAGTAACATTTTTCAAAGTTTAAAATGTAAGATTCTTAATAAATTACATGACAGTGCTGTTTGAACATAACAGCTCTCACTTTCAGTGGTTCAAGAATGTCTTCTGAAGTGGTAGGAAGTTGCAGTTGAATGTTCATAGTTTTCACTGAATGCTTCATTATATTAATGTTAACAGCCAAGAAAAAACGAGGACATTTACTATATGTTTTTCCCACCCTTGGCCACTTAGTTTTCCGTGGAACATTTGTTATTTCTGGGACATACAGCATGTGCCCAGAACCATAATTAGTAACAGTTTGATGTTATGGGAGTTCAAAATTTAGTATTTTCTAGCTTCATTAGATCAGTGGCTTCCTCTGAAATATAAAAGCATTATACAAATACGTAATACAAATACAGATCCTAAGGGTACATTCTGGAGTCAGCTTTTTTACTCCTTTGCTAACTGCAGTATTTGCTTGTTTTGATGGGGAGGTGTTCAAACAGCTCTTCCCCAGAACCAGAGGGAGGCACTGCTCTAAGTACTTTATATATATCAACTTATTTAATCATTGCAGTAACAGGTGAGAAAAAAAGGGGCAAAAAGACATTCATTTGCCCAAAGTCACTTAAATGGGAAATTGTATAGTCAGGATTTCTCCTAGGGAGTCTGGCTCCAGGGTCCATGTTATAGCATACATAGTATCTTTTATGCAATACTGTTCCTGTAAGGAGATGAAGGCTTCCAGAATTCCACTGGTAAAATACTGTTGAAAAGGTTATTTTCTTGCAGACTATCTCTGACTAATGCTTAGGTAGTAGCTGAGAAATGCAGAATGACTGGGGAATGCTGGGTAGCCAGGAATGCTGGATAAATGGGGAAATGCTAGGAACCAGGGAATGCTGGGTAACTAGGAATGCTGGATAATAGGGGAATGCTGGGTAATTGGGAATTCTGGGTAGTCAGGGAATGCTGGGTAACCTGGGGAGAGGTACAAGAAGTCATTAGTTAGCAGCTCACCCTAAGCAACCTTCTAGTATCTGTAAACCAGAGGGTTGTTATTAATACGGAATCTGGGACTGCTGCAATGTTGATTATCCTCACATAAGATCCTTTAAATCAGTATTATCTTTGAATCAGAAGGATATATATTTGTAGATGCGTTTTACTTCAAATCTTTAACTGTGTTTAAAATTCACAGGTTTCTAGCACTTGCTACATATACAATAGCTGAGAGGAGACATTTCAGGGAAAGAATGTTATTTATTAATTCGTTTATTTTTTACTTAAGACTTAAAGACTTTGTGGGGGAGTGGGTTAGCAGAGAGAACCCTTAGTCTTTCCAATAGGAAATTTACCACTGAGTTCTCATATATATCCTAGCCAGGGGAGAAAAGATAACCACTTTTGCTTTGTACTGGAAGTCATCGGTTGCTGAGGCTGATTATTCAAAGAAAGCAAAACGTCTCATTGGTATCAAAATGTAGTTTTTCCCATCTTGTGTTACTAATGCAGTTATTAAGGACTGAAAATGCAACATTGCTTAGCAACATGCATAACAGTATTTACTATTATTTTATTTGAGCAGCAGCAGCAATAAGTACTATGTCTTGTAAATGTCCTGGTGACATTTTATTTTCTTTCTCATCTAACATTACTTGTATCCATTGCCATGGTATTAAGCAAAATGCTTAGTCTGTGGCTTGGCAGAGTGGGTTTAGATACACTCCCTTAAGTACAGAGATCAGCCCTGAAAGCTGGCATTGGCTCAATATAGAACCAAAAGGAAATTAGGCTTCAGGTAAGAAAAAGTAGTAAAGGATGCCTACAACTGTCATGGTCTATATAAGTCTTCTAATTTTCACTACCAGCAAGTATATCATGATGTCCCGTGAGATGCAGGAACTTGCTATAATACTGTTCAGGCTATTTGTTTTGTTGTCTCCAGTCTTTCAGGCAGCAACTAGTGTTCATAATAATCAAAAGCAAACATAATCCCTATTTCCTCCTAATGAAAAGACAGCACTTTGACTAATAACTGTGCTAGCACTGCCTTGTCATTTATGCTTCACCCTGTGTGTTGGAGAATGAGTTGATGTCTGAGAAAATTTGATCTGGGTGGACTCCCATCCAAGCCCTCCTTTCTTCTCCAAATTAGAATAGCAACTATACATCTGAGAATCTGGGCATTCCTCTACTATTTTCCCTTTTTCTTTCTCCACAGTCATCCTAGCTTGACCTCTTAAATCCTGGTATTCTAACTTGACTTCTGCCTGGGGAAGAGCAAGAAATCCCAGAGGTTAGGACCATCTAGCTAGAAAGACTGTCTCTAAAAGATTTGAACAATTTTGAGAGGAAAGAGAGGCCAAGCTTCTCTCATAAAAACAATAGAGAAAGAATCAGTTCACTACTACAACAGAGGCAGCCATTCATCCTGGAGAGGAGAGATGTTCCACTTGGGATTGTTATCCAGTGATTGATGTCTTTTCAATTCCAGGACATGTGGAGGTTCTTTAGGGATTTGAATCAGTGAGCAGCTTGTTTAATTCTTTGTCCTTCCCAGGGAGGGGTCCTGAATGTGGACATCTTCCTCATGCAGTTTCGGTTTTTGGTGCCTTCCACGTCCTTGGCTTTGCTTTTGCTTTGTTGCGTCTTAGAATCATTAATTAATTATGGATCCAGTTCCTTCTGTGCACTTGCTAATTGGACGTTTTGAAAAATTGCTCCATGCTGGCTTCAATAATGAGGAGAGAATTAAAAGGCTGAGAAGTGCTAGGAAAGAGAGACAGACCACAATGGTCATGGAAATCTAGCAAAAACCATCGAGATATCTGTTACCCCAGTAACCAGGGGACACGGAGCACCGAGCAGAGAGGTTAGAAAAAAGGACAATGAAGTGATGAAAGGGACAGGGTCAGTGAGGGGGCCTATTCTTGAGAAGAATACTTGCAAGGAGGGAAATCCTGTGTGAATGGTGCATTGGCTGGACAGCCTGAGCTAGCTGTTGCCTCCTGTTGAGGAGGGGAGCTCCCGGAACAGGATGAAGAGCCAGGACTTTGGAGTCCAGCATCCTGACATCTGTGTCTGGACTCTGCCATTTACTGGCTGTGGGATGTGGAACAAATGACTTTACCTCTCTGATCATCCAGTTCTTCATCTGTGAAATGAAAAATAATAGTACTTGTGTTATAGTGTTGTGGTAAAGAATAAGTGAGATCAAGTTGGTCAGACTGTCTAGACTACTTCCCGGCACATAGCAAACTCTCAGTACTGGCTAGTCATTATTATTATGCAGTTATGTTGTCAATTTAATGATGTAATAATAAAATATTAACATAGGTAACATACTTAGTCTTGCATAGCTCAGGACTTAAAATACTTTGTAGGAGAATCATTGTTTCCATTGATTCCTCTCCTTTCTCTTTCTGGCCAGTTTGTTTTTTCCGCTTATACCCCTCCCTCCTGTTCTACTTAGGAAGAGGAGAGGAGTTAAAAATTGGGTAAGACGCTGGGCACAGTGGCTCATACCTCTATTCCCAGTGCTTTGGGAGGCTGAGGCAAGAGGATCACTTGAGGCCAGGAATTTGAGACCAACCTGGGCAACATAGTAAGACCTCGTCTCTACAAAAAAATTTTTTAAAATTAGCTGGATGTGGTGGTGCACACCTGTAGTCCTTGCTGTTCAGGAGGATCACTTGAGCCCAAGAGTTGGAGGTTACAGTGAGGTATGATTGTGCCACTACACTCCAGCCTGGGCAACAGAGGGAGACCCTGTCTCAGAAAAAAAAATTTTTTTTTGATTAAGAAAAACGCAGCTGTTCGACTGGGGGCCTTTGGTTGTTGGGATATAGCAGAAGTGTGGGAAATGCTGAAAGAGGCCATCACAGCCCAGCTGGCCAGATAACCCATGGAAACCCTTCCCAGTGTGGATCCTATTATCGTGGGCCATTACTTATTTGATATTTAGACATAGGTGATTTGCAATTTCAGATTCTAGATTTTCTCCTCCATTAAAATGTAAACCTTCACAATGGAAAAGTTTGTTGTCTCTTTTGTTTACTGCTAATTCTCTAGTGTCTAGATACAGCTATCAGCTCCACCTTTGGGCTGAACCTCCTGAAAGTCCTCAAACGGGCCTTCAAGTTCTGACACAATCTCCCCCACCCCAAGTTACCTCTCTGATTTTATCTCCTACTAGTCTGTGAAATCTAGCTAGATATATTCAGGAGTAGATAAGACTGTTGGGGCATATGAAATACATCTAGCAGCAAAATGTAGAAAGATTTAGAAGGAATCATGTTTGAGGTCTAAGTTCTAGTTCTGCTACTATTTCCTGGGGTGAAACTGGGCCAAATCATGTGACCTTTGTAGGCTTTAGCCTCCACACTGAAAGAATTTTGGATCAGGGTGCTTCTAATTGTAAATTTAATGGCAATGCTATCCTTGGTTGTAGCATAATATGAAGTTGATTTATCCATTCAGAAACATTTCTGAGTATTTTTGGTCCCTGGTGTGAAATTGTGAATCTTAGCCTGGTGATTCATAGGCTAACAGCTGCTTTCCCACCATCTACCCCAAGCTCAGGGCTTTGCAATGGGGGCGGCAGTATAGCCAGAACTGACATCATGTCCCATTCTTCCTAGGTCCAAGTCATTTCCATCAAGCAGCATTTCCCAGGCTTTTGTCATTCAGGTCCCATCTCCATGATTTTTACTATATCACATTCTATCTATATTATTTTTTACTTAATGTCTTTCTTTAAACCACTCCTTCTTTATATTTTACCTTGCATTTGCCCTAAGCAGCAGTTATAGCTGTGAATAGCTTTGAAATTGGATATGCCAGCTATATTTTTTTCTAAAGCACATGAAAATAAATACACAACCATAATCCGCCATAACTATGCACCACTAAAACTGTCTTGAGTAATTCCAATGGTTTGCCTTGCACACTTTGGGAAGCATCACCATGAAGGTGAGGGACAGAGCTCTGGAGCTTTCACCGCCTTGAGTGTCCTTCTTCCAGTGATCTTAGACCTTGGGAGGAAAGAAAAAGCCATTCTCAATGAAAATCTGAGGGAGCCCTTTCCAAGGCATTGGAGATTGTTCACTTTATTTTGATTTGGAATGTAGTGCAGAAATGACTAAGCCTTCCCAAGAGGCCAAGGGCTGCTGGAAAGAAGAAAGAAAGGTATTTTGCTGGCTTAAAAAACAGAAGTCAATGGCAAAGGAACACGCTGAAGGGAAAGAGCAATTAACTGAAATAAAATAAAGCAGCAGAAAAGTGAGAGGAGTGGTGGGGAAATCTACTGCAGAGAAATGCAGTTGCTTGCAGAAGCAAAGCATTAGTGGAAGGTAAGAGACTTTGCAGAGATCCTCATTTCCTCCTCATTTTGGACTTTCGGAGTCTCTCTCTCATATGATGTGAGAACTGATTCGATACACAGAGGGGCTCAGCTTGGAGGCCCAAAGTATGATATTCTTCAATACACTTCCTGCTATTGGGATCATGCTCTAAACAGGTTAGCTCCTCCATGACATATAGTTTTGGCATGAAAGGTGGATCTAAGGCTACCAGAGAGAAAGAGTTAGAAATGAGTGTAGACTTCCTCTAGCATCTTTTCATACTTAATTAAGAAAGAGAAGGAACTTAGCCTTTATCATGGTATAGATTTGATTGACTTAGGCCCACATATCTGCAAGGGTCAGCCAAATTTAAATTGTAAACATGTTTTTAGAAAATCTGAATTCCCCAGCACGATTGGCTTGAGCGATTGGAAACAAGATGCAGGACCCCAACACAGACACTGAGTGGAATGACATCTTAGACAAGAAGGGCATCTTACCCACCAAGGAAAGTATAAAAGAATCAGAAGAGAAGGCAGAAGAGGAGCAGCACATCCTTCAGCAGTCAGTGGTGACAACATACGAAGATATGACTTTGGAAGAGCTGGAGGATCATGAAGACGAGTTTAATGAGGAGGATGAACATGCTATTGAAATGTACAGATGGCAGAGACTCGCTGAGGGGAAAGCAATTAAACTGAAGAATAAATTTGGAGAAGTTTTGGAGATTTCAGGGAAGTATTATGTTCAAGAAGTTACCAAAGCCAGTGAGGGCTTGTGGGTCATCTTGCACCTTTGCAAACGAGGAATTCCCCTCTGTGCCCTGATAAATCAGCACCTCAGTGGACTTGCCAGGAAGTTTCCTGATGTCAAATTTATCAAAGCCAATTCAACCACCTGCATACCCAATTATCCTGATAGGAATCTGCCCATGGTATTTGTTTACTTGGAAGGAGACATCAAGGCTCAGTTGATCGGTCCTCTGGTGTTTGGCGGCATGAACCTGACCAGAGATGAGTTGGGGTGGAAACTGTCTGAATCTAGAGCAGTTAAGACGGACTTGGAGGAAAACCCTAAGAAGCCGATTGAAGGTGTATTGCTGTCTTCAGTGCAGAGCTCTGTCCCCATGAGGAGGGACAGCGATTCCAAGGGTGACTGAGGCTGCAGCTGCTATCACATGCTGAACTTTCTTGTGACAAATTGTCTGGATTTCTTTAAGAAAAGGAAAAGCAAGAATGAATCCTTCTGGTTTTTAGTTTTGTATAAATTATGTTTCAAATCTTTACATTTTAGAAATAATAATTGCTGGAAATTCTGTTAAATATTTTGGAACTCTTTTTTTAAACTATAGTATTTCCTCTAAAAAAATTAAAACCAGCTATTGGTATGGCAAAAAAAAAAAAAAGAAAATCTGAATTCCAGAGGATTAAAATATCTCTGTTTGGGAACATCTCCCCTGGCACACAGCTGAAGTAAGTGCCTGCAGATGGTCCCAGCCCTGTTGAGGGGAACTGTGTTGGGTTCTAGCATGTATTGTGCTGGGCCCCTGTCAAAGCCGATGAGTTCCAATCTAGAATTTTGATTAGGAGGAGGGAGGTATGTTAGGAGCCAAGTCAGCTGCACAAAGGCTGATTGGAAAAAAACTTCTGTATTGTTTTGTGTCTTTCCAGATTTTTCTATTTAAAAATAGTGCCCATTAAGAGGGAGTGCTGATATCATTACCATCCTCTCCAAAAGGGGGCAGGAACTGGGAGGCTCTGAGGAAACTAGGTATGGTCCATACAGCAGATAGGACAGATTCAGCCAAAAGACAAGAAGCTCTTGGTTAAGCTGCGCCAGGAATACTATCAATTACTGTATCCTGGGATGAATTTAGGAAAAACCTAAGAATTAAATTGCGCTCAGAGCACATGAATTGCAGTTTCATGCACTGTTTTTCTAGAACCTCAACTAGGATATTTATAATAAGGTTTTGGTTTCTTTCCAGACTTGAGAGAACATTCATCTAAAATTACATTTTTTCAGGTCAATTTCGACCAGATGTTCTTTAGATAACTCATGAACGTTCTCTCTTTTTTTGGGGGGGGGGGGTGGGGGCGGTGGTAGAGCATAGTCCCTTGAACCCTTTTTGAACCTTTTTGGTAGATACTGTTTGTTTCCTCATTCCCTCTTTATTTTCTCTTCTCTATTCTCGAGTCTCTGTAGAGGCTGACCTGTGGGCCAAATCCTATTTCTGCAGATCTTTGCCCCCAGTAAAACAAAACAAATAGACCATCTTTCACTTTTCAGAATTTTCAAGACTATGTCAATGCTTTGAGTAAGTCAGACCTTTGTGTAGAATACATGAGTCTCAGCAGCAGCAGTGATGAGTTGGCCTCTTCCAGAAGGGAATTCACTGCATGGGTGTGGGCCACTGAGTTAAAGTGTTTCACAGCCCACTTTGCTACCCTTGCCTGGTTCCTGAAATGGTTCAAACAAAGTAACAACTTAAATCACCAGAACAACAAAAAAAAGATTATTAAGTGCACTTTCTTTTATGTGATTTTTATTCTTGTTTATTTGTTTCATATGAACTTTATGTGAACAAAGGGATCTTGGTGAGTACCTGTACAGCCAAATCAAACTTTAACAGAATCCCCTAAGATAAGACAGAAACTATGGGAAAAGGTTTTCTTATTAGGTATTTGTTCTGTCCATTCTCTGAAATACTCGTTTCTAACACTGCTCTTTAGTAAGGAAAAAAGTCATTTTTCTTTATATCTAGACTATTGAAGTCATTATATTTGTGATGGGAAATTTTTAAGTATGTGAAGTAAAGAGAGTGATGGGAGGCTGAGTTGGAAAGAACACAACACCTAATTGAGTCCCCTCTTCGTCTGGTGAGTTAGTATTGTGCCCATGCTCATGAACTAGTGTATTTTCTGTTTTTAATTTCCTCAATTTTCAAACTGTAAAATAAAATATTATGGTGTCTGTTTCCTGGGAACAGAAAACACATGTAAGTATTTGAGAAATTTGAGACAGAAATTTGGTTTGAAGCTTGTCAAAAAGATACATGAAATCAAGCCCCAATAAAATATTTTTCTTGCTTGCATCTAGTTTATCATGATTGGATTAAATTATTCTTTGTAACACACTCCTGAATGATTTTATAACAAATACATAAATATGAGGATTAATTAAATGCCATTATGCTAACAATACC
This sequence comes from Homo sapiens, assembly GCF_000001405.40. Classification (NCBI taxonomy): domain Eukaryota; kingdom Metazoa; phylum Chordata; class Mammalia; order Primates; family Hominidae; genus Homo; species Homo sapiens. The sequence continues at coordinate 101,869,783 of NC_000008.11, read as the reverse complement.
TACAATTTTGGTCATTGCACAGACGTGACACTTAAAAATTAGTATACATGTGTAGACTTTGGTTTAAGTCTTCTATTAAAACAGTACTTTGAGCTTTTATTGTTATCAATTAATATTTTAGGGTGCCCGAGGCAAGAGGCAGATGGAACCTGCAGCCCTGCACCTTGTCTTCCCTTCCCATCCCTGGCTCTTTGTGGCAGGACTCCCATGCAATCAAGCTGTATTAGTTTTCTGTAGCTGCTGTAACAAATTAACCACAAATATAGTGGCCTAAAACCATGCCAATTTATTATCTTGTGGTTCTGAAGATCAGAGTCTAAAATCAAGGTCCCAGCAGGGCTGCATTCCTTCTGGATGCCCTATGGGGAGAATGTCTTCCCTTGCTTTTTCCCTCTGCTCCAGGCTGCCTACATTCCTTAGCTCAGAGCCCCTTTATCTCATCACTCCAACCTCTTACTTCCATCACCACATCTCCTACTCCTGACTCTGATCCTCCTCCCTCTCTCTTGAAAGATTCTTGTAATTACATTGGGCCTGTCCAGATCATCCAGGATAAACTTCCCATCCTGAGATCCTTAACTTAATCACATTTGTAAAGTGTCCTTACCATAGAAGGTAACATATTCATAGGCCCTGGGAACTAGGATGTGGATGTCTTTGGGAGGCCTACCACATGTGTGAACTCTCCAGGCCCACATTGTTACAGCTCCATCCTTTACCATCACTGCACCCTACACTAGAACTGTTTTGTCTGCCCTTGGGAGGACCTCCCCAGGCAAGGGCTCACACAGGTCCTAGGAGTGGCTCTGTTACCAGCAGAGGGTCTTGACTGCAATTTGTCCAGGTTCTTGGCATTTTGAACAAAGAATTAGACAAAATACACAGCAAAGCAATGAAAGAATGAAGCAATGAAAGCAGAGATTTATTGAAAATGAAAGTATACTCCACAGAGTGGGAGCGGGCCATGCAGTGGCTCAAGGACCCTGGTTACAGGATCTTCTGAGGTCCAAATACCCTCTAGAGGTTTTCCATCGAGCTCTTGGCATATACCCCATGCAAATGAAGTAGTGGCCTGTGATCAGTCTGGTTGGTTGCAGAAAGCCTTGTTTTTGGTCTGTGCTTCTCCTCATGCGTCAAGGAGTTGCCTTCTGCAACCAATCAGAGGCTGAAGTGAAGTCACAAAATTATGCTCCTATGCAAACATCTGATTGGTTGCAGAAAGCAACTAATCAAAGGTACTTTCAACTTTCCATCTGCCAGGCAGAAATGGGGGAGGTTTGCAAAGGGAGTAACCTTTGGTCCTTTTGTTACTTAGGTGTGACAAGTTGGGGTTTTCCTTTTGATTTAGTTCTAGGAAGTCAGCGTGAATCAGCCTTAGGTGTCCTGCCTTCCGACCCTATTCTCCTGCTTCAGCTCAGACCAATTGAACAGGGAATTCCGGGATCCCTGGTACCTGGAAGGCTGTCAGGGTTTAGGAGAAGGTCAGTGCGAGCTCAGTGTGGGCACAGGGCTCTCAGACTCCTTGATGCATGAGGAGGAGCACACACAAAAAAAGGCAAAAGTGGGGCCCTCTAAGTCTAGAGGCCCAGAGCAGGGGCCAGATGCTGGCGTCTACAAGCAGTGTTCCTCCAACAGCCAGGCAAGCAGCATGATTGAATGCCTGGAGGTGGGCTGTGGTCAAATGGAGACTGTCAGTCCATAATAAAGGAGGCAGTAGAAATACAGTGCCAGGGAAAGGGGCCCAGTGTTGCTACATCTTAGCAAAACTAAAAACCTATTTTCATTTTGTTTTAAACAATGTGCAAGCCAAAAAAAAGGTTGGCGGGGGGCGGGGACCAGATATGGCTCTTAGCCCTTCAATTTGCAACTGACCCCTGGTTCAAATGAATGAGCACAGCATACCTAGGCATAGATGACATTTTATTGAATGAGTGAACAATGAACTTCAATGTCAAATTCAGAGATGGTGCATTAAGTAAATTACCCAAAGCCGAAAAATTCATCCCTAATTATGTCACATTTTTCAGTAGGCTCATCAGAGATTCAGCAGGGAGATAACATGACAACTTTAAGATAAATATTAATAAAATGTCCACGATATGGCAATGCCTTCAATTTGTATAAACCCTTTTCCATGATAAATTTCACGGATAAAAAATAAAGCCTACAAATTAAATCCCCTTGCCAGTGAAAATTCCAAAGTTAAAGTCCAGAGGAATTAAAGTCCAAAATTGGAAGCTTTTCTGTGGAGCTAAAAATCCAAAGGAATCAAATTTCCAGTCACAAAGCTGAAGTTCAAAATTACTTCAGAAATTTCTAAGAAGTTGCTTCATCATCATTTAGTCATTTGACAATTATTTATGGAGCTTCTACTGTGCACCAGGCACTGTGCTAGGTCCTGGGGGGAAAGCGGTGAATAAGAGGCAACCATGTCCTTATGGAGTTGATATTTAGGTAGGGAACAACATAAGCAAGTAAAATATGTAGTATTTTAGGTAGTGATGATTGCTAAGGGGAAAAAAACTAGGAAAATTGAAGGTAGGGGCGGTTTGAAATTTTAGATAGAATGGCCAAGGATAGTTCCATTGAGAAGGTGACTTTTGAGAAAAAGCCTGAAGGAAATGAGGGAGGTAGCCTGGCAGATACTTGGTGGGAGACCATGCCAGGACGAGGGAGTGCCAAGTACAAAGGCCTGTGTTGGGTGTGGCCTGGTGTGCTTGAGGAACGGTGGAAGGCCAGAGTGGCTGGAGCAGAGAGAACAGAGATGGGGGATAGTAGAAGGTGGTGGTCAGAGCAGAGAAGGGAGCCAGAGCATAGAGGGTTCTTAAGGATAAGAACTCTGGCATGTACTCTGAGTAGGATGGGAGTGCTTGAAAGATCTTGAGCAGAGAAGTGACATGCTCTGACTTCTTTAAGTCAGACCTCTCTGGCTGCCGCATTCTGAAGAGGCTAAAGAGGGTAAGGACAGAACTAGCGACACCAGTTAGGAGGCCGTCGTAATACCCCCTGGGAATGGCTGTTAGTGTTAAAATTTGGAGGTAGAAATGGTGGTAATGAGAAGAGGTTGGATTCTGGATCAGTTTTGATAGTTCATATAACAGGATTTTCTCATGTATCTGGCTGGGGTGTAAGGAGAAGAGAAGTCATGAATAGCACCATGGTTTTGGTTTAAACAACCAGAATGGAATTGCCGTTATGAGAATAGGAATGACTGGGAAGGAAACAGAGTTTGAAGGAAAGATCAAGGGACAATCTGGGGACATATTAAGTCCTAAACATCTATTAGACATGCAAAGTAGATGAGTAGGTATTTGAAGGTATAGATCTGCAGTTCAGGGGAGAGGAGCCAGACTGGAGATATAAATTTGGTGATTGTCAGCATGTAGATTTTATCTAAAGCCATCGGACTGGATAAGATCACCTGGAAAGTATGTGTGGACAGAAAAAAGAAGAGTTTCTAGACCTAAGCCCTGGATGACTCCAATGTAGAGATCAGGAGGATGAGGGGGAACCAGCAAAGGAAAATGAGAACAAGCATTTGGGAAGGTAGGAAGAAGAAATCATTTTGTGAAGGTACTGAACAGCTGTGTCAAATGATGCTGGGAGGTGAGGCTGAGAATTGACCATTGGCTTTAGCAACATGGAAGTTAATGGAGACTTTGATATGAGTAGACTCAGCTAGACTGATGGACACTCTTGTGCCTGAGTACAGCTGAGGCTCCTTCAACAACTCTAGCCTGGCTATCATCCTGGAATGGATGTAGTTCTCTCAAGTACTGGAGCACTAGGAAGTAGAGTGAGACACAAGATCACCCAAGTGGATCACTTTTGAATACGTCTGAAGAGTTGATAATTGACCTAAGATTATTATAGAACCATCCCCATCCACTTGAAATTAAAAATAAGACAGTCTGTGGCTCCTAAAAAAGTATTTTAGGCACAAGGATATTCCCCAAACCAGTTATTTATTATTGTCAAATATAATAAATACAAATAGCAGAAATACAATGACACTGAGTAAAGGAGGGTAGGTGGAGAAAATCTTGATTTCAGTTACACCAGGATCCAGTAAACCTACCATACTGGAGAGCATGACCTGTGAATTCACACTAAATGGAAGAAATATCATATGCACAAACACTACCACTGCAGCCACCCAGAAAGAGAGAGGAGAGAAAGAGAGAGAGAGGAGAAAGGGAACCCCAGAGGATTTCCACACAGTATAAACTCTGCCTCCCTAAAGCACAGACTGGGACCATGTAAGTGTTCATGTTTCCTGCAGGCAGTTGACACCCCAAAGAGAAAAATTGAGTGACGAAGGGCTGAGGCTCCACATTCCTAGTTTCTATTCCCAAAGGACTGATTAGAGAAAACACTCCTTCTCCCCTAGGACAGTGAGGCAGGGAGGAGAGAGGCTAGCAATAGCCCTCCTGGAGTCCTCCTAAACACAAACTCAGGGAAAATATTTGACTTCTGTGCCTCAAACTCCAACAAACACAACAGGAAAGGGAATTCAAACCATTTTATTTGATTGGTTCCTTGGTATAAAATTGATTGAGAATAATGATAAATATGTCTTTGGCTACAATGAAATTAGAAACGTGAGTTTTCATCATTCAAAATCTCTCTTATTCTGGATGTAGAATATTTATGCACATAATCTTAGATGTGCATGTGTGCATGTCTGTCCATGATCAGGGAGAAACTAGAACCCCCTTACTTCTTGTTGAGTCCTTGAACTGTCCCATCTGCTGATGAGAGCACTTATTATAATGAAAATATCATTCTAACCAATCTGTTATAAACTCGTGAACAAATCTGTGTTGAGTCCTTAAGACAGATAAAGATTACAAGTACTCTTTGTCCTTCTAGAAAATTGGAACAATCCAGCTGGGCGTGGTGGCTCACACCTGTAATCCCAGCACTTTGGGAGGCTGAGATGGGCGGATCACCTGAGGTCAGGAGTTCTAGACCAGCCTAGCCAACATGGTGAAACCCCGTCTCTACTAAAAATACCAAAAACTAGCTGGGCGTAGTGTTGGGCACCTGTAATTCCAGCTACTCAGGAGGCTGAGACAGAAGAATCGCTTTAACCCAGGAGGCGGAGGTTGCAGTGAGTCAAGATCGTGCCATTGCACTCCAGCCTGGGCAAGAAAAGGGAAACTCCGTCTCAGAAAAAAAAAAAAAAAAGAAAGGAAAGAAAATTGGAACAATCCTATCAGGTCATATAAAATATGGCTTTTCTTGTCGAGTCTTTATGAAGATCCTGTTTGTTGTTTTGTTGTTACCTTAAAATGCCTGTCTCACCTCTCTCTCTCCAGATCTCTCTCCTTTACTCCGTTGGCATTTAAGATTCTACTTTTCCATGGAGCCATCCGTAATTAATCCCACCAGCTCTCATCAGCACTGGCATTCCATCACTCACATGCACTGTGTGCACTGTGGCTTTTGTAGGTCATGGTCCTGCTTTGTTGTTGGTTGTTGATATCCTTGTGTGTCGAGTAGACACATTTGCACACAGTTAGCCTCTTGAAAGGAAACTGGAACTCACAACTCCACAGGTGACTTGAAGCAGAAAGTTTTGTGTTCTTTGAGCCACCGTATAGCAGGAAGTAGACTTGCTTTAAGTGTCTTATAGATTGATTGAGCTTAATTGAAATCATACACAGGACATGTAAATGCTTTGGAAAGTATGTAATACTATCTGATTACAAGGTGCTGTTCTGATTGTTGGTTAATGTAGTTTATTTAGTTCTCTGTTCTGTTGCATGTTAGAATCACATGGGGAGATTTAAAAAATCTCTAATGCCCAGGCCCCATCCCCTTGGAATTCTGAGTTCGTTGCTCAGGGATGCAAAGCAGGCATCAGCATTTTTTAAAGGCTCCTCTCCCTAAGTGAACCACAACCCTGGTTTGCTGTTTCTTGCCAAGTAAGTCTTCCCCCAATGGTCACACAACTCACTCCTGCATTTCATCCAGATCTTTGTCAAATGTCACTGCCTCAGAGAGCCCTTCCTCTACCCCTTTGTCTGAATTAGTCCTCCCCACTCTCACCCATAGCTTTCTAGCCTCTCAAAGTGCTTTTGTGTTTTTCAAAGCATTTAATGGTTACCTGATATGATATTAATATGTGGAATAATAAGGAAATGAATTTCATTCAGTGCAGGAATGGAGACCTGCCCTCCCACAGAAGCATCTCTAAATTTCCAATCCCCTGTTATTTTAAGAATACCAACCACAGAATGGAATGCCAGCCTAAATCCCCCTAGCTGGTGGGAGAAGGCAGTTGATGATAGAGGAAGCCTGGGTTAAAAAAAAAAAAGTGAGAAACATGGTTTAAAACATTTCAAAAAGAAAGGGGAGGTGATAGAGGTGATACAGTCTTTTTTAAAAATTGAAAGCAAGACTTTGGCAGAGGCCAAGTTGGCAAATGGAAAGAAACCTCATCCCTGCAATTACAGAACCAAGATCCGGATTGAGTGGGTAAATCTAGTTGGTCAAAGAAAAACCCCAAGGTTGATAAGAAAATAGTCACAGATGAGATGGGCTCCAATCTTCCTCTATACCACACCTTGCACCATGAGAATGATTCCCAGATGAAAGAGAATGAGAGGTGATGGAGTGAGGAGGAGGTTTGGGAGCTGGGTGGGAGTTCTGAGGAGGTGAGCACACGGTGTGGAGAAACAGGCTCTGGGGTCAACTTGCTTGGATTTCATTTCAGAACCTTGGCTTTTAAATATAATTTATTTAACCTCAGGAGCTGTGAGGACTTACACACTTGACTTTTCTTCTTGGGCCTTCACTTCTGAAGATGACAGAAACTCCTGATTCATTTGGGTTGTTGTGAAGATTAAATGAAATAATATGTAAAAGTTTGTAGCAGAGTACTTGGAAGACAGTAAGTGCTTAACAAATGGATTTTATTAATAATGCCTTTTTAAAAGGGAGTGAGCTGTCAGAGAAAGCTGGAAAAATTTCTCTTTAGTCACATAGCACTCATCCCAGGGAGCTGAGGACAGGGCATGTGACCTAACATTGACTCTTCCCCAAATGAAGGAGGGATTTTCTATTTGTCCCTGTTAGAGAAAACTAGCATGAGATTAAATGATAAATGGCAGCAATAAAAGTCAGTGAGAAATGTACACAGCTGTACTTGGATATTTGTCATTTTTGAAAATTTTAGTTAAAATTGAGTGCCTCCTTTATTATGCTATTAGATATTAATCACTAGCTACTATTTGCTTGTAATTTGAAGAGTTTGCTATTAGAAAAAAGCATAGCAAAGTGAAGCACATGCTAAACATTTTCTAACTTTTGTCCAAGACTTTGAAAGATTAAGACTAAGGAGGCTTCATGGATCGTAATTAAAACACCATTCATTTGGAACCAGCTCCTAAAAAAAATGTTGTGCCTGTGGCCTCAAACTTGGTTGAGGGAAATCCTGTAAGTCCTAGAAAATATCACAATTGCCGTAAGTAGTTTATTAATTATTGTGTAGATTTACTTTACATAGGAACTGTGTTCCTGAAAAATTGCAACTAAAACAAATTTTTATAATTTTATTCATTTCTTTATTAACATATTGTAATGTCTGTGAAAGTCAATCCTTTGTTTTGGATTGATTTTAAGTCACAGTAACTTCTAATTCTTTGTCAGACATGACAGTTCAAAACATGTACATGAATACTTGGTGGTATCATGGAATGCAACAGTCTTGTTTACTACTTAAGGGCAGCCTGGTGATGAATCCTTTTGCAGATTTGTGGAATTATTATGATTATTTTAAATGACAGTTATATAATTGTAATATAAATGATTGCAAATTCCCTGAGGGCAAGGAAATGTATCTTCTATTTACTGCAGCACTGTACAGTGAAAAAATAAACAGTACCTGGACATGAAGTCGAGACCCAGGAACACACGCAGCCTTAACAGCTAACTTATGTCAACAAGGCACCTACTTTTGGTGAACATTAATTTTCTCATCTGCCTTCCTATCTTACAAATGCATAGGGTCTCAAATGGAATCATACATATGAGAAATGCAATAACATGTGAGAGAACACAATAGAAACCTAAGGTTATCTTTTATAGCAGGTGCTCAACACAGAGCTGTCTAATGATTCATTACCATTGGATATATTTGTTCTTTTAGATTGTAATTTTCATGTTTACTTTTCTTGAGGTAGGGCACTTGTATACTTTGGTGAGCTGTTTTGTTTTTGGTTTTTTTTTTAATATCACATATATGGTCTTAAAATATTTATTTTGGTTTGCTCAAACTATGTCTTCCAGGTTTCTCATGAGGTCTTTGTTCCCTCTGCTCCTCCTACCTGTGTGTTCCACCCATGTTTTTAGCAGTTCTGTATATAGTGTGGTCTGATAGCTAGAGCCACAGCGGTCTCTCCCAATATAAGCTGAGAAACGCCACTGACTCGGAGGGTGGCAAGAATTTAGTGAGCTCCACAGTCAACTTCCCGTGGTCCAGGTATCTCTCAGTTTCCTCCCCTTCAGCTCCACCGACAACCCAAATCAAGAGGAACAAAGTTGCCCATATTAGTTTTCTTTTGCTAGTGTAATAAATTACTACAAACTTAATGACTTAAAGTAACACAGATTTACTATCTTACCATTCTGGGCGTCAGAAGTCTAAACAGACGCACTGAGCTGAAATCAATATGTAGGCAGGGCTGGTTCCCTCTGGGGACTCTAGGGGAGCATCCTTTCCTTGCTTTTCCAATTCTAGAGGAGTGATGAGTTTTTAAATATATTACCTTGGCTTTTAGATATAATTTATTTAACCATAAGCTTATATAATTTCATTCTAAATATTGACTGTATTTTACAACCAGCTTACAAAATTTCTAAAAATTTAACATTCAGCTTTCAGGGGTCGGTACAGGCAATTACAGCTCACCACTGCCTCCATATTTCTAAACAGTCTGCATATACTGCTGTTTCTCGATTTTTCAATTTTGACACAATCTCCTTATAGTGTAAGATGATGATTTAGCTCCTCTCATTCCCCCATTCCGCAGCTCTCCCTCAATTCTCCAGTGCACACCTTCTCTTACTCCCATCTTCCCAATATAATACTATCACAATTATGGGTTAAAACAATTTTCACTGTTTATGTTATTATGGTTGACTCATTATAGCTAACATATGAGCCACATGGATACTTGTGATGATTACATTTCCTTTCTTGTACAACTTTTTTATTCTCCTGGACTTAATTGCCAATGGCTACAGCTCCAGGAGAGCAGAACAATTTTCTCAGTAAGGGTCAACATTTCTGGTGCTCTAGTGGTTTCTTGTTCATGTGTTTCTTGGAGCTGTCTTTATGGAACTCTCTGCTCTCCTGTGTCAATCAGGAGTGATTATTCTCTAAACCTACTACATACTTTTGTTCTGAGAATCCACTTCATCATCATCTTGGGAGGATTCCCCTATTTCTTGTGTTGGATGTCCTCCATGGCCTTCATGTCCTTGTCTTTCCAAGTTTTAATCCTTGTTTTTATAGAACCTAACCTCCGGTAGTTTCCTGAGGCAGCAGCTTAAGAAAGCATGTATTGGAGGTAAGTTTTAATACTTGCATGTATGAAAAGATATTTGTCATGGTCCAGTTCTTGATTTCAATATTAGCTTTGAATATAATTCTTCACTGGAAATCATTTCCTCTTAACATTTTGAAGACAATGTTCCATGGTCTTCTTAAGTACAATGCTGCTTTTGAAAAGTTTCAAAAATGCAATTCTGATTTCTAAGCCTTTAAAAAATAATAACCTATCATGTATCTCTAGAAACTTTTGAATCTACTCTTTATCTCTGACATCCTAAAAATTTCACAATGATATGCCCTATTGGGGTCTTTAAAAAATTTATTGTGCCAGGCCTTTGGGCAAACGGGCACATTCAGTCTGGAAACTCATACCCTTTGTTTTGGGAAATGTTCTTATGTTACTGTTTTGGGAACAGGCTGATAGTTTCTCTTCCAGAATTTCTATTGTTCATAATAGAACAAGGACATCTTGGTTTAATGCACTACTCTTCTTATCCTTTCTCTCTATTCTTCTTCCTCACACTTCTTTTCTTTCTTTTTATACTATGTGTAGGAAAATTTCTTAAATTGTGTCTCCAAAATTCTTTATTAAACTTAAAAAATCTCTGCTATCATACGTTTAGCTTCTAGAATCTCTTTGTTAATTTGCTAAGGGGTCTTTATCTAGCCTCCTATTCTTGGTCATGGATATAGTATCTTATGCCTTTCTGAGGCTATTAATGATCATTGTATTAGTCAGGGTTCTCTAGAGGGACAGAACTAAAAGGATATATGTATATGTGAAGAGGAGTTTATTAGGAGAATTGACTCACATGATCACAAAGTGAAGTCCCACAATAGGCAGTCTGCAAGCCGAGGAGCAACGAAACCAGTCCAAATCCCAAAACCTTAAAAGTAGGGAAGCTGGCAGTGCAACCGTCAGTCTGTGGCTGAAGGCCCAAGAGGCCCTGGCAAATCACTGGTGTAAGTCTAAGAGTCGGAAAGCTGAACAACTTGAAGTCTGATGTTCGAGGGCAGGAAGCATCTGGCACGGGAGAAAGATGGAGGCCAGAAGACTCAGCAAGCCCAGTCCTTCCAACTTCTGCCTGCTTTATTCTAGCCATGCTGGCAGCTGATTAGATGGTGCCCACCCAGATTGAGGGTGGGTCTGCCTCTCCCAGTCCACTAACTCAAATGTTAATCTCCTTTGGCAACATCCTCACAGCCATACCCAGAAATGATACTTTGCATCCTTCAATCCAATCAAGTTGACACTCAATATTAACCATCACAATTGTTGAATTTTTTTCTGCCTCTGACATTTTTTGTTTCTTCCAAGTTCATTTCTCCTCTTGTTTTGTTGCATGTTTTTCTTTGGAGATTGTTCTCAAGTATCTGGTCATTCTGTTTTCCATTCATAATTAAGTGCACTATACTAACAAGCTCGCTGGAAGCTGTGTGTGCAGGAATGGAGCTCCTTGGGATTCTCCGTGGGGCTATCATCCAGACACTTGTTCATTTTGTTGAGGAACCCATAAATATCTGTACTGTAGACTTTTCCCTAGGGCTATTCTATTTCTTCCAAGAGAAATCCTCCAGTATTTTGCCAGGCTGCTGACATTCTAGATGCTGAGTACAGGATGGGAACTGTGAATCCCATTTTCAGCCTCTGGTCTTACTCCCACTCCCTGCTGTGCCTTTCGTTCAGAACATCTCCGGTTCAGTCTTTTGTGAGTAAACCTCCAGTATCAGGCTGGGATAGGGGAGGAAGTTGCCTAGCTGTGGGGTAGAGAAGAGTGTGTTGGAACAAAAATGCTTTCTAACTACCTTTTTATCACCCTTCTTGTTTTCAGTTCCACCTCTCACCTTTATTTTCAGAGGTATCTGGTGCCTCTAGTTCCTGAGCTTTTTCTGGCTTTTGAAGGCCAAATCATTGACTTCAATCGCTGCAGATGGTTAATTTCAGTTTTGCTCCACTCTATAGATCCAATGACGTGTGAAACTGCTTTCCATTTTCTGAAATTTTGTTGATATCTCTCTTCTCATGTTATCTCTTCTTCATCCTCTTTTATGTGTGTAAATTTTTACATTCCTTTACTGTCATTTTATTAGAGTTGTGGCTGGAAAACAATACCAATGAGTTTATTTAATTTGCCATTTTTAACATGAAGTTTGTATATATGGTGGTAAGGGTTTTGTTGTTTTAATCAAATTGCTCTCCAAAAAGACTGAATCAATATCTATCCCATTGACAATGTCAGTGCTCATTACTCTGCATCCTTGCTAACACTAGGTATTATAAGTATATATTTGTATCTTTGCTAATTTGTCAGGAAATATTTTATATCTCATTGCTATGGTGAACTGGTTTGCCTGGAGCTAACAGTTTTCTGGGATGTGGAATATTCAGTGCTAAATCCAAGAAAGTCTTGGGCAAACCAAAACAGGTTGGCCACCTTATTCATTGCTTTAATTTAATTAACTTATAATTTCCCCCAAAACTCTCCAAAGCGGAATTAATCATTGATGCTGAAAGAAGAAAGAACTCTATCTTGTTCTCCTTCTTTTACTTCCATTGACTTGACATCTCCCCCTGCTTCAACAATCACCAGACTTTGACTTCCTGTCCTCTTCTGCATGCAAATCTCTGCCTTCTTTTCCTCTGGAAATAGCAGAGCAAATCAAAGGTGCTGTCTGGAGGTGTGCTAGCAGGATCAATGGTATTAGCAAAGAAGTCTGAAGTCCCTATTATATTATTTCTTTGGGCTTTATGCTTGAAGACTAAACTCAGTGAAAAGTCAGAGTTCTGTGGGAGAGAGAAGTCAGAATGCCTTTGAGTGAGTAGATATGCACATCTGTGCCTTTTTGGCTGTGTCAGTATTAGACTGTGTTTGGGATAGGAGCCATGCTGGAAATTCATGCCAAAGAGAAACTGAGAAATTGTGCTCCCAAATAGGTCTTATTGAAACTATCTCAGTCAGAAGAACTGTGAATCTAAAAGGAGACAGAGTTGGAGGAGGAAGATGGACAGTGTTATATGCTCAGTGAAAGTTAAAATCTGAAGCAAATCTTAACATCCTATTATTTGTTCACTATGTTTCTATTATACAACCTTATGGTAGCAATGCTTGGTTCATAAGCAATTCTGGAATTATCTTCATTTATTTACTTAGTGGACACTTGGGATTAGAGGTAAAGGAGCTCACAGCACGGTGGGGAAGAGAGTCACATATATAATACACTAGAGGTATTAGTGAAGTGCTGTGAGTGTATTTACACTGGAAGGAATTAGTTTACCTGAGGAGTGGGGAAGAGAGTCAAAGTAGATAAGGCTGTATCAGAGGTGGGCATCTGAATGGCTCCTAATGGAGAGGCAGCAATTTGCCAGGAGCAGAAGGAGTCAGGACATCATAAGCAACCTGTGTGTGTGTCATGACGTGGCACTGTGAATGGCTATGATGTGTTTGAGGACTGGATCTGGCTTTGTGGAGAGCAGCAAGCTATGGGGCTGGGTAAGTAGGATGAGCCTGGTTTCCAGGGGCTGCTTTATACCTTGCTAAGGAGGAGGATTTTCTACCATAGAGGATATTTTATTGGCTCATTAAGTATACCATAAGTTTTCATATTCATATAAATAAGCTCTGATATTTTAGTTCACTTAGACTAGCAGTTTTCTTTTTTTTTCTTAATAGCAGCACCATTTCTTCAAATAAAATCTTACACGTAAGGCCATGTAGAAACATGTAAGATCAGGCTGGGCGTGGTGGCTCGGACATGTGAAAAATGACAGTAAAGGAGTCTTTGCACTTTGAGAAGCCAAGGTCGGCAGATGGCTTGAGGCCAAGAGTTCAAGGCCAGCCTGGGCAACATAGAGAAACCTCATCTCAAAGAAAAATATAAAAGTTAGCCAGGCATGGTGGCGTGCGCCTGTGGTCCAAGTCACTCTGGGGGCTGAAGTGGGAGAATTTACGTGAGCCTGGGAGGTGGAGGTTGCAGTGAGTCAAGATTACACCATTGCACTCCAGCCTGGGTGACAGAGCAAGACCCTGTCTTAAAAAGGACCAAACCAAACCAAACAAAAATAAACAAACGAAACAAGAGACAGGTAAGATCAGAGCTGCTGTAGTTGATCCAGGGTTGGGGCTTAGATCCCATTCTTCATCTTTTCCTCTTCCAAAGCTGCCTCCAGGGAACCCCTGGTGTCCTGCAGAGGTGAGTCTGAAACCCACCAACAGCCTGAGATTAAACCCTGAGGGTGTCACAGCAAGATGTATGAGTGTTCATGAGGATATCTATATTTGATCGTCTCTGGACTTCAAATAAAGGAAGGGAAAATGATTACTAAGACCTTATAATTAGAAGCAAATAACATGACATCAACAATACAATTGCTATGTTAAGAGATTGAGCTTCTAAGACACCACTGTTTTTTATTTCTGTCTTTCTGGCTTCTCATTGTTGGTTCTGGGGATCATCCCTGTTCCCTCTGATTTATGTCTTATGTTTCATGCTTTCTCTTCACCCATAATGTCATTTTCCACCTATGCACTTGTACTCTACCTTCCATCTGAGGCCCTGATGCATCTCTGTCAAGATGTGTGATGATCATTGCAAATTCTTATTATCATCCCCTCTAAACTTGAGATTCAATTTCTTGAGTATATCCATGTCTTTAAATGTAGCCATTTCTATCAGGATTGACTATATTATGCTGCTCTAACAAACAGCCCCCCAAATCTCAGTGGCTTATTGAAACTAAAGTTTATTTCTCACTCACATGAAATCCTCTATGGGTACAAATGGCTCTCTGGAGTTGCTCATTTAGATGTGCACTCAACATTCTAGGCTGCCTCTCATCTTATGATGATTCACTTCCAGGAGAAGGTAAGACTGAGGGATCTCACATGAGCAATCTAGTGCTCTGGCCTAGAAGTGACAAATATCACTTCTGCTCACAACTCATTGGCTAGTGCTAGTCATATAGTCCTATCCAATAGCAAGGGGATGGGGTATTATCCTCCTAAGTGTCTAGAAGAGAAGAGGGTGTACTCCCTCTCCATTACTTGCAACTACTCTTCTTCCTGTTAGGGATACTGGTCCCATCTGACTGCCTGACACTTGCTCATTCTTCATGCTTGTTTCCACGTGTCTTCTCTGACTCCTCTTCTTCCTCCCTCCGCTCCTCTTCCTCCCCAGCAACCTCATCAGGAGACTCTGACCCATGTGTCCAAGCACTGTGCTCACTTCTAACCCAACCCTGCCCTTGCTGCTATATTTGTGTGGGCATGCCAGTCTTCCCCAGTTGGACCAACACAATGGCATTATTGATCTCAGTATCCCTAGTACCTAATAGTGCATGCTACTTGTAGGTACTCATTGAGGTTTATTGTGTAAGATGAATGAATGTTGCAAATTCCTAAACATGTGATTCAGATGCCCAATCTTACTCTGTTACTTTATGAAAATTTTTTAAAGCTATATGATGTTATATCAAAATATGTTGTTATACTTTAGGATAATCGGTGTGTTAGCCCTGAATTTCAGCATAAGTCCCATTTTTTTCCATGGGAGTCTAGGAAAGCTATATGTTTATTCAGCAGCAAAATACAGTTTGGAACTTAAATAAACTATTGATCAATTTCTGGTCTTATGCTAGAAGGAATAAAGCATCAAGAAAAAGAAAAGATTTGCTGTCAAGACCAGGAAAATTTGACAATAGAGTATTAGAATGCAGGAAATGAGGGGAAGTGGAAAGGCAGCAAGTAGGAGAGAAAAAGTGCAGGGACAGTAGAAAGTGAATGTAGGAGCTTTCTGACCCATGCACTTCAGGAACGCAATTCATCCCTAAAATGCTGTTTGCTGTCTTAGGTTGCAAGTAACCAAATTAAAACCAGTTTGAAAGTAGAGTGAGACAGCTGTCATCATAAGAGTCATTTGATCTGTTTAAAGGTGGCTGCTTGTATGCAGGGACCAACAGTCATGTCCAGGGCAGCAGCTGGTGCACACTTCAAGCACAGACCATAAGAGCTACCCCAGGCAGCACCTGCTACCAATAGTGCAAACAACTCAGAGAGACCTCGTTGGCATAAGGGAATACTCTCTCCTTTCTGAGTAAAGAGCAAGTAGAACTAAAGGTTTCACATTTTAAACATACTTTACATTCCTCCTCTTCTGGGGCTCAAGCCTACTTTTGGGCCAAAGCGGATGTTATATCTGACATAGAGTCCTCGGAGCAGCAGTTGTTCCTGAAAGTTCCTTTTTGCATCTTTGTGCCTCATGCAGTGGCTTACAGGTCAACCAGACTTCTCCCCTGACTTTTGATGTGTAAGAGCTTGTGTTTCAAATGGGTTTGGTTTTCTTAATGTCACCCTAGGTTGGTGGAAAGGAGAGTAAATGGAAATGGGGGGAGCAGGGTCCCCTGGGGAGGTTTAAACAGATGGAAGTCAATTGTCTCTTGAGAATAGAGGAGGCTATTGAGTTTTCATTCCACACTCTGCTCCTGTTCTGTCAGCAAAGAACAAGGACTACTCTCCAGCAATTGCTTTCCACTGGACTCCCCCACCCCGGCCTCCCCACAAAAACCTAGGGATCAACTTAGTTCACTCCAAATTAGAAAATTTAATAGTCATTTGTTTCTTCTTGTCCACAGGGAGAACCATTTTCTTTCCTTCTTTCAAAATTGCCCAGGTCTTGTGAAGGGTTATTAACACCAGAAAGAAATACATTTTAATAAGCTTAAATCTCATTTCTACATGAAACCATCAGATTTTAGTACTGCAATATTTTGATCCCTCTGTCTTTTAGGCTCTGACACCAAAATTGCCATAATGAAGGTGTTTCACTTCTTCTCATTTATTTTTATGGGATCTTTTATTCCCAAATGCCTTTTCATCCCAGCCAAAGGGAGAAATGTTGATAGATCTGCCATCAAGAAGGTTCCAAAGCTGGCCTGTCAGGTTTTCTGTTTCCTTGTTTATTATCTTTGAACTTTTGTTTTAAATGTTTTAAACACTTATTTACCATGTAACTAAATGCCTGATAGCATTGAAAGTACTTTATGGGTTTTAATTTATTTAATGCTCATGAAACCCTATGAGGTAGGTACTGATATTATTTTTATTTTACTGATGAGGAAAGTGAAGCAAAGAGAAGTGAAATGAAAGGTAGTGAGTGATGGGACCAGGGTTTGGACATGGGCAGTCTGGCTCTAAAATGTATGCTTTTAACTACTATGTAATGCTGCCTCACCAACAACTTGTCTCACAAATTGATATTCTGGATCAGAGGATGTCGACTGGCCTGCAAATGTATTTTGTATGGCTCATACACAGTTCAGAAGTTTTAAAAATTTACATAGAAATCTGCATTTCCTGACTTCTTTTGAAAATGGGAATACCAAACATCATTAGGCTTGAATTCCCAATACGGCAACAACAGCTGAGCAACAAGCAGCTGTTTAGACTAGGCACTCGCTCTCCAATTTCCACAGTCCCCACCAATGCAGATCATAGTATCGACTTAAATTTCCTGCCTGCCTTAGAGAAGCTTCTGAGCTTGTGACCTCTATTCTAGCTGCTCTATGAATGGACGCTGCCCCAGTACAGCGAGGACCTGCTGCAAAATGCATTTCTTAGTCTTCAATACTTATTCCTCCTTGTAACTGGATTTCTGGTAAGTTATGTCTCATGGTGGATCTGCCCCAAAGATGGAGACTGAATGGCAGTGAGTCACTCGCCCTGGCCTCCATTGTTCTGGAGAAGGTTCCAGCCACATGGTTGATGTCAGCTGGTTTTCCAGAGCCAGAGCTGGGTTGCAGGACAGACACACCTGCATCTAATAGTGAAAGGCAAAGTTGAAAGGCCAAGACCAGCCTGAGGTCTGAGGGACCAAGGGCTTCACAGAGGCCAGAAGTTCAGAGGTGGACATAAAAGGTGTTAGGAGAATAAGGAAGTGAAAAGAACATAGTACAGTGTATCAGAGGAGGAGCTCCAGGCTGGCAAATATCACTCCCTCGAGAAAAGTTACTGCCTGTCTGCTGAATTCACACTTCCTTATCCAAGTGTCTCAGTCCATTCAGGCTGCCGTAACAAAATCCCTTAGACTGGGTAATTTACAGATAATAGAAAATTATTGCTCATGGTTATGGAGGCTGGGAAGTTCAGTTCAAGATGCCAGAAGATTCAGTGAGGTGAAGGCCTGTTCTTCATTCTCACTGCATCCTCACATGGTGGAAGGGGTGAATTGTCCTCATATGGTAGAAGGGGCAAGAATGTACCCTTCATCCAGTTTTATAAGGGCAATAATCCCATTCATGAAGGCAGAGCCCTCATGACTTAATCACCTCTCGAAAAGCCCCACCTCTTAATATCACTATAATGGAAATTAGAGTTTAACATAAATTTTGGAAGGACATATTGAGACCATAGTACCGTACAATAAAATCAATACCCCAGCTTCATGGAGCTGTTGTAAAGATTAAATGAGATAGTGTACTCTAAGTACTTAGCATGCCTGGTGTGATCAATGCTAACCCAAAGGATCCAGGAGGTCTCGAGTGGCTGCTAAGAATACTAATGGGTGTTTGCAGTCTGCCTGTGTGCAAAGGCAGGTATGGAGTAGCTGGGGTCCAGTCAGTTCTCAGGGGGCAAATCCAAGACAGAGTTTGATTATTCATAACCTTAACATTGTGTTGCCATCATTTATTTTAATTTTCAGTATATTTATTTATATTTAGTTTTTAGTTTCAAAAGTAAATATGATAGGCAAGAGAGCTAGGGTAGGCAAGAGAGCTAGGGTAGGCAAGAGAGCTGTGGGTGACAATGCTAAATGCTTTTATCACACTTACTATTTGTATTTTTTTTTTTAGTTTAATGAGAATGCCATACACTTCCCTCTCTCTTTACATCTAGAAATATTGTATGAACAATGAATTCATAAGATGCTTGCAACTTCAGTTGAGCTAAGATTTTGCATTTTGTTATTTCTTCACTTCTTTTCTCCCTCACTCCCTTTCTTCCTTACAGAAATTTATAGATTTGTCTTATAATCTAGTTCAGCATTTCCCAAAATGTAAGCTAAAGAACACTAATCTCGTAAGATTCTCCAGGGATAACAGGTTTTTGTGATCAAATAAATTTAGGAAATGCTTTATATTTCATCTCTTCTTTAAGATTTACTAAACATGTTGAAACATTGATAAGGCTTTCAGTTGCCTTGAAGTAAAACAAAAACCAAAACAAAAAACACAGAACATTTAGTCCAATATTTTCTCAAATGCATTTGGCCATGAAACTTTTGCTTTCTTGAGTAAACCCTATTAACACCCTGCTGGATCCAACTGGACAACTGTCAATCTGGGTCTTCTCATTAAATGACTTTCTAACCTTGGAACTGGACTGATTATTGTTACTGCTGCTTTCATTAAAGGTGCTACATTTTATATTTATAGATTTATCTTCCTCCCAAAGACCTAACTTAAAAAAAATCAGAAGAGCATATCTTCTACCCTCTGCTTCATATATACTGTAATTGAAAGTGTAAGGATACGTCATGAGAAAGTAAACATACAACACAGTAAAAGTTGTTCCAAGTATTTAAAAATGTTCTATATCTTCTACCTTATTATGGCTCAAGATATAGTAACTTTTGTGGGGTTTTATCATTGTTTTTGTTTTATTTTGTGAAAACATCCAAGAGCCCGCAACAGCCTATAGATTTGCAGATCCTTTTCTTTCCTGGGTAGACTTGCATTCAAGGAAAACATTAACCTAACACAAGTTCTTCTTTAAAATAAGTGTGTAGCGATCTTTTTCCCTCACAGGCTCTGCACATACTTGTTCTCTTTTTCTCTCATCATTTACTTACAGAAAATAAAACCTGTTAAGAAGCAGTTTGTTCTATGTTAGGTTCGTTTATACAGCAGGCGAGCAGGAGATGGTGTCTTGGAATTGCCTTGACACAAGAGTCATCTGGGTTCTGCTTCATCTAAGGAGTGCTTCAGGATATTAGAGAGCTGAGAGAGGCAATCCCAGATCAAGCGAGAATTTTCCTTTGCAGGGTAGGGACTGATGCCCGGGCCTGTGACACTCCTTTGGCTCTTTCAGAGGCCTCTTCAGTGACATGGACTCCAAAGCACAGTGACTGATCTTTCTGGATAACACCCGGCAGAGCTAGACTTAGGTACATGCTCAGTCCAGAGCCCTCTTCAGATGTGACAAGGGAATGGCTAATCAGATGTGGAAAGTACCTTGAATGAATAGTCAGTCTGGGGAGTGGGGGAACACCTCTTAAATTGGTTTTATTGAATGTAGAAGAACTTCCTGAATTCTGTGAATGGCTGGGGAAACACAGGGAAGGGCCCCCGTCTTCAGTGTGAATTCATTGTCTTCCCTTGCTCAGAGCCCCTGCCTTTGTTGTAGCTCTTCCTTTCAAATTCAATGCCAGTCATGGCAGCAAAGATAAAAGAAGTTAGCGCTAGCTTGTCTCTGCTTGCTCGTAATTCTGTTCAGGGCAGATTTATGGAATGAATGATTCTTTCCATCACAGTTGGCTAATTTTAGAAAGATTAGAATGCAGGAGACTTCCGTTCCTATGCTAATACAGCCAGGCAAGTTACTACCATCATCTGGCTGTGTTAACTGAATTTTACTTTTGTGTCTTTCTGGTTTCCTATCGGAAAAATGGGCAGGGAAATGAAGACCATTTACAGAGTGACATTAGGAATAATGGAAAAAAATTGATTACAGACCACTTTACAAATTCATAGCTCCGTATTTATGCTATGAATCAACATGTAATTTTTATCTTATAAATAACCAAGGTAGTCACAAATTCCTAGTGCTTTTTAAATCAGATACCAAATTCTATTTTTTTCTTCAACTTTTATTTTAAGTTCAGGGGTACATGTGCAGGATGTGCAGGTTTGTTACATAGCTAAACATGTGCCATGGTGGTTTGCTGCACAGATCATCCCATCACCTATGTATTAAGCCCAGCATCCTTTAGGTGTTCTTCCTGATGCTCTCCCTCCCCATCCCTCACAGGCCCCAGTGTGTGTTGGTCCCCCCACAATGTGTCCATGTGTTCTCATCATTCAGCTCCCACTTATAAGTAGAACATGCAGTGTTTGGTTTTCTGTTCCTGCATTCGTTTGCTAAGGAAAACGACTTCCAACTCCATGCATGTTCCTACAAAGGACATAATCTCATTCCTTTTTATGGCTGCATAGTATTCCATGGTGTATATGTACCACATTTTCTTTAGTCTGTCATTGATGGGCATTTGGGTTGATTCCATGTCTTTGCTATTGTGAATAGTGCTGCAATGAACATACGTGTGCATGTATCTTTATAACAGAATTATTTATATTCCTTTGGGTATATACCCAGTAATGGGATTGCTGGGTCAAACAGATACCAAATTCTATTCATTTGTCTTAAAATTCTTAGAAGCAATGTTGTAGAACAACATATTCCAGGCTGAATTTTACCTTTCACTTTTCTCTGTTATTACTAGATACATGCAAAAAATTGAAGTTAATATTGTAAATCTTATCCTTTAAATGGAAAACAGAGAAGGCACTGAGTTAGAGAAACTTTAACTTTCAAGAGCCGAAAGCAATCAAACATTAAAAATCTTAGGACCATTTCAATGTGACTCTCCATATAAAACCCATAGATTATGGGAATCATGACCTCTTCTTTTGTAAATATAATTTCCCTAAAATTAGTATCAAACACTTTTAGGTCTGGAAAGCATCTTGGATATGGATCTTCTGAGGGGTCCAACAGCTTCTTGCTGTATCTGTTTGAGAGTTAATAGCTCACCTAGAACTTAGATCTCCTAAATCTCCAGACAAAACTTTTTTCAAGTTTTCTCTTGTTTCCTCATTCTAAAATTATTTTATAGTATCCAAGCCACTTCACTTTCCACCTTTCCCTTCCTATTCTCCCCATAAATTGGTCCCTGTAACTCCCTGCTGCTCCGTGGAGACCCTGAGGTGCCATAGGAAAAGGAAGGTTGTTAGCTAAGCCTCTGAGCTCTCTACAACTTATTGAACCAGAATACCTCAATTTTTAGCTATTTTTCTTATGATGCTTTCCTGAGATAGGGGCTCCATGGCTTGAAAATGTTTTCAAGCCACTGTTCTCCCCGACCAAAACCACATGCTTGTCTCATTCAGTGTTCCTCATTCAACCCCCAAAGTCTCTTTATATCAACTTTTGTAAGGTTTGTTCCTTCTCTTTTCCCTTTTGTACCATTCCCCATCCCTACTACAGACCTGAACGCTTCCCAGCATCTTCTTTTCAAGGGCCACTGTTTTTTACGAGCGTAAATGCCTGAAGTTAAACTGTCTTATCTAAGATCCCTAAGTTCAGCCTCATACCTCAACTCCACACTCTCTTCCCTGATCTGAATATTTTCAAAACAGCTCCTCAGGACACCTGGGAGGTGTTCTGGCTGCCATAAACCTTAAGTCTCCTTGGGTCCCATGTTCACCCAGGAGCTGTGTCTCTTTCCTGTCTTCAAAGCTGCACCAAAGCTCTTTGAGGGTAGGAAACATATATTTTCCATTTTCACATCTAGCACTGGTTTTTAACATGGTAGGTGTCTTAGTTAAGAATTTCATTGGCTAAAAATAACATGGACCCCCAAACAATAGCTTAAATAAATAAATGAGGGGCTTTCCCTTTCTCATATAATCAGAGGTCTAGAGATGGGGAGTCTGGAGCTGACATGACAGCCATGATGCCACAAGGGACCCAGGCACCTCTGTCCTCTCAAGCGTCCTTGGCACTTGCTTGTCAACTGTTGTCTCAAGATGGAAGAACCCCTTCTAGAAGGCATCATGTCCATATCCCACTAAAGAAGAAGGGAAGGGCGATCCTGTTGTAGCTCATGAGCGTGATAATTGGGTGTTCATGTGCGTGTGTGAGATGTGCCACCCTCTGAACCTTGTTACGACATTGGCACATTACCTGTCTGACCTGACTTGGGGAAAAAAAAAAGAAGAAGAAGGGAAAGGAATTGAGCCATTTGTGGTGGAAAATTTGTTGGTGAAAGACAGCAGCAAAGCAATAGTCAAGCAAGCTTCTTTAACGGACTTTCTAGAAGTCCCACTTGGTGACATGTACTTACATTTTATTCATAAAAACTGTGTCACAGGGACCCTTCTAGCTGAAAGAAGTCTGGAAAATGTAGTGTTTTTAAGGCTGGATATATTGTTAATAAAATTGGTGTTCTGTTGGTAAAGAAGAAAGAGATAGTAGATATTTGGTGACAACCTGCAGTCTCTACTGGAATAAGTATGCAAAAATACTCCTTGTGGCTGGAATGGGAAATGTCCACTCCCACCATGATCGCCTGTGTTGAGTACCTGGAAGAGTGGTTCTCAAAATGTGGTCCCAGACCAGCTGCATCAGCTGAGAACTTGTTAGAAATGCAAATTCTTCAGCCTCAGCCCAGACAGTTTGAGTCAGAAGTAGGTGGAGTCAGTGATCTGTATTTTAAATGCCCTACAGGAGGATTTTAATGCTGCTAGAGTCTGAGGACCACTGGCCTAGAATGATCATGCAGAAAGTTCTAGACTCTCATGCTCTGCTTGTCTCGACATCACCAGAGTGGTCTGGGATGTGTTGGTGGCCAAGATAGGCACTAGATAATCTTTACAAAGCAATTTAAGTTCACCCAAATAGAGCTAGAATGATCCAGGTTCCTGATGTTGCTGGGTGTAGGGGGAGCTTGAAGAAAAACTGGCATGGAAGTAGAACCAGGCCAACCAACTTTAACATGCCAACAAATGCCAGAGGCTCCTTCCTCTCAAAACTATCTTCCATTCTTCTCAGTTGAAGGGCTTTAGTTGCCAAACAAAAAGTATTACTCTAGGATCTTGCAATTAAAGATTATCTGAGATGTTGGCAAGATTGTGGAGAAAGGGGAACTCTTGTATACAATTAGTGGGAATATAAATAGGCATACCCATTACGGAAAAAAGTATGGAGAGTCCTCAAAAAACTAAAAATAGAAATATAATACCATCTGATCTAGCAATCCCACTGCTGATCCAAAAGAAAGGAAATCAGTAAGTTGAAGAGGTATCTGCACTCCCATGTTTGTTGCTGCACTGTTCACAGTAGCCAAGATATGGAATCAACTTAAGTGTTCTTCAGCAGATGAATGGATAAAGAAAATGTATATATACACAATGGAATATTATTTAGCCATAGAAAGAATAAAATTCTGTCATTTGCAGCAACATGGATGCAGAACATTATGTTTAGTGAAATAATCCAGGCACAGAAAGACAAATATCACAGATACTCCCTCCTATGTGGGAGTTAATAAAAGGTCATCTTATGAAGGTAGAGAGTGGAATGGCTGATAGTTACCAGAGACTGGGAGTGGTGGGGCAGAAGAGGGTAAATATAGAGAGGGTGGTTAATGGGTACAAAATGCAGTTAGATGGAAAGAATAAGTTCTATATTGTTCAATAGCACAGTAGGGTGACTGTAGTTAACAATAATCTACTGTATATTTCAAAATAGCTAGAAGAGAAGATTTGGAATGTTCCAACACAAAGAAATGATAAATGTTGGAGGTGACGGACATCCCAATTACCCAGCTTTTACCATGACACGTTGTATGCCTGTATCAAAATATTACCTGGACCCCATAAATATGTACAGTTACAATTACAATCACAATCAATGAAAAAGAAAGAGTATTTGAAATGTATAATCCTTGAGCTTCAATGGGACCAATAGGGATGGCTTGTGTGGAGAGGGTTGTAGTCATCCCATAATATCCATCTGCTTCTCCCCCAAGTAACCCATAATGAACTCAGTACAATTAAGTATAATAAAAAGTGCACACAGAGCACATGCAGCTTTAAGTTGGCTCCTCTGGCCCAGGGCTCCTCCAAGCATGGTCCACAGGCAGATCCAGCCTGAGAACTCTTTGTTACTGGTCTGCAATGAGATAAAGAACTTAAATCCAAATGTAAATCAAATACATTACTGGGCTCACTCTTTAGTTCAGCTGACATTTTTTCAAACTAAGACTTTCTCAAAGAAATTAGTGCACAACAAGAAACAAATCGTTCATAGACTGACTCCTTCGAGTGGCACTGCCCCTGGCTCCCTTCCAACTAGACAGTCACCTCTGCCCTTCATGGAGATTCTGTAGCTGCCACTTTAAGCATCCTTCTGTCCTTCATTTCTTTAACAAACATTAATTGAGGTCTATGGTATACTAGCACAGTTGGGATGCTGGGAACACAGTGGGCAATAGCACAGACAATCTGTAAGGGTACAAGTTGACATCAAATGGCAGTATCAGATGGGACAGTATGTGTGGAAGTACTTCATAAACCTAATTATACTTAAGAATTGGGTAGTATTCTCTTTCCTTCTTTAGATGGAATAAAAGGTGCAAAGAGAATAAGCACCCTGCACAATATTGCTAGAATAAGAACTCACCGCTCTCTGGCCACTAGCTGAATTTGCTTCACTTTTTCCTCTCTCTATAGGGGTCTCATCTGAAAGAACATTGCTCTTGAGCTTAAGAAGGCAAAAGAATTTAGAGGGTCAGGTGCAGTGGCTCACACCTGTAATCCCAGCACGTTGGGAGGCTGAGGTGAGAGGATCACTTGAGGCCAGCAGTTTGAGACCAGCTGTGGCAACGCAGCGAGACCCTGTCTCTACGAAAAATAAAAAAAATTAGTTGGGCATGATGGTGTGTGTGTGTAATCTCAGCTACTCAGGGGAAAATGAGGCAGAAGGATTGCTAGAGCCCAGGGGTTGAAGCTGTGGTGAGCTGATTGTGCCACTGCACTCCAGCCTGTATCAAAGAGCCAGACCCTCATCTCTAAGAAAAAAAAAAAAAAGAATTTAGAGTTGCATTTCAGATGAGAAGCACATGATATTGACAATTCAGTTCATTCCCAACCTCTTTCATTGGTGTCTGAACATAAAGCCATCTCAGCATATATCATCGGAACTCAAGGGAAAGTGGACTAAAGCTGCAGGTAATGAAAATTACTAGTAACTTGGACCCTAGTGGGATGCCAGTGAGAATATGCACTTCCACAGGTGCTTGAATTCTCTTGGCCCAGGGCTTTAGGAAGCCACAGGAAAAGGTCAGGATGTTCAGGAATAGGGACGTGCTGTCAGAGAAGGATGGAAGGGTGGAAGAGAACTGTGCTGGGCCTAGCGACTTTAAAAAGACTGGCAAGCCAGTATGGCAAATGTTAACATTTGTTAAATCTGAGGAGTATGCATGTGGGTGTTTTATTTTTTCTCTGTACTTTATTTTATGTTTTAATATTTCATAATTTAACATTTAAAATTTTTAAAAAGATCCTCAGCCGGGCATGGTGGCTCGCGCCTGTAATCCCAGCACTTTGGGAGGCTGAGTCGGGTAGATAACTTGAGGCCAGGAGTTCGAGACCAGCCTGGCCAGCATGGTGAAAGCCCATCTCTACAGAAAATACAAAAATTAGCTGGGTATGGTGGCACACGCCTGTAATCCCAGCTATTCTGCTCCAGAGGCTGAGACACAGGAATGGCTTGAACCCAGGAGGTGGAAGTTGCTGTGAGCTGAGATTGTGCCACTGCACTCCAGCCTGTGTGACAGAGCAAGACTGTCTCAAAAAAAAAAAAAACAATTTTTAAAGATTCATAGAACAGATCAGATGATCAATGTAGCACAGAAGAAGAGAAGCTGCAGTAAATAAAATATTCATGGCCCTAAAATTATGAAGGGCAGAGATAGTTTAGTTGTGTGTGTGTGTGTGTGTGCATGCACATGTACATGCACATACTCAGAAGCTTTAGCTTGCATCAAAATCCCCTGGAGGGTGTTTAAACCACAGAGTATTGACTCCGTCTAGTTCTGATTCAGTAGGTCTAGCGTGAGGCCTGAGAATTTGCATTTTTGAGAAGTTCCCACAGCAAATCCTCATGATATCTTTTTGAGTAGATATTGTGTACTCTTCCTACAATTACCTGGACTAGTTTGACTCATTTATTCAACAGATTTTTAGTACTTACCTACTATGTGCCAAGTACTGTGTTACATGCTAGGGATATATGGTTTATTGTGCACATATAACTCCTTATCTAGAGGCAATCGTTAAATACATATTATATGTTTATGCCAAAAGGTGAGCAATCATCTAAACCCTTAAGCAAGCTGTTGGGTATTGTAATAGCTAATCAGTAGGATAGGGGAACACCATGGGGATGGCTGTGTACAAAAACTGCTTTTTTATGTATGGTATTTCATAATGAATACAGATAACTTTCTTTTTCTCTTCTCATCTTCCCCCCAACCACCTCCTATTTTTTTCTCTCCTTTCTCTCTCTCTCCCTCCCTGGGATACACATGGTTGATGGGCTCATCCAACAGCTATCTCAAGCCACCCCTTGCTGCTGCCTGTTACCAGAGGTTCTGAAAAGCCAGATATTTGCTCTGCCAGATTCACTGGCAGCTGGGGCTGGCCACATGCCCTAGTTTTGGCTAATGAGATATAAATGGAAATAGGTTGGGGGCCTTTTGGGAAAGATTTTGCTTCTATACAAGAGGACAGAGGTAAGAGGAAGATCACTGGCACAGCCCCCTTCCCTGTCTTCCTGCCTTAAGGCTGCAATAGCCATCTTGTGACCATGAGGCAACTAACATAAGGATAATTCCAAAGGGGGCAGAGTGACAGAGACTGGCTTTTAATGACATTTTTGACCAATTCAACCAACATTGTTAGCACACCACCCATATTCAGACTTGTTAGTGATAAAAGCAAAGCTCTATTTTAATGAACTGTTAATTTCTATCACTTGCAGAGGAAATCACTCCCAACTGATGCATCCCATTCTCCCTTTCTTCCTCTTCTTGTTTTTTTTTCCTTTTTTATTTTCCTTCTCTCCTTGGTATGTGTGAATTGTGTCCTCCTTGCAAATTCATAAGTTGAAGTCCTAACCTCCAAAGCCTCAGCATGTGACTGTCTTTAAAGAGGTGATTACGTTAAAATGAGGTCATTAGGGTGGGCCCTAATCCAGTATGACTCGTATCCTTAAAAGAAGAGGAAATTTGGACATAGAGATGTAGAGAGGGAAGACCATGTGAAGACACAGGAAGAAGACAGACATCTACAAGCCAAGGGAAAGAGACCTCAGATAAAACCAACCCTGTTGACACCTTGATTTTGGACTTCTAGCCTCCATAACTGTGAGAAAATAAATTTCTGTTGCTTTAGCCACTTAGTGTGTGGTACTTTGTTATGGGAGCCCTGCTGAGCAAATATACTTCTTTCTCCTGCCTTTCATTTCCCCCGTATTCTTTCTTTTTCTTTATTTGTGTGGATATATATATATCTCCAAGGGGTAGCCTAGAGTGAGGAATCCCTTCATTAGGGCCCCTCAGCAGACTTCTTATGTCTCCTTGGCCAGAATTATGTTGCATGCTCATATGTAAACCAACATCTGAGAAGGGGAATGGAACCACCATAATTAATCTAAACCAGTCAAGATTCACCCTCTTTGGCTGGAATGGAAGCTGCCTTTCTTACAGCTTATAGACGCTTACAGAACTTTGGGGACAACAAGACTATAAGCAGGGTTCTGTAAGAACAATGGTTATCAGCCTAAGGCAATTTTGCATCTGCCTTTCCCCAACTCAAAGGACATTTGGGTAATATCTGGAGATGTTTTTGATTGTCACAACCTGGGGGAAGAGGGGAGTTGCTATTGGCACCTAATGGGTAGGGGCCAGAGATGCTACTAAATAAGCTACGACACACAGGAAAGTCCCCTACAACAAAGAAGTATCTGGCACAATTGTCACTCATGCCTGGATTGAGGAACCCTGTGTTAGAGGAAGGGAAGAAGGGGTGGCTATTAGGAGGACAGCAAGGGGTGTTTGTCATGGATGGAAAAACACATGTACGTGATGTTCTCACAGCCTCCCTGTGAGTCTCACTGGCTTCAGGCCACAGCATCCCTGAGTGACAGAAGCTGGTCTCATTACATTGGCCAACCAGCCCTCAGTCTACAACTGTCTGTCAGAGACCCAGTGAATTAGAAAGATTTGTGCAGACTAAAATTAGAAAAGAGATGAAAAGTGATTATTTGGAAATAAATTTGAATATGCCTATTTAGATCCTCCAAGACTGCAGTCTGACATATAAATAAGACTAAAAATATGAAATTATGGTACCCTGTCATTCTATTCACTAGATTTCACTAGCTCTGAATCTAATAAGGCCTTAGTCACCGTGTTAAATTAAAGCTTTTTAATATTTAAAAGATATTAATAATCTTGCTTTGGTAGGTTGGTAAATTTTAAATTTAATAATTTCAAACAGTAGCTCTTCAAGTATTCGAATCAATGATTTTTTATATTCACTTATCTTGATGTTTTGCCATAAGTAATAAATGGTGTAATAAAATGTCTTTGCGCTTCAAATAATACCTCAGCACTTTTTAAACTTCTTTGCAAAACTTGAATACAGTTTATGTATGTGAGTGATAGGCACACATATCTACAAAGGTGGCTAAATTTTAAAAAATTAATGCCATGACCTGCAATTTCCTTTGCAAATATGTAGCTTGTCCTGCTTGCTTTATGGCTGTTGTTTGCAACATCATATTTTCCCCTTAAATAAAAAATTTAAAAATGACATAGAAGACTTTGGCCAAATTGGCTAACAGTTTCATCATGTTTGATATTGGTTCCAAGTTTTCATGCACCTACTTTTATATATACGTAATGTATCAGCTTTTGATATAGTAAAAAACACATAGGTAGCTTAAACTGCAAAGCATTTTCTGTTTTTCAGGCTATATATTACAAGACCTACCAAGCAGCATACTTGCTTAAATGTTCTGTACTTAATTGTCAGAGTTTGCAGTGGACTCTTCATTTCTTAAAGAATTACCACAAATGTATTCACTTATTCAGCTCCTGTGTGTGCACATACATTTCTATCACTATTTTCTTTTCTTCAATCAGCCAGTGTCTAGAAGTAAGAACCATCATCTTTAATTCAATCTCTGGCTTATTATAGACCTAGGATCCTCACAGGAATATTTGTTCAATTTGAACATGCTCTTCAGCTGTGTTTTTTTTTTTTTATTTTGTTGCTTATGGATGACAGATAATGATGTTTTTACACATTTAAGAGTACTTCATTTCCTTATTACATGGACATATTTCTAATTGGCTCCAGGCTCCTTACTATTAATAGCTGTTGAAGATGCACTATACATCTAATTTAGCACTGCCTGGGGTGACACAATTGGTTCTCAGTTACTTTACTGCCAATATGTACAGCTAATGCCACAGGGAGCCTGGAACTAATTGGTGAGATCCTTGCCCTCCGAGACCGAACCTAACACATGCTTCCCAGACAGCTTCCCTCTCAGGGACTTCAGCGTTCCTCATTACCCTGACCATCTTTGATTTGGTGCCATGATTGACATAAGGAAGGCAAAACCACCTCCTCGGCTTGATTTATTCTAAAGACATTTGACTTTATCCATACCCATCCCTGTGGAATATGGAAGCCCTTGGGGTGACTCCTGAATTTCCATATAGGAGCTTAGGGGTAGCAATATAGAAGGCCAGGGGCTTGAATGAATGTATGTTTGCAGGGAAAACATACTTTGTTTCATTTTAATTGTATTCTTTAGTGAGGAGGTTGATGGATATTTGGTTCTGGCAGGGAGTGTAGGCTCCGTAAGTCACCCTTTGCACCTTGGCAGAGCCACAGGTTATTCTCTTTGTGGAAAGCCCCTTTTGGTGCCACCACTGAAAGCCAAACCTCTTAGTATGACTTTAAGGAGTATGACATCAACCAATCCCTTGAGCCTTACGTTCCACCTCTCCTGCCACCCCAACCTCCCACTCAGCCAAACTGCAATAATTCCATGAACAGGACATACAGCTTTTTTTTTTCCCTCTTCTGTTACTTTTTGGTGTCCCCAAGGTCTAGATCTGGCCCTCTCTCCCCGATGCCAACAACACTTCCTGCACACCACTACCATCACAGGTCGGGTGTGGAATTCCAGTGGTTCAACATACAGCTTTCCTCAGTGCAGACTGTGAACTCTTTGAAGGCAAGGCCCATATCTTAGTCACTTGGGCATCATGAGTACCCAGGTGGGTTCTGACATTTGACTGGCACTCAATGAAAATGTATTGTGTTAAGCTCTTATTGTTACTATGGTATTCTGTCTTTATCAGCAGAAGAGAAGGAGAGTTTCCCCAATAACATGGGTAGTTGAAACATAACCCTATAAATGCTGAACCACTTTCTGGATGAAAAACATCTCAAGTCTCTGCCTTAGTAACAAGATCTAACATATGTTTTACTTCAAGACTCAAGAATATCATTGTGAACATTGGTTATGATACTGACCTCTGATATTAGCAGTGTTGCACGTCCTATGAAAGTGCCCTGAAATAATGGTGTCAACCAATGCAACTTTAAATAAAACATACACACTGACAAAAATCAAAAAGCATGAGTCCACCCAGTGACCTTCCAGTGAAGCACCAAAATTTATTTCATGAGACTTCAATTTCAATGATTGAATGCAGGTTTACTTGGCTCACAAGGCAGCTGGAATATATTTCTCTTTTTTCAGATTATTTACTGTGAACTTCTTAGAAAACC
The DNA here is from genome assembly GCF_000001405.40 of Homo sapiens. NCBI lineage: Eukaryota > Metazoa > Chordata > Mammalia > Primates > Hominidae > Homo > Homo sapiens. Next base: position 101,838,572 of record NC_000008.11, on the reverse strand, counting down.
CCTGTTTTCTGTTTCTGGAAAGTATTAATATTCAGGATGGAAACACTTAACTGGGCTGGGCACGGTGGCTCATGCCTGTAATCCCAGCACTTTGGGAGGCCAAGGCAGGCAGATCACGAGGTCGAGAGATAGAGACCATCCTGGCCAACATGGTGAAACCCCATCTCTACTAAAAATACAAAAATTAGCTGGGCATTGTGGTGCACACCTGTAGTCCCAGCTACTCGGGAGGCTGAGGCAGGAGAATCACTTGAACCTGGGAGGTGGAGGCTGCAGTGAGCTGAGTTCGTGCCACTGCACTCCAGGCTGGCGACAGGGCAAGAATCCATCTCAAAAAAAAAGAAAATAAAAGAAACACTTAACTATTCAATGACTACAGAAAGGTTATATGAACTTGATCTATATTATATTTGTCATGAAATAATTTTTCACCTCCTTTAGAGAATCAGGTTGTTGTCACAACAAAAATGTTATATTAATACACTGTATTAATAATAGCACACTAAATGATTTTGTCTGTCTTTTCTCTACCCTGTCATTCAACAAGTACAATTTGCTGTGTATTGTGCTAAGTAAGATCTGAGGGAGTAGGGGTATATAAGATAGACATGATTCCTGCTCAGGGTCTTCATGTTTAAAGAGGAGGGACAGACCAACAAATAGAATTGCAATATAGAATGTTTCAATGTTGAGACTTTCACCAGCCTATAAAACATAGGCCACCTTTACCATCACTTGAAATTCCTACAACCTTTTCATCACCAGTTCAAGAGACCATCATAACCTTGACTAGGGCCCAGGGTATTGCTCTGGTGGCAGGAATCAGGATTTTAATAAAGGTCCATAGTAATTTCCCTGGGCATGGTTATTTTTGGTGTTTTGTGGTAGGGTTGTAGGGCTGGCTAAGGTTCATAAGATTTATATTTGTAATCTCAGTGGCCTGTATGTGGAGAATAATGGTGATTCCTATCAGTGGTAGTAGGTGGTAGTCACCAGCAGTAGCCCCAGTGGGAAAGACTGTGTCTAAGTAGAGAACATGGGAAGTAATTACTGCTGCTGGAAGTTGGAGCAGAAGTTTCTACTTGGAGCTTTTCTGGAAACACGTTTTGCTTATTCATCAAAATATGATTGAACTGTGTAGATATCCAAATGTTGTAAATAACGGAATTAAATGGTTTGATTTATGCCTATGTGGTCTTTGTCACATGTCACTTACACTATTTATTTGATATATGTTATTTGTAGAAAACCGCACTAGACACTGAGAGGACTCTGTTTTGGTCTCAGTGGGTTTACAGATCAGGAATGGCATCAACCAAGGACACAGGGCATGCATGTTCAAGGTCACAGGGAGAGTGCCAGCTGTGAATGGAAGTAGATTTAGGTTCCTAATGAGAAAACAAGAGTGTTGTGTAGGTCTGTTTTAAAAACTCATACCAGTGAAGTGATTGGCAATGGAGAGTTCCCCTAGGTCTGAGAGCAGGAAGAAGAATCCTGTAACCCTAGCAAAGCAGGGTGGTTGATATTAGCTGGTGCTGGGCTTAAGAACAACTGTCAGAGGTTACATTAAAAATCAAATTTATTATAGATTTTTGAGATCAAGATTACCTACATTAAATATGGAATAATTCAACTTAACTAATACTTATTTAGAATCTATCAAGATTCTCTTTAAGCCATAAGGAATTTCCTCTTGTATTCTTCTACATGAATGAGACTAACATAAAAACTTAAAGTCTTTCTGACAATCACAAACAGAGAATTAGGGGATTGGGCCAACCTCATTTTGCCTTTTTAATGGTGATTTAAAATTTATTGGTAAAAAATTGTCTTACTGAGGAATGCACAGACTTCTTACTAAGATCGTTCTAGTCTTATGGAGTAATGATAGCATGTTAGAATTAGAAATGAGTGATCATCTTTATTAGGGGGTTTTAAATGTTGTTTAGCCATAAAATCCTTTGTCTAAACAAAGTTTTACACTGAACTGTGGTATGTCAAACAGACAAAAGTGGAGTTGGGTGTGGGGGCTAATCCTTATTGATTTACTCCAGTCAAATCTCAAAGGGATCCCCCAGAGTCCCCAGGGATTCCCCAAGACACAGAAAACTGCAACTCTGGGTCATTTTCCACATTTCATAAATGAGAGTGCCAAGGCCCAGGACGGGTAAGTGAGTCTCTGCATAGTACTGCTTGTTAGAGGCGGAAAAGGGTCTAGGGTTTTTGACTTATTTTGGCTTATTTCATTGAGCTTTTTTCTGAAAACCTAACACAATTTGTATATCTTTTCATTTGTGTTTACAAATGGCAAGTTTCCAAGTTAAGCTTCTGATTGGTTTGTAACTGAGGAAAAGAGTGACTGCTATATCCTGAGCCAAGAGAGAAATGGGCTAAATCCACTGTCTGTCTTTATCTCCTTCTTGTATTTGATGGTGTTTATCCTGGCTCTTCAGTTGGAAAAGAGAGGCCTCCGCAAACCCCAGCCACAGCCCCGTCCCTTCAGTGGGAAATGTAGTTCCACAGATGATGATGGATTTCCATGTGCATCTTTGTTGGAGAGCTTCTGTGTGATTCTGGCATCTAGTAGCTAGAGCAGGTCAGCTTATGAGCACAGGGAGATCTTTTCTAGACTTCCAGGGGTTGTCTTTGGGTAACAAGGCCCTACACAATTCTGCTTTACTACTGTTTAGGTGATCTAGCTCCATCTTTTTAACCTCTATTCTAAGATATGTCCACAGCTGTGCATGCTCCCCTTGGTGGTGTAGATTTGTTTCTGCAAAGTAGCTACTGAGTCAGGGACCACCCCTATCTTCCCCTTCTGCCCTGGCCACATGCACACTCACACACACGCATGCACACACACTCACACACACAGCTAGGTATACCATATGAGCAAGTTCTAGCTCATGAAATGTGAATGGAAGTGATGTGTGTCATTTCTAGCCCTGCCCTAGCAAACCCTCCCATGCAGCATTCCTCAGGGCTCTCTCCCTGTTTGTTGGCTGGATACATAGAATTTAAGCACCTAGACCAATGTTTCTTGAGCTCAGCCTATCAGCATTTGGGGCTGAAGAATTCTTGGTTGTGAGGACTTGTCCTGTGCATTGTAGAGGGTTTAGCAACATCCCTGGCTTCTGCCCACTCCATACCAGGGGCATCTCCCCTGTTGTAACAGTCTAAAATGTCTCCAGGCATTGCCAGATATCTCCTGGTTTGGCAGAAGGTGGAGGGAAGCGGGGTTGGGAGGGGCAAAATGACCCCTGGTTGAGAACTATTGCCTAGAGTATTGCAGAGCCATATGATGGAAGGGCCAAGGGGCCCTGCACCACCTGAGATAGAAAGCCAAGTGGCACTTACTGCACGGGGCTGTGAAGCTATGGAAATGTTGAGGTTTACTTGTTACAGCATCCGATGGTACCTAACCAAGCACACTGCTTTTTATCTGCTTTACAAATTGGACTTCTATGTAAGATTCCTTTTAAAGAAAGTGTATCCCTCAAAAAGAATGAAATAAACATAACCTTTGGAAACTTTTGACCCAGTTAATCTCTTCCCTTTACAGATAGGAACCAGTTACAAAGAAGTGAGGTGACTTGTCTAAGACCACACAGATAGGGAGCTGCAGAGGCAGGTCCAGAACTGAGGACTTCAGGTGCTTCACCCTGTGCCCTACCCTGAAGCCACTTACCTTTAACTTTCTCTAAGCAGGAACAGATGGAAGTGATAAAACCAGCCACACTTGATACAGTTTAAGTTGGCCTACATGTAGGATAGGTTGATAAAGTGTCTTAAGTTCCTCCCCTGACCCCATCATCTTTCTTCCTCCTGTTTATTGTGTTGTATCTTCTGAGTCACTATTTAGGGGGAAGGCATTGCCTCACTCGTCAAAGACCCTGTTAAAAACCAGGTTATTTCCTGGGGAAAATCATACTTCTACATGTGCTACCTGGCAGTACAGATCCCTTTACCACATTGGTCAGGTACCCCTGAAGAACAGGGAGAGCCCAAAAATCAGGTCCCGAGCAGCTCAGTCCCCAAAATAGGGCCAGCATGGGCTTCTGATTGGGATGAGGAAAAGACTGAGGAACGAGGAAACAAGGGAAACTGAAGGCCCATCCGGTGGCCTAGCCACACCTGGCAGGGGCACGGAGTGAATAGCTGAGTCGCCAGTGGAAAAGATGTTTCCAGCTTCACGTGAAGCCTGGCTCGCATTGGCTTGGGCCCTGGGTGGGGCTCAGCTTGCAGGCCATTCCTGGGGCAGCTGGGTGAGGCCAGCCCCAGCAGGGGGACACCGGCACCTCTTCACACGTTATGGTGGTGTCCTCTGGAAAAAGGTGTGAAGTAAATGCATCGACTGATGTACCTTGCACACATTTCACACCCTCCTTTTTCTGTTTCATGCTCCCTTTCTCCCTCAAGCCAGCTCTGAATGTGTGAGCCTTTGTGCCATTTCTGAATTTACAAATCCCCCCAGAAGGCACTCATCATGGACTCTCTTTCTAGATCTTTGTTGCCAGTTATGGAGAAAAGAATGGACTTAACTTTCCCTAGGGCTATTATAAAACAATGATCATCTGTCCCAGGTGGTTAAGCTTCTATAAATTCTCACAAGTAGCAGAAGCCAGGTTCTCACCCACCAGGGAAAGCTGAGCATTGGCCTTACCACTGCCAAGTGTATTTGGAGCCGTTGTTTTTCTCTTGTGCTAACTATTCCTTCCAGCCAAAACTTAAGTTGAGAGAAGGGGAACAATTATCCTCATTCTTTGAGAATTACAAATTGTATTTTAAACTGGCATATTTTCACCAGTTTTACACACTTTTTTCTCTTTTTCTTTTTTTTCAGTTTGGATAATAGTTCTTGGAATTAAACCTTGGCCTTGGGGATATCCGAGCTGGGGGGTTAATTGTTGAATTGTCCTGAGCTAACAAAATTGTTACCAAAAAAAAAAAAAAAAAAAAAAACAAGAAACAAAAAACAGTAATTTCATCTTAATTGCTCATGGAAAAAAAGGTAAAGAAGTCTGTAGACATTTGGGGTCCTATATGCTTTATTAAACTAAACCATGAACAGTCCTAGCCAAGGCAGTTTGGACAGTCTGCTGAACTGTGTTATTGTTACGAGACTTCAAAACTTAGATGTTCAGCTTTCCTATATTATGTTGCAACATTTGTTACTTAACCTTTTTGCATCACTTTGAATGGGATAAAACTTCAGTATTGAAAGTTTCTTGGGAAGTCATCTAGCCTCTTGGTGCTCAAAGTCTGTGGATCCATAGCACTGGTATCACCTGAGAGCTTGCTAGAAATGTAGACTTTTAGGCCTCTCCCAAAATCTATTGAATAAGAATCTGAAGTTTACCAAGATCCCGAGGTGATCTGTGTACACATTAAAATTTGAGACTCACTGGTCTAGTCTGACTCCATCATACGAGGAAAGTGAGGCCCAGGCAAGTTTCCAGAAGGGGAAGCTGTGGCTCAGGAAGAAGGGCGACACCTTAAAAGCAAGCTGCCATGAACTTCATAGCCTCTTCAGATCCAGGCTCCGGGTGTGGCTGAAAGCTTCATGATATCCATTTTCAATCATACTTAAACATGGCCACAATATAAGAAAATGTTCTAGAGCTGCTTCTACTGTGGGTACTTTTCTAAAAATAACTGGGAAAGACTTGCCTGGTGGACAGACAGGGGCTGACATGGTAATTTCAGACCTGGCAGGTGAATAATGAGTCACCATTTATTTGGATCACTGCTGCGGGCAGTTTCTCAGGGGTGCCAAGACGGCAGTCGTCCACTCCACAAGAAAGCTGGAGGGCAAAGCCCACAATATTTATGTTGGCATTTTCACTATTTATATGAGGAAATATTTTCATTAATCTCAAACGTGTATTAAGTCCCTGAAATCAGGTGTTTGCTTAAAAAAATAAATATAACCTAGTTCTCATATTTCAGGTTTGTTGCAATAACTACCTCTAGCTCTTTGGGGCTGTATTAGATTTTATTTTCACTGTAAATGAGACTATAAATTCAACAGAATTAGTCAGCCATGCATAGATTCTAACATGTTACTGTCATTATAAAGAAGAAATCATTTTTGATTGTCCAACTTTGCTATGTGCCTGGGAAGCAATGAAAATAATTATTTTAGAAGCCAAGATGGGGAGAATCAAATGCCATGTATTTCTGATGGGAGAGGAAGAAGTTCAAATGCTCCGTCCAGTGTGTGGGTCTAAGTTCCCTGCCTTGGGCAGAATGGTCAGGCTGTTAGAGGCCTCAAGGAGGAGGTCCCATGGATTTATGGCAGAGAGAGAGAGAGACAGAGAGTGGGAGAGAGGGAGTTGTTTCTTTCCCCGGGTGGAGACAGAGAAAGGAAGATTTGCATTCCTTTGTGACAGGATTGGAAGCATCTAAGTCAGATATAATGTAAGTTAAAATGCACACCAGACCACGAAGCCTGGTATATAGGAAGCACTCCAGAGATGCTCATTCCTTACTGTCTTCTCTTTTTCTCTCCAAGAGTCAAGCTGATGGCACAGTCCAGGCAAAACCCAGAGGCAGGTTTGGTTTGCTTAAGAGGCCTTTATCTGCACTGGCAAAACACAAAGGAGAATGTTTTCATTGTTACTAAGAAAAGAGCTGCTCTGTGAATCATGGCTGCTTCGTGGGAACAGCAGCAGCCAGTGCAGAGTTTCCATGCCTCTGGGGGCATCGGGAATTTGGATTTCCTAATGAGAACTAGGGTTCCTGTGGCCTCACCCTGAAGTGATAGGAGCCATTGAGATCTAGAATAGTCTAGATGAGGTCAGAGGGAGCACAGGGTGGTTCTGATCTAGGCTGCTGCACTGAGATGACCCTGGGTAGAAGGGAAGATGCTGGGGGCACAGGAAAGGGGCCCTGAGCAGGTGATTCTCAGGGGCCACAAGGAACTGTGGGTACATGGGAAAGGTTAAGAGGAGCTCACAAAGTAAACAGCCTTTTAGGGGAAAGCAAGTCTGTCTCATGATCCCAGTTTTTCTTCAAAAGAATATATAGAAGTATAAAAATGGGGAGGGGGCAAAGAGACGATGACCTACTCAGAATTTCAAATACCCTTTGATGAGTTTAACTTATCAGACTATTACAATTCTGATTCACCAGTGAATTGGAGATGGATTTGAGAGTGGGTACATGCAAGGTAATGAACCTAGGTGAAGATAATCCAATGGCACAGGTAGATCTTCCCAAGCAGTAATAATCATATCTGACATTGGCATGGCTTTTCATGATTTATAGACCATTCTTATTTGATCCTCATGGCAACCTTAGGAGGAATTTCCCTCTCATTAGCCCAGACAGCCCAGGGTTCATGCTATTTCACTAGACCAGTGGCCTATACATGTAGGGTGTACAGGAGAATCTATTGCTTGCAAAAGAACACTATTTAGATAATTTTTTCTAAAAATAATGAAGAAATTAAACTTTACTAATACTGAAAATATGGATTGAGGCTGCCATATCGTGTCTGTTTTATGTCAGACAGCCCCACATCATGTACACTCAAGCCAGGTCAGGTGAGGATGGAGGGACTTTGCACTTTTCAGAGGATCCAAGTGCCCTCAGCTTGCTTCTTCACTTCCTGCATATTGTCTCATGTTGCCCTTCACTCAGCATGTGACATGAATTTATTGATTTTATTCTCTTCCTTACTCTGACAGAATGGACAAGCAACTTAAAAGTATTCCTCTCCAAGAATTGCGTGAACCGGGAGGCGGAGCTTGCAGTGAGCCGAGATCGCACCACTGCACTCCAGCCTGGGAGACAGAGCCAGACTCCGTCTAAAAAAAAAAAAAAAAAAAGTATTCCTCTCCAAAAATGCAAATGAGGGTAATAACAGTGGTGCAAGCACACAGCAAACCCCAAAGGCAGTGGAGCCCCACACTTCTGTTATTCCTATATGCTCTTCGTCAGCCATAATGTGAGATTGAGAACAATGACAATGTCATCTGAGCTAATAAGTGGCCAAAACATTTTCTTTCTTTTTTTTTTTTGAGACGGAGTCTCGCTCTGTCACCCAGGCTGGAGTGCAGTGGTGCGTGCAGCCTCTGCCTCCTGGGTTCAAGTGATTCTCCTGCCTCAGCCTCCCGAGTAGCTGGGATGACAGGCATGCACCACTACACCCAGCTAACTTTTGTATTTTTAATACAGACGGGGTTTCACTATGTTGGCCAGGCTGGACACGAACTCCTGACCTCAGGTGATCCGCCTGCCTCGGCCTCCCAAAGTACTGGGATTACAGGCATGAGCCACCATGCCTGGCCCAAAACATTTTCAAGAAGGTTATTTGAAATGTGAATTATCTTTGCCATCCTTGATAATGAATGTCACCCAAGTATCAATTGTATCTTATAAGCCCAAGGATATTAACACTCCATTGAGATCAGCAATTCATTTAACCTCACGACATCCAAACGGAAAGACAAACCTCTGCAGTTCCCCCATCCCACCCCTGTGGTGATTAAAAACATAAGATTCTCAACAGTACTTTAAAATTTTGCAAAATTTATTGATAAATATTTAGCAGCTTCTTTTGAGACTTGTTAGCAAAAAAAAAAAAAAAAAAAACCCATGTGACTGGGTAAATGTTCTTCCTGATGCTATTAAAAATGGTGGAAATAACACTTAAAGATAGATATAATAACAAACAAAATGCCAAATGCCTTTATTAGTCACATAATACTGTTGGAATAGAGAGAGAAAATATTGCTGAATGTCTGAAGAATCAAGGATGAGAACAAATGATGCTGTGTAGGATGTTTGCTGTTTAGTTGTATGAAAGCATACTTGTCAATGTTTCAGTTTAGGGTATTCGTCAGGTTCAGTTTCAGTAATTCAGAACCTAAAAAACTACTTTAAATTTGTATGTGTGTGTGTGTGTGTGCCACGTATGGGAAAAAGTACCAGAAAAGATATTTCCTCAACAATTAAATTACTTCTTTAATTAAAAAAATGTTTTATGGAAAACCTAGGTTAAGTGTGCCCACTAGGCAGAGATTGAGCCAGATAAAAGTCATTCCATGAATTATTCACAGGAAAGCTTTTATAACAAAGTAGTTAATGCCAGAAGTACACAAAATGTTACAGGATGTCATCCATATGGGTTAACTTTATAAAAACAAGACCTTTAAAATATAGTGGAGTCTTTATAACACTGTATAATGAGATGGGTAGTGATCATGAAAACCTTTTGTAATACATAGACCAGGTTCTTTGTAAGTTCCTTGTAAGTTATTTTCTATCAAAATATTAAAGGGATTGTTGAATTTAAGATGAGTTATTCAGTTATTCATTTTTCTCTCAGAAAAAGATGAGACCTCAATATGCTGGCCTTTCTTTGATAACAAATATTCTATCTGGAAAATAGGTTGTGAAAAAAATACTAGCACTGTAAAATCATCATGAAGAAGGAAGGTGAGAAGGAGACATTTTCATTGTCTTAACTGACCCAGGAAGGCTGTGACTAAGGTGTCTTCCTCAAACCCATCACCTCAGACTAGATTAAATGCCCTCCTCCTCTCTGCAATCCTATAACACTCTGTATACACATTCATTCATTCACCTACCCACCCACCACCCCACTCACCCATCCTTCTGTCCACCCACCCACCCACCTACCCACCCATACTACAAATATGTATTGATCACTTATTAGGTACCAGCGTTCTAGATGGTGGTTATACAAAACAGACAGTAAACAAAACCGTCGAAAAACCCAGCTCTCATGAAACTTACATCCCAACTAGGAGACACAGATCATTTAAAATATGAATAAGAAGCTGGTCATGGTGGCTTGAGCTGTAATCCCAGCTACCTGGGAGGCTGAGGCTGGAGGATTGCTTGAGCCCAAGAGTTTGAGGCTGCAGTGAGCTATGATTGTGCCACCACACTTTAGCCTTAGTGACAGAGTGAGACTCTGTCTCTTAAAAAAAAATGAGTTATATAAGTTTGTGGTGATAAATATTATGGGCAAAAAAAAAAAAGAAGGAAATTAGGGAGTGCCAAGGAATACATTGCAATTTTAACTTCAGTCATCAGAGAGAGCATCACTGAGAATACAGACCCCAAATAGGTGAGAGAGTGAGAACTGCAGATTCGGGGGTTAAGGGTTTACCGAGCAAGAGAACAGTAAGTGCAAAAGCCTAGAGGGATTGTGCTTCTGTTTTAGTTTTAGGTGAATGAGTGACGGGGAGAGGAAGCATTGAATCGGGGTAGTAATCGGGAGCGGGGCTGGCAAGCTGGGCAGAGCCTCGGTCTTGCAAGATTTGGGCTTTCATTCCACGTGAGATGGGAAGTCCCTGGAGGGTTCCTTCCATGCAGAGGCCATGACATGGTCTGCCTCATGTTTTAACAGGGTTGTTCTGGCTGCGTTATGGAGGACAGACTGAATGGGGGCAAGTGCAGAAGTAGAGAGCTGTAAGGAGACAGGGCAGGGATCAAGGTGAGAAACGGCACAAGGTGGCCTGGACAGAGTGAAGATGCTAAGTGTTTGCATGCTCAATTGCTATGTTACATTAAAATTGTCTACTTACTTTTTATATCCTCCACCTACATAGTGCATTCCCAGCACCTACCACAATGCCTCAGCCCTACAAAATTACAAACTATCTCCTTTTTGGAAATGAACCACGTCCATTTTGAGGGTGGTATAGAACTCATTTCCTTGTGGCTGACCTATCTACAAAGGCAATTGAGGTAGAAAAAGTTACTTAAGGATTAAAGGAAAAATCAGTGGTTGATTGTGGGTTATTAAGAGAAAGCAGATGATTGGGGGAGTATATTCTTTGTCATAGAGACTAATTTTAAGGAAAATCTTCCTTTCCTAACAACCTTGTGTGTTTTGGTCTAAGACAGAAAACTGTTTCTATCTGATGTAATAACTTGGAACCATCACATAGCACAATTCCAGGACATGCCTTTCCCACAGAATGCAGTGTGAATCCCTGAGGTTGTGCAATGTAGTGATGATTTATGGATATGTATCTATCTATATCTTTGAGAAGTCTCTAGCTATTGGGAGGTGTCTCAAATTCACATAATTGCAGAAACAAAGCAAAAGGCATGATCTCACGTACTATTTGTTCAGGGACTTGTGGCTTTGGATAGTTATAGTAGATTAAATAATGGTTCCCAAAGATGTCAGATCCTCATCCTTGGTACTTATAAATATTTCCATATGTGGAAAAAGGGTCTTTGCAGAGGCGATTAAATTAAGGATCTTGAGATGGAGAGATAATCCTGGATTATGTGGGTGGGCCCAAAATACAATCACGTGTCCTGAAAAGAAAAAGGCAGAGGGAGATTTGACATGGACAGAAGAGGAAAAGACAATGTGACACCCAGGCAGAGACTGTAGTGACGCAGCCATAAGCCAATGAATGCTGACAGCCACCAGAATCTGAAAGAGGCAAGGAAGGGCTTCTACCCTGGAGTTTTTGGAGGGAGCTCCAACATCATATCTTTGACCCAGCAGTACTGATTTTTTGTCTTTTAGCCTCCAGAACTGTGAGATAATAAATTTTTGTTGTTTTCAGACAGGAAGTTTATGGTAATATTGTTACAGCAGCCACAGGAAACAAATATAGTAATATGGTAGTAGCTTTAATCTATTTCTTGTGTGGTCATTTATCCTCTGAAAGACCTACTACATTGTCTTTAGATTTGTCTATGAATATTTCATCAGTGACTCTATGCACAACAGTGATTTTAAAGCGGAGGCAAGGTGATTATAGCACTCTCTGGTAGGAAATATCCTAATGCCTGCCGAATTGTTAAGCCAGGATCCTCCTAATTTAGGGTATGAGAAGTCTATTTGGTAAATAACATTTTTATAAATAGCAAATAATGGTTGAAAGGAAATTATATGACTGAGCCATCTTGCTTTATGATTTTACTTACTTAATGGTTAAAAATCGATCTATTCAAAGATTTCAAATCACCCACACACATATCCATCTTTCTGTTTTCCCTGAAAAAACTGAGAGCAAGCTTTTATCTGGAGTAGAAGCTCTGTTGGACATGTAGCAGATGAGTTTACACTATGCATGATGCTAAAAACCTAGTTAAATGTGACTCCAAAGTCAATCTTACTTGATCTTTCTTCATCTTGATACCTCACAACCCTCTAACCCCTGAATCATGGGAAGATTCTAGAAGTCTCATGAAGACTAAAACACTGAGGAATGTTGAAGATATTTTAGCTGAGAGGCTTATTGCCTAAGTTCCCACAATCTCTGGGAGTGATTCTTTGCTAATTTGCCCCATTTAGATGTGGAATTTGTTATCAAAGATGGAAACACTCCCGCCTAGGGTCCAGTCTTCTTAGGTGGACTATGAAGCTGTTCTTCTCTGAAGTCTTGCTGTCTTCCCCAGTATCTTGAGTGCTGGAGGTATGGCTCCAGCTACTCATGGAACCTATGAACCATGGCAATATTGTATCACTGTGACTCAGTGCTTTTCTCTACCTTCCAAAAGCCCTCAATTCTCTCCTCTCCTCTAAATATTTTCAATGAACTTTGATTCTAGCAACAAAAGCCATAAGGGACAAGCCTTCAGGTAACATTTTTTGGCCTTGCCATCTAAATCCTCTAAGTCAGATGTGAGAAAACTATGGCCTGTGGGCGAAATCCAGCCTGCCTCCTGTTTTCTTTTTTAAAAAATAAAGTTTTATTGAAACACAGCCATGCTTATTTACTTATATATTGTCTATAGCTGCTTTTGTGCTACAGTGGCAGAGTTGAGTGCTTGAGACGGAGATGGTATGACCTGCAAAGCCTAAAATGTTTAATATCTGACCCTTTACAGAAAAAGTTCACAGACCCCTGCTTTAAGTCAAGGGAACTCAGAGTCTGATTATCATCTTTTAACAGAGATGGAAGGTACTGAGAGGACTGAACCCGACTGAATTACTGCCACAGGATATCCTGCCACTTAGGTCCAGAAGTTGTGGGAAGTCTGAGTTAACTGGAGGCCCAACATGATTTCTGTCCAATTCCTAATGACCCTTTGCTCTTGAGCTACTGCAGGGATGGTGGCAACACACATCCCAAAGATGATCTCACTCTCCATTTACCCACATTCCAAGGCAGGCCAGATCTAACTGGATTGTTCAAGGATGCTTCCGTTGAGACTGTACCCTCTGTCCATTTGGGTTTCCTCACACATTCTCCACAAGTCCTCAGGCTGCTTCATGTGTGGACGAACTAGACTGGAAGATGCTGAAGGACAGACCTTCCAGACAATGAGCTCTTCCTCAAGATCCACTGGCATATTGTGCTGTGCACACTGGAGGTGCAGGAGTATCCCTACTGTATACTATGTTAACTGCGAGACCCAACCTTCTGCTCAGAGGATGACAACAGATGGATGCAAGTTGTCCTATGATTGCCATTTTGGAATTGCCATTTGAAGACAGCGGTGACCTGTGGGTCTGGAGGAATCACTGCAGGGTGGGATATACATATCAAATTCTGCAAGCTGGGTCAGTTGTGGGGGTATCTACATTGGGACACTTCACAAAGAAAGAAGAGGGAAACAAAATGATGCCTATATAATTGCCTCATGGAAAAGATTCCCTATCATGTTACAGAAACATAGTCCACTATGTAATGACCTTGGTGGATGATAGCGTCCAGATTCCTCTTCAGTATGGTGTGTGGTTGGTTGTTAGTTTGTACAGAATGAATGATGGCCTCTGTTTGCCTGCCAGCCAAATGTGGGACACTCAGAAAAGCAAATTTTTCACATCAGACAGATCTGGATTCAGATTTTGGGCTTACTTCATTCTGCCTTTGCCACTTTGGTCAATTTAATTACCTTTAGTTTTATCACCTGTAAGATGGGAATACTGTTTCTTGATTCATAATGTTATTGTCAAGATGAAGTAAAAGAGTTAATAGAAAAGACTTCCACGCTGCTGGAAAAAATAGTAGTCACTCAATTCTTTGCCATTTTCAGCTTGTCTTATTGTTGAGCTAAACAAAATTCCCAAGGAGATTTGTAAATTTATTGAACACATTTTATTGAAGAGGTGGTAGGAGCTTTGGTTCAGCCAAAAAAAAAAATAAAATAAAATTTAAAGATTAGTATAAAGTAATGAGGATAGATCTACAGTTGTTATTAAGGGAAGGCAGGCTCTGTGTGTATTTGTACCCCAGTATGGTGGTTTTCTCTGTAATCCTGGAAGCTGTTGTCAGCCTGAGAAAATAGCAATAACAATGTTTCATTTATGGACACAGCGTTGGGCCCCATCAGGACCCTGGTACAAAAGGCCAGTGGAAGCTGAGAGGGCTCGATGGATAGGAAGCTTGGCACTGATAGTAACAAATACTGCCAGTAATAATAGCATATTCCAGCTTCTATATAAAGGTTGGGACTGGGCCAGGATGGAAGTTAGAATAGAGCATAGGTTCTGTGCTACTTCCAGGAGGTATTTTGTTCTTCCCTTATTCTTTGAGATCAGAACAAAGAAACAATTGACTGGATATAGAAGTTTCACGACAAGTAAATGACATTTTGTTCAGGATAATTGTAGCGTTTGCATTGTTTCCTTTTGACAGTTGATCAAAAGGAAATTTAAATGTACAGGGCTAACTGTCCCCATGTAGGTCAATAAATAAGCTAGTGCATTCAGTTTTCATCCTAGGATTCTGGAAGGCAAACTTAGGAGTCTTTCCAGAATTTTCCTCTTCAGTTGACTCAGTTGGCATTCCCCTATATAATTGTTTCAATGGTGCTGCCACTGGGTGGTTGTCAGCCTCCACCATACTCAGAGAATTGCGTGGCTTCCTCCTAAAGCTTTGCTACATTGTGATCTTAAATCCCAGTTAAAGAACAGCACATCCTGAGGATAGTCTTGATAGTTTTCTAATATTTTGAGAGCTCATCAGACCTGTAATGTCCATTGGCTCCTTCCTTCTCCCTATTTAGAATTTTTTTTTCATACTGTTGACATTAAGAAGCCAGGAGACTGGTGGTTTTTACATTTTTTTTATTTGCTCAACGTCTTGCCAGGATTGTCCAAAAATATTGTTTTAAAACCTTTGTCCTAAAAAGCTCTGTGAAATTACAAGGTAGGCCAAACTCAGCATGTTGGCTGAAGTTCACCAATGGGAGCCCTTATAAAGAGAAACTTAGACTTGAAGGAAGACCATTGAAGCATTCTTCTTGTCTTTCCTATTGATGCCTGTTAGAATTGTAGCCTTTTAAACAGAGGTTCCAGGACCTAGTTTTTCAGCCAGTTCTAAGATTTCTCTTTTGCTTCTTTTTCAATTATGTAGAAAAAATGGCCTTGCTAATAGCGGGAGGAAAACAAAAGAATTTTACATTCTACATGCTCACGATATTTTTAATTGCCTAAAACTGTGACTACTTGCCAAAATTATTCTGGCATTCTATGAAGAGATGCCATTTGTCATCAGAAAACTTTTGAACTCTACATAAATGCAAAGTATTAGAGGATATTTTTATATCCAGACAAGGCTTATAAAAACAATTAGACTGTACTTTATGGGTTTTGCTTGGGTCGAATATGATTCTGATCATCAGAAAGGGATTTCTCATTCACTCCTTGATTAATTGCATCAGTAAGGGTCTACTCAGGAAAACAGAAGCCATGTTAGGTATGTCAAACAAAGGAGGTTTAAAACGGACCTGATTGTAAAAGTAAGAGCTGAAGGAACAAAAAAGAGGGAGTGTTGGGTAACCCAGAAATTAGACTGTGAGGCTGCTACCACTGGAAGAATGGAAGGGCAGAGGGGGGCCAGCACCCTGACTTGTGCTCACTGGAACTGTTGGAGTTGCATCTTTTGGAACCTCCTGTTTCTGCCTGCTGGAATTACAAAGGCTGCAGGAGCTCACAGCTGTTCAAGGCTGCTGCTACTGCTGCTGCTGTAACAGCCAGCACCACAGGAGCCCAGAACTGCTGGCTGCCACCACTACCAGAACTGACTGCCACTACTGGGTACGTAGCTGGAGCAAAGAGAAGAACAATGGTTTCTCCCTCTTCGCCCTTTCCATGCCCACCGATGTCTCCCACTGCTTGGATCTAATTGGAAGCCAGTTGGCAGGATTCTGGGGAATGTAGCTTGCAGGGTTTGCTGAGTCTGGAAGAGAAGGAATGGAATTGAAACCAAACAGGCAATCGACCAGCTCCTTTCTCTCCTTCATGAAGAGGTGGAATGTGTTCTGGATGAACCTGCCATGGAATATGGC
This sequence comes from Homo sapiens, assembly GCF_000001405.40. NCBI lineage: Eukaryota > Metazoa > Chordata > Mammalia > Primates > Hominidae > Homo > Homo sapiens. The sequence continues at coordinate 101,822,330 of NC_000008.11, read as the reverse complement.
AATGTGTGACATGTCCTTGCCAGCTCTGTGAATGAATAAATGTTCACTTGGCTTTCTTTTCATTCCCCAAAATATTTTTAATTTTGAGTAGCTTCAACTTACTTAATATTTAAAGATAGACTATGACTACAAAAATCGAGGAATACATTCTATAATTTGTCTTCCATAATTTGTTTCTTTAGAAGGTTTTGGAAGGAAGGCAACTGACATTGATTTATGCTTTTACAAAGATGTTAGGTGACACACACATTTTTCATTTAATACTTACAACAACCTTATGCAGTAAGAATAACTTTTATCCCCAAAAAGGAGTGTCTCGAGGAAAGTTTCACAAGCTCTTCATCTCCACAGCCAGGAGACCTCTGTCTAACACTTTCCATCCAGCCAGCATGTGGGGGCCTGGTATGCTGGAAAAAAATTACATTTTTTTTTTTTTTTTTTTTTTTTTTACTTAGAACCCAAGAGGTTCCTGGATATGGGAAGAATAGGATTTATGAGTAGATTGCCAAAGTGGTTTTTTTCCCCAATTTGTAGTGCTGCTACAAAGAAACAACGTATACTCCAGTGGATAGAGGTGCCAATCTTGAATTTGCAGAGGACTTTGCTTGAATTTCTTGACAGCACAGCTTCCAGTCTGTCTTTTATAGTTTTTATTTACTTCCAATAGATTGGAAGCACTTTGATGACTTCCATAGTGTCATGTTCATCTCTGAATCCTAAACAGGACCTCGTGGAGGGCTGGCATCTAGAGAGGCTCAACAAATGTGTAGCTATTTAACTGTGGGTGTTGGAAGGCTCTGCGTCCTTCATGGACCACACAGGACCTATAATCTTCAGAGACAACTTGGTTCAAATCCAGACTCACTACTTACTAGCTGTGTGACCTTGAGAAAGTTACTACTTTTTCTATAATCTCTTCTGTAAAATGGAGATAATACCTACCTATCAAAGGTCATTGTAAGAATATGTTGGTTAATGTACATAAAGTTCTGGACATTATGGTGAGCATATGATAAATGCTTAATAACTACCTGTTTACCATTGTATCATTTCTTACTGCAGTTAACATATATTAAAAATCAATTTGATCACTACTCATGAGCAATGCACTGATTTGAAAATATTTGTAAATAAGAGACCATCTATATATAAATGAACTTTGCTTCTTTTATATGTTGAGTGCCTGGAAGCTTTCTGCAGGGAAAATCAACTGGTTGAATTTGAAATGGCCTGAGTTTTGGATAAAGGAGGATGAATCAAATCTTGTGTATATGCGTGTGTGTACTTGTGCATGTGGTGTCTTTATGACATTATTCTCTTTTGAAGAACAATTCTTTGGAACTTCATGTTTTGATTTACTTACCATGAGTTTTCTGTATACTTGATGATTAAAATGTCCCCATTTGGTCTTGCTCTCTGATTGCTTTCCCAAATTTCTGGTTATTTGCCATTTCATGCTATGAAAGCACTAGAAGATGGTTGCCAATGTAGCTAACGCAAATATTGCCTGCATATTTCCAAGTATATTGTTTTGGAGAAGTTAAGGGTCAAGGGACAGCATATCCTGGCATTTGTAGCTTCGGTTTAACCTGGAAAAGCTAATTTGGAATTAGCCATGTCATGCACCATTACGGAGCCAGAATTTTTTTTACAGCCTATCCCATCTACAGCAGGGATTCTTTCCTTAACAGGGCACATATTACTTTGGCAAAAACTATAGAGACTGGATATCAATTTTCAGAAAATTCTAAAGCGGTATTAATTTTTTTACAGTATAAAACCCTAGTCCAAGTTTAAGAAACCACACTTGAGACAGTTCTCTAAATTCAAATCATAACTCTGTCTGTTTGGGGAGTCTTTCCCCTCAAAATGTATGTTTATTCATTCATTAATCGATTCATCTACTCGTTTATTTATTAAACACATTTAAAAATTCATCTACTCATTTATTTATTTAACAAATAAAAATATATTTAATCAAATATATTTTGAGTGCCTGCAATGTGCCAGGTACTGTTCAATGCTGTGAACACACACATAGTGAACAAAATAGGCAAAGTCCCTGGTTTAAAAATGTTAAAGCTAAAAGACACCTTAAATTTTGGTGCTATATTTTTATTAAAGGCAAGATTATATAAGTATACAAAATCACTGGAGGTCAGTAGGCAGGAGATGGGCGAATTGTCTTCCAGACAGCCAACTCTGCTTCATTCCTGAAGTCCCTCTTAATAATAAAACAAATTAAAATATCTAACCCTCAGAGTTGTAAAGGAGAACATCAGTTAGAATACTTATGGCTAGTAAGAGCTCACCTAATTTAAAATGGTTAGACAATAAAGAGAGTTTAACAAAACAAAACACTGAAAGGAAGAGTGGCTTTAGGCACTGTTTCATCCACAGGTTCAGGAGGTGACAGGGCCTCAGCCCCATTTGTCTGAAATTCTCCTGGAATGTCCGCCAGCTCATTTGCTCCTGTGCTCCTGGCAGTGTGTTTGCAGTAGGACAGTGGGTTCTCTCCTTTCCTCTTCACTCTGTACCACCGCCGCTGCTGCTGTTTATCTCGCTAAGTGTTATTCATATGAAGAATTAGAATAATGCAACTGCAAATGAGTTCATTCCTTCTTTAAGATCCCAAATCTTTTAAATAATATATACAGATATATATGAGGGATGAGTGTCAAAAATGGCCTGGTGCTGTCAAACAAACAATTCTGGCAAAACCCAAGGGGTGGGAAGAGATTTACAGGGGAGAGCAATGTAGCGCTTATATAGTAAAAAATAAGGAATAATAATCTCACTGGGATAAATTGGGAATTGGGGAAAGAATGTGCAAAGCTATGTCTGGTGAAGAATTGAAAACTGGGTCTCAATAAGTAAAGGAGTAATGGTCATAATACAATTTACAGAAAAGAAAATACAAATGGCAAACAAATACATCTTTAAAATGTTCAACCTTTCCAGTAACTCAAGAAATAAAAACCCAAATGATGTTAAGCTACTATTTGGCATTTATTAAACTAAGAACAATAAATAAATAAATAAATAAATAAATAAATAAATAAATAAAGTTATGTATTTATAAGTAAACAAATATATGTGATGTAGTGCTGACAAGCCTGTGGGAAAATGGTATATTCAATTCTTGTTAGTGTCAGTAACAATTACAGTTCATTTAAAAGTCTGAAGAGAAATTCTGTCAACAAGCATAACAATTTTCATACCTACAGCTAAGTAATCACTCTCTTTAGGATTATTCCCAAAGAAGAAACTTGAAGGAAGAAAAGTGATGTATAAAGATGCTTATTTTTATTTATTTATTTATTTTTTGAGATGGAGTCTCACTCTGTTGCCCAGGCTGGAATGCAGTGGCACAATCTCTCCTCACTGTAACCTCTGCCTCCCAGATTCAAGAGATTCTCTTGCCTCAGCTCCCGAGTAGCTGGGATTACAGGCATGTGCTACCATGCCTGGCTAATTTTTGTATTTTTAGTAGAGATGGGGTTTCACCATGTTAACCAGTTGGTCTTGAACTCCTGACCTCAGGTGATCCACCTGTCTTGGCCTCCCAAAGTGCTGGGATTACAGGCATGAGCCGCTGCGTCTGGCCCTAAAGATGCTTATATATTGTTATTTATAATAGGGAAAATCTAGAAGCAACTGAACTCTGTGGCAATCAGAAAATGGGTAAAAATAGTATGATATATTAGTTCACTGGAATTTGGCTAGAAACTGAAAAAGAGATGAAGAGGAGAAACATGGAGGTGTTGAAGTCTTGTGGAAGATATTTATTAGCCCACATTGATTGAAAAATAGAGGGAAAATTTTTGGCTTCTCAATGTTCTGGAATTGAGTGTCAGCTCTTACATGAATATGTAACTCCACCTGTGAAGTCTAGTGTCTCAGGTGAGTGCCGTGTGCTCTCCTAAGACAGCATTCTCCTGTCTGTAATCATGGTACTTACCTCCAGGGGCTAGCGTGAAGATCAAGTGAGGTCATTTGCATGAAACACTCAGTGCAGTGCCAATTGCAAAACAAACCAAGGAAATCGCTACCTAAATATTATTACTGTAACAGTGTTTATTTTTTTCTTTGTCAAATTAAAGATTAGAAGAGAGCCTGAGAAAAATGGAGAAAAGGTCCTGTGCATGATAATGGAATGGATGGAAGTTTTATTTTTAAGCATTTCCCTTTATAATGTTTTATAATTTTTAAATGTTGACATTTTAAAGAATATATTTCTGAGCCCAAATACTTCCCAGGGCAAAGTCCTCATACCAGGGCCTCATCTCTCGAGCAGCTGGAAAGCCTGACTTCATAGCCCGACCACAAGTGCTCAGAATGCAAATACGAAACTACAGAGTCCACCGTACAGATTTAAAATGAACTGATTGTATCTTTATCCTTCCCGCAGCTGTTTTGGGAGAAACTGCTGTTCTTAGATGTCTGATTATTCCACACCTGTGAGGATATAGTATTGCTCCTTGAGAACCAAATCATGTTTGAAATCTCTGGTGTCAGAGGGTCTTTAAAAAATGGATGGCTTAGCATTTCCTCAGAATGCTGCATTCACGGGAGGGGTCTTCCACCTGACCTGTCGGGAACAATGCATCTTTCAGGCTGCTGGGCAGTGAATGGGATGCTCTGAACTCCTCTCTTTAGGGTTATTATTCTGAAATCCTCATTGTCGGCAATGCCTTCTTGGCAGCTGGACAGTAAAATGTATCTATCAATTCAGTCTCTTTCCTTTTTTTTTTGGTAGCTGCTTGGCTAAAGAAGCAAAAACCAACATAACTACATTTTATTCTGGGCACCTGCATTATTTATGCTGTCAGAAATTCTAGGCAAGAGGCTGAAACCGTGATTTATTATTAGGCTTGGAAACTGTGCGGACAAGCAAAAGAGACTTTCTTTTAATGTGGGTGACAAGAAAATGAAATGACAATCCGGAAAGAACAAACTCCAAGGCATGAACTTTTAAAATCATCTGCCAATTAACTGTGAAGAGGATGGCATCCTAATCAAGCGCTTGATCTGCTTCCCAGGCGCTCCCTGAGGCTCTTCTGCTGGCTCCACCAAGTAGGAGGAGAAAGTTGATTCTGTGTTAGCCTTGTAGAGCACCTTCCCAGAAGGAAGAACAGGGGCTTCTATTCTGGCACAAGAATCATTCTCAGAAGGGCTCGGTTTGGGTTCAACCAAGGAATTGGACTGGCCAGAAGTGCAAAGAGAGGCAGGAACATCCTAAATGGCTTCTGTGGCTTGTGTGATGAAAATATCATCTTCTGGGCTTAAAATGGATAGAAACACTCTGAAGGGCAAGCCGTGAAGAGAGCAGGGGATGTGCTGATTTCGTTTTTTTTTTAAAGACACTTTTTAAAGCGTAGTTTTAGGTTTATAGCAAAGTTAAGAGGAAGATGCAGAGATGTCTCATTTACCCCTGCCCCCACAACATGCATAACCTCCTTCATTGTCAACATCCACAGTGGCACATTTGTTACAACTGATGAACCTACTTTGACACATAATCACCCAAAGTCCATAGTTTGCATTACAGTTCACCCCTGGTGTTGTACATTCTATGGGTTTGGACAAATGTGTAATGACATGAATCCACCATCATAGTATTGTAGCGGGGACATTTTACCTCTGCTTCTTAGGGTTTTTTAGCTGGTCCCAAGAATTAAATTGACATAAGACAGATCAACAGGAGAAAAACATACAAATTTAATTCAAGTTTTATATGACACAGGAGCCCTCCTCATAAGGAAATGAAGACCCAAAGAAGTGACAAAACATAAATGCTTCTACATTAGGTTGAACAAAGACAGGCAATTGTGAAAAAGTAACTAAATTATGTTGGCGGGGGGCACAGCAAAAGTAAGATGTGAATTATTTTTACAAGGCCTGTTTGTATAGAATTCTTCCAGCCATGACTTTCCACCACAGAATGTTTCTTTTCTTTTGGTACAGAGAGGACGTCTTTCACATGGTAGTTTTTATCTCCTGTTTTCAGGAAGAAATTAGGGAGATTAGAGTCTCCTTCTTGCATACTGTTTTATAAGTGTGTTTTTCTCAAAATAATCCTTATACCACAGTGAAATATTTTGGGGTGCATATTCTGCCACCTTTCAGTATCATATGCATAGTTTCATTGCCATAAAAATACTCTGCTCCATCTATGTAAATCCGCCTCCCTCTGACCCTCTGGAAACCACTTATCTTTTTATTGTATCCATAGTTTTGCCTTTTTAAAATAACGTCTTATAGTTGGAATCATACAGTATGTAGCCTTTTCATATTGTCTTCTTTCATTTAGTAATATGTATTTAAGGACCCTCCCTGTCTTTTCGTGGTTTTGTAGCTCATTCTTTTTTAGCACTAAATAATATTGTATTGTCTGGATGTACCACAGTTTATCCACTTACCTACTGAAGGACATCTTGGTTGTTTCAAGTTTTGGCAATTATGAATAAAGCTACTATAAACACCTGTGTACAGGTTTTTGTTTGGACATCAGTTTTCAGCTTATTTAGGTAAATACCAAGGAGTGTGATTGCTGGATCATATATTAAGAGTATGTTTAGTTTTGTAAGAAACTGTCAAACTGTCTTCCAAAGTGGCTGTACTGTTTTGCATTCCAGCAGTGAATGAGAGTTTCTGTTGCTCCACATTCTCACCAGCACTTGGTGATGTCAGTGTTCCATATTTTGGGCGTTCTAATAGATGTGTTGTAGTATCTCATTTTAATTTACATTCCCCTGATGACATCTAATGTGAAGCATCTTTTCATATGATTACTTGCCGTCTGCATATCTTGTTTGGTGAGATATCTGTTAAAGTCTTTGGGCCACATTTTAATCAAGTTGTTTCTTTTCTTATTGTTGAGTTTTAAGAGTCCTTTTTCTAGATTTATTTTTTGTATGTGGATATCCAATTGTTCTAGCACCATTTGTTGAAAAGACTATCTGTGCTCTATTGTATTGCCTTTTCTCCTTTGCCAAAAATCAGATGACTGTATTTATGTGGGTCTATTTTTGAGGTCTCTATTCTGTTCCATTGATCTATTTGTCCACTTTCACCAGTACCACACTGTCTTATTACTGTAGCTTTATAGTAAGACTTGAAGTCAAGTAATGTCAGTCCTCCAGCTCTGTTCTTCTCCTTCAATGTTGGCTGGCTATTCTGGGTCTTTTGCCTCTCCATATAAACTTTATAATAAGTTTGTCAATATCCACTAAATAACATGCTGGAAATTTAATTGGGATTGCTTTGAATCTATAGATCAAGTTAGGAAGAACTGACATCTTGACAATATTGAGTCTTCCTATCCATAAACATGGAATATCTCTTTATTTATTTAGTTCTTTGATTTTGTTCATCAAAGTTTTATAGTTTTCCTCATAAAGATCTCATATATATTTGTTAGATTTATGTTAGATCTCATTCATATTTGTTAGAAATACCTAAGTATTTCACTTTGGAGGATGCCAATGTAAATGGTATTGTGTTTTTAATTTCAAATTTTGTTTGTTCATTGGTGGTATATAAAAAAGTAATTAACTTTGTATCCTGCAACCTTGCTATAATCCCTTATTAGTACAGGAGTTTTTTGATTCTTTTGGCTTTCCTACCTAGATGATCATGTCACCTGCAAACAAAGTTTTATTTCATCCTTCCCAATCTGTCTACCTTTTGTTTCTTTTTCTTATTGCGTCATTCCAGTATGATGTTGCAAATGAGTAGAGACACCCTTGCCTTATTCCTGTTCTTAGTGGGAAGCTGTGAGTTTATCATCTTAAGTATGATGCTAGCTGTAGGTTTTTTGTAGATATTCTTTGTCAAGTTAGGAACATTCCCCTCTATTCCCAGTTTAGTGAGAGTTTTTAATCATGAGTAGGTGTTGAATTTTGTAAATGCTTTTTTGATCTTTTGATATAATCGTGTGATATTTCTTTTTTAGCCTGTTGATGCGATTAATTACATTAATTGATTTTGAATGTTAAACCATACCTGGCATAAATCCCATGTGGTTATGGAGTATAATTTTAAAAATATATTGTTGGATTCAATTTGCTAATTTTTTATTGAAGATTTTGCATCTATGTTTATGAAAGATATTAGTTCATAGTTTTTTTGTTATGTCTTTGGGTTTGGTACTAGGATAATGCTGGCCACATAGAATGAGTTAGGAAGTCTGCTTTCTTCTGTACTCTGAATGAGATCATTGAGAATTGGTATAACTTCTTCCTTAAATGTTTGGTAGAATTCACCAGTGAACCTATTTGGGCCTGGTGTTTTCTATTTTGTAAGGGTATTAATTATTGTTTCAATTTCTTTAATATATAAAGGCCTATTCAGATTATTTATTTTGATAACATTTCCAGAGATACTTTTCCGAGTATAATCACCAGATTATCTTCAAGTCTGCAGTTTTATGTAGTAAAAATGGGCAAGCATCTGACATGTGGGGAAGGATAGGGGGTCTTTTATGTATATGGACAGATTTTCACCATGAATTCTAATCTTGAGAGTTTTCTTTGGCAAAATCTGGACCAAATCCTATAATAAAAGCCATTTTAAAGATGTCTAGTTTCTGCAGATGTTCTATTTTCTGAGGGTGATGATGTGATGTCATTCAAGCCTTCCATGTACATTGTGCAAGCTGTGTAATGCAAAACCTGGGGGGCATTTACATAGTGGTTTTTGTGCCAATAGAAAATATGTTCACTCTATAATGAGTATGTGTTACCTTTAGAAATGGGGGAAAATTTTTAAAGGACTTTACTTAAAATATTTTAAATTGGTCTCGAAATCAAATGACATAGGTTTCAATCTGCCACCGACTAGCTGTGTATCCTTGAGCAAGTAACTCAGTTACCTCCTTGATACACTGGCTTACAAAACCCTCCCTAAGCTGTCCCATGTTTGCCCAGTTCATCATGTGCTCCTTACTCTTCTTAGCATTCTGGAATTCTGGTATCCTTTTCAATTCCTCTAACATGCCATGCTGCAGTGGTTTTAATCACACCTTTTTCTCTGCTCAGCACTTCTCCCAACTCCTCATCTGGCTCATTCCTCTTTCTTCTTGACTCAAAGGTCATATCCTTAGGGAGCCCTTCTGTAAAACTCAAGACTGAGTTAGATCCTCCTGGACAAGCACCAGTAGCTATCTTTCTGTATCACTCATTATTTATTAAATGTTTAAATTCTTCAATAACTGTATCATGAGGCCAAGGTCTGTGTCTTTCTTGTTCACTGCTATCTCCCCCAGCCTAGCACATTGCCTGCCACACAGAAAGCACCCATTGAAGATTTTCAAAGGAAAAAATGAACAAATGAACTGAGGTGGAAAATCTCCAAGTTTTTTTTCCATTTTCAGGAGTCAGTGGCATTAATTCAGTAAAGAACAAAGATGTGCTGATTGTGTTTGTATGTGCTCATTTGCTTTCAAGTGATAGAACACCCACTCAAACTGGCTTAGGAAAAAAGAGGAATTATTGGTATGATACTGAGGTGGCTCAGAGAATCTAAAGAGGAATTGTAGGAACTACAGAGGCCCTGAGGAGTTCAGAGACTGTAACTGGGAACTCCTGCTCGTAGGAATCTGACTTCAAGCCCCTAATTCTTTTAGAAGGTTCCATTGTTACTCAATCCCAAGTGGACAGACTTCATGGGTCATACATCTTCGTTTTATCCATTATTCTTTTCCTCTGATGAGGGTAACTCCCTATTGCCTCTCAGTTCCCATTTTTGTTTTGACTCTCTTTACTGTCAACTGAGGATTTCACGGTGAAGTTTCTTATGAAAAATTGCTTGGAGAAAAAGCCAGTGTCAAGTCTTGATGTTCTGGAAATTTTTTTTTAGTCCTTCCCAGCCATGACACAAAGTGGATCCAGACTGTCTGGGCTCTCACTTCTCTTTAGTTAAGTTGCTGAGCTCAGAGGATATTGACTTTACATTATGGAAAACTCAATAACTGAACATCTCATTTTGGATGTAGAAAAATTTAGGCCCTAAAAGCTTTAGTGATGAGCTTGATTCATAGACTGCTTTGGTGATGAGCTTGATTCATAGACTGCTTTGGTGATAGTAATAAGGGGCTGGATTTTATCCCTGAGTCTCTACCCAGTGCCCTTTGAATGACCACACTGCCTCTTAAGAGAGAACTTGCATTTGGTTCTTTGGTTGATAACTACTTAGAAAACCGATGTTGTCATTTTCCACAGATAAGAGTATGGAAAAGCAACATAGCCTCAAGGCAGGTTTAACAGGACAGGTTCCCAGGATAGCTGTGTAAATTAACCATCCCACTCCATTCTGAGAACAAATCTTTTCTGCAATGCTAGATTTGAATTGTAGATGATAGAAAAAGAGCAGTGCAGTTCTTTGATTTCTTTTCTTGCTTGTGTTTAGCACGTTCTCTGATATAAGCCACATGGGCTAGTTCTTGAAAATTGTCCATGCAATTTAAGTCCTTTTGTAAATAGAAATTCTAGAATCAGAGGACTTGACAGAAACTACCAAAAGCCAACTAGGCAACCTTTTACCTCTGGGAGGCCTGTTGTGAAGACCCTGCAGTAGGTTTTTCCGTAATGGGTTCACTCCCAGCTGGAAGGAACATCTCCCTCCCCTGAGGCCCCACAGCACTTTGCTGTACTTCTCTTGGGATACTTAAACTCTCTCCCATTTTCTTCCCTATTACCGTTTTAAGTGCTTATCTTTGCTTCTTTCATAAAGTCTTGCTCAGACCATGCACTCAGCACGCATTTGTTGCCTGTATTAATTTCCTATTGCTGTTATAACAAATTATCACAAACTTGGTGGCTTTAAACAATGCAAATTTAGTGTATTACAGTACTAGAGTTCAGAGCTCCAAAATGGTCTCACTGGGCTAAGGTGTAGGCAGGCTTTGTTCAATTCTGTAGCCTCTAGGAGAGGATCAACTTCCTTTCCTTTTCCAGCTTCTAGAGGCTGCCTACATCTTTGGCTCATGGCCCCTTCCTCCATCTTCCTAGCCAACTGCAGTGGTCCAAGACCCTCTTATGCTGCCCTATTTCTACCTTCTTCTTCTACTTTAAAGAACTCTTGTGATTACATTGGGTTCACTGTATAATTCAGGATAATCTCTCTATTTTAAGGTCAGCTGATTGGCAACTTTAATTCCTCTTTGACATGTGAGATAACATACTCACAGGTTCCAGGGATTAGGACAGGACACATGGGGGGCAGGTACAGGGGAGCATGAATCTGCTTATCACATTGCCCAAACACAACTGAAATCAGTAGTCTGACTATTGGAACAATATTGATGGCTGCTTCCTTTATTCAAGTGACTTTCTGATAATTCATAATAAACATTTTTTTTCTGAAATTGATTTTTTAAAATATTCCCAGGAGCGGATAGTTATGCTTTAAATGTCCTAATTAATTATTTTTCTGCATTAGGATTTTTATATATTTGATTTTATTAAAGCAAGATTCACCTCTATTACAGTGTTAGAACATTGATTTATATAAATCTGTGTAAGGGTTATGATAGAAAAGCTTTTGCATTAAAAAAAGAAATAGGCATTAGCAGCTCTTGGAGTATGTGGTGTGTGCTTTTTTAGGGAAAGCTTTTTTAGAAGAGATGCTAATATCAGCAAAGTAATAAACTAATGTCCTATTTCCTCTCTCTTGTAAAAAAATGAATTTAATAGGCTAAATATTATCCTAGGCTGTGGTTTATACTGTCATCAGATGCTACTAAATGGAAATTTGGGCTATGAAAATATAAATATAAATTCATAATTCTCCTGATGTTAAGAACTGTTTTAATTTACTGACTAAGGAATTGAGTGGAAGCAGAAAAATCACATTTCTAGCAGATCCATTTTTTAGAAAGCATAACTTAGGGTAAACTGGACCTTAAATAGCACATTTCTTAATTATTCTCCTTAATTATAGAGAGTAGCTCTTTCAGTCTAACTGTACGAGATACACTGCTAAATTTGAACATTACTCCTTATAACCACCGTGCAAGGTAGTTACAAATATTGCCAACTTACAGACAATACAATCAAGGCATAAAGGGGTTAAGTAAATTGTCCTAAAGTCACAGAGATAAAAAGTCATATTTGGGGAGTCCATGTTTAATTCAGAGTGTGCCTGACTTCAAAGTTTATACTCTCTCTATTATAACACAGCAAGAGTCCTTGGTGCCAACATTTTGCACAGAAACTCAACAAAATGTGTGACTTTAAGCTGGAGATCAATTTTAGAATTGCTTCTCTGTTCTTGTTTATAGGCGTTGCACTGTCAACACAGGCACCACATGGAAAGAATCTACATTTATCACTCTGCTCAGCCCTACTTCCTCATTCTTTGGAACAGAGAGAAATAGAATTTGTGATGATTCATAAAAGTCAGATTTATAAATGTACAGTAGTGTCAGCCTGACAGCAAAGAGAGATTCATGGTCTTGAAACAATCTTTAAAAAAAAGAGAGCAGGCCAAGTGCGGTGGTTCACACCTGTAATCCCAGCACTTTGGGAGGCTGAGGCAGGCAGATCACTTGAGATCAGGAGTTCAAGACCAGTCTGGCCAACATGGTGAAACCCCGTCTCTATTAAAAATACAAAAATTAGCTGGGTGTGGTGGCGCATGCCTGTTATCCCAGCTACAGGAGGCTGAGGCAGGAGAATCACTGCAACCCGGGGGATGAAGTTTGCAGTGAACTGAGATCATGCCACTGCACTCCAGCCTGCACAACAGAGTGAGACTCTGTCTCAAATAAATAAATAGAAATTAAAAAAGAGCAAAAACACAGATTCTATTATAACATTTGTGCTAATTGTACTGGATGCTGTTGATGGAAAAATAATATTTTGTAACTTTCCTTTTATATGGGAGATTAAATATAAAGAGGTGATTTGTGGACCATTTTCTTAGAAAACAAAATCCTTAGTTTCCTGTGAGAAACTCTTTCTCTCTGAGAAAAGAATTATTTACCTCATTCAAACTGCAAAAAGGCAGGCAGGCAGGGTGAAAGAAGAGGCCATTTTTACTCCTGTAGTGATTTTGATGTCTCTTTTCTTCTTTTTCTTAGACATCAATCCATATGACTCTTCCATGTCCAGGAAGACTTTAAACAGTCTTTGCATGAACATTACCAAATATTAAAGTTTACTAATTTAATACTCAGAGAAATAAAGAGCTGTTTTCCAGTATTTCTTCTGCAATGCTTTTAGAACGCACTTCTATTTTCTTCTTTAGGGACTCCTGGAAATTTTATAACATTCCACAGCTTATTAAACATGTGATATTTCACTTGCACAAGATGTTTTTGATGGTGGACATGCTAACAGTTGGGAATAGGTTTGGCATGTAATAGTGGTATCTTAAATAAAATGGAAATCTCCCTCTTTATGTCTCTCCCTCTCTCTCTCTGTCTCTCTCCCTCTCTCTCTTTCATGTAAAAGTCCATAGAAAAGCAATGTAGCCTTGAAATGGCAGCTTTTCTCCAAGAAGTCTTCAGGAACCTAAGCTTCTTCCAGCTTACAGCCCCGCCATCCATCTTTAGGGTGTACAGCCCACTTCCTTATGGTCTACAGTGGTAGTCACCATACTCATGGTCCCAAGCAGTAGAATGGTAAAAGGAATTAACATAAAAAGGGGGCAAAAGTCTTAGACAAGTTTGTTTGCCTATTTGTTTTTAAGGAAAATTCTGGAAGCTACCACATGACATATCTATTTACATCCCATTGGCCTGTTCTTAATCATAAAGCCACAGAGCTAGAAGGGGAGTTAGGAAATGTCTTTATTCTTTGCAGCTATTAACAAGCTAAAGATTCTATATCTATGGAAGAAAGAGAAAATGGATATTAGAGGACAATTAGCAACTGCTGCCACAGATGTAATAGCCGCTCCTTGAGATCTCTGAAGGGCAGCCATGTGAACATAGTATCAAAGAGAAAAACTTAAATCTTATAGTAAAGTTTTAGGGAGGAGACATTTGGTTCATCATAAGGAACCTTCTAACAGTTAGAGTAGTTCCACAATTGTAAGACCTGACATTTTGTAATGGAGAGCTCACTGTTACTGGAAAGTATTCAAGCAGCAGGTGCTTACTACTCCTTAGTGACAGTCTAGAGGGGATTTCTTCACTGAAAGGTAGTTAGGACTGGGTGACCACTAAGGTATCTTCTAGAGCCTGTGAAATCTGTTATTTCTTAACAGCTGTAAGATCTGTAATTATGTTCCCTTTTTATTACAGATATTGGTAATTTGAGACTTCTCTTTTTTTCTTGATCACTCTTCTAAGGAGTTATTACTTTTATTAATTTGTTCAAAGTACCAACTTCTATCTTCTCATTTTTCTCTATTATACCTTGTTTTCCATTCCATAGTTTCTTCTCATTTTATTATTTCCTTCTTTCTACTTTCTTTAGTTTTATGATGCTCTTCTTTTCCCAACTATGAGATAGAAATTTAAATCATGGATTATCAGCCATTTTAAAAATTAAATGCTTTTATTAATTCAGGGTCAAAGAAAATAGAATTGTGAAAGTGCTATGTAAATTATAAAGCACAATGCAAGGGTGCTATTTTTACCAGTATTTCAGTAACTTTGCTGTAACCCTTTATGACTGCAAGTGATGGTGATTTGGAAGATTTTTGTGTCTGCTTCTAACAGTTTGTATGTGCCTTTCAGATGTTGGTTTTGCTTTCTTGAGCACCTTGGCTTTATTCTACTTTGCTATGTCTATTGGGTTGTAAAACCAGATAACCCTATTAATAAGGTGTTGAATTAGTATCAAAATTCTTTGGCTTTTTGATCCTGGGCAAATGATTTAATTTTTCTGGTCTATGTTTCTGCATCTTTTCTGGTTCTCTGTTTATACCTGTGGATTCAAATTACCATATGGTGTTATTTTCTTACTCTAATACAGCTTTGCTCTTCCCCCTTTTCCTTTGTGCTGTTGTTGTTGAATATTTTACAACAATATTTTACAATTCTGTACTTTACAACTCCAATATACAATTATATATATAGTTTTATACAATTGCTTTTTTAATGAGCCAAGAGAAGAAAGAAGAAGAAATATGCATTTGTGACATCTTTTATAATTACACAATTACCTTTTCTGATACTCTTTTTATCCGAGGTCACTTGCTTTAAGCATGAAGAACTTCCATTAGTATTTCTTGTGAAGTAGATCTACTATCAATGTATTTGGTCTGTTTTCGTTTATCTAGTAATATCTTTATTTTTGCCTTCATTTTTGAAAGATAGTTTTGCTGGATATAGGCTTCTTGGTTGACAGCTGTCTTCTTTCAGCACTTTAAATATGTAATCCCACTGGCTTCTGGCCTCCATTGTTTCTGCTAAGTCAGTTGTTAATCTTATTAAGGTTTCCTTACATGTAATGAGCCATTTTTCTCTTGCTGCTTTCAATTTTTTTTTTTTGTCTTTGTCTTTCAGCATTTTAACTATGATATGTCTGGGTGTGGATCTATTTGTGTTTATCCTGTTTGGAGTTCATTAGCTTCTTTAATGTGTACATTAATGCTTTTATTTAAATTGGGAATTGTGTGCATAGGTGCATGTGTTTTATACACATATTGATGTCCAATAATTCTCTGAGGCTGTCTCTGTTCATTTTCTTCATTCTTTTTCTTTCTGCTCTTCAGATTGCATGTTCTCTACCAAACTATTTTCAGCCTCACTCATTCTTTTTTCCACCCATTTAAATCTACTATCATTTCTCTGTAGTGAAATTTTCATTTCAGTTATTCTACTTTTAAACTCTGGCATTTCCAGTTGGTTTTTTAATATAATTTCTATCTCTTTATTGATATTCTCTATTTGATGAGGCATTGTCATTGTAGCCTCTTTTACTTCATAAAGTATGATTTTCTTTAGTTCTTTTAACATATTTATAATAGCTGCTTTGAAATCTTTCTAAAATACATCTAAATCATCTCACAGATAGTTTCTTTCTCTGCTTTTTTTCCCGTGTATGAGTTACATTTTCCTTTTTCTTTGGATGTCTCATGACTTTTCATTAAAAGCTGGACCTTTAAGGTAATATAGTATAGGAATTTGGGATTCTGATTCTTCTCTCTTCTCTGGAGTTTCTGTTGCTGTTTGCTTGGGGGTTTTTTGTTGTTGTTTTTAATGACTTGATTAAACTATTTTAGTGAGGTCTATTTTCCCTACACTGCAAAGCCTTCACTATTTATTTTCAGAGGGCACAGCCTTGGGCATACTCACATCACCCTGGAATGACTGGTTTTGGTAGAGCTATATTTGGCCGTCTCTTTCCCAGTCTCTCTGTTATATGGTCTGCTTCATTTGATATCACACCCAGCTGTTAGGCTCCACTAATTTTTTGCTGATTTTTCTAGTATTTCTTAAATGCTCTTGGGCATAAATTATTTAAGTCTGATCCAATTAAATTCATCCAGTGAAGTTCTGGCGGTTGATATTTGAGGCTTGTTCTCATCCCAGGAATGATGTTTTTAGCTATCTCCTTTCCTAGTTCTCTTTGATAAACTAGCTGGTCTGCAGGTTAGCTTTTGCTCTTCTATAGTTATCCACCTCCTCTCAATTGTTTACCATCAAAATCTCCATTGTTTTTGAGAGCACCCTTAAACTTGAACTTTTACACACTCTATTACAAATAAAGTCAGCTCCTTTGGGGGAGAGCTTCAGAGCTCTCTGTTCTTATGGACGGCCTCTCCATCTGGGAAAAATTTCTGAATAACTGCTTTAGGCATGAGGCAGTGATAGTAGACTCTAGTCTTCTCAAATTGCCTTCCCTGGCATAGAACCTCTACTCTAAAAGCAAGCTGCATTGAGGGCAATACGAGCCCTGGTATTTTTGATCTGCTGTGCTTAGAGTAGAGTCTCTGCCTTATGAATGGAGGATAGATAGAACAAGGGAGTCTCCAACCTCTTGGGTGCACTCACTAACCTTAGAGCTGAAGAAAGGCTGGTGTCCTACCTTTCCAAGGAGATAATTATATTCCTTGACTGAGAGCTAATGGGAAAAGGAGGCCAGACTTATTGGCCACATCTTCTCAAGGGAGGAGCTTTTATCAAACTGAGCTGAGGGTTAAGGAGGAACTGGATCTTAATTCAAGTGCTCCAGATCCTCAGTGTTCTTTCAGAGTTTTAGTATATTTTCTTGAATGAATGTTTCTGCATTGTCTATATGCCCTTAGAAGGATTATTAGGGACTTTATATATATGATTTTAAAAAGTATTTTCACAAGTTATACTTAAGTCATTGGGGAACAGGTCCATGGAGCTTTTCAAAGTGCCACTTCAAAAGTAGAACCTCAGTTTTAACATAAACATATATATGCCGAGTCATTAAGTAGTGTTGCATGTAAGTTTTGATATATTTTTGTCATTCAGTTCAAAATGTTTATAGGTTGCAGTGTACAGGCATTTCTCAGAGGTATTGCAGGTTTGATTCCAGCCCACTGCAATAAAGTGAAAGTGAACATTGCAATAAAGTGAGTCACACAAATGTTTTGGTTTCTCGGTACATATAAAAGTTATGTTTATACTATACAGTAATCTATTAAGTGTGAAATGGCATTATGTTTTTAAAAGCATTATATTTTATTATAATTATTTATATATAATTAGGTATTAATTTATTAATTATATTATATGATAATTATATTATACTAATATATAATAGTTAATTATATTAATTATATATTATATAATTAATTATATTAATTATATATTATATAATTAATTATATTAATTATATATTATATAATCAATTATATTAATTATATATTATATAATCTTTGTTATATATTATATAATTAATTATATTAATTATATATTATATAATAATCTTTGTTATATATTATATAATTAATTATATCAATTATATATTACAGTTATAAATAGTATATATTTAGAAATATATATATTTCTATATATAGTAACATATAATATATAATTGATATAATTATATATAATATATAATTGATATAATTATATATAATATATAATTGATATAATTATATATAATAGTTATAAATAGTATATATTTAGAGATAATGCATTTTTATAGGTTATTGGAATATAAAATATTATTTTCTAAAATTGCTAATTTTTAGAAAATAATTTTTCTAAAAATGCTAATAATGCATTTTCACAAATTACTGTGATATAAAAAATTATTTTCTAAAAATTACTAATGATCGTCTGAGCCTTCAGCAAGTTCTAATCTTTTTGCTGGTGGAGTGTCTTGCCCCAGTATTGATGGCTGCTGACTGATCAGGCTGGCGATTGCTGAAGGTTGGGGTGGCTATGGCTATTTCTTAAAATAAGACAACAGTGAAGTTTACCACATCGGTTGGCTCTTCCTTTCATCATGGATTTTGCTGTAGCATGCAGTGCTGTTTGATGGCATTTACCCATAGTAGAAAATTGGAATCAATCCTCTCAAACCTTACTGCTGCTTTGTCAACATACTTTATGTAATATTCTGAATCTTTTATTGTCATTCAACAACATTCACAGCATCTTCACCAGAAGTAGATTCCATCTCAAGAAACCACTTTCATCTGCAGTTACTTCCTCCACTGAAGTCTTCAACCCCTATAGGAAGTCATCCATGAAGGTTAGACTCAACTTCTCCCAAACTCCTGTTAATATTGATATTTTGGCCTCCTCCCATGAATCATGAATCTTCTTAATGTTATCTAGAATAATTACTCTTATCCAGAAGGTTTTCAATTTACTTTGCCCAGATCCATCAGAGGAATCACTATTTATATACTTTAAGAGCTATGGTCTTATGAAATGCACTTCTTAAATAATAAGACTTGAAGGTTGAAATTACTTCTTGATCCATGGGCTGCAGAATGGATGTTGTGTTACCAGGCATCAAAACAACATTAATCTCCTTGTATATCTTCATCAGAGCTCTTGAGTGACCAGGTGCATTGTCAATTACCAGTAATATTTTGAAAGGGATCTTTTTTTCTGAGCAGTAGGTCTCAACAATGGGCTTAACATAGTAACCCATGCTGTAAACAGATGTACTGTGATCCAGGCTTTGTTGTTCCATTTATGGAGCACAGGCAGAGTAGACTTAGCATAATTCTTAAGAGCCCTACAATTTTTTGGAATGGTAAATGAGCACTGACTTCAAGTTAAAGTTACCACTTGCATTAGCTCCTAACAAAGAGTCAGCCTGTTTTTTAAAGCCTTGAAGCCAGCCATTGACTTCTCTCTAGCTATGAAAGTTCTAGATGGCATCTTCTTCCAATCAGAGGCGATTTCATCCACATTGAAAATCTGTTTTGAAGTATAGTCACCTTCATCAATGATCTTAGCTAGATCTTCTGCATAACTTGCTGCAGCTTCTCCATCAGCACTTGCTGCTTCATGTTGCATTTTTTTTTTTTTTTTTTTTTGAGCAGCAGCAAGATTTATTGCAAAGAACGAAAGAACAAAGCTTCCACAGCGTGGAAGGGGACCCGAGCGGGTTGCCCTCATCTTGCACTTTTATGTTATGGAGATGGCTTCTTTCCTTAAACTTCATGAACCTTTGCTAGATTCAAAGTTTTATTCTGCATTTTCTTTACCTCTCTCAGCCTTTATAGAATTGAAGAGAGTTAGGGACTGGCTTAAGAACAGACTTTGGCTTAAGGAAATGTTGTGGCTAATTTGATCTTCTCTCCAGGCTACTAAAACTTTCTACATATGAACATAAAGCTGTTTTGCTTTTTTTTTTTAATCATTCGTGTGTTCACTGTAGTAGCATTTTAAATTTCCTTCACGATCTTTTTCTTTGCAGTATAGTTGGCTGTTTGGCACAAGAGGCTTAGTTTTCAGCCTGTCTTGGCTTTCAACACGCTTTTCTCACTAAGTCTAATCATTTCTAGCTTTTAAGTTAAAGTGAGAGACATGCAACTCTTCCTTTCACTTGAACTCTTAGAGGCCATTGTGGGATTATTAATTTAACGTTGTATCTCGGGGAATAGGGAAGCTCCAGGGGAGGGCGAGAGATGAGGGAAGGCCAATCAATGGAGCAGTCAGAACACACACATCTATCAATTAAGTTTTTCATATTTTATGGGCATGGTTTGTGGTGCCCCAAAGCAATTACAAAAGTAACGTCAAAGATTACTGATTACTGATTACTGATCACCATAACAGATGAAAAATGTTTAAAAACATTGCAAGAATTACCCAGATGTGACACAGAGACATGATTTGAGCTCATGCTGTTGGAGAAACAGCACGGCTAGCCTTGCTTGATGCAGGGTTGCCACAAACGTTCAGTTTGTAAAGATCACAGTATGTGTGAAGCACAGTAAAGCAAAGCACAATAAGAGGAAGTATGCTGGCCGGGCGCGGTGGTTCACGCCTGTAATCCCAGCACTTTGGGAGGCCGAGGCGGGCGGATCACGAGGTCAGGAGATGGAGACCATCCTGGCTAACAGGGTGAAACCCCGTCTCTACTAAAAATACAAAAAATTAGCTGGGCATGGTGGCGGGCACCTGTAGTCCCAGCTACTTGGGAGGCTGAGGCAGGAGAATGGCGTGAACCCGGGAGGCGGAGCTTGCAGTGAGCCGAGATAGTGCCACTGCACTCCAGCCTGGGCGACAGAGGGAGATTCCGTCTCAAAAAAAAAAAAAAAAAAAAAAAAAAAAAAAAAAAAAAAAAGTAAGTGTGCTTGTAAATCATAGAGATGTGGCTTTAACCCATGGACAACTGAGAAATGCATTGCTTAATTTCCATTCAGGGATTTTCTATTTGTCTTTCTAATATTGATTCCTAGCTTTAATCCACTGTTTGCAAAGAGTATTCTCTGTGATTTCAGTCATTTATAATGTGTCAAGACCTTACTTGTGGCCCAGCATGTAGCCAATTTTGGTGAATACATTTGAAAAAAAAATGTGTATTTTGCAATTTTTGAGGTCACCGTTTTTCAAATATTGACTAATATATTAATTAGGTCAAATTGGTTAATTTTGTAATTTAAATCTATATTTCTACTTTTTTCTGCTGGTTGTGTAAGTTACCAAGAAAGATGTTTTAAATTAAGACTTTGATTGTGATTTTTAAAATTTATCTTGATGCTATTAAATGTGTACATATTTGGAAAGGTAAATTATGAAGTATTTATATCTTTAGTAGCACTTCTTGCTTATATTTCTATAAAGTACTATAGCTATACTCTTTCTTTCTTTGTTTCTTTCTCTTTCTTTTTCCTCCTTCCTTCCTCTTTCTTTCCCTTTCCCTTTTCCTTTTCCTTTTTCCTTTCCTTTTCTTTCCTTCATCCTTTCCCTTTCCTTCCTTGTTTTCTTTCCTTCCTCTTCTCCCCTCCTTTCCCCTCCCCTCTTCTCCCCTCCCCTCTTCTCCCTTCCTCTCCCCTCCCCTTCTCTCCCCCCTCCCCTTTTTTCCCCCTCCCCTCTCCCCTCCCCTCTCCTTTTTCCTCCTCCCCTCTCCCCTCCCCTCCCCTCCCCACCTCTCCTCTCCTCCACAACCATAGCTCACTGCTGCCTCAACTTCCTGGGTTCAAGTGATCCTCTTGTCTCAGCCTCTAGTAGCTATAAAGTATTATGTATTGATAGTAATATTGCTACACCAGCTTTGTCTTGGTAGAGTTTGTGTGATATATATGTATCTATCTTTTTACTTTTAGCCTTTCTGTACTCTTGATTTCAAAGTGTGTCTCTTGCATACAGCAAAGAGTTAGAATATATCTATTAATACAGTATGATGTTTATTTTCTTTTAATTGCAATATTTGGTCAGTTTATATATTATGGTAATTATTGATATGTTTAAGATTACATCTTTAATCTTACCATTTCTTTCTATTATTATTTATTGCTCTTTTTTCCTCCTTCTTTTGGGAATCAAGTAATTTTTAAAATTATTTTTTCTCCTCTATTAGCTTATTAGCAGTATGTTCTTTAGTTTTTTTGTTTGTTTGTTTATTTTTAGTAGCTACTGCAAGGATTACATTGTACCTAATAAGGGACTATTTGTACTTATACAAGAATGCAAGAGTCCTAGGACACTTTAATTCTATTCCTCTCTTTTACTTTTGTGCTAATAGTCTATATTTGAAATCTACATTTATTTTATATCCCACACAACATTCTAATTTTATAAAATTAGTATTTCTTTAGGTTTATCTATATATTTACCCTTTCTATATGTCTGTGTTTCCATCTGGAATCATTTTTCTTATGCCTAAATGACTCTTGAGAAATTTGGTGTGATTCTGTTGGAATTAATTCTCTCAGTTTTTTACTGAAAATATTTTATCTCACCTTCATTTTAAAAATTCTAATTAAACTTTTATCTTGAAATAAATGTAGATTCACATACAGTTGTAAGAATAATACAGAGAGAACCCATATGCCTTTTACCCATTTTCTTCCAAAGGTAACATCTTGCAAAACTGCAGTGCAAAATTACAATCAGGATATTGATATTGATACAGTCAAGATACAGAAGGTGTCCAGTGCACAAGGGTCCTACTTGCCACCCTTTATAGCCAGCGTACTTTCCTGGCTTCCCTACCTGCTCCTTAACCCCTTGCAACTACTCATCTATTTTTTATTTCGATAATTTTGTCATTTCAAGAATGTTACGGAAGTGGATTCATACAGTGTGTGAACTTTTGAGACTTGTTTTTCTGCTCTGTAAAATTCTCTAGATATTCATGCTGGCTTTTGTATGCATAAGTCGTTCATTCAATTTTAGTACTAAGTAGTATTCCATTGTGTGGATATAGTACAGTTCATTTACTCATTCATCCACCCAAAGCCTCTGGGTGGTTCCCAGTTCTCGGCTGTCACAAAGCTAGCTGCTATAAGCAAGCAGGTTCAGGTTTTTGTGTTAGCGTGTCTTCGTTTCTCTGGAATGTCCAAGTGCAATTGCTGAGTTGCATGATAGTAACTTGTTTAATTTTTCAAAGCAACTGGCAAATTGTTTTTCATAGTATCTTTATTAGTTTACATTCCCACCAGCAATGAATGAATAAGTTTCTCTGCATCCTTGCTGGCATTTGGTAGTGTCACTATTTTTTATTTTAGCTATTCTGATCTCATTATGGTTTTAACTTGAATTTCCCTAATGGTTAATGATGTTGAAAATTTTTTTTTATACTTGTTTGTTATCTGTGTATATTCTTTGATAAAATGTCTCTTCATGTCTTTTGTCTATTCTCTAGTTGGATTGTGTGTTTTACTGTTGAGTTTTGAGAGTTCTTTATATGTCCTAGATATGAGTCCTTTGTCAAATATTTGATTTGCAAATATTTCCCCACCAGCCTGTAGCTTGTCTTTTCATCTTCTTAACAGGTCCTTGTCTATATTATCAATTACTTATTTTGTAGATTATGATTTTGGTGTTGTTCCAGTACCATATGTTGAAAAAAATATTCTTCTTCCATTGAATTGCCTTTGCAGATTTGTCAAAAATCCATTGGTCATATTTATGTGGTGAGCTATTGGGTTCTCCATTCTGTTCCATTGATGTACATGTCTGTCCCTATGCCAGTATCCCACAGTCTTGATCATCGTAGCTATATAATATGTTCTGAAATCAGCTAGACTGATGGCTTCCATTTTATTCCTTTTTTTCAAAGTTATTTCAGCTATTTATTTCCTTTCTTTTTCAAAATAAATTTCAGAATAATTTTATATATATCTGTAACAAATCTTGCTGAGATTTTGATTAGAATTGTGTTAATTCTGTAAATCAGTTAGAGGTTAGTTGATATCTTTGCTATGTTGAATCTTTCAATCTATAAACATGGCATCTGTCTCCATTTATTTGAACCTTCTTTGATTTCTTTCATTGGCATTTTGTAGTTTTCAGAATACAAGTCCTGTACCTGTTTTGTTAGATTTATACTTATTTCATTTGGGTTTGAGCAGTTGTAAATGGCACTGTATTTTAAAATTCAGTCTCTACATGTTCATTACTAGTGTAGAGAAATACAATTGATTTTCAGGTTTATCTTGTATCCTGTGATCTTTTCAAACTCATCTATTAGTTACAGGAAGTTTTGTTTGTTTTGCAGATTCCTTGGGGTTTCCTATATAGATAATCATTTCATCCACAAATGAAACAGTTTTATTTCTTCCTTTCCAAACTGTATGCCTTTAAGTTTTTTCCTTACCTTATTGAAATGGCTAGAACTTTTGGCATGCTGTTGAATCAGTGGTGAGAGTGTACATCCTTACCTGGTTCCTAATCTTAAGGAGAAAATATTTACTCTCACTATTAAGTATAAAATTAGCCGTATACTTTTGGTAGATACTTTTTATCAAGATAAGGACATTCCTCTCACTCATTTTTCTGTGAGTTTTTATCATGAATTGTGTTGAATTTCTTCTAGGACTTTGAAGACATAAAAGATTTTTTTTTATAGTCCCATGGGTCTCAGAAGCTCTGTTTCTTATTTTATTTAATTTATTTTTTGCAGTCTGTAGTCTTCTTGGGAACAGAAGACACTCCTCTTTTTTTTTTTTGAGATGGAGTCTCACTGTATCACCAGGCTGGAGTGCAGTGGCATGATCTCGGCTCACTGCTACCTCTGCCTCCCAGGTTCAAGCGATTCTCCTGCCTCAGCTTCCGGATTAGCTGGGACTACAGGTGCAGGCCACCACACCCAGCTAATTTTTGTATTTTTAGTAAAGACAGTGTTTCACCATGTTGGCCAGGATGGTCTCAATCTCTTGACCTCGTGATCTGCCTGCTTTGGCCACCCAAAGTGCTAGATTACAGGCATGAGCCACCACACTTGGCCTCCACATTCATTTTTAAAGAACATTTTCTCTGTATATATAATAAAAAATTTGCACTTTTTCCTTTTGTCATTTCAAAGTTTATTATTTCATTATCTTCTGGATTTGACAGTTTCTGTTGAAAAGTCTTTTGTTGCTCCTTTAAAGTTAATGTGGTGTTTTTATCTTGCTGTTTTTAAGATTTTTGGCATTGTCTTTAGTTTTTAGCAGGTTGATTATGAGGTTTCTAGGTGTGATTTTCTTTATAGTTATTTATCCTTTTGGCGGTATATAGAACTTTTTAAATTTGTTGTTTTGCGTTGCAAACCCCAAACATTTGAGACAGGTCTCAGTTAATTTAGAAAGTTTATTTTGCCAAGGTTGAGGGCACATGCCCATGACACAGCCTCAGGAAGTCCTGATAACATGTGCCCAAGGACATCAGGGCACAGCCTAGTTTTATAAATTTTAGGGAGACATGAGACATCAATCAATATATGTAAGAAGTACATTGGTTCCATCCAGAAAGGCGGGGATAACTCAAAGTAGGGAGGGGCTTCCAGGTCACAGGTAGGAGAGAGACAAATGGTTGCATTCTTTTGGGTTTTTGATAAGCCTTTCCGAAGGAGGCAATCAGAAAATGCATCTATCTCAGTGAGCAGAGGGATGACTTTGAATAAAATGGGAGACAGGTTTGGCCTGAGCAGTTTCCAGCTTGAATTTTCCTTTCAGCTTCGTGATTTTGGGGGCCCAAGATATTTTCCTTTCACGGTGTCTTTTTGTAAGTTTTGAAAATTTCTTCATTCTCTTCAAATATTGCTTATTCTTTATGCTCCTTTTCTCTCATCTTTCAAATTCACATTAGCCTTTCATCATATTCCAATGTCTCTTACATTTTTCTGTATTTTCTATTCTTCTTATCATGCTTCAGTCTAGATATTGTCTGCTGATCTGTCTCTTTCATTAGTTTTCTTTTTTTGTGTATGTTCTCTGCTCTTAAACCCATCTATTGTACTTTTACCTTCCATTGTATTTTTTAGTGACTTAATTTTAATATTTTCCTTTTTTAAAATTTCATTTTTGCGTGAGGATTCTCCAGTTTGCCATATATTTTCTTGAACATACAAATTAGAGTTATTTTAAAGTCCCTGTCTGATGATTACAGAAAATGAATAACTTGAGTCTACCTATATTGCCTATTTTTTCCTCAGAGATTGTGGTCAGTTAGACCTATTTCCTGGCATGCTTAGTGATTTGGGATTGAATTGAAAATGGTGTATGAAAAATTTTAGAGGTTCTGAAAGATGTCATCTTCCTTTAAAGAGGGTCGATTTTTCTGGAAGGTAGTCAGAAAGGGGGAAAATTATCTTGATCCAATTAGAGAGTGTAATGATTCTAGGGTGGATCCTGGCTTTTGTGAGTCCTCATCTATTTCCTGTTTTTCATTTCTTCTAGGACTTAGCCTTTCAGTTTTGAGATATGAAAACTTAGGTTTACCAGGTTCCAACTCCTTGGAGAATCTGAACTATAATTTTGGTCTCCCTGTCACTACACGACTGCCAAACTCTGCCTTTCTGTTTTAGCCTCTTTGCTGCATTTTGTGCTTCACTTCTTGTCCTCTTGTCTTATGCCGTTTAGGAATTGGGAAATGCTTCAAGGGGAAAACGGTACAGATTGTTGGAATATCTTCTCTGTGATTCCATTTTTTTCTCTCTGTCTACAATCTTAGTCCCTCAAGTCTTGAATGCATTTAAATATTTGTACTCCAATTTTTCTCTCTTCAGCTTCTGAGAATGCTAAAAGCCCCACACCACTTAAGAATCATCCAATAATTTAAGAAGAAAAGCAGTGGGAAATGCAGAGTCTATACCTCAGTGCTTCACTGAATGTTTGTGTCTTCCCCAAATTCATATGTTGAAACCCTAACCCACAAAGTGATGGTGTTAGGAGGTGGGCCTTTTTGGGAGGTTGTTAGATCATAAGGGTAGTGCCCTCATAAATGGGATAAATTTCCTTATAAAAGAGGCCCTAAATAGCTGTCTTCGTCCTGTGTGCCTGTCCTACCATGTGAAGACTCAGCTTGAAGGCGCCATCTAGGAAGCAGGAAATGGGCTCTCACAAGAGACCACATCTGTAGGAGCCTTGATCTTGGACTTCCCAGCCTCCAGAACTATGAGACATACATTTCTGTTGTTTATAAGCTACCTAGTTAATGGTATTTTGTTATAGCAGTCCAAATGGAATAAGACGCTCAATATATTTTCCTTTTATCTGAGACCCTGGCACTTAAAATTTTTGCTGCCTCTGCCACTCTTTGATGTCTTCCAGCCATTAAAAATATATATCTAGCTAGCTATTTTTGTTATTTCAGTGAGAGTATTGGTTTGAACACATGCTACTTCATCATAGTGGGAAACAGAACTCACCCAAGCCTGTGCATTCTAAATATTGCTTCAGCTAAGACTATAATAATTTAGGCATAGTTGTATTCAGGACATTTTCTCTAGTTTACTTTGCCCATTTTCCTTGATTCAAATTTTTCTGACTAGATTATTTTCTTGCCATAGAACTTTGTAGGCCAAAGATAGATTAAGATCTTTAGAGTTCCAAGATGAAGAAAAGACAAGTTGGCCTTCTCCCTTTCACAAAAAATTTAAAAATAAAAACAACCCTACAGTGTAAAACAAACATGAGAAATAATTCAATTTTTTCTAAAAGCATATCAAATGTAAATTATTTCCAAAATTTTACAGAGCTAAGCTTCCTGAGTATAAATCCTGGCTCTGCTATGCAGTAGGTAGGCAAATTACTTCATCTCTCTCTTCAGTTTCTTCAATTGTGAAATATGGAATAGTGCCTGCCTCATAGGATTATTATAGTAAATGATTTAATAAATGTATAGTACTTAGAAAAATGTTCCACATGTAGTAAGCACTCGATGTCAGTTAATGTAAAAATTTTCCAACATCAACAGCAAGAACCGTTAAATACATCCACATATAACTTACATGTACTCATAACAAATATTTATTTATTTATGTATGAGTAGGGTTAAGTTTGATTTACTTGGAGCCATCCAGTTTTAGAAAAGTTTATGATAACTCAACATTTTTGTTCTTTCTTTTTTCTTCTTTTCCTTTTTTTGAGGTTGGGGGTTGGAGAGAGGCTCTCTTCCCTATTAGTAGGAAGAAAAAGGAACCATTTCTTTCTACTCTTCAACATTTATTTCCCAATAGTTGAGTCATTCAACATGGATTGAGGATTCACTGTGTTCTGGGTTGTGTGCTAACTGTAGTGTTGTACAGATGAATAAGATTTCATCCTTTCCCTGAAGATCTTTGTAGGCTTATCAGAGTCAGACAGATAAAGAAGAAATGACATACACACTTGAGCCATCTACCCTGTGGCAAGGTGTCAGAATTTTATAATATATTAACTTTATTATCCTCCAAACAACCTTAAGATGTAGGTACTGCAGCTCAGAGGACTTAAGTAGCTTGCTCAAGGTCCAGCCATAAAAAGATGAAATTTGAACCCAGTAGCTCTAAACAGTAGGTCCAGGCCTGCCCATTAACGTTAAGACAGAGGAGACAGCAACATCCCTATGTACAAACATCGACAAAAGACTGGTTAGAATTGCATGACCCAAACCACCTGTTAGTTCAGGTGTGTGAGCCCAGGTCAGACTGCTTGTTTAGTGGCATTTACCAGTTATTTCTGGCAAAGTGGTCAAACTAATAATAGGCAGCCTTGACATTTTTACAAAGAGTGAAAAATAAGATGCAGAACTATTTTTGAATGGATATTTTTAAATTTGGTGAATCATTTTCACCTTAAAAAATGACTTGTCAATTAGAAAATAAAATGGCACATATTCTCTTCAGTGTAGTGGGCTGTGATTGGAGAAAGCTCTCATGTGTATTTCCTGTGATACTTTCAACTACATTTGGGTTAATTAACCAAATTGGTAGGAATCTGAGCTCTAAAGAGATCACCATCATGCCTTCAACCTCACAGAAGACTGGTAGCTTCCTTCACTCTAAGAGGAAATTCTAAACCTAGGTAGTTTGCAAAGGAAAATGAGTAGGTAGGCAAATTACTTAATCTCTCTCTTCAGTTTCTGGTTGAAGCATGTTGTAGAAAAAAAGGGCTACATGCACCCACTTTTCATTTTGAAGGTCAGTTCACTGCATTTTTTTTTTTTTTTTTTGAGACGGAGTCTCACTCTGTCACCCAGGCTGGAGTGCAGTGGCATGATCTTGGCTCACTGCAACCTCCACCTCCCAGGTTCAAGCGATCCTCCTGCCTCAGCCTCCTGAGTAGCTGGGAATACAGGCATGTGCCACCATGCCTGGCTAATTTTTTGTATTTTTAATAGAGACGGGGTTTCACCGTGTTAGCCAGGATGGTCTTGATCTCCTGACCTTGTGATCCACCGGCCTCAGCCTCCCAAAGTGCTGGTATTACAGGCGTGAGCCACCATGCCCAGCCAGTTCACTGAATATTTTAATAGTTCACTGAATATTTTAATACTGCCCAAGGCAGTATAAAGTATACTTAGTCTTAAAAATGCTAAACCAGTCAAAGTAAAAGTGTTGGTTTTTTGCTAATTTTCAAATTAATCCATTTAAAGTCCTGAATTTTAGGCATTTTTTTTTTTTTTTAGAACTGAGAACTTCTTATTTCAGAAGACATCACCTATTAGCAGAATGTGGCACTGCAGTTTTTCTCTCTTAAATGCTAAAGCTGCATAAAGAGGAGGAAGAATTAATTAGGCAGCTATGGATTAGAGCCAGAGAGATGGTAAATTAAGCAGCTCAGAGAACGTGGGTCCAGGGAAAGCTAGAAGGGTATGTTTCTCTGCCTCTTCCGGTTCCCTCATTTGTATGATGTGCATTTCTGAACATAAAAGCAGAACAATAATTGGAACAAATTGTCAGTTTATGAATTGTGGCTGTTGGTGAAATCTGCCCCTAGTGAGGCTTTAGGTAGACATTGGATTCCATTGTCCTTGTTCAAACAGGTAAATTCCCAGCTGTCATTAATCTGAAATTAAAGGAGGAAAGTTCCTTATAGTTTGATTTCGGTTTTGCAGTGCCACAGCTAATCGCATCAGGAAAATAACTTTTTAAATAAAAATCTATCTTTTCTCCCAATTGGGGCTGGGACAGAAATAAAGGAAGATGAAAAGGAGGATGGAGTAGGACGATTCTATGACCAAGTGATTTGAACATTAGTCTTATTATTAAAGAAGCAATTTCTGATTCTACTAAAGAAATTTCATTCTTTTACAGTGACACAAATGTAATCTGCCTGGCTGACTTAGGTTCCATTTATATTTTGTAGCACCCCAGAGCTACTCTTTTTTATTTATTTATTTATTTTAAGAAACAGAATAGAAGTCGTTATAAGCCTAGCATATAAAGGTCCTTAGGGTTTTGAGGGCAGTCTCTTCTCCCCTGCCTTTTAACTCCTTGTCCTTTGTTTGGGCATACATTTTCTGAATGTCTTTTTCAGAGTACCTTCTTGTGAGTTTCATTGATTTTGTTTAATCGGCTTCCCATTAATTAAGAAAGAGAATTAACTGGGAAATAGGCACGTGTGCAGAGTTAAAAGTAAGCTAGGGTCGTCGTAAAGGAAATAAAGCTGATGTTAGAAAACATGTGAGATAACCCTTTCATTCTATGGCTCTGGGCTTTCATTACACTTTGTGTTTGTGGAACACTGGCCCTGTTTACTCAATGTTGAGTCTCAGCAAAGGGGTGTGGATGAGAGGACTCAAGAGGGGAGCATTTGGCACCCGTATGGCCCCAAAGCACAGT
Source organism: Homo sapiens (assembly GCF_000001405.40). Classification (NCBI taxonomy): domain Eukaryota; kingdom Metazoa; phylum Chordata; class Mammalia; order Primates; family Hominidae; genus Homo; species Homo sapiens. Next base: position 101,791,737 of record NC_000008.11, on the reverse strand, counting down.
TTTCAGCTTACTCACATGGTTATTTTAAAGTAACACTGTTTTGAAACTCCTTCGGTCCTCATTTTTACCTAGACATTTTACAGTACAGGAATCCTGAATTTATGTTATCTGATGTCTACATCCTACTTGGTGTCAGGATCATTAGACTGTCTTACCTGTCTCTGAGTCATAAGCCACTGTCATGAACCCAAGCCACTGTTTTTTATTTTTCTTTCCATCACAAGCATGGTCTCAGTATATCCATGTAGACTCTGATATAGTTTTTAAAATACATTTTCTTCCAACCCCTCCCCCTGAGCTTCTGTTTTTATATATTTGCTTGCAAATAAGTTTAATTGGCTAAGAAAACTACTCCAGAATTTTTCAGTTTCTTTCCTTTTGTTATAGAGAAAGAGAGAGAGAGAGACATGCTTCATGCTGATGGTAGTGAAACAAATGAGAACTTCAGGGTGGCATATATTTTCCTGCAAGTAACTGTAGAGAAAAGACACCAAAGCCTTAAAGAGGAAAGTTGTAGGCATTCTGGAGTCACAACTTCGGGGGTTGAGGTTGTCAAGGAGCTGTCCGTGATGGTTCTATGGTGTGTGCGTACACACATACTCTCTCTCTCACACACACACACCACAGTGACAGATGACCTATTGAAATAATTTCAGAGCCGGTCTGTGGTTGCTACGACAACCAATGATCTCTTGGCTTTCATCTGGCCATGTGACAGGGACTTTGACGTCAGCTAGAGGCAGAGTCTGTGGCTGAGTCCACACAGTCAAAGGCTTGTGAGAATCTGGTGGATGCTGGACCTTGCTGCTGCTGCTACTGCTGTTTCCAGGGGCTGCAGAGCATGGACTGTTAAATCTTGCACTTCTTCTGAGTGAGGTAATTAGTTTGCTTTATATACAATAGTTAGATGTTTTTATAGCTCATTGTGGTTTTCCCCTCTCTCTTACCTCCTACAAGTTTGTATTCATGAGCAATTATTGTTGTACCAAGGGGAAAATGTGAAGCAGCTTCTAGTTGTGAATTTCAGGCAGGTTCTCTGGAATTTGGTTAAATTTGGATTAATGTTTTGTGAAGTAGGTTAAAATATAATCGTCTTGCTTGCTCAACACTTGCTAACATAACATTATTTAGACATACGGATTTTGCAGCTTGAGCCAAATATTCTCTCTTGAATTCCAGGAATCCTCCCTTCAGTATTGTTTTGGGTTTAAAAACTCCAGCATAGCCTTGCAATGTGTTTCTAACTTTTCTTTTTACAATTGCTACTCAATTCTGAATCAGCCTAAAATAGTTTGGAATTTGGTTTCTATCTTGTTTGCAGCATTCATATTTAGCAACAATAGGAACCACGGGAAATAACATTATAACTGAAACAAAAGTTGGGATTTTGCTTGTAAGTAAAACCTTTGGTATTCTGAAAGTACCAGGAAAAATTGTCAACAGTTTCCTGTTTAGAGAGAAATAATCGGGAATATGCCAAGGAAGTTGGGGTGGAACCTTTTACATGTGTGCATGCAATTGCTTTTTGGTTGTTAGAGCAAAGTGCATATTTCCAGTATCCTCCCCTGAAAATTCAGCTGTGAAGAGAATGGCATGAGGTGGTCTTTACTAAGGAGTCATGTAAGCTGTTGTTATTTTTAAAAATCGTCATAATTACCTAAAGAAAAAAACAATAGCCCTAAAATGAAAAGTATCATTGACACAAGTTCTACTTTAACTCAAACACAGATAGAAGTAGTCACTCACAATTTGCTCTGGATCTTAAATGAATAATTTGATAACTGTGATTAATAAGAATTTTTATCTCTTTATTCCTATAATACTATTTACTACAAATTGTTTTCTTTGTATTGTAGTTCCTTTCCTTCCCAAGTTTAGTAATTTCAGATTTTCTTTCATGACATACAGGTTGAATTGTTTTGGAGCTTCTAATTTAAAGAATACCTGTAGTACTGAAGTTAGCCAAAGTCTAGATTTATAACCAGGTGTCTAAATCTTACAAGTTTAACAGAAAAAGGGGCAAATTTTAGAGCACTACATGTAATACAGCTAGTATTTTAATTAGTAGAAGAAACTGGTTTAACTGTATATATGAATACCATATATTCACAGTGTGTGAATTATATCGTAATTTAGTGCAAGAATATATTGTTTTAATTTTTATGTTCTTTATTAGTTTCAGAATTCTAATAGCATTTATTTTACTCTTGGAGGTGAAAAATTTTGAACAGTATTTAGCTACAGTAATAAGTGAATAACTGTGGGTATATCAATAATTTCTCAGTAGCTTTCAATGAGTGAATATTCATTTAACTTGCTGGCATTTGACATGTCTGTTTTTGGTCAGGGTCTCCGTGGAGGATTTTCCAAAAGTCTAATGTGCTTTCATTCCAGGCACATCTACTGAGACATAATCTCATCACTTAATTGATCTCAAAATTATAATAACCCAGAGGCCATATTCTTAACACCCCTAGAAAAATGATAATTTATATGTAACATTTCAGTTGAGCACAGATAAGACCAGTAGCACCGTCATTTAACAGCACTATCTTTGATGAGGTACACTTTGACATTTACTTCTTTTACTCAAAATGTGGAATTATCATTATAGTTTTTCCAGGTAGCAGAGATTTTCTTGGTGCTGTCTCTATGACATTTTAAATTAAAGTCTTATAATAATTGTATTCAATGCTCTTTCAAAATAGACTATATTTCAGCGGTATGAAATACAAGAGAATAATTCAGCGTTGATGGCAAAATCTCAATGATGAAGTTTATCACTAAAAGAAAACAACCTATGCTGTGAAAGCAGAGATGCTCTAGAATCTACAGGTCTTTTCCTATGGGAAAATAAGAGAAAAAAAGACTGTCATCAGAATCATTTTACAGCATTGAGACTATGTTGATTTCAAGGTCATGTTTGTTGCAGCTTCAAAAGATGCTGGCAAGGAACGAGGTACTCTAGAAACCTGGCTGTTGCATTATTAAATATTTTGTGTATAGTTTCGGACATTCTTAACCCGTTTGGTGCTGTGGACCTCTTTGGCAGCCTGGTGAAGCCTATGTACTTTTCTCAGAATTATGTTTTTACATGCATAAAATAAAGTATGCAGGTTTACAAATCAAACCACTTTCATTCATTGAAAAACGTTAACTAAATTTTACAAAATTGTGATACATGCTTTGTTAGTAACACATTATTACATAATACAAACTAACAGCAGTTATAATAACTACCATAACTACCATAATTTTGAAGTAATGGTGAGCATAAAAGATATTTCAGGATATCTACAACAACTGTAAAATGAGGTGAAAATATCTGTGATTTCTCTTGGCAACAATATCACAGGTGCTGTGGCTTGTGGCCTACATTTTAATTGAAGGAAATACTAAATTTCAGTTTGAGGTTAGTGAAACTAAAGATATAATATTTTTCCCAACCAAGTTCCCCAGGCCCTCTTGAATTTTATCCACCCCTGAGTCAATTGATATGTACGTTAGTGATGCCAAAAGGTGATAGAACTGCACTGGACAAAACCCATCACCCCATTTCCACATTCGGTTCCACCGCATCGGATTTTATTCTTCGAGTGTGTGAATTTTGCAATGTTCTCTAAATTCTGCATGAAAAGGAATAATATGTTCACATAGCTACCAAATTGTAACTTTCTTTTATTTTCCTCCTTGAGATCCATTAACAACAGTCTTATGTCCCCTGGATTGGGAAACCCTTACCTGGTTAGACAGGGGTTAAGAGGAAAACTCATAGTGTTAGTACAAGTTATGCGAGTTAAAACCATGGGCCACAGAAGGTAGTTCATGTGCTCATAGCATTTGAAGCAAGCATTAAAGAATGCATGTGGCTTTCCAGCTTAATGTAAAGCACATACACGTGTGAATTGATCAATTGTCATGTTAATTCCAGATACTCAAGAGAGAGCCCTAAAGGTTTATCTGACAGAGGTCTCTAGGATGAGGCATGTTTGAAATTAAGCTGGAAGTGGAGACACTTCCCAAGTATCTGAATGCAGAACCTTATTTGGCTTATTGGATATTTAAGACCAATACAGGGGGTATTAATAGTATTGTTTAGTGTGACTTATGTAAGTAGTTGTCTCATTCAACATGTTTCTTTAAATGTGCAGAAAATAGTGCCTGATATTCCTCTCCAAACCAACAGCGTAACTTTGCAGTTGGTCAGCTGCCGTCACAGCCCTATATTCAGAATGTCCAAAGTCATCCTTTCTATGACATCAACACCCACTGTCTCCGCGTAAGAGAATGGGAGCTATGACATTTTGCACAAGCTGTTGTTTAAATTCAATCCAAATCCCTCGCATTTGAAATGGAAGCTTAGCAATTTGTCTTCGTGTGTTCTCAAAGGAATTACGAAAGAGATGTTCTCAAACGTTTCTTATTCTTTGGATTAGAAAAGAACACTTGCCTTGGGAGCTTTGAGTCTCTAGCAACTTGATAAAGAAACTTGGAAAAAGTTTAAAATCTCTGACTCCAGGCTGTACTGTTTGCTTCTCAAGCCAGGTGTTTGAAACTTTTCAAAAAGGAATGTGCCATTATTTTTCATAAAATCCACATTTATTTAACTGGTGCTTCATGATGGAAATCTAACTAGAAATAGCATTCCAAAATGTAGTATTTTTTATTGTTTTCAGAAGTGATACCATAAAAGTTAATGTTCACTAAGATTTTGATATAAAAATTATATGATAAATATTGAAATTCACTGGAGCCAAACTAAAAACAGTCTGCCCTTTTTATCTCAGTAGTGAACTTTAGGGGGTTTTTTGCATGTATTTTCATAAGTGCCTTTAAATAAAGACACGGCATCCCTTTAAAATTTAGTTTACATTAATGTAAACCAGAATATTCTCAGGTCACAATGCAGTTTTATATTTGATTTGTAGGAAATAAATCTCTAGCCTGAAAGACATTCCAGCTGTTGCCTGTCTTCATGGGAGGATTGTTCACATTTTCTGAATCTCTCCCAGTGACTGCAGGAAGACCAAAGGCTGCACATTGCTTTTATGCAAGGATGAATTTTTTTAAAAGATGATTTTGGATTTTGTTTGCTTTAATGAATTTAAGCCCTATCTATTAGAGGTAAATGTCAAGAAAACTGTTGTGTTCTTTGGCTATCTGCTCTGCTGACTCCCACAGACTTTGATATGATTCATATAACTCAAACCATGATCAGGTTTGTGACGACCATATTTACAATATCGTTGGAGATCAAAAATAGCATCTCACAAAAGTTTCCCCGTCCTATACCTTCCCACATCTTATCATGGATCATGTGCAGCACAGTCACTCAATTGGCGAACATTTATTAACGGACTACTGCATTCACAGTATTATAGTAGGCATGTGAGGTCCTCCCCTGATGGGATCCTCAAGTGAGATATGCTGCTGGCATAGAGAACCCAAGGGCCTTTATGGACCCTGGCTTTTGTTTGCTTGAGCTTTTATTCAAACATTCAGTCTTTCATGCATTCAGCAAATTTTGAGCACATACTACGTGTCAGGCATTGAGCCAGACCCCAGGGTTGCTATAAGGTACAAGACAGGGCAGGTCCCTTCCATCATGGAATATGCAGTCTAACTATGTAGAGAACTTGCCCAGAGACCTATATGTACTATTAACTGGGGTTCTCTTTCCCACAGCCACACTGGCCACTGCAGTCCAAAAGAGAATTCTAAAAGGAAACAGTACAAAACAGAACATCAAAACAAAACAGACAAACAACCTGGGAACCATTAGGTTTTACACCAGAGTGAAACCCCAGAAGAGACATTCTGCAGCTGGTGAACAGCCGGCCTCATTTGTGAGCAATCTGTTCCCATCAGTGTCAGGGATTCCAGGTCGGTATGCTCAGTCCTATTCCCAGTTGGCCAGAGGCTATTTGTCCTCTAGTTCAGAAGACAAATGAGACTGGTAGGGACCGACCTAGAGAGTATTTTCTTTTATGCAAATACCCTGTTTCATACAAATAATGAAAACCATTGTATTTTATGAAAGGAGTCTTTAAATTAGTGATATTTCCAAAAATATCTCTCCCGTCTTCCCTGTACTAACCCAGTCAGGACAGGGTCACTGCTGTAATAAATAGCCCCCAATCTTAATGGCATAATCCAACACTGTTCATTTTTCACTCACCCAGAAATCAGGATTGGGCGAAGGGCTCTGCTCCACACAGTCCTCCAGGGACTCAGGCTCCTTCTATCTAGTTAAACTGATCAGGGGCCTGTTTCTACCACTTGCTAGTGATACTCTGAGCAAGTTACCTAAATCAGAGTTTTCTTATGTGAATAATATTAGGGCATCCCTCTTGGATTTTTGAGTCAATTTACTTGGCATAGAAACTGACAGGTATTAGGTACTCAATAATGTGAACTGCTGTTATTAATCTTCTACTTCTGGTAGTGCTGCCACCACCATCCCCCGAGGAGGCAGGAAGAATCCGTCAGAATTGGAAGAGTATTATAATAATAGCTAACACTTAGGAAGCTGGATAGTCTTCAAAGTTCTTTTCAAAGTAACTATTTTTTAACAACATTCTAGTTTTATAAATGAGGAAATTGAGGCACAGAGAGCTTAAACAAATTGCTGAGTGTCACACAAGTATACAATAGAGCTCTAGGCATTTGGCTTCAGAGTCCTGGCTCTTTATTCACTATACTATATTGCCTTTCAACTTGGAATATACAGCAGAGCCTCAAATACCGTCATTTCATTCAACATCGTTTTGTTGTAATGTTAATGAGAAAAAATAATTGGTTTTGTTGTCAATGATGTTGTGAGGACTTACTATTATATATTGTATTTTCCCCAGAATTAATGTTATATGTTGTGGCAGATTGTATTCAAAAATAGCCTTACAATTGAATCCATTACCACATTAAAAAAATTTTTTTTTAGAGATGGGTTCTCACTCTGTTGCCCAGGCTGAAGTGCAGTGGTGTAATCATAGCTCACTGTAACCTCAAACCTGGGCTCAAGCAATCATCCCACCTCAGCTGCTTGAGTAGCCAGGACTATAGGCGTATGCCACCATGCCCAGCTAAATTTTTGTTTTTATTTTTATAGACTTGGGGTCTCACTATGTTGCCCAGGCTGGTCTTGAACTCCTGTCCTCAAGAGATCCTCCCACCTTGGCTTCCCAAAGGGCTGAGATTACAGGCATGAGCCACTGCATTACCATATGTTCTTCTAGAATCTTGCTCCTCTCCATCAGGAGGTGAAGTCTATTGCCCCTCCCTTTGAACCTAAATGGGCTTATGATTGGTCCAACTGATAGAGTACAGTGGAAATAATGCTAGGTGACTTCCAAGGATAGATCATAAAAAGAATACAATTTTTTTCTCTCTTGCTATTCTTTTTCTTCTTGACATTTTCCCTTAGAATCCAGTCACCATATTGTAGGAAACCCAGACCACATAGAGAGGCCAAGAGTAGGTATTTCAGCCAACATCTCTTGCTAAAGTCTCAGCCGACATCCAGCATCAACTGGCAGGCATGTGAGTGAGCAAGCTGTCAGATGACTCCAGGCCCGGTCATCAGGTCTTCCTTCCCCCTCCTGATGCCAGGGAATCACAGATGCACTATCCCTGCTGAGCTCTGCCCCAGGTTGCAGTTTCATGGACAAAATAAAAGTTGTTACTGTTTTAAGCCCGTAAGATTTGGGGTGTGGGGGGGTAATTTCTTAGGCAATCAGAGTAACTGGGACATTTGGGTAATTAGAAATGAGTGAAATGCCTGTGTAGAGGGCTAAACTTCAGGTACATATGGATTATTAAATAGACTTTTGTGATTTGGCCTAACCTAACCTAATTTCTGGAGGAAAATATATTTCTGTTACCAACCAAATTACAAATGAGCTTTTGGAAATTTGGAACAATGTCCTACAGGTTAATGCTGTTGCTGGTTCTAGGAAAAGATTTGGGCTACACTGAGGCCAGACTGCATGCCTTAGCAAGATCTCGCTCATTGGCCCCCACTGACTGGGACCCTCCCTGCAGGAGAGTGCAGTGTGGATGGCAGTACTCGTATCATCTGTCCTAGACCATCATAGGACATGCTCAGTCCTCCTTGTCCACTTTGTCTCCCTCTCCCATACCTACTCTGTCTAAATTGCTGCCTACTTTTCTATTGTTAGAAACTGCTGTATCTTTGACACTATTTTGGCCCATTTCCTATGCTTCTAGGGCAATGTTTTCTGCTCTACTGGTTTGTAGTAAAGCTAGGGTATTCTCCTTAGCCAGGTAAAATTTAGCTAATTCAACAAAATCTTATGCCTCTTAACAAAATTGCCAAAATGGCAGCTGTCCCATTGGTCTGTGGCTCCATGTGTTGGTCAAATCTAGCATTTGAAATCCTCAGAAATGTGGTCCTTGTGTCCTTACTCAAAGAGGCATCCCTTTCCCTTCTGCTGTAGAGAAATCAATGCCCCAACTCTCTTCTCACTTACTTAAACTTCACCCCATCCTAATAGTCTACTCCTCTTCCCTTAAGAAGACTCTCATTCATTTATTCATTCAGCATTTGTTAACTCTGTACAGTGAGCCCTAGAGTTAAGTGCCTATGAAAATATTCCTTTCATGTCCAAGGACTGCTAAGGTTTCTCCAGCTGTTCCTCATTTGCTTACCATAGACACAGGGCAGATGTGGTGCAATCACCCAGACTTTTCAATAACCGGGATATATCCCATCTCATCCAAGATATTTCAGCTAAGTAGGATACTGCATGAGTAATATAGGACCAGCCAGTCTTTGAAAAGGTAACAGTCTAGTTAGGAAGGCTGGATGGCATCTGCATTTGAGGGCCAGAGCTACGTCTTCCACACTGGCTACAACTTCCCACAGTGCCCAGCATCATGCAGGACATACAGTGCCTCCTCTTTACATCTCTGTTAGGTGATTAGTGAACAGATTAACCCCAGAGGATATATGGCATTGAGATGACTTTGGAGAGGAAGTGAGCTTTGAGTTGGGCCTAAAGGATAGAGAGCGTCTGGCATGAGGAGCAAAAGTGAAAGGATAATCCTTCATTGAGAAGCATGATGAGAACATTCTAGTGACAGAAATAGGACACCTCCCCACCTGGAGTCAAGAACATGGTTGGGAAAAGGAAAAAATATATAATCTATATGGTGGGTCCATGGAGGATCTAGGATTTATCCACTTAAGCTGGATTTGATCTGATAGACACTAGGAAGCTGGGGAAAGCTGGGAGCAGGGAAGTGATGTACATGTTAAGTGGGGTGAGAATATTTTAGTGACTCTGTTTCTTTACACAGCTCATTTAAATCCCTGAATATGTGCTAAGTATTTTTGTCCATTTTTCTCATAGAAAAGTTTTAACTTCTTAAATTTTAAGAAATGTGAATTATCTTTTGCCCTCCGTAGGTGTGAGTAGCCATTTTAACTTTAGCTGGGTTATATCCGTAGGCAAAGCTGTGTAACTTCATAGTTTTAAACATATAACCTATTACTCATCAAAGTCATACTCATATAAGTTCCAAACCAAATGAACAAGTCAAGCCTTTAAAACATTTTCTATAAAACTATACTATAATGAGTATACAATGAAAATTTATATAAATATATATTATATGTATATTTATATATATATAAAACATACAATATATATATACTGAAACCCCTGAGACACTGCACATTATTCTGAAAAATCTTTGAATCATGTCACCAATGAAAAATTAGGTTGTGTTCAGTGAAATTTTAGTTGTAAGTTATGAGTGCATTGCATTACATTACACCTGAAATCTTTGAATACTGATCATCAATATAAGTGTCTGGCAACTATCAGAATGTTCTTAACCAGAGCATGCCATCTTTAAGAAAAATATTATAAATTATACATGCAAAAAAGTGTATATAACATATATGTACAATACAAAGAATAATAGAAAACAAATCCCTGGGTAGCCAACAAAAACACCATCTGTTAATCATTCTAGTGAAGAGTAATGCGTTGATATTGATGATAATTTCACTCTAGTAGCACACAGATTAGTACTGTCCCTAAGGTCCAACACCAGAAGAAATTGAATCGGTGATATGTTTTTTAACTATTTGATCACATAAAGATTTTAAACCAGTTGAGTCATTTATTTCAGTCTCTGATGGTGAATGAAAGGTATGTTTTCCACTTACAAAACATCACTTGCTATTGCTGCTGGCAATTGTGAAGGTTTGTAAATTGGTTTTTGTGTCGAGAGGCCTTTGCCCCAAGGCCATTGCCCATGTTGTGCTCCTTGTCACCTCCCAGCTATTCAGGAGGGAATGGTGAGGGAACCCTTGGTGAGCCCTGAGCTCTTGGTACAAGATCTGTATACTTAAGTTATTTAAAATGAATATTAATAGAAGACTAACATAAGACTATCTGAGTATATTACTAGGACTAGAAAGTCTCCCAGGTTGAATGGGACAACGTGGTACCAACCTTGGTACAAGCCCAACTGCCAGGGGTAGTTAAAGCAAACCATTCTCTCTCTCAGGGTATATATATATATTTTGGTATATTCAGAATATATTTCACAAAATAGAAGCTATTTAACCATTAAAGATGCAATCTTTGGTCCAAATTCCACTTTGCAAAAGAAATTGTCATTAGATCTGTTTGTGCCCACCTTGAAAAATGTTGATCAACTTCCAATTTTTAAAGGTCGATCTGTTACTATTTAGAAATAGAACTCTCTTTCTCCTCAGACTGTCAAAACAGCCTACGGATTATAGCCAAGGACTATACTGTTAATGAACCAAGAGTTTATTAACTGTTCCATCAGCATCCCCATCAGGAGGGGTATTTTGTTAGAGTCACAAACAGCACAAAACTTAGTTATGCTACAGGTTAACTAAAAGACACTGATTTTGAAATACTGTAAAAAAGGAAAGTTTTCACTGAAATCATGTTATATCATGTCTGGATTTAAAATTAACAGGGACTTTTTTTGTTGTGGTAAAATATGCGTGTAAAATTTACCATTTTAGCCATCTTTATGTGTACGTTTCAGTTCACTAAGTACATTCGCATTGTTGTGCAACCATTACTATTGTACATCTCCAGAGCTTTTTCATCTTCCCAAGCTGAAACTCCAACCCCATTAAACTCACTCCCTATTCACCCCTCCCCATCAGCCCCTGCCAACCACTGTTCTTCTGTTTTTAAACAGGGACATTTTGAGGGAATTTAAAATAAACCTGTCCTTCCTCTTCTCTTGCATAAGCTATTCAACTAATAAAATATCTGTTAAAAGTCCTAAATTAATTGGAAGTTTCTTAGGTTTAAACACATGGGCAAAATGTACACAAAAAAATAAACATCTGTTTCATGACAGATGTTTTAGACCTACAACACTGGGAATGTGTTCTTGATGTTAAAGGAAAGGAGATGGTAGGCTGAAGCATGTGTTCCAAATCACTTACTTAACCCAGTGCAATTTTTATATAATCACTCAACTAACCAGCCATTCAACCTGGGAGACTTTCTAGTCCTAGTAATATACCCAGATAGTCTTATGTTAGTCTTCTATTCATATTCATTTTAAATAACTTAAGTATAGAATCAATATATGTTTATGGTTGGACATTTGGAAAACACAGAAGAATATGAAAAAGAAAAGAAACATCATTCTTAATGTTTTACTGTCCAAAGTAACAACTACTAATATTTTAAAATTAAAAAGCATTACGTTTAATTTTACTTTATTTCAACAGAAGAAAAAGAACTCTGAAATGAAATTGAGGATTTGAACTTCACACAGCTGTTTGAAGTAAGAGTTACTGTTTCTAACTAATTTTAATTTATTAAAAATTAAAGATCAAACTTTAAGAGATTGAGGATTAACTTAAAAAAACATTGTTTCATAATGAGTACAGGCTTATATTTTTAGTTAATAAAGCTTAGTTAACTGTCTCAGGAAGACAGAAAAGACTGCAGATAATCAAACAAAAATACCCTTGGTTGGGAGAAGGGGTTTTAAAACAGAATTCAAAACCTAATCCCACCTTTAGGATTGTTCTCTTGGTGAAAATTATATAAAAAAGGGCAATCCGTAAGGAATATAGTTCATGAAGTCGTAAACCACTGCATCTAGTGACCTTCCCCTTTGACCAGAGAGGCTTAACTTTGTTTGCTTCTAATACCAGTGTTTTTTACATTCCACAAATTGTTTAAACACATACTACATTTTAGTTTGCTATATTTGGGCCATAATTGCCCTTTATGTATATTTATTTTTCTAAAGTTTCTAATTATCTTTGTCTTCTCTGACCTGGAGAAACTAAAATCTTCAGTACATATGTGGCATGTCATAGTTTAATTGTTGGTGCTTAATTATTAGTCATGGTAACCTCTTTCTTATTGAAGATGCTCTCTACTAAGCCCTCTGTGCTACCATTTAATGTGGACTAGATTTAAGCTCTTCTACTAGAATTTCTTTCCATCACAACTGGATTATTTTCATTGTCTCCACATCTACCCCTTTCTTAGACTCATTTTCAATTTTGCTAGAGCATATTTTTAATTTTTTTCAAAATAATAGAAGAAGGGCTGTATCTTTGTAGATCTTCATTTTGCCCTCATAATTGAAAAATAGACGCCAAATTACTTTCCATCACAATTTTATGGACTTTGTTTCACTGTCTTCTAGCAACCTGGAAAGCAGATGCAGAGTCTGCTGCCATTTTGATTTTGATTCCTTTATAGGTAGCTCCATCCCCCATCCCTCTCCCATGAACTTTTAGGATTTTCTTGTTGTACTTGGAGGTAATAAATTTTACCAGGAAGTGTCCAGATATTTTTTAAATTATTATTCCTCTTCAGGTTTTTTAAATCCAAAGATTCAAGGTTTATTCAGCCCAGAAAAATATTCTTCTATGATTTATTTGAAGTGTTCATCTCTATTTTCTTTGTTTTCTCCTCTAGTAGCTCTTACTATGGAAACGATACTAGGTCCCTTAGCTCTAGGAGATGTTAGGTCTCTTGGATCTCTCCTCTATGGTCTTAACTTTTTTCCCATATTTTCTTTCTTCCCTTTTATGTGCATTCAGAGGATTTTCTCAATTTTGTCTTCTGGATCTCAAATTTATTTTTGAGTCATTTCATTTCAATTATTCAGACTTTCCACTGAGCATCTTTGTAAAATCATTTTTTATATTTATGAATGTAGACTTTTCTCTCAAATATCCCTAAAAGTATTACTTTAAAAAAAAAAGTTACCTTCTTTGTCCTTTGTTCCAACTCCATTTCCTTTAGTATCAGATGTTCTGTTGCTCTTCTGGATCCTTCTTTCATATGTTCTATGTTTTCCTTCAATAACCAGTAACTTTTGACTGGCCCAATCATATTTATAAATGAAGGGCTGGGTTGACTGGCCCAATCATATTTATGAATGAACGACTGTGCTGACTAGTAGAGGTGACTGGAGGGATTTCTTTGGCAGTTACGTAGGAATGGTTTTCCACCACACTTCTCTTCCTGAATGGAAAGGCTGGCAGTTCGGCTCACAGGAGGCACATGTGACAGTGGGAAGCAGACAGGCAAGCCTGTGACTGTCCTGACTGCCAGGACCAGGAAGGCTTTATTTTTAGGGATGAACTACTTTTATGTACTGCCTTTCTGTACAAATCTTAAAGGGGAGTAGAAAGAGATGGAAAACAACATTCTTCATAGTCTTTTTATTAATTGCCTTGACTGTTCCTTCTCCCTATGGCTCCAGACCTGAATTCTTCAGGGTTCTGTTGAGAAGAACAGCTCTCATCTCTTCATTAGCTCTCTCTAAAATCTCTTTTACATTGTGGTTTTTGTTGGCTCAATCCAAACATATCTGTTGGCTATTTTCTATAAATTTCTTAAAATTTCTGTCTGCTGATGGTAACTTTTCTTGATTTCCATCCCAGTTCTTGATTTATTCTTTTTCATACACATTTTCCACCACTTAGTTGGAATTTTTGAATGAAGAATAGGCAGACTGTCATGTCTAGTCTGCCATCTTGAAGAGAGATTTTATTAACATCAGAGTGGCTGCCCCAGTGTGCTGATGTATGATTGGCACGAGGCCATGGTACATGCCTTACTTTTTATAAGGCTATTTCTCCTTCTTTCATGGCCCAGACAGCACCCCCAACCCTGATTGACCATATGATCAATATGGGTCATTTATACAAGGAGAACAAAGTGAAAATAGGTGGGTCACATGAGCCAATTCCATTCATCAGATCCACAATATCTGCCTCAACCAGGTACTGTATCATTCTTCAGGACTCCACTGAGTCCCATTCCTAACTTCCCCAGTACTCCTGTCAAATACAAACCTAAATTAGACCACTAACCATACAGTTCTACAATTTTCTGTCTGTCTTCTCCATTAAGCTACAAGCTTTCTGAATGTAAACATGGTGTCTCATTTCATATCTGTGTCCTCAGTGCACCCCACGGGGACTGGGATTAAGTACCCAACACAGACTGAATAACTCAGGGACTGAATGAATGAACAAAGAAATGAGCAAGCTTGATGTTGACCTGGGAAACAGGTGTGTTGTCTTTCTTTGCTGATGGGGCTAGTGACCTCCTTTTTAGTCATGTGAAGCTTTGGAGGAGGGTGTTTCAGGCAGAAGGAGCAGTATGGATGAAGGCCCAGTGGCAAACTGGGACATGTCTTTTGGGGGGAGACTGGTGGAAATTGTTCCCAAAGGGCTGTTGATTATTAATTCATCCAAAGAAAATCTCTAATCTCTGTTGTATCCTCTTCTGCAGAGTGGTAGTCTGACTACAGGGTTCTTATCTTTGCCAGTTCAGTGAGTGCAGGTCTAAATAGAGCTGTTTTGTTTTAGCAGAAAGGTTGCGTCCGCAGTTCAATAGGTGTCAGTAAATGCTCTTTCATGGTTCTATATAATCATGATTTAAAACCTACATCAGTCTTCTTTGCAAATGTACATTAAAGCATCTGCTTATACTTGTATTAAGTAGCATTACTTGTACTAAGTCCTCACTTCACAGGGACATTATGAAATCACAGACAGCTTAGAATGGAGCTTTCAAGTTGTCCTTGGGCCCCTGTTGCCTGCTGGAATGGATAAAGCATGACCCCCTCAGCCAACAAGCTCTGCTGCTTGTTGTGATGTTTGGTAGAACTTCCTTGCTCCAATGCCTCCGACTCCAGTCACCATCTGAAAGTCCTCCCCAGAGGTTGGAGTGCTTTGCCTCCTATTTCTGCAAACTTAATATTAAAAAAAAAATTACTGGTTGTCAAAAGGAAGCAGGCTGTTAATTCCTGGTTAATTGAAATTAGTCTTGTAATTTTTAGATGTGTTATTCTATTCACAAAGCAGGTACCTGATAAGTGTTTGTCAGTGAGTGAAAGAATGAATGACACATTAGAGGAAAGACTGGGTTTGTCTTTCCTGAAATTGGAGTTAAGGGGCACATTTGCTGGGAATTATCCCAGGTAAGCACAGGGATGTGCTTTTGATCACAGGCCATTTGTTCTTTCCATTTTAGCCATTTTCAGTCTGATCATTCATCTCTTGTCTTTGGGAATAATTAATTTCAGGTTTTAGAACATTACTAAAGACATCTCAGTGGAGTTCTTTTGTTTGTCTATAACAGGATTGTCTGGGGTTCATGCTGTTCCCAAGGATCTCACTCCTCACTTGATGAGGCAGAGACCCTGACTCCAAGGGCGTACCCATCACATCCCCAACTTCTCAGCATCAAACTGGGTTTGTTTAAGAATGAAGCCACTAGCATTAGAAGTGTGACAGTATAAGACAGGATATTCTCAGTTGTATGACTCAGGAGCCACCTTGGCAACCATCAGTGAAATGCTAGGTTATCCTAATAGGCTAGTGAGGTCTTGGAATGCTAAGTGTAAAGTCAGTGGCATAAAGGGACACGTTCTCAGCAGCCCTTGATGAAGTCAAGACTAGGGACACCAGGAGAGAAATGGCTGCATGAAGGTTGCACAGGCAGAGAAGATAAGGTTCTCATATTACTCCAACCTCCATCTGGATCTGAGCTGCTGGGTCAGTGGAGAGGAGCACCAGCCCAAACTGATCCCCCAGGGCTCTTGGTTGGAATCTTCCCAGAAGCCTGAGGGGAGAGGTATAATGTCTAAACACAGGGCCCTCCAGTCACTGGCATCAGAATCAGAGCCACAGCAGTGTGGTTGAAAGAGGCAGATTCCTAAGGCCAAATTCAGAACTTTTGAATCAGAATCTACAGAGGTGGGGCTTGGGATCTGCCTCTATAAAACCTGTGGTGATTCTTAACGCACACCAGCTAAACGTTGAGAGCCTCCTGTACCTCCTAATCTCTATAGGTATCTCGAGCTGTGGACAGATTGCCAAGCACCAGAAATTTTAGCCAAGCACATGTGCGGTTGGCACATAACATGAGAGGCAAGTTCTGTGCCCTTGAATTTAACAAGTAGTGCTGGAATACAGGCACTATGTTAGGCCTTGATGGCAATTCTTGCCTTTAGGGGACAGTAAGTTATGAAGTCATAATCTGTACTCCGAGCCCAATGTGATGAACCATATAGCATCACTAACAACTCCTGTAGTGGATTTATGCCATTGGTGACAAAGAGATCCGATGCCAGTAGGAAGTTCTCAGTCCAGATCACTACACAACTGGGAAAACAACCCTGAGCAAGTTTCCTATTTGTGAGGAGCAACCTAAGGATGGGACTAATCCACGAAGCTCCCAACAGAACTGGCACAGATCCCCTTAGTAGGGCTGCCCAAAAGATTGAGGCTGTCAGACCTGGATATCTGGGCACCCTAAGTTGACAAGTCTAAAGGGCAGAGAGCATGCTGCCTTTGTCTTTGTCTTCCTAGAAGACCTAGTGCAGCATTCAGCTTATAGTAGATAGAGAGAGCCATTGTTAAATGGTTCTTATGCAAACAAGGCTGACCTAGGTGCTGGGCCATGTGGGAATGTGGAAGCGGAGAGCCCAGCTAGTGGGACTGACATGCCTTGGGTAGATCTTCTCACATTCATGGCGCCTATTGCCTCCGCCATGACTCACTGCCCATGCACTCCATCACTTGTGAGACAAGATGTGACAAGCAGGCGCTGAAAGTTGTGCCTTGTAACCTAAATATGTCTCTTTCTTTTGCTCTTTCTACCTTCATGGGAGTAAACCTCTCTTCTAATCACACATGAGTTAATGTAAAGTTTTCAGAAATTAAATCACATTTCCCCAATGGTTAACTTGATCATTTCAGAGTTACATCATCATTGTGATTTTTTTTTCTCCTCAAGGGTAATAAATTAATGAACTATGCACAAGGGAAGTTTCTATTTTAAGAAAGCTGTGTGAAGTGGAAGAATACTTTGTTCAGTTATTTCTTTCATAGTAGGTCTCCGCCTTCTTTAAGCTGAAGCACACCTGTTTCAAGGAAAACAGTTGGCCAACAAGACAGCATTGGCTTTGTGGGAATGTGCCAAAGAAATTTCAAGATATTGTATTCTTTTGATTCATATTCCCAAGTTGCTCTCCAGAGGAAATATACTAGCAGAAGGAGAGAATAGCAGCCATTTACAGGTAATTAGTGAGTCTATGGTGTATGATTCATTGAATTCCATTCTAGATCCCTATTTATAATTATTGGAGATTTCTTGGCAATGCTTAAGAGACAAATTACCAAAATCCCCTTACTTGTCATAGCAGCATTTTAACTTTGCATAAGCGGTACTCCATGACCACTGAATTAGTCATTTTTCATTACCTACGTTTAAGGTATGTTAACATTAGTCCTCTTTAATAAATGAGAAAACAAAGTCCTAGTAAAGTTGATTCTGGCCCAAGAGCACATAATAATCAGAGTCGTGTCCATGATTCTTAAACCTCTTCACTCTGAGAAAGCACGTGTTTTTCAGCGGGAAATAGCCTCAATGGGAGGTACATAGGCCAACATTTAGGAAATGTGTTTTTATTTATATAACTAGTCCTATGTTTAGAAAAGGAATATTCAACTCTAGTCTCACATAAGAATCAGCTAGAGAGCTTTAATAAAATGCCACTGCTGGGGCCTCTCTCACAGGAGTTCTGATTCATTTGGTCAAGTATGAGGCCTGGGCATTGGTCTTTTGAATTAGGCGGGGAAAAAGCTTCCTAGGTGATGCTCAGGTGCAGGGAGGGTTGTGAATCCTGGTCCTGGCAAAATTCTAAATCTGACCCCACAGTTTCACCCATGGTCTCCACCATCCTACTATTAGAGCCCCTGCATGTGGAACCTTCTGGAAACTTATACAATTAGCCTGGCTTACAGCATTTTGTTATCAGAGAGGGAACATTTGCACAGAGTGGTTTAGCAGTTGAGCTGTAGTAGAGCTAGATTGCTCTGGCAGAGGAACAGGGAGAGAAGAACAAACCCACGGTATTGTGCGCTGAACTGACTGGTGAGGGAGGGGTGCAGCTGAGAACCCTAGGCTGCCTCAGGATCATGACTGGACAAGAGTGCCATGCTCCCAGGCAGGGCTTCTTGAAGATGAGTTGGTAGACCCTGATATGGAATGGAAAATCAAGGGAGGCTTCTTGATTCAGAGCAGCATGCCCTTTGAAGTCAGACTGCCGGGGTTCAAATCCTGGCTCAATCACTAAAGCTTTGTGACTGAAGCTTGGGCAAGTTACAGTCTCTCAAATGATTCATTTCCTGATTTGGAAAACAGAAGTAAAAAATTGCAACTACTTCATAATTTTTGGGGACAATAAGATGAGATAATATATGATATAATATACTAGGGTCTACTCCTACCCCTTTCTGGGGTCACTGGATCACCATTAAATTCTCTCTATTAAAATGGGGATGGACCATGACCCTCTCCTTTGAGGTAACCCATTCTCACAAGGAAATATAAGGTTAGATTTAAGATGGTGAACCAAATGTTGTCCCAGAAGCAAGAGATTTCATGGAAAACAATTTAGAAGGGAGGCCCTTGGCTTCAGAATAGTAGAGTAGAGCCATGGGACCCATGATATGTCCTTGGACCAAAGAATGAGAACAGGTACCAGGAGGCCAAATGGCATTGTGACCAGACTTGGGTCAAAGAACACAGAAAGCAATCAAAGCCTGAAATTATGGAGCCAAGTCCTAAGAGAATTGATAACCCAGAAACCAAGGAAGGTGTCCAGGGCTGAGGGCAGTGGGTTCAGGAATAGCATGCTAGAGAACAGGTAGAGAGTTGTTTTGTTCTCTGCCTCCTTGGAGAGTTCGCTAAGCCAAGGGGTTCCCTGAAGTCCAAATCTTAACAGGCCATTCTGACAAGTGTGTTTGCCACTAGGAAGATACGATTTCTAAATCAGAGTCCTTGGATTCTGCTCTAAGACTGTGGGCCTGTCGGCATTTCCCACAGTGGATCCTACAGAAGGCTGGTTCTAGGGTTGTTCCAGGATAAACATATTTGCTAGATGAATGAAAGTTAGCATGTTTCTTAATTGGAAGACTTTTCAGTCCTTTTAATTTGCTTGTAAACCTCTAAGAGGAGGATATGATAAGACACGTTTCCCAAACTAGTTTGACCATGGGACCCTTCTTGGCATTAGAATCCCCAACTCCTACAGTTTTTGCCATTTCAACTCAAAGCTTCTGCCTTTAGGCTAGACCCAAGTCTAGTCTCAGGGGTGTGTAGAACTCTCTGTGGGATGTGGCCTCATTCCCAGGTCCCTACCACTCAGGTAGAGGCACAAGATGAAGCTGTAAACTGAGTGGAAGGCCCAGGCCTGCCTTGATCATATTCTGTCTGGCACATAATTGCGACTCAGTGCCTATTTGTGGAATAATTATTCATTGAATGAATGGGATAACCTAGTTCATGCCAAGCTCTAATTGCTGACATAGATAGTACCTTGCGTATATCCAGGGTTAAGTACCCAACTGACCTGAACTTGTTGGGGAGATGTGTTTTCTTAGGCTATTTTGTATGAAACTAAGAATAATAAGGCATAAATTGTCCTGATTTGGTGCCTTTCTTTTCTCACTGATCCAAAATGACTTCATAATAACCTTGCCCATTTCACTTCAAAACAGTCATGAAAATGGTTTGCCAAAATTAAACTCTTCACAAATATAAAATATAATCCTAATAATTTCCTTAGGCATTAGATGCATTTGTTGATGTCCTGGTAGGCCCTGTAGTACCTGGTCTGAACCTTTGTGAATATCTAAGCATATGGCAGTAAAGCCTGCCCCCAAGCATGTTTTATAACCACAGACTTTGCAAGTTTAAATGGAGAAGACAGATGAAACAAGAATGGGCTATTTTCCTTGACTGTTTTATCTTGAGTAATATTTATTTTGAGCAGTTTTCTAAATAAGCAAAGCTTTTCTTCTATGCTTCATGCTCCTGCATCCTAGGAATGATGCATTTTGTGGGAATTTTTGTCCACCCCACCTCCACCCTGAACTTGCTGATCTGGAGGTACCATGATGCTAGCTGGAGTGGTCCCTGCCAAGGCTCTGCAGAGGGTCATGTCAGACACAGTCCTAGCCAAGGCTCTGCCTTGTGTGGGCGCCATATCTTGTTATTGTTTGTGGGTTTCATCCAACTGCACCTACCCGATAGCAGTTCTTTTTTTATTTTTATTTTTTGGAGGGGGTAGGTAGAAAGAAAAGAAAGTAACTTTGATATAGGGGTGGGGAATTGGAACTTAGATCCACAGCTACAATAGCAAGGAAAGTGAACTAATTTTGTCTGAACCCTCTTAGTTGCAAGATGTGTTTGAATTGAAGCATTAAATTTAAACCTTATTATCACACATAACAATGCATAAAATACAATGGCCATATTTTCTTAACCCTGCATTGTAATACGGCCTAAAGATTTTATCTATTTTTTAAAAAATGTATTTATATAAACAGTCTTCAACCCGCATAAAGATGAAACCACATTTAGTTTTAAATTTAAAAAATCACTGTGTTGAAAATAAAATCATTTGAAATCATGACTTTTGGGAAATCTTGACTGTGGCTGTCTCTGCCCTGTGCCTTGAGAGAGAAAGAAAGACTTGGAAGTCTGTGCTACTTGCCAAGTGTGTCAGGAGTCCTGCTTGTCCCAGATGACAGCTGGCACACACAGACAAGCCACTCGCTCTAACTTTGTTTTTTCCTGGTAAAGAAGTAGCAACTACTTGCCAGCCTGCTTCTTCTTTGCAGGAAGCCCCCCCAGGAGTTTGCATAGTCAATCTGTCATTTGAAATCATTTATTCAGTTTAAAGCATTACCATCAGAGAGTAAGAAGGAATCTGTTTATAAGGAGATTTTAGATAATGGGGAAAAATCCAGAAAAAAAATTTACAATAATCTTGCTACTGATTATAACATCATCTCTTGCTGACATTTCTTTAAGGGGTTAGTCTAGTATGTCAAGCATATGCAGCTGCTTGGAGCTCTTGATTTTTAGAAATGAATAATACAAGAGAACCAACTAATGTTCCTTAGCTCTTCAAACCAGTCTAGTACCTGCATGAAAACATTGGTTATTTTGGTATCCAGTTGGAGAGCACAGGGCCATGCAGCAGGATTTCTGAAAATCAAAGCTCTCTTCCTGAAATATATGGCCACAAAGGATGCATTTCTGGGATCTGATGTTTCCTGGCTTATTCAAATAATAATGATGGTGTTAGGAAACTTTTACAACTATAGGCCTCTTCTTTTCTTTATGCTCAATGCCAAGAACAACAAAAGCTTCATCAATCTGTGAATGATCTTTGTTCATGTTAGAATTCCGTCTCTGAGCTGTTGGTTCTCCCATCCAGGGCTTGTCTGCTCTCCCTTCAGTTAGGCTGGCCAGCATTGATCCAGAGTCCTGAGAATGTAAGTGGCTCAGCCTTTGTTAATTAGGTTACCTGATTCTCCGCATCCCCAGGCTAATTTTGTTTGAGATTTCACAGTGCTTCTAAATTTATAGACGTAAACAAACAGGGACACACTTTTCTTCAAGTCATTTATTAGAATCAAAATTAGGAAGAGTTTTTAACCTTCATACAGTTGAGCTGGTGAAAGATGCCGTTGCAGGTAAGTGTTGGAAATGTTCGCCAGTGTCTCAGCAAAAAGAAAAAAAAAAAAGGAAGAAAGAAAGAAGAAAATAAATGTGCATTTACTTCTAATCATGCCTGCTGGTTTTAGTTTTGTAAGCTGTGGGTCAGTGAATCAATGTGAGCCACTTCGAGGATGGCACGCCTAGGTTATTTTCCAACGGAAAGGAATATGGTCTATTAGGTTTGGAAATATCTAGAGTATGTTCACTTAAAAGCTTATAGGTAGTATATTATAATTCATTTTCTTTATGAAGAGGGAGAACTAGAGCAATTAGGACATCACTAATGAGCTGTTTGAAATACTAGGAGACATTATATGGATATAAATAAATTGAGCATAGAACGTCAAGTTTAATACTGGACACTATGGTTATAGAACACAAGAAGTAGACATTGTATTAGTTTTCTACTGCTGCTATAACAAATCATCCCAAATTTAGTGGCCTAAAAACAACAAATTGATTATTTTACAGTTCTGGAGGTCAGAAGCCTAAAGGTCAACAGAGCAGCCTTTCCCTCTGAGGGTCTAGGGGAGAAGCTGTCTTCTTGACTTTTCCAGCTTCTTGACATTGACTGCCTTCCTTTAGCTCACAGCCCACAGCACTCAGACCTTGCTTCCACCATCACCTCACCTCTGACTCCAAAGCTCCTGCCTCCCTCTTAAAAGAACCTGTGATAACACTGGACACACCTGAATAATCCAGAATAAGAATAACCTTCCCTCCTCAAGATTCTTAATCAGTTCTGCAAAAATCCCTTTTTCCCTGCAAAGCAACCCATTCACAGGTTTCAGGGATTAGGATGTGAATATCTTTGGAAGACCATTATTCTGCCTACCACAGACATTGAGATCATAGATAAATTAATTTACCCCTTCTTTTTTTAAAGTTTCTTTTTTCTTTCTTGCTTTCTTTCTTTTTTTTTTTTTGTTTTTTTGTTTTTTGAGATGGAGTCTCACTCTGTCACCCAACCTGGAGTGCAGTTGCACGATCTCAGTTCATTGCATCTTCCGCCTCCCGGGTTCAAGCAATTCTCGTGCCTCAGCCTCCCAAGTAGCTGGGATTATAGGCATGCACCACCACACCTGGCTAATTTTTGTATTTTTAGTAGAGATGAGGCTTCACCATGTTGGCCAGGCTGGTCTCGAACTTCTCACCTCAGGTGGCCCTTCGGCCACCACTTCCGAAAGTGCTGGGATTACAGGCCTGAGTCACCGCACCAGGCTAATTTACCCTTTCTGACTGGTTTTCTCATTGGCCGCCCTCCTACAACTCTGAAGGAGTTAATTACAGCTGTGACCTGCAGATATAGACTATTGGTGTGACCATGCCATCCTGCAGCCAGACTTCCTGTGAGAATAAGATCTGCTGGTGCTGTGGACTCTGCTCTGTCTGAGGGAAATTTCTGGTGGGCACTAGACTGACATTTTCTTCTTTTCCACCAGAGTCTTGCAAATGTAACATGTATTATAGCTCACCACTCAGAATCAAAAGCTGATTGTGGTAGAGTTTATAGGTAACAGGGCTCTAGATTGAAGCAGTTCAAATGCTGAGTCTCCCCCTTACTACATGTGAAATGTTGCCCAAGTTCCTTATTTTAATTATGCCTCAATTTCTGTATCTGAAAAACAGAGATGATAACTTCCAGAATTGCTGTGAGATTAGGAAAATAAAATATGCAAAGTTTTTGGCACACGCCTGACATATAGCTGTTGCCCAGTTACTGACTATGGGCAGAGTAGTTCAACAGGCCTACTCTTGCTCTAACCTGCAGAGAACAAACACCAGGAGTGAAGAGTGGCCACAAGCAGGGCAGAGAAAGCTGTGGGTCAGGCCACAGGCAAAGCCATTCCCCAGTTAATCCATGAGGCTGACAGCTAGCATTGTGCAGGGAAAGTGGAATTCTGCATTTACATTGAACTTGCAGCATTTGCAGATGCAAAGTCTAAGAACTTGTAGTAAAACCTGGGCAAATCCCAACATGGAATGGTAAGGATCATGACCTTCTCAACATCGTAGAAGAGGGTTAGGGTCCAGAGGAGAGAAGTCCAGATCAGTTGAGTCCATAGGCAATTTCCTTAGCCATCATGGTTAGGGCTGACACCTTATCCATTAGAACATATGCAGCTGTATAATCATCATTTGCTTGCTTACTCCCAATGAATGGAAAATACCGTCTTATCCCAGAATGTGGCTTCAGCTTCATTCTCAATAGTCTACTTTATTGTCATCCTAAGACCTGATTTTAAAAACCTTCTCCAGATGTTGTTTTATGTGTATGTGTGTGTTTCCATTCAGTCAATGGATTCTATCAATGAAAAACACTAGTATTTATTTATTGAATATTTACTCTATGCCAGTTATTGTTTAAGTGCTGACTGCCTAAAATACATTTTGTTACTTATTACTTGCAGTATTTTTATTATAATTCTAGTACATCTATTATTATTTTGACTTTACAGATAACCAAACTGAGACTGCTAAAGTCTATGTAACTGGCCAAACTTACAGAGATTGTAAGTGGTGGAACCAGGAGGCCAAGCCAGGTCTGCCTGTCTCTAAGCTCTAGGTTCTGGTACCTGAAGGGGGAAAACTCAACTGAGAATAAAATGATAGCAGGAACAACAACTATTACTAAAATGGAAAGATGTCCATAAGTGGAAAAAAATGAGTTACAGAACTATACATAGAGTATGATTAAATTGTTGTAAATTAAACAGGAGTGTGTATATTATGTGTATGTATACATATATAGTTTTAAAACTTCTTTGCGGGGCCAGGCGCAGTGACTTACGCTTGTAATCCCAGCACTTTGGGAGGCCCAGGTGGGCGGATCACCTGAGGTCAGAAGTTCGAGACCAGCCTGGCCAACATGATGATACCCTATTTCTACTAAAAATACAAAACAATTAGCCAGGCATGGTGGCATGCGCCTGTAATCCCAGCTACTCGGGAGGCTGAGGCATGAGAATCGCTTGAACCCAGGATTCAGAGGTTGCAGTGGGCTGAGATCACTCCAGCCTGGGTGACAGACAGACCCCATCTCAAAAAACAAAAACAAAAACAACAAACAAAGAAACTTCTTTGGAAACTGATGAAAGTTATGGTCCCTTTTAAAACACTTATGTATAGATGCACACAAAATTTCACACACAACTTAGAAGCTCAGGTTAGGGATCTCTGATATGTATGTATCATATATAAGAAAAATCTGGAAGGATATACACCAAATTGTTAATCATCCCCTTTAAGGGATAAGATTTCAAGACATTTTTCATGTATTTTTTATGTTTTTCTGTCTGGCGAATTTGTTTTCAATGAGCTTGTATTATTCCTGTAATCAAGAAAAACATGTTAAAGATTATAAATGAAGGCCAATTGTTTCCAATTTAAAATGGAATTTACTGCTTCTTTTTCTCCTGATGGGCAGGCTTCTAACATTTTCCCATGTCATACTCAGATATGATTGGGGGACCTCTGAAAAAATTCAAAGGACACTTTTGTGAATACACTAAATGTGAGCTATTTTGTCCAAAAAGAAACTTTCCCTAAAAGTTAAGAATAACGAAAATAAGGAGATGTTGGTGGGTTGCGGGCAAGGGACCATAAAGAGCATGTGGGACAACATCATCAGTGGCCTCCACTGAGAATGACATGTGCACGTGAGACTTTCAGTAGAGTTTTCTATATGAGAAACAAGGGGGCTTTCTGACTAGTAATATGTGCCCTGTAGAACTAAACAGTAAATGAGGTTAATGCTGCATTGCAGAGCAGAAGTATATGGTAGTAGAGATCTGTATGCTAAGCAAATTATCCTTGAGCTATTGTTTGAAATGACCTCTTAATCTTCATTTCAGCTCAGTCTGGCACTAATTGAAATGGCTGTTTCCAGGGCACCCTGGTGCTTAACGAGGGAGTTTCCTTATGCTCTTGACCTGCTCGCTGTTGCGGTCCCTGCCAGTTGCTTTGAGTTTGGAAGATACTTTCTCTCCCCCTTCCTACTCCTCCCCAACATACACACACCCACCTGTCTTCAGCCCAGGAGTCCCCATAAGCTAGATAATCAAATCTTATTCTGAGCATGAACAAAGATTCCAGGAGCATCTTACTTTTCACCAAGAAGAAAATTTTTAATTATGCATGTTTTTTAAAGGAATCTGTAATATTGCAGATGGATTTATTCTTGGTTTAATCTGATGTTTTTTGCACATGTCGGGGTTTGACAATAGCCGGAGACCCCAGTAGTTCTCATTGCCAAGGATAGTGATGAGCCTTCCCAAGGCATTCTCTCTCTGGAACATTGCCCCGCTCAGTTTAATGCAGCAACTGCAGGAACAGCAAATATTTATGAAGCTCCTTGGATCCACACCAGTGTGCTAGGTAAAAAAGGACAGGACTTCTTTTCACTCCCCTGCTTAATCTGAAAATAGAATTTGCATGCTACTGTTCGTTCCCCTCCTTGGATGTGATGTAAGTTCTGTTTGCCTGGAGTGCCGTGTATAGAAGTCTATATTAGGATAACTGTATTATACATCTTGTTCCTAAAGGTTGGGGCCACAGAAGGATACAAATCTCTTTGCATACTGCTCTATACGATTAGGAGCTTCCTACATACTGATGAGAATCCTGAAGATTCATATTTGCCTGGTACCTTCACATGCCTGATCTTGCCGCAGGAGGCAGGCTCTATGATTAGCAGACTCTATCATGGGAGCCAATAGACTGTAGTAGTAAAAAGTCCCTGTGTTCAAGTTAGAACAACATGAGTTTAAATCCTGACACAGCCACTTTCTGACTGTGGTTTTGTAAAGTTTCTCATGTTCTTTCAGCATCTGTTTCCCTGCATGAAAGATAAAGATGTTAATGTCTACATTGCAAAACTATTAGGAGGATTAAATTGAGTGTCACATGCAAAGCACCTGCCACCACAGTGAAGTGCTCCATAAATGGCAGCTAATGACATTATTAGCATGCTGGTAGTGCTCCCTTTAAAAACAAAACAAAAATAACACTTTCTCTTGACCTCTTTTTCCCTGCCAACAACTATCCCATTTTCCTGCACTCCTTTTAAGCAAAGGTCTTTCAAAGGGGGCTGTACTCATTACCTCTGACTTCCCTCCTCATATTCATCCTAAACCCACTCCAATGGGACTTTGGTGCCACTTCTCCAGTGTTATTTTTCTTGTCAAGGTCACCAGTGGCCACTATATTGCTAAAAATGCAATGGCATTTTCCAGTGGCAGTGACCAACAGCAGCATTTGGTACAGGGGATCCCCCCTTCCTCCTTGCTGTGATACTCCCCTTGGTCATGACACCACACTTTCTTGGCTTCCTCCTATCTCGACAGCTGCTCCTTCTCAATGTCTGCAGCCAAAGTCTCTGATCTTTAGATGTTGGAGGATTCAGTAATTGTTCCTCTTTCCTATCAATACTGATTCCCTCAATGAGCACATCCAGTCTTATGGCTTTGAATACAGTTTTTGTGCCAGTGATTCCCAAATATATAGTACCAGTTTTCAACTCAGTCCCAATTCCAGACTCAGATCCGTCCACCTACTACTCGACTAGAATATCTAATGGGCATCCCAAGCTCAGTGCATTATTTAAGGTTCTCTTGAGAGACAGACCAATAGGGGGTGTGTGTGTGTGTGTGTGTGTGTGTGTGTGTGTGTGTGTGTGTGTGTGGAGAGAGAGAGAGAAATTTGTCATAAAGAATTGGCTCATCTGATTGTGGAGGTGTGCAAGTCCCAAGATCTGCAGGGTGACTTGGCAAGCGGGAGACCCAGGAGAGGTGATGGTGTAGTTCCATTCCAAAGGCCAGCAGGCTCAACACCCAGGAAGAGCCAATGTTTTAGTTCAAGTCTGAAGGCAAGAAAAAAGCCAATGTCATGGTTTGAAGGCAATTTGGCAGGAGAAATTCTCTGTTACTTGGAGGAGGGTCAGATTTTTGTTCCATTCAGGCCTTCAGTTGACTGAATGAGGTCCACTCACATTAGGAAAGACAACTGCTTTACTTAGTCTGCTGACTCAAATGGTAATCTCATCCAAAAACACCCTCATAAAATACCCAGGATAATATTTGACCAAATATCCGACACCCTGTGGCCCAATCAAGTTGACACATAAGATGAACGATCACACACAGCACGTCTGAAAATTAGACTGTCGATCTTTTGGGCAAATGTGACTCTGTACCTTTCCCTGTCATTGGTTACCAACGTCACCCTTCCAGTTTTAGCTCAAGCCAAAAACCTTGGAGTCATTTCCTCCTTTCATATCTCAGTTACAACCTGTCAGAAAATTTTGTTTACCTTCAACACCTACCCAGACTTCAACCATAGCTTGCCACTTGCATTGCTGCCACCCTAATTTAAGCCACAATCATTGCTCAAGGAGCCCTGTTCCAGAACACCATATTTGAATTGCTGCCACCGGTATTCCTGGTCTCCTTTACTCTAACTTTATCCATAGTATTTATTGTTTTTTAATATTCCATATAATTTTATTAATTTTTCTGTTTGCCTGAGACAGAATGCCTAGCACAGTGCCTGATATGTAGTATACATACACTCGATAAATATTTGTTGGATGAATTGCCATTGTAGAGATAAAGAAACTGGGACTTAAAGGAATTAAGTAATTTGCTAGGGTCCCACAGTTAATAAGTAGTAAAGCTATCCTAAAACAGTACCTAACAGAATCATAGGCAAGAGGTGCTGATATTAGGTAAGTTTCTTCAGTTGAGCATCTATTGTCCATTTTTTATTAAAAGTAGGCCTTGGCTGGGCGTGGTGGCTCATGCCTGTAATCCCAGCACTTTGGGAGGCCAAGGCGGGTGGATCACAAGGTCTGGAGTTCAAGACCAGCCTGGTCAACATGGCGAAACCCCATCTCTACTAAAAATACAAAAATTAGCCAGGCGTGGTGGCAAGCGCCTATAACCCCAGCTACTTGGGAGGCTGAGGGAGAGAACTGCTTGAACCTGGGAGATGGAGGTTGCAGTGAGTCGATATCACACCGCTGTACTCCAGCCTGGGTGACAGAAAAAAAAAAAAAAAAAGTAGACTTTGTCCAGATAGCAGTGTCTGTAGACCAGTGCTGATTTATATAATCATGTTTGACCATAAGCTAAGGTTTATTCTCTTATCTCTGTGTCAGCCATCTGATAAAATCTCCTTGTTTTGAAATATTTTCACCTTTCAGAAATTAATAGATTAATATTATGTTCCTCTTGCCTTTTCCTAAGTCTCTTAAGCCAAGCCAGACATCATTTTGGAGATTTCCTTTATAAGGAACTTACAGTTAACCCTTTTATCTTTTTATAGTACATATAATAGTATTAAATTATCTCACCAGAGCAAAATGGAATTTTTATTAGCTAGATCTTTGTATTATGATCCACAAATATGGGGTGAGCACCTACTTTATGAAGGCTCTGTGGGGGGGTTGGGGAAATAAAGAGGTATCCAGAAGCTCCTGGTCTATTTAGGGAAAATGCATATATATTAGTCGGGATATTGATTCAGCTGATTTAACAGAGACTAAGTAATAGTGGCTTAAACAAGATAGAAGGGTTCTTTCTCTTGCTGTCTCTCATCTCAGCTGAAGAATTAAGGGAGAAGAATTGCCCTTATGCTCCCAAGGTCATTAGGGGCCCAACTCCTTCCATAGTTTTGCTCCACCATTCCCTACTATGTTGTTCTCCTCAGATAGTGGAATTTGGATTATACTCCCACATGTACATTCGAGGCCCCGAAACGGGGGAAGAGAAAAAGTGAGTAAGTGGTTTCTTTTTAAGGTATGACCCAGAAGTTGTACATTTCACTTCTACTCACAACTGATTGGCCAGAACTTAGTCACCTGGCCATGCTTAAGCCAATCTGTGAAACCTAGTCTGTAGGGTAGCTGCGTGCGCAGCTCTGGATTCCATTACTAAAAGGAAGAAGGGGAGATTGAATACTGGGAAACAAATAAGTCCCTGATTAGCCATATCTGTAAATACTGCTGTCACCTCCAACTAAATAATAAGGTCTTAAAGGGTAGGGCTGCATTTTACACTCTCAGTGCCTTCAAATGATAAGTTCTTAATAAATATTTCCTGATTGGGTGATTTGGTGAATGCACTTTCATCCAAGAGATTTTCTGGAGAGTTTTTATTATACTGCCAAAACCAAACACTATTCAATCCCAGGGTAAACACTGCAGGAAAAAAAATGTCACAGGGCAACATAGTCATAAGTGGGTTCTCCCCATGCTCACACGCCCTTCATTCTAAGCTGGGGGAGGCTGCTGTAGTAACACAGATGCAAAAAATAAACTTTGACTAAATGGCTTCATGTTCCAGATGATTGGATGCCTCGTTAAAGCACCCAAAGATGAAGCTACTGCTCCGGCAAAGTTGCTGACCTAATTTTGAGAACTAAAAGACAGAGCTAAGTGTGTTTTCATGGCATCCCACATTCCTTTCTTAATTCATCATGATTCATGGGAACCAGGATCTCAGGCTGCCCCTCCCCCAGGTAGCAGTTAAGCTGGTGGAATTGTTCTCTCTAGTCCATAAGGACATGGAAACGGATCCTGCTGGAGGAAGTCAATAGAGCAGCAGTAAAGCATCCCTCCCCCCGCCCCCACCCGAATGTGAACATCTGTTCAAACTTTTCACAGCTCCCAGGAGGAAGTGGATAGAACACAGGGCTTCTAACTATAAAGGGAAAACTTCACCCATTTGCACTCTACTAACTTGAAATTTATGATTTGACCTGACCTGGCTTTGGCTTTATCTCTATGATGCCTTTGAAGAAAGGCCAAACTGGGTAAATAAATATAATAAACAAGAGTATAAGGGGTGCTGTTATTATATTCATGAAAGCAAACCTTTGCATGACTTAACTTCATTAACTATTTGAATGTAAATTACTACTGCTTATGGCAAGTGAGATAGATTCAATAACATAGGCTATAGCCACACCTCAACTTGAAAACTTATGTTTAACTTAAAGCTGAGTTGCTGTATGGACTTGACAGAAACAGCCTATGCGCTGTGGTTCTGGAATTTCACGAATGCACGCTGGCTTTTCTTCATCTATCTGAATTAGCAAGAGGTTTGCTGCATTTAGTTAAGACAGCCAGACGCTCTCTGGGAACCTCAGCCACCCCTAATCCAGACGTCAGTTTGCATTTACTTTAGGATGAATGGAGGTCCCTTCCCCCTCCTGTTGTCATCTGTCCTTCCCAGAATATTTTGCAGTATGGCCTGTGGCAATCCTTTTCTTCTTGCTTGCTCTGAGTGGTGGCTGCTCAGTGGAGGGCCCCCAGCTGGCTCTGGTTTCCAGCTGCTTCAGAGCCCACTGGCCTGGAGGTAAAGCTGCAGAGTGATAAGCATTGTAAAAATAAAGCCCGTTGCTAGCCAGGCCAGCCAAACAGCGTGGGAGGAGTGGAAAATTCAGTCTATGTGTTCTTGGCGTGACAAATTGTCAATATCTGAGGTGTTCTGCTGGAGGAAATGGGAAGAGATGTTCTCTAACCAGACCTAATCTGTGTATTATCAGTCAGTAGCCCTTGGAGAATCATGTCAAAACCAGGCTCATGGGACTGGAGCCATAACCTTGGGTCAGCTTGTTTATTGCCCACCATCTTTGACTTGACCAACCCCTTGGGGTCTGGTGTGGCCTTGGGAACCGCAGTGTCTAAATGCAAGCGCCACTGCCCTTAATTGAACTACTAAGGGAGAGTAAGTGCTAGGTATTGTTTAATCAGGGATCAGCCCAGTCTCTCCCTCTACCTAAGCCTGCCATGTGCCCTTACTGATGATACATTTTTATCTGATGCCCCGAATGACAGATGTTACTACTCTCGTCAAGTTTTGGGAGTAGCTGTACATTTTTATATTTTTTGCACAAAGGAAGTGACTGTAGCTCCTGGAAATTCAGTCTGGTCACCTGAAACTTTGGTAATTTTGTCTGGTCTTCTTTGAGGGATGTATGTCTAGTAATGCAGTTCCCTGTTCCTTGGCCCCCAGGACTCCTTATTGTGTGGCAGAATTGAAATAATTGCAGGAAAGAGAACATTGCTCTCCTAGCCCTGACAGCAGGCAGGTCCCTGGGATACCTTCAAGACCCACTTTGAATTCAGATGACAAGTCCTTCCAGAAAATAATCTGGGATGTTTTCCTCATTTTACTGCATACAATTTTCCCCATTGGTGTATCAAGATATTAAAAGCAATCCCTGTCTCTCTCTTTCCTCCTCCTCCTCTTCCCTGACTCTCTTCTTCCTTCCCTCCTTTTCCCCCTCTCCCTCTCTCAGTTTCTTTGTCTTCGAAGACACTGACAACTTTCTGGCATGTCGCCTAGGCTTAGGAGAGTGAATCTTTATCAAAATTTCTTCTAGCCATTGGCTTGGAAGTACTATATAAATCAGCAAGACACTTTGTTATAAAACTTTCTCATTATCAACATTCACTACTGTTCCATTTTATGAATGCTTCTTTGTCTTCCAAAAAGCATTTCGGATTAAGCAATGCTGTTATTGAAAATGTGGGCGGTTTCTGCTGGTGTGCTTGGCTGGTTGAATTATAGATGGTTGTCACGAATATCACAATGCCAGGTTCCTATAAATGAGTTAAAAATATTGATGTATGAAGTAAGTTGGGGATGGCAAGTGGAGATTCAGCATCCTTATTATCCAATTGGGCCACTGGATTTGTACTTTGTAGTAAAAGAGCTCTAAGATCTACATGTGATGCAACTCTCCAATTTAAGTAGGTTGGGATCTTTCTTATTATTGGATGCACAGATTCAAATTAAACTACAAAAAAAAAGTATTTTACACATCCTGTGTCCCAGCACTATGCTAGACACTAGAGATGAACAGATATATAAACACCAGGCCTGCTATTGAGGTGTTCATAATCCTGTGAGGGAACTCTAATCTGTAGACAGAACTCTCTTGCAATGTAATGAATACCATAGACAGGTCCGAGAGGTATGAGAGGTGCATGCCTAGAGTCAGGACACATGGGGACAGAAGACATGTGGTGGATGTGGTGAGTAAGAGCACCTGGTCTTTGATGACAGACATATAGGGTTAAATCCTGGATCTGCCATAATTCATGGGAGGAACAGATTACTGAATGAATTAATACATAGCTTTTATTGGTATTGGGATTCAAGGAAATACTGCAGTGTTATATAAAGTGCTCAAGACAGTATTTGTCACCCAGGATCAATGGTGATTTGTCATTGGAAAGTAAGCACTTGTTTCAGGCTTTATTTGGTGGGAATCCAGGCAGGATGAGTAGGAACAGTGGAGACTGGGATGTCAGCAGGAGACAGCCTATGGAGGGGGAGAGCTGGGGCCTGCTAAGAAGGGCCTGCCTTTCTGTGGAGTTGGAGCAGGAGCGGGTGGAGAGAGGGTCAAGTGCTTTAGGCAAGGCAGGCTGGGGCCAGATTACAAAGCCATTTGTAGTATTAGACTGAAGGATCAGACATGACATTGAAGACAGTGGGGATTTATTGGTATTGGTGAGCAGGAAAGTGGCATAAAGAGATGTGAGTTTAAAAATCAGGCAGTATGGTAGTTCACACTTGTAATTCCAGTGCTTTGGGAGGCTGATGCAGGAGGAATGTTTGAGGCCAGGAGTTTGAGACCAGCTGGGCAACATGGCCAGACCCCATTTCTACAAAAAATAAAAAGTTATCTGGGTGTGATAGCACACAACTGTAGTCCTAGCTACTTGGGAGGTGGGAGGCTCTAAAAAAATTGTTAAAATAGCCTCTCTGATGGTTGGGTTAGGAAATGAGTACAGTAGTGCAAACAAGAAATTATGTTCACATTTACTTCACTATATTTGTTGAAGGCCTACTGTGTCCCAGGCACTTTGCTAGGTATAAATGAAGGTAGAGTGGAGGCAAGGTTAATTAATACAGGGATAGAGAAAGGGGAAACACTATAATAAATTTTTAGGTAAAATTGATATTAAAAAAAAACCCTACCATCTAGAACTGGGGTGATGAAGAAGGCCAAGTGAAAAATTATTTCACAAATTCATGAAAAAAATGAAATATTTTTGGAACATTGGAATTCAAAATACTTCATTAGACCTGGGAATAAAAAGAATGACAGCCATTTTTCTTCTTGCTCTTCTCTACCTCCTTCTTATTCATTGGGGAAAGTCACAGAAACTAGAGATGACTGGCCCTCTATGAGTAGTTGTCTCTGCAGCCCTCAGAGGTCAGGACATGCTCTGTTTTAAGTTCCGGAGAGATAAGGACAATGGAGCGAACAGTTGGAAAGTAACACATAGCTTTACCTAGTATTCTCATGGCTTGCCATAGCACCTTGAATGTTCAGTTACTTTTCTTTTTAAAAGAGAAACTAGTACTTGACCTTAGAAAGTTGTTTTCTGTTGAAATGGAAATGTTATGAGAGGTTCTAGTGAATAATGGAAAATGTGAGGTTATTTGATGAGAGGTTGAGGACAGGATCTGAAGGCCATGGTGGGTAAACAGTAGGAGTGAGCAGCGATGTGTAAATATTGACATGGAACTCAGGAGGAAGCAAGAGGAAGAAAAAAGGATTATGGCATGAAATAGTTTTTGCTTATTGGAAAAATGTTGTTCCTAAAGAATAATAAATCTTAAAGAAAAGACAGAGACATAAGAGACTAAGAAGGGAGCCAGTATTGTCTTTGATTGTGTTCATCCTTCCAGAAGTTCTCAGCCACACCCATGTTGGAAAGGTGGTCATGGTACTGTGGCATTATTCATTGCCAGGTGAAAAAGTCAGTCAATTCCTTATGTACTGCATAGTAGAGATTCTAATAGGATAAATTTAATAATTGCAAAACAAGACATACAATGTATATCAAGCCATATTCTTACCAGAAAAATCTCATCCAGTCAGATTCTCTTGTCAGGTGCATTTGTAACTGGTGAGAACCACTCACAAACGGCAGTGCAGGTAAAGTTGCATCCCTCTTATTTTAGTTAATTCTTCGGAAATCCAATATACCTCATTAGCAGGCAAACCAGTATCTCTGTCTTGTTCTTTTTCCTCCTCTTAATTGTCCTGAAATCTCCAGGGCTTATTCCGTGCAAAGATGGCCCTTGACTTCCAAATGCATAGCATAGACTGCTGAGGTCTCATTGGTCTACCCTGCACTTGCTTTTCACTGCCACACAGTGGCGCTGTTGAACACGGGCCAGGTACAGTCTGATACTCATTGCCTATCCATTGTTGCAGGGAATCCTAGCTGGTCGTGCTGACCATTCAGGCCAAGAGAATGTGCCAGCCAGGAGAGTTTACCTATACAGTGACATCTTGGGTCTCAGGACAGCCCCAGTTGTGCTGAGTGAAGTCCTCTTAATGATCTGTCACCTCATGGAAGCTTTCTCCCAAGGTCCTTCACCAAAACAGTGAACCAGCTTTTCTGTTAAATCCTCAAAATAAAGGACCTTGAAACACTTATCTCCATAGACAATGGAGCCACTAGCGGTACATTTATACTCATCAATGAGGCCACTTCTGATCTGATTTTCTGACATTTGTCTTGATTTAAAAAAAAAAAAGGTGGGGGAAGGGAGATGGACAAAAACTTAATCTCTGGCAGGTCCCGTCTGATGACAGCTCAGCACACAGTGTGTGTTTAGGAATTGTTCTGCTTCTTATTCTCCCCACATCAGTCATGATTCCAGAACTTGAAGTGGTTCAAAGTGAGCTCATAGTAGCATTTAACCTGTTGAGAATCTCTTGTCACCACTATATGTTTTCACTGGTAAAAGAGTCATCTGATTTACTGTGTGTCCCCACATTCACAATGCATACATATTCACACAGGACATGGAAGCCAAAAGTAAATGGTTAGTCACAAAAGGTTTGTTTTCTCCTATTTTGCTGTTTACAAAGGAGTGTTATCTTATGTTGGAAAGGATTTCAGCCAAGAACAGCAGTGAGGCTGTAGGAGCAATGTTACAATGTATTTCCCTGGCTTTTTAAAACCTATTCCCTGGTTTCTGCCTGCAAGCCTTAGGATGTGAGATGCGGGCTGGAAAAGCTGCTGGAGGGTAAAGCAGTAATAGAAAAAAGAAGATATTTTGAGAGACAGGAGAAGATAGGGTGAATGGTGGAGGAAAGAGGTAAGGAAGAGTCATGAGCATGAAAATGATCTGTGTCCCAGCATTGATCATGAACCCTGATGGCTGTTGGATCCATCTTTAGGCAAAGACAGCTGTGCTGGGCGTGGTTGACAGAGCATATCTGAAACAGGCCAAATTGAACTCTTGTTTACCATGATTAAGGTGACTATATAATTGATTGTCCAAACGGGAATACTTCTGAGAGTAAAAAGGAACATTACTAATACTGAAGTTGGGGCAGCGGTATCAACTGGGACTGTTGAGGGCAAACCAGGAGTTAGAGTCATTTGTATTTTGAAGGTAGTTTCTTTAAAAATCAAGACTTTAACTGTGAACAGTGCATTATTCTGATTGCTATGTTAGCTACAAACAAAATAAGATGGTGCCACCTCAAAGAATTGACAGTCTAGTTGCAGAGATGAGACTCACACACAAAGAAATTATCAGTCACCATCCAAGGTGGTGTCTAACCAAGTACCAAATAAGTGATAGTATAGTCATAGGATGTGCTAGGAAGGGCACTGGCCTTGGAGTTAGAAGACCTGTCTGGATCGCTCTTTAGCAGAGTGACCTTGTGTAAGGTACTTAATCTCTTGGAACATCCATTTATTTTTTGACTGATTGATTCATCCATCCATTCATTCATTTATTCATTCATTCATTCATTCAATAAACATATGGACTGGCCCTGTGCCGAGTGTATCTTGGTGGTAAAGAACACAGCCTTTACAGAGAGACACCTGGGTTCAGGTTGTACCTCTGTCACTACCTGGAGACCTTGAACTTAACCCTCCTGAGCTTCAATTCCCTCATCTGTTAGATGGTGATAACACCTGCTATGGTCTGAATGTTTGCATCCCCCAAACTCATATGTTGAAATCCTAACCCCTAAGGTGATGGTATTGGGAGGTGAGACCTTTGAGAAGTGATTATGTCATGAATGGGATTAGTGCCCTTATAAAAGAGGCCCCAGAGAGACCACTGCCCCTTCCACCACATGAGGACACAGCAAGAAGTTGCCCTCTATGAAGCAGGAAACCAGCCCTCATATCAGATATCAAATCTGCTGCCACCTTCATCTTGGACTTCCCAGTCTCCAGAACTGTGAGGAATAAATTTCTGCTGTTTGTAAGTTCCCCAGTTTATGACATCTTGTTATAGCAGCACCAATAGACTAAGACAATACCCAACTTGTAGAGCTGTTGTAAGATATTGTAAATGAGAGAATAAAGTCAGATTTTGTATAGGAAACATCCAACAGTTTCCAACATACAGAAAAAGCCCAAGAAATGATAGCTAAATGATAGCTAAAATTATTATTCCAGATACTGTACTGGTTGCTGGAAATGCAAAGGAAAGCTAGGGAGAGGGCTCTACCTTGCAGGTGAAAGCAGAGAGTGGTACCTGTCGACACACCCCCCAGGGCTGTTAGGAGGGTCCAATGAGGACATAAGGTGAAAGCACTTCACAGGCTCTGACATGCTGTGCAAAGGAAAGACCTCACGGTTCTTACCAGTGGTTGGGGCATTGTCTGGATCCTTCTCTTTTCCTATTTATTAGGATGCTGTCAACTGTAAATAAGAGATAACCCAAAATATCTTAAATCATATGTTATCTCACAGAACAAGAAGTCCAGAGGTAGAGTGCTTCCAGGATTGGCTAATTCTGTGGTTTAATAATGCCATCAGGAGTCCATAATTCCACTCTGCTAATCTCAGTTCTTGGTTGACTCACCCACCTCAGAGTGATACATTGGCTGCATCAGTTCCAGGCATTTCATCCTCACCACACCACGCACTAGACGCAGAAAGAGACTATCCCTTCCTTGTGTCTTAAGATCTAAGAAGCCCTTCTTGGAACCCCACCCCTACCCTTGCAGACTGACTTGTCCTATTGGCCAAAATTGGATCCCAAGTCCCTTCCCAAGCCAGTCCATGGTAAGATAAAGTTATTGTAACTGCCTTACGCTAATCAATATCTATTCTCTGGGGACTGGGGATCTTTTCATCTTCCCTAAAAACATGACATTGTAGAGGGTGTAAAATTCCTGAACGAAATCAAGTTTTTGTTAACAGGAAAGTGAAGAGAAATGGTTGTGGGTAACCACCAGCAGTGTCATATATTGTCTCTACAGGTCCAGTTCCTAATTCTACCTTAAAAATACCTCTTAAATTCACATTGGCCTTTGTCCAGGTTCTCAATATCTCCCATCTACGCTCTTGATTCCTTCTCTCTCTTCTTATCCCACCCATCTGATCTTCCCTTCATCCACCAGTCAGCCCTTTATACAATTCAAGCCCGATTATACCATTTCTTAACTTTAAGATTCTCAAGACTCAATTCGGATGCAACCACCTCTTTGAAGGTGCCCTGGATGTTTTATTTATGTCTCTTTTATAGCCCTAATAAGAGACAGTCATGCATTTGAATTATTTGTATATTCTCTGTGCCTCCCGCTATCTTTCCTGTTCAACATGGTACCATTGGCCACATGTGGCTACTGAGCACGTGAAATTGAGCATTGAAATTCAAATTGGGATGGCTTGTAAGAATAAAATACATGTTGAATTTCAGAGATTTAGAACAAAAAAAGAGGATCGTAAAATATTTCATTGGTGACTTTTAAAATTGTTACATGTTGAAATTCCATTTTGGTTAAATAAAGTTTTCTTCTTAATTTTCAATGTGGTGACTAAAATATTTCAAATTGCATACATCATTTGACATTTGTAGCTCACATTATATTGCTGAGCACTAGATTGCTAGCTCTTGCAGAGCAGGGCTGTACCTTATTTATCCGTTATTTATCACACCAGC
The DNA here is from genome assembly GCF_000001405.40 of Homo sapiens. Lineage (NCBI taxonomy): Eukaryota > Metazoa > Chordata > Mammalia > Primates > Hominidae > Homo > Homo sapiens. The sequence continues at coordinate 101,752,700 of NC_000008.11, read as the reverse complement.
TTTCTTTTTCTACCTTATGGTCCGTTAGCATTGGAACCTAGTCCAAACACTTTACTTGGTGAAAATAAAGCTTAAGAAAACTCAATTTGGGGATGAAAGAGCACAAGATAATTTCATGTTATTTGACCACCACTCCTGGATTTCTGATACATAGGTTATCTTTTGTGTGTTCCAACTCATCTAAGCTTTTAAAATTTGCCAGGTTTGGAAATCACTCTTTGTTGTGGTTACTTCAGGCCACTAAGTTGTTATGGACTAATCCAAGTTGAAAAAAGAGAGAAACTAGAATTTAATTATTTTGGTTAGGTTTGTTTTTCTCTGTTAGTTTTTAATTCTTCCACTTAGATGTTCCTCAACAAATTATATTTTACTTTTTTAAGGTAGTGGTGCTGTCTCCATGACTATAACCTCTAGAATATTTTAGTTATTTTTACAGTTATTAGAAATAAAGAAGCAGATGTAAGTTATGCTTTCTATTCAACTTCACTGAATTATAGCTGGAAGTTGCATTTTTTATGGATGAATTATATATATTTTACTGTTTATTGTATTCTTAGCAAGGATCATTTAGAAGACCAAGAAAATGACCATATTATACAAAATATTTAAGAGAAAACCTGTTTCTAATGGCATAATAAAATCGGAAACTTTAAAATATATATTTAATGAGCAGAAGTAATGGAATTAAGTTTTATATTTACAGTAGCCAAAACATGCCATTGTTTGGGGGAAATAATCTTTTTCTGGAAATGCCTGATAAATTTATACTTCTAACTTGGAAATAAATAATATTCGTGGTCATAAACCATGTGCTGAAGAATACAGCAGGATTATGTGGTTATCATCTGGTCAAAGGGCCTGGCAGCCTTTGAAAGCTGAGTCATGGCTGACCCCCACCTTTGGGGCAGGCTGTCTCCCGAATAAGCAGAAATCACTGTGGAGTCCATTATTTTTCAGTAGGACTACTTAGTAAGTGCTCTTTGCCAGGTCTTGTGAAGATCATTGTTTCCTTTGTCTTTGATCTTTTCTCAGTCACTGAGGAAAGTTCTGCCCCAGTGACATGTGGCTGCTGGGAAGCCAGGGTAGAATTCTGGGCCCTCCCCTTTCATGGAGATGTTATCCCTGGACAGCTGGGCGATTCATTTCCCTCCCTCCTTTCCTTCCTTCCTTCCATGGTGAAGTAAACATAACAAAAAATTTACCATTTTAACTAATTTTAGGCATACAATTCAGTGGCATTAAGTATATTCAAATGTTGTATAACTGTCACCATTACCCATTTCCAGAACTTTTTTCATTCCATAGAGAAACTATGTACCTGTGAAACACTAACTCTCCAGTCATCTCCTTCCCCACGCCCCGACATCCCAGTCCCTGGTAACCTGTGTTCTACTTTCCATTTCTAAGAATTTGCCCATTCTAGGTACCTCATATAAGTAGAATGATGCAATATTTGTCCTCCTATGTCTCGCTTCTTTCATGTAGCATAATATCTTCGAGGTTCACCCATGTTGTAGCATGTGTCAGAGCTTCATTTTTTAAGGCTGGATAGTATTCCATTGTATGTATCTGCCGCATTTGTTTATCCATTCATCTGTTGATGAACTTTTGGGTTGTTTCTACCTTTGAGCTATGTGTGGTTTGTAACAGTGATATAAAAGGTGATGACACTGGTCATTTCTGCACTTGGATGTATTTCTGATGGAAAAGAGAAATCCAGCTGTTATCATACCTAAAACCTTTTAGGCGATATACCCTAAAAGCAAGTGTGACTTCCTTGCTGAAAACGAGAGCCACTCTGCAGAAGGCATGTCATCAGAGGTGGAGACCTCTTTAGAGTTCTGATTTCCCAGGGCCAAGTGCAAACATCTCCCAGAGAAGGCAGGCCTGCTCATCACCTGGCAGAAGATGAGGGTAGGGGCTTCTCACTTCCCCCGGACATTCCTAGGCAGGAGGGACTTCAGAGAGTCTGACAGAAAGCTCCAGGCCAAGTGTTGTCTGTTTGCTTTAAAGGGAGAAAAGGGAATTTTTAAAAGGAGAATGAAAGTGTCCTTGTCTCTAGAACTGAAGCAACTTGGAGGAATGAGTGGAGTCTTTGTTTAGGTGAGTGACACTTCTTTTTGGCGTGCCTGTTGCCATTTTATTCCATGTAGTGGTTGAGTCATGTTGTAGCCAGAGACCTGGAAATATCCAAATCCTGCTCTGCCAGTCGCCCTTCTCTCCTGGGGGTTTCTCTGGGGGCTACAAATATACAGACCTTGGGAAATCAAAGTACCTTTTATCACCAGTTGGACAACCAGGGTGGGCCTCTCCGGTGATCAAGTCAAGAGGATGGTTTGGACTCAAGGCCCAGATGCGGCCTCTTCCACCCTTTTGGTTAAATTCCAGTGTTTCCACCTGATATGGTTTGGCTGTGTCCCCACCCAAATCTCTTCTTGAATTGTAGTTCCCATAATCCCTACGTGTCATGGGGGGGGGACCCGGTGGGAGGTGATTTAATCATGAGGGCAGTTACTCTTCATTCTGTTCTCGTTACAGTGAGTGAGTTCTCATGAGATCTGATGGTTTTGTAAGGGGCTTTTACCCCTTTTGCTCAGCACTTCTCCTTCCTGCCATCATGTGAAGAAGGGCATGTTTGCTTCCCCTTCTACCATGATTGTAAGTTTCCTGAGGCCTCCCCAGCCATGCTGAACTGTGAGTCAATTAAACCTCTTTCCTTTATAGATGACCCAGTCTCAAGTATGTCTTTATTAGCAGCATGAGAACAGACAAGTACACCACCATCCAGCTGCTATGCCAGAAGAGACAGCAGCCCTGTACTATGTGGAAGTAAAAGGGATGAGGAAGAGGGTGCCGGATTTCTGCATATCTTGAGAGCCAGATGAAAGAGAGAGATAGAGGGAATATATTTGACTTTAACAACCTGTAGTTCTCACCTCTGGCAAACAGTGGACTGGAGGGCTCACCCAGTGATATCAGTGCCTCTTGAAAAGTGACCTGAATAGAGGGTAGGGGGAAGGGCAGTAGTTTCCTCCTTCCTCTGTATATGCATAGACACCAAGCTAAGGGTTTTATGAATGTTTCTTTATACAACCTTGTATATCATGTACTCATTATTATCCCTATTTTGCAGGTGAGATTACTGAGGCTCCAAGAGTATATATAGCTAGCCTGTCATATACTTAGTGGAAAAGCAGGGCTCTCACCCAGATCTACTGTACATCTTGGTCTGTGATTAATTATTCTGTAATAGTCTTCTTGTCAGACTGGGTTCCAGAGGCCCCCAGAACTCTTGCCGCAGTCAGCCCTTTTTTAAATCCTATTCAAAAAGTAGAATGGGAATTCTGTGAGAGGTCACTTCCAGGATTAGTTTTTGCTTCTTTGGAGAAGCACTTCTGATCATGGAGACTATCCATTCTGCAGAGCCATTTATGAGGCTTAATTTAGAAACAATTGAAGTGATTATAGCAAAATTGTTTTAAAAGAAAAAGACAAATGGACTTATTTCAGGCTAATGTAATTATGTTAAGGATTTATTTCTAATCCACTGTGGAACCCTGGTTAGAAATAAGTGTTAGAAAGCAAAGCATTGGCTTCGGGAAGTTTTGTTGAAGGAGTTTTTAAAGCACACAGAATTAAACTCATGAAACTGACAAGATGCTGCTGCACAATTACATATGGAAAACACACACACATACCGCGCATGCACACATGCTCCAGGGTAAGAAGAGCAAAAGAGACCACACTCATATTGCACAGTGATTATCCTGTGGCACCAACAAACCTCACACACCCCCTGGCCTTGAGAGAGCCTAACCTGGTTCTGTTCTCCAGATCTGCTTCTCTTTATCCCCATAGTTTTATGATTGTATCAGCACAGAGACTGCATAATGTACTGGTTTAGAACGAGAGTTCTGTGGTTATGGCCCTGCATTTTAATGCTGCCTCTACCACTTGTTTGCTGTGTCATCTTGCATAACTCACTTAACCTCTCTGTGCCTCATCCTTCATCTGTAAAATAAGGATGATGGTAAGACCATCTTCAGAGTGTTGTTATGATGATTAAATGAGTTAGTGTGTGTAAAGCACTGGTTCATGGGGAGTGCTTTTATAGGAATATGCTCAATCACAAAAAACCACAGTGGCCAGCCAAGCCCACCATGGGCAGGGTGGGAGGCAGATGGAGAAAGGCCTCATATTCACGAAGGACCACACTTTTGTCACTTTCTCCACTAAGTTTTTATGTCAACTCAGAGTTATACTGGTGAGATTGATGAACGAGCTGACAATCAAGCCACTTAAACTTGGGTCCCTAGACCACAGCACCTAGGGTGCACTGTGAATTAATATTCTTTATGATCCTACAATTTGCTTGTGAATATTCTAATTGTAGTGCATTGAATTTTTACTTGTGTCATAAATCTGCTAAACGTAAATGCTTAGATTAAATCACCATTTTTATAAATCTGTTTTTCCTCCCTTTTTAATAAGCCATGGGGACACAAAAAAAGACAGGTGACCAGGCCTCCCTTGAACTCTGGGATCAAACCTGAGCCTTTGGGATATTTTCTGAAAGGAAAATGTCTCATTTCATTAGAGGAGGAAGGTCTGAGTCCATGGTGGCAATTCACTCAAATCAGAGCTTTTCTCATTCCATTATTAGTGTATAATAATCACTTTTCCCACTGGGTGCGGTGGTTCATGCCTGTAATCCCAGCACTTTGGGAGGCCGAGGCGGGCAGATCACCTGATGTCAGGAGTTCGAGACCAGCCTGGCCAACATGGTGAAACCCCGTCTCTACTAAAAATGCAAAAATTAGCCAGGTGTTGTGGCGGGCACCTGTAATCCCAGCTACTCAGGAGGCTGAGGCAGGAGAATCACTTGAACCCAGGAGGGAGAGGTTGCGGTGAGCTGAGATCGTGCCATTGCACTCCAGCCTGGGCAACAAGAGTGAAACTCCATCTCAAAAAAAAAAAAAAAATCACTTTTCCTCAAGCTCAGTGTAAAAAGGGAACCCTGGAAAGTAGGCTTAAAGAGGAGATAATCTGTAGGGAAGTGCAACTGTGGTTGTTTCCATGGTGTCCCAGTTGGGATGCTTCCAGGTACAAGTCTGAAAAACTCCAACCTTGGCTTGCCACAGAGAAAATTTATTCTCTATCTCACACTACTGAAAGTTATGGGAGGAAGCCCAACTGGTGGCTCAATGATATCATCATGATTTTTCTATCTGTCTTTCTCACAGCCTCAGGGGCACTTCATCCTAAGGCTTTGCAGTCACAAGATGACCATAACAATTTTAGCCATATCATCAAACTGCGGGAAAAGGCTGTTTCGCTTCCTTGTGTTCCATCTTATTAGCAAGGAGACTCTTTCCCCAAAGGCTTCTAGCAGCTGTCCTTTCCTGATTCATTAGCCTTCCCCTAACCAATTCTTGGCAAAAAGATGCAACCACTATCATTGGCTTAGACCAACCAGATTTTGCCTGTGTCACAGTGGGAAGGAGGAGAAGACGCCAGAAGGACATCAGGACTCTGTGTGTGTGGGGCAGGAAAAGAGCTGCTGGGTGTGGGTCCAACAGACTGTGTGCCACGGGAACTTTCCAAAGCAGAGGTGTCTAAACTGGGTTTCATGTTGGAACCACTTATACTGGATATCGTAGAGTTGGCTGCTTTGAGGGCAGTGTTGGTGATGGCATAATTGAGATTGGGCCATATCTCTTACTCAGCACATATTTGATTGGAACATCTTTGCCCTAACACCATGAGAATGAGAGGAACAATTCCAGGTTGTAATTCCATCAGGGTAGCATGGCATCCCAGATATGACATCTTTTTGGTGGAATTTAGTGAAAGATCCAAGTGAGAAATGAACCTTAGCTAACGATAAGGTCATCATTATTACTATTCAAAGATTTATCTATGTAAAATTTACATTTATCCAGTTAAAGACATAAATGTAATATATTATTATATAATTATAATTAATATAAAATTTACGTTTCAGAGATGCATGGTGATGATCATTTGGGGTACTGGTTTTGGTTGATGAAAAAACAAGGAAGCTCATTTTGCAAACATTGAAGGAAAATATTTTGCTTCACATTTGAAGACCTGAATTTCAAATCTCAACACAGGAATCTGAATCAATATGAGCAGCTATGAAGCTCTGCCTTGAATGTGTTCTTGTGTTTCCATCCTGAAGAGGCTGAAGTGAACATGAAATTATGGCACTAACATATATATATATATGTATCATAACCATTGTTGTTGCTATTGCTATTAGTATTTGTATTACACTGGATAATTTCTGCAACACTTGTACATGCAGTACCTCATTTGGTCCATACCTTATAAGGTATTATTCTGCCCATTTTACAGCAGATTAAATGACTTGCCCAGGGTCACCTAACTAGTAAGTGACAGAACAGGAACTCAAATCCAGATATTGGACCTTGATGTCTATGTTCATTCCTTACCATTATGAAACTTAATTGCATGTTTTAGCATTTCCGAATTTCATCTTTTCACTGGAGGCCTGAATTCTGGCTCAATGACTTTCTCTCCCCAAGCCTATATTTTTTAATCTGTAACATGCGGTATAATGATAACTAGTGCATAGAATGATTGTGGAGGATTAAGTAAGACACTGGGTATGAAAGTGCTTTGTAAAACTGTACACTATTACACAAATGTGTGTTCATTCCCAGCTCTCTTTCTTTAAATGAGATATGGTGGTGCGTAATGATCGAAGCAGAGACTTGGAGTCTGGTGTGCCTGTATTCAAATCTGACTGCACCACTTACTGTCTGCCAGATCTTGGATAAATTATTTAATCTCCCTAAACCTCAGTGTCCTCATCTGTGAAGTGAGGTGAGTGATACTCTCTCTTACAGTTGTTACAGAGATTAAATGAGATAATGTGCAAAAAACATTTAGCATATTGCTAGGCAGGTGACCAGTAATGAAGTGAGGGTGAACATTAGGACTGGCACACTAGGAGGCCCTTGGATGAGTTAGAGACGTATCACATTGCAGGTGATTGTGGTGATGCCAAATAGCAGGACAGAACAGACTTAGGGAAGCAGGGCCCACTCACTGCATTGTGACATCACTTTGTAATTAAGTCTTTTCCCAGAAAAGAACTGTCTTAACCAAGTCCTGTCTATAAAGTTTTCTAATTAACTCGAGTCACTCCACAATGCTTGGAAAGACCACCGTGCAATATTCTTTGGCTCTAGTACATCTAATTTTGTCTTCAAAGAAAACCTGACACAGTATGAGGGAAGCTGGGAAATGAAAAGAAAATCTTCTGTGGACAGATTTTCTCCCCCTACATCTCAGTCATTGCATTTCAAAGCCCGTTTCCACATAATGAAAACTGCTGCTCACCAGGGCGTGATGGCTGGGCACTGAACATCACCCGTCTGGGTTTATGTGTATTTTAAACAATAAGAGATGACAGGCTAAAATGGTAAAGTGGCTCTATTATCTAAGAAAAAGCAATTGAGTTATTCTGAATCAATGGTGGAGCATGCATAATAGGTTTGTTGGATTTTCTTTTTTCTGCAATTACTACGTTTTTTGAGAGTTCATAAAATTTTAATTTTTACTGCTTTATCAAGGACGTTCTCGGTGAAATGAATAGTCCCCCCCACCCTACCCCCCAGAAATGCTTGATGATGACATGAAGATCCAAAGACTAATGCTTCAAAGCCACTGCTTTGATTCCTACAAAGGCACCAGCAGTCTTTCCTCACCATACGATTATTAAATTTTATTTTGGTTATTTAAGTCAGGATTTCTCATCCCAGGTGAGCTGTGAATGAGGTGTTATTGATCCCTTGGCTTTCCAGGCAGCAGGAGTACCCGGCTTCCTGGAGCCTTCAGCATTCTCATCCACTTACCAGAGTACTGCATACATAGTGTCATTTTCTCTGTGTGCCTGGAAGTATAAAGGGCCAAGCAGCACTGCTGTAACAGCCTGCCGATTGTAATAGCTTCCTGCTCCCATGGCAGGGACACGTGCTTAGTAGAAATTTCCATAGGTAGTTTGCCTGACTAAGCTTGATCTTGACAATGAAGATATATGGTAGATAAACTAGAAGTGAAACTGGATCTCTGCACAGCCTGAAACTCAGATCCTAAGACTTTTAAAACTTGATAGAAAGAAGATAAAAGATAAAAACTCATTTTAAGATCTGCCAGCACTACGTGTCTTGCTAGAGATGGAGACTTCTCCGTTACTTTGGAACTGTTTCTTTGACTATGATAATCACCCAAGTGAACTTTGAATTATGCACATGTAAGGATTTGGTTCTGTTTGAAATTGGAGATGTTTAAAATGCTCTGGTTTCAAGAAGCTAAAAATATATTTGCTTTGGGAAGAGGTGGAGGTCAGGGATAGTCTGCTGGGAAGACAGAGCTGGGATTCCCATCTAGGTTGATACAGGTAGACTGTGCTTCCCTGCCTGCAGTAGATGAGCACCAGGGGACTGAGGGGGCTGGACTGGAGTCTTTGGGGAGGATCATGAGGACCCTGAATGCCAAAGATGGTAGGAGCTGAGGAAGGGAGAAAGGGGCTATCAGAGGTAGCATGATGGCCCAGGGCCTGAGCCTTGATCTGTCGATCTGTCTTTGGTTCGTTCCACCAACAAATTGCATTCTCCTTGGAAGACACTTCTCCAAGTCAAGGCTCTGGGCTGTTTACATCTCAGTGCCTTCTTAACTTCTCTCGGGTTTAAAGGAGTTCACACGCTGTCCAAACCACCTCTGTGATTTCCCAGCCGAGCCTTGGCCCGAAGGGATCCTTTCCCACTTACTGTGGTTACTCAAGTGTTGGGGGTTACTCAGTCCTTTGCTCCCTTAGCAATTAGGAGCAGATTTCAGACAAAACTTGGTCACAGCTTTGCTGTGTGCCTCATCCTCAGGACATTTTTATAATTCGATTCTGATATCTGTCCTCATAAATTCATGAAGAGATTGGTTTATTGTCATCCTATTTCTTCTGGCATCTGTGAATAATGAAAACAGCCTCAGAATTGATAGTGTCACTCACAGCTCAGTGTTATTTGAGGTAGTCCAGGGAATGAAAGGCAGGGAAAGTTCAAGAGGAAAGTATCACTTTCCCTTTGTACTCACCTGTCAACATCCCCCTGTGCCCATAAAACCACCTTTACCTTTCTTAATAGGTTAGGTTAAAGGCAAAACCCAACAATTCTAATTGCTCCTTAACCCAATCTCATAGTGAAGAGAACTCCTACCTTTGTTGTAGACTTAAATGTTTCATGTGTAACGTGTTATTGCCTTAACTAGATTATGCTATTTGAATATAGATATCACAACTTTTGTATAAAGCAGTCCTCTATCTGCTCTACCAGCTGACCAGTCTCCCCTGCCATTCCATCCCATATCATGCTTTGGACCTACTGTAATATCCAGGAACACACTGAGTTTTCAGGAAATTCTTGTGAAATAACTGAAAGGGAGATGGAATCTTCCTGAGTAAAGACACTATTCCAAGCATCTCTCATGTGCTAAAGTGCATAGCTCATGGCCTTTATTCTAGGAATGATATTCATTCTAATTTTTCAATCCTGCTATTTGATCTACTGGGAATAAATTTAAATATTTTAAAATACACTCTTTAATACATATGTAAATATATATTTAGAATCCTTGTAAGCCATGAAAAGGAATGAGATCATGTCCTTTGCAGGGACGTGGATGGAGCTGGAAGCCATCATCCTCAGCAAACTAACACAGGAATAGAAAACCAAACACCACATGTTCTAACTCATAGGTGGGAGCTGAACAATGAGAACACAGGGACACAGGGGAGGGGGAACAACACATATTGGGGCCTGTCCAGGGGTTGGATGGAGGGAGAGCATCAGGACAAATAGCTAATGCATGCAGGGCTTAATACCTAGGCAATAGGTTGACAGGCACAGCAGACCACCATGGCACACATTTACCTATGTAACAAACCTACCTGCACGTTCTGTACCGTATCCTGGAACCTAAACTTAAAAAAAAATCCTTGTAATCTAATGAGGATCAGTTTATCAAACTATATACATAAATTTTTATTTTTTGCTACGAAACAAAAATGGATTCAACTCAGATTTGATCACTGTTGTGTTAATTCTAGTATTTTACTGTGCTTCTATGTTCTTTTATTATCACTTCTCTATGAATACAGTCAAATTCTATATTTGCATAATTTTCTTATAATGGAAAAAGCTATTCTTAAAGAAATAAGCAATTGACTCAGGATTAGCATAGTGCTCTGTATCATTTTATACATTGTTGCACATCATAATTCATGATGAATGGAAAGAGAAAACTAGCAAATTTATCTTCACAGTTATTCAAATGGAATACTTACATATAGCATCCTTCCTTTATTGCTTTCTTCTTCAATAAAATTATGTGGATGAATTTCCTTTTTCTTTCTTTCTTTTTTTTTTTCTTTGAGACAGAGTCTCACTCCCAGGCTGGAGTGCAGTGGTGCACCACTTCAGGGGTTCAAGCGATTTTCCTGCCTCAGCCTCCCACATAGCTGGGATTACAGGTGCCCACCACCACGCCCAGCTAATTTTTTTTTTTTTCAGTAGAGACAGAGTTTCGCTATGTTGGCCAGGCTGGCCTCAAACTCCTGACCTCGTGATCCTCCCACCTCAGCCTCCCAAAGTGCTGGGATTACAGGTGTGAGCCACCGCACCCGGCCCTTTTTTTTTTTCTTTTCTTTTTTTTTTTTTTTTTGAGACAGGCTTTCGCTGTATTGCCAAGGCTGGAGTGCAGTGGTGCCATCATGGCTTGCTGCAGCCTTGACCTCCTGGGCTAAAGTGATTCTCACACCTCAGCTTCCTGAGTAGCTGAGACCACAGATGCATGCCACCATGCTTGGTTAATTTTTTTTTTTTTTTTTTTTTTTTGTAGAGATGAGGTCTCCCTATGCTGCTTAGGCTGGTCTCGAACTTCTGGACTCAAGTGATCCTCCTGCCTCAGCCTCCCAAAATGCTGGGAAAATGAGCCACCATACCTAGCCCCTCCTTTTTTTTTTTCCTTTCACTGTAATCATTTTTGTTTCAATCCCATCCATAAAGCTGAATTTGATTATAGGAGTAAGCATGTTTGAAACTTTAGCTGTATCTTCAATGAGGAAGGCTTAGGTTGTCAGTCCCAGCCATTTATTACATGACTATATTTGTGCTTCTGATGATATACTGTATGTCATTTGTATAAATTTAAGGTGTTTGCTAGCTACACATGATAAACGCATAGCTGTAAAGTCTCCTCTTCTTAGATCACCTCTATGGAGCTGTGTTTGCTGACATCATAACTGCTGAGCTATGTGTACTAATAAGCTTGTCTGTGCTGCAAGATTAAATAGATAAGGCCAGAAGTCACATTATTCAGGAAAAAGCAGAATGTAATTTTCTTTGCAATTTCTTTTAATGGAGTTAGCACATCTTGCGATTCAGCAGCATGTGTATTTTTAAGTGGTTTACTGTGTGTGTACACAGGGATACAGGATGCAGAATTCCGGGTGCCTCCTCTCCTTGGCCTGGCCTGGCTAGCAGGGAGTAGGATCTACCTGACCTTGCTTCAGCTGTCCCTAGCCTGAATAGTGATAGTCCAGGAAAATACTACAAGCTATTTTGAACAACTTTAGAATATTTGGGGAATACAATTTTTTTACACTGATTCTACAGAGTTGTTTGTTTTTACAGTATTTGCTGTAATTAGACTAGAAAAAATAAAGATAGTTGAATAGAAGTTAAATTATCTTATTAGCATTTAGAATGAGCAGGAAAAATCTTAGGTGGTTCCTGCTGGGAAGGGGGATGGATGGGGGTGTGCAGCATGGTATGTGAGTAAACCCAGCCAGGCACACACAGACAGCTTTAGATAGAAGGTGGTTTGCCTACTGGCACACAGAACCTGTCTTATAGAGATGTGGGGAGGCTTTGTTGGTTTTTTTGTCTGTCTGTTTGGGTTTTTTTAAACCACTTTGTGGATATATGTTCATCTTTCCTCTCTTTAGATTAAGCTTCCATTTTCATTTTCTCTTAACAAGACATGGAAATAGTAACCAGATAGTAAATAGCTAAACAGGAAAGCTTTTCCTTAAGCACACAAATATACACACATCCTTTCTGAGCCTCTGCTCTGCTTTCTACCATGAGATACCCTGCAGAGTGGAAGGAGTACAGAGATCTGTGTTCTCCTCCACCTTGGGTACTTATTGGCTATACATATAAAACCTTGGGTAAGCCCGTAATTCTTCACCCTCCACTTTGTTAATATTGGGATAATTAATCTTCCTTCTTCCTTTCTCATGATATTTCAAGGATCTGCTGAAATAGTGTATGTGAAAGTCCTATGGACTCATGCAAGAAGGGACTGGCCTTTATTTCAGTCCATAGCACTGGGCAGCTGGTCTAGTGCCTGCACACACTTTTAGTTCAGCAGATGTTAGTGGTAACAGTGAGTGTTTAAAAGAGACCCTGTACATGATTCTAAAAGCAGTGTCCTCTGCTAATTTAACTCTTTTATAATCTGTATGGTGAGATTAGGAGTAGAGGGAACAGGGGTCAAATTAGAATTGAGACAAAATTGGGTTTTAATAATTTCTTCATTCAGGCAATAGATTTTTATTAAGCAACTGTTACTTGCTAGGCCTTGTTCTAGGCACTGGGGTTATAGCAGTGAACAAAACAGACCCAAATCAATGGCCTCATGAAGCCTCCATTTTAGCAGGGTGTATTAGTCAGGGGTCTCTAGAGAGACAGAACGAATAGGATAGATGCATATATGAAGGGGAGTTTATTAGGAGAATCGACTCACACAATCACAAGGTGAAGTCCCACAGTAGGCCATCTGCAAGCTGAGGAACAGAGAAGCCAGTCCAAGCCCTAAAACCTCAAAAGTAGGGAAGCCGACAGTGCACCCTTCAGTCTGTGGCTGAAGGCCTGAGAGACCCTGGCAAATCACTGGTGTAAGTCCAAGAGTCCAAAAGCTGAACAACTTGGAGTGTGATGTTCCAGGGCAGTAAGCATCCAGCAGGGGAGAAAGATGGAAGCCGGAAGACTCATCAAGCCTAGTCCTTCCAACTTCTGCCTGCTTTATTCTAGCCATGCTGGCAGTTGATTAGATGGTGCCCACCCAGATTGAGGATGGGTCTGCCTCTCCCAGTCCACTGACTCAAATGTTAATCTTTAGTAACACCATTACAGGCACACCCAGAGATGACACTTTGCATCCTTCAATCCAATCAAGTTGACACTCAATATTAACCATCACACAGGGAAAGATAGACACTAAACTAAATAAAACTGTTAGTATATTAGAATTGCAAGTGTTAAGGCAACCCAAAATGTAGAGAAGGAGGATCAGGTATTATTTTTTTAACTGGGGGGGTAAGAGAGGACACTACTGAGAAGGGGAGACTGGGGTAGACCTGAAGGAGGTAATGAGGAGGTAAGGAGCCATGAGGACATGGTGGGGAGAATTGGAGCCACAGGGACACGAGGGGAGGCATCCAAACTATGAGGACATAGGGGGTGATATTCAAGCCGTGAAGATATGAGAGGATCCTGGATCCATGAGAATATTGGGGATGGAGACATTCAAGCCATGAGGATATGGGAGTAGGGAGGCATTTGAGGCACAGAGAACAGCACGTGTACCCTAAATGGGGGGATAATGCCAGGCAAGTTTGAGGAAAGAGACAAGTGAAGCTCAAGTGGAGGGAGGTAACTTGAAATAGAAGGACATAGAGTCAGAGAGACAAGAATGATGATGATGATGAAGATGATGAAGGTGATTAAGATACTGTTGAGTGCTTACTTTGCCAGTACTGTTGCATTATCTCACGTGATCCACACAAAAACCCCGATGCATCAGTTGAGGAAACTGATGCACAGAGAAGTATGAGTTCCTCAGGGTCACACAGCCACGAGGTCTTGAAGCCAGCACTGGCATTCAGGGTCCTCTGATGCCAACAGCCTGTCCTTAACCATTGTGCCTTATCATGTCTCCTGTGTAAGCAAGCCAACCGCAGATAGCGTTTTTTGGCGTTCCGTGTTCTAGGTGATATTTTCTTTTTTTCTTCTTCTTCTTCTTTTTTTTTTTTTTTTTTTTGTTTTTTTGAGATGGAGTTTCGCTCTTGTCACTCAGGCTGGAGTGCAGTGGCGCAATCTTGGCTCACTGCAACCTCTGCCTCCCAGGTTCAAGCGATTCTCCTGCCTCACCTTCCCGAGTAACTGGGATTACAGGCACCTGCCACCACGCCCAGCTAATTTTTGTATTTTGAGTGGAGATGGGGTTTCGCCATGTTGGGCAGGCTGATCTCGAACTCTTGACCTCAGGTGATCCACCCACCTTGGCCTCCCAAAGTGCTGGGATTACAGGCAGGAGCCACTGCGCCCGGCTGGGTGACTTTTTCTTATTGTTTGCCAGCTTTGTAGTGAGTATACTATCACCAAAAAAGTCCCTTGAGACTACTCTCAGTTTCCTAGGAAAAACAAAACATAAGGAGAAAACCAATACCGGTACCATTGCTGATAAACTTTGGACCTGTATAAAGAAAGTCTCAGTTTCCCAGATACAGAAAGAAGACTCTCTGAAAAGATGACCACAGACAGTAGCTTTGGAAAGGTACGATCTTTCATTATTACCAACTGAATGATTGCCAGGAATACTTGCCAGCTACCTTGCTATTCACCTAACACCAATATTTTTGAATAGTTCAGCTGCCCTCTGGTTCATGGAATTCTTAAAAATGACAAAAGCAATGTAACAGCATCTACAGTCAATACGAAATAGATGCAATAGAATGGAGCCATCGTTTCTTGAGCATTTACCACATGCCAGCGCCTTTCTCAGTGCTACAGAGGGAAGCACAGCAAAACTCCATAGGTGCACTCAGTGCTCCCTGGGGAGAGGAAAGACACCGAATGGAAGTGACCATCTCCACCTAAACACCAAGGAAGACTCCAAGGAGAAGGAGAGAGTTGGAATTTTAATGTTAACTTTTGGGAAACACATCCATGTTTACAAAATGTTTTGTTTTTATTCTCCTCCGAGCTTCCTTTATAGGGCTGGAGAGGCAATAAAAACACTTGTCAAGGTCAAGCTAGGGTGAGGAGTTTGGTGACTCCAATCAGGTTGGGGTGCGGCCTTGAGAGGCCCTGAGTACGAGGCTATGGGGTTTGGCATTTAATCTGTCATCAGTAGGGAACCGTGGAAGATTTTTGAGAAAGGACATGACTTGAACAGGTGGGGAGCCTTAAAGAGGCTGAGCAGTTAATATTTTTGAGTTCAGATGGGAGACAGTGAAGACAGTGAAGGCTTGGATTAAGAAATGGTAGCAGTGACAGGAAATGAAGTTGAGAGCAGCATGGGCAACATAGACCCTGTCTCTACACAAAGTAGAAGAAAATTATAGTCAGGTGTGGTGGTGCATGCCAGTTGTCCCAGCTACTCAGGAGGTGACACTGGTGAGCCACGATGGCGCCACTGCACTCCAGCCTGGGTGACAGAGTGAGACCCTGTCTAAAAAAAAAAGAACTGTTGAGAGACAAGGATTTCCTTGTGGCTGTATTTCTTTTCCTTATGACAAATAAAGGTGGTTTTGTGTTTTTTAAAAATTAGTTTATTCCTCTTTCTCACCTCTCTTACATTCTTGTGAAAAGCTGATTTTAAACACAGCAATAAAACAACTGAGAATCATTTCTTCCCCTGGGTAAGAAAGAATTAATGCACTCAATCAGTCAATATGCTGTATTTGTTACTTCTCAGTGGCATCCAATTTGTTCTGAAAATATAATTCTTGTCCAGCCAGAGCCTGGGAATGGGTGACAAGTTGCCCTCAACAGCACTAAGACCTTTCCAGAGTTGGATGGCCATTTGCTGTGGGGCTTCTCTGAGTCTGTTCTTATTCCGCCCAGACCCCACTTGGTTTGGTCTGTTTAGTGATTGATGGGCCTTGAAAACCCCAGAGGTTCTTACCTCTTTGGAGTCTCTTTACTCCCTGAACTCTGAGCCATAGCTACCATTTCCACTCACCACGGGGTATCCTATTGGCTGGGCCTGGAAAGTGGTGTTTTTGTCGGACATGGCCAGGTTTAACTCTGTGCCCTTAAGACAACACTCTGAGCCTCCAGGATGATGTGGAAACACCAGCAGGTATAGTTAGGGCATCTCCACACCTGCTGTATAAATAGGGAATATATATACTTTTTAGCAGTGTAATTGGCATGCAGTAGGAACACAAATAGGAATTCTGTTCCTTTCCTGTCCCTGCAGTGTGGTTGCTGAGACATGAATAAACTAGGGAAAGACTTTGAGAGGTGTTGTGACCACTCTTTAGACAGAATGGACCACTATCCAAAATTTAGTTCAGATATCAAGATTGATGATGCTATACATACACTAAAGGGATACGAACAGGTTTTCTACTTACATAATGGGAGCTTCTCAGCAGAGCAGGACAAGCCTACCAAACTAGTCCCAAGATGGCTTGAGAGAAGAGGAAAAGAGACAGCTCGGGGTTTTTATTGCCATTAGGGGGTACATACAGAATGAGGGCTCCTGCATAGGAACGGGGGCTTGCCTGGTTTGAGTCTCCCGCTGGTGTCGAGGAAGGAGCACCTTTTCTTATCAGCTAGCCCAGATGTGTAGGGCACAAGGAGGAAGAGGAACGGGTGATGTCCAAAAGCTGTGAGCAGTCAAGCATCAAAAAATTGAGTCAAACTTTTTATTACAAGAGGCCTGATGTTTGAACAGGATTGGATGGAAGTGAGAATCAACGGTGACTCAGAAGGAAGAAGAAGGAGCCTCACTCCTCACCTCAGACATAATATTAGCCTCCGCTGGCCACAGCGTAGATCAATATAATCCTGATGCAAATGGAATCCTTAGACTGTGGAAATATAAACACATGGCCTTCTTTCAGCCATGAACACAAAGGAATCTGAAGGAGGGGATAATATACTCAGTGATGTGGATTACTAGAGTTAGCAAATAAAAATGCGGGATGTTCAGTTAAATTTTAACTTCAGATAAACCACAGATTTTTTGTGTAAGTATGCCCATCAACATTTGGGACATACTTAAAAAAGTATTCATTGTTTATCTGAAGTTCAAATTTAACTGGATATCCTGCATTTTTATATGACAACTTTAATGAGCCCTTAAAAGCCCTGCAGACCTGAGAGGGGAGGCTGGGGAAGAGAAGAGGATGGTGGAACATTTGTCTTTTGGTAGCACCTTCCTGCCACCATCTCAGGACACACCCATCTTTGTCCCGAGGATGCTGTTGGGTGCTGCTTTTTCTACGGGCTTGGTAAAGTGGTAGGAGCAAAGCTTCCTTTAATACAGATTCTTATACAGCTGGCAAGGTTAGCCAGAGGACTGGTTGCTTATAACTTTCCATGCTCTTTTCTCTCTTGTCAGTTTAATAGATCGGCTCCCTGTGCTGGTAATCACAGACATAACTAATTGGTTTTGTTTATTACCTGATTTATGTTTTCCTCAGTCTTTGTTACTTCCTATCCTCCCTTCAATCTATCATTTTATCCTGCTTTCCACCCCAACATCCATCCTCCCATCTACCTTTTCTCCCTTCCTTGCTTCCTTCCTTTTGTTTTCCTTCCTCTTGTTCTTCTTCCCTTCCTTCAATGGCTTTTTGGGGCACCTCCTAATTTCTAATCTGCAACAGTTGTTCTACGTCCTCTTTTATCCAAAATCAGTATTTTCTTGCTGCTTTGGACCCATTCAGAGCAAACTCACAATGCAGATAATCTAATCAATGCAGATTCTGCTTAAGGAACATCATGGTAATGACACAGATTTCTTTACTGAGATTCAGAATGGAGTTAGAAAACACTGTGGGTTGTTGTTGTTGTTGCCTTATTTATTAGCCTGGTAATTGAAGAAATGTGGTGTGGTTTTTACCACAAAGCATTGATTCCTGCAGCAGGAGTTCCTTGAATGAATGGCCTGGGTCATTTAGGGAATATATCCCTTGCAACTAGAGCTGTGTCCAACAAGGAAGAGGTGCCTGCATTTATCCAGAAGAGCAAAAAGCCTGAAGGTGGGATGCTGGCGCCACAGCAAAATAAAATGCTCGTCAATGGCAACAAATTGTCAATTTGTCAATGACAATAAATGCTTATTAAGCATCTGTCAGGAATGGCGTTAGGTGCCAGGGATACAATATGAAACAAGACAGAATCCCCCTACAGTGGAGTTTAGCATCTGGCAGGAGATGTAGATTTTAAGCATATAACTGTGCAAATAATTCCAATTGTAGTAAATGCTTTTCCTAAGCACAAGATGTGATTGGAGCAAGTCATGTTCCGGGTGGTCAGAGAAGGCCTCCCCAAGGAGGGCATGTTCAGTGAGATCTGCAGGGTGAGTGTGTAGGAATTAGGGCAATGAGAACGTTTAGAAAATGGGAGAGGTTGAGTTGGAAAGGAGGGCGTTTCAGGTCCTGAGAATGGCTGCCGAGTGAAGAACAGATCTGATGGAGCAGAGGCAGAGGTCACAAGACCAACTAGAGGCAGTGATCCAAGCAACTCCTCCCTGCTCCTGGGGCACTGCTAACATAAGAGAGCCCTGGGGCTCCTCCTGGAGAAGGCCATCAACACAGCCAAGCATCACACGGTTGCTGTGACTGATGAGTGACACTCAAGCGGGGCTCGTGGGATCTGTATACAGAGCCACAGCCTCCTCAGCCCCAGGAAAAAAGACAACAAAACAAAACAAAAAGCAGCCTTCAGCTCACCTTCAACTGCTTCTCTAATGGGTCTTTGCTTAATTTCAGGTTAGAATAAGGATTTCCATGCAGGAAAACCCTCAGTGGGGGTCTGGCAGTCCACTCTGGGTGCACATCCACAGATGTCTTTCACCCCTGGCTAGCAATCTGAGGAGGGGAGTCGGGCTGGAAGCCAACAGTGGTTCTCTCGTTCTTTCTTGCATCTATCACTTTCATGCTCTTTTTCTTTCTAGTTCTCTGTGGAAGTAAAACAATGGGGAGAATGTCCCCAACTCTGGAGGGCTCATCGTTGTAAACAACCCAACCAAACTGAACCTTTATCTCATTCAGATGAATAGTCCATGTTTAGCGAGCACCTGCTAGATGCCGGCCATGATGCTGACCTTTTCCCTATTCATTGGGAAAAATGAATTTTCCCCCCTTTCTCACTTGGTCCTCCAAAACAGCCCTATGGAAAGGGTGCTATTGTGCCTATTTTACTGCAGAGCAAATGAGACCAAGAGATGTTCAAGGACTTGCCCAAGGTCACATAACACAGCACCATATTTAGAACTTCAGTGGAGTTGTTCTGCTACCAAGTCCAATTCTCTTTCTACACACCTTGCTGGGGGGAGCAAAAGATGCAAGAGGTTAAGAAATTATTGCATATTCTCTTTCTGTTCACCAATTAATGGGATTCTCACTTGTACATATGTTTGATGAATAAACGTTAATATTTTCGTAAGTTTGATAGACAAACATTAATACTTTTAGCCATGTTGGCCAGGATAGTACCTTCCAACAGAAGCAGCCACTGAAACCCTGAAAGTGATCCAGCCAGAGACATGGAAGGGGTGAGGGTGAAGAGGATGGTTCTGGTTCTACACCCCTGGGACCGTGAGTTGCATGAATTTATCATGGCAGTTAGCTTCTCTACACCCCTTATCCTTGGAGAAAAACCAAGATATAGCATATCTCACATCAATTCTACAGTGAAATCATGAGGATAAAATATTATTGAAAATGCTCCAGACTGGGCATGGTGGCTCATGGCTGTAATCCCAGCACTTTGAGAGGCTGGAGCAGGCAGATCACTTGAGGCCAGGAGTTTGAGACCAACCTGGTCAACATGCCAAAAACCCGTCTCTACTGAAAATACAAAAATTAGCCGGGTGTGGCGGCGTATGCCTGAAGTCTCAGCTACTCCAGAGGCTGAGCCACAAGAATTGCTTGAACCTGGGAGGCAGAGGTTGCAGTGAGCTGAGATCGTGCCACTGCACTCCAGTCTGGGAGACAGAGCAAGACCCTGTCTCAAAAAAAAAAAAAAAAAAAAAAAAAAAAAAAGCAAAGAAAAAGAAATACTCTGAATTGCAACCAGAATCTCAGATTCCTGTTATTTCCCTGTCCTATGTAGGATACTATTTTTACAAAAAGATTCTTTCTAAACCAGGAAGCTGTAGATGTTAAACACATGTGTGCCAAATAAATAAAAAAATTATGAACTATTCTTAGAGTCTATGGAGGGTCTTGAGTCAATTTACCGAATGAATTTGTGGCCTCTAGAGGATATCTAAAAATGGGGACTTGAGCTCCTCCTATACCTCCTCTGCTAAGTTAAGTGATGAGCCCTGGATCACCATGATGGATTTATTTGCCTCCCCAGTCCATGAGGGCCGACTGTTTTGTTTTATGGTTTTATCAGAACCCAAAGTAGTAATAATGAGTTTTAAGTAAGATAATATTTAGTACCCTAGTTAAGCGGACATTTATTGCAAAAGGAATTCCTCAGAAGTTTCCCAGAGTAAGGTTTTAACCTATGGCAGCCTTGAGGGGCTGTTGAGGCCCCAGAGCACCCTCCTCTTCCCTGGATGCAGCCTGCTCTGGTCCAGCATCTGGCTCCCAAGGCAGCCAAAACAGGCAGCTCTGTTGCAATGGTCTGACGGCCAGGTGGTCTGATGGTGAAGAGACATGTGGACTTCATCTGAAGCCTTTGACTTCAGACACTCCCACAGTTTCTTTGTTTGGGACAGCCTTGGAGTTTCTGTAGGCCTGGAATGTGACCATTTAGTAAGGCCTCTGTCCACTTTCTCATGGGCCCTTTAAGCATGCAGTGAAAGTACCCCTCCAATTGCTGGCAACCTGGGAGGGAGTGGAGGCAGACTTAGACATTAGATGGACTTGGAGTAGCTGGGAAAGGAGATGCCATCAGGAGTTGAATTTCAAGCAATAGAAGATGTAGGGTGCTGTTGAGGTAAAATATGTCTTTAGGTTGAAACAGGAGAGAGCGTATTTACATGGTTACAACAGTGCACTCTTTTAAGAGCAGGGTGGGTGTGCCCTCCTAAGCTCTCGAATAGCAAATGCCAAACTCACATGTCTGTCACTATAACTCAGGCAGACCATGGGGGGCGGGGAGTGAGGCGTGGAATTCCAACTCCATTTCCAATTTAATTCTCATCTTAGGGGGTATGTAAGCTTGCAAGATGTGTAGTTGGGTTATAACGGCTTTAGAGGAAACTGGCTTATTGGAGAATTTACTGCAAAGAGGTTCTTCATGTCATTGGAAAGAATAAGTTCTTGCCAATATAAATCAGCTCTATCTGCTAAAAACCCTGCACTGGCTCAGCCTCAGTCCAGAGTGAAAGCTGAAAGTCCCTATAGTCATGTCCAGGCCCCACATCACCTGGCCCCGCATGATGGTGCTGACGTCATCTCCTTCATACCCTCATACCCTCCACTCTAGCCACATCCTGGATCACGCTAGGCACGCCTCCAGTTTAGAGCCCTCTCGTTCACTGTTTTCACTCCTGAAAGAGTCTTCTCACACTTACCTCCATGGTGCCCTGCCTCACTTCCTCTGGTCTTTTTCCAATGTTGCTTTCTCAGTGGGGTCTTCCCTGGCTTCTGATTCAAAACTCCGACACCCGTTCACTGACTGCTGGTATTCTGCAACTCCCTTCTCTTCTTTACTCTTCTCCGTGGCACATCTTCATCTACCATTTCAATTATTTATTTTGTTTATTGTATGTCTATTGCCACTACACCATAAGCACCATTAAAACAGGTGCTTACAGTCTAGTGGCAATAGATGTACAAGAATAAGTTCTTGCCAATGACATGAAGAACCTCTTTGCAATAAATTCTACCTAAGGGATACGGGAACCATGACCAAGTGAATAAAAGAAAAGTGGAGTCAACCTAAATGTCTATCAAGGGGAATTAGTTAACTAAATTCCACATAATGGAATAGCAAAGGGCTGTAAGCCTCACATTATGAACCATTGTGTCTGTTACCTAATTCGATGCTTAGCACAAGGGCAGTGCTCAATTGATTATTTGTTGAATCCATCGATAAATGAAAATTTAGCAATTTGAAAGGGTAAATGAGCTACATCTATATGTATAACATGGAGGAATTTCCACAGTATTCTTTTTTTTTTTTTTTTTTTTTTTTTGAGATGGAGTCTCGCTCTGTTGCCCAGGCTGGAGTGCAGTGGCACGATCTTGGATCACCACAACCTCCACCTCCCAGATTCAAGTGATTCTCCTGCCTCAGCCTCCCGAGTAGCTGGGACTACAGGCTTGCACCACCACCCCTGGCTAATTTTTGTATTTTTAGTAGAGACGGGGTTTCACCATGTTGGCCAGGCTGGTCTCGAACTCCTGACCTTGTGATCTGCCCGCCTCGGCCTCCCAAAGTGCTGAGATTAGAGGCATGAGCCACCGGACCCAGCCAATATTCTTTTAAGTGAAAATGAAGGTTAAAGAATAATATAGAATGATCCTGTTTATAGTTAGAGTATATGGGTTTCATACATATGCATTTAAATGTCTAAGGGGATACGTATGATTTAAACTGTTAATAGTGTCTTTTTATGGAGTGCTATCGGATCGGAATGAAGATATTCACTTTCTCATTTTTACATCCCTTTATTACTTAGATTTTTTCAATAATGATGTAATACTTTGGTAATCCGCAAAACAAAAAATGGTATTTCCATATTTGGAGGAGGGGGAAAGTGTTGCTGTTAGACGAGGTTCTGCTCAGATTCTTATCAGAAGTATGTTTTATTGGCAGTAATGTGGTTGCACTTTATGAAAAATAAAACTTGGAAAAACCCCCAGGCCAGGCCCCTTTCAGCCTGAAATGCACACTCTAGTAGAGCAAGGTCTCTGATATTTTGGAGACTATAACCTCTGCTCACCTGGAGAAGACAAGATGATTTCCTGGGCTTTATCTCATGCTGTAGGGAATGCAAAAGAAGAGTACATTTGTTTCTAGTGAGCCTCTTGCTCACCAGATTTTTTTGTACCATTTCAGTTCTCATCTCAAACCCAGTCACGTCTCTGCAGGGGTTATGAGAACAAGGTGTGTGGCTGGGAACCCCAGGCCATGACCCTTCACATAGGAGATATGAGCTCACATGCCCAGCCTCGCTGGGAAGAGGCCTCACTGGGGGCAATGGCTTTGTAACATATTTCGGGCAATTCCAGCAAAGCCATTTTGTGATCCAAATAGGGCATAGGTCTCATTTCCTTACACTGGCTCATCTTAGCAGAGGCGAGAGGAGAGAATATTCTTTGGTCAAGATAAAGACTAAGTTAGTGAGATTATTATATAACTCTTTAATTCTCCCTCTTTTAATTTTTTCCTGATGTACTACTCTGTTTTATTTCCTAATTTGCCTGTTATATATAAATATGAAGTTTGTATGTATAGTCTTCTTTCAAATTCCCACTGGTTCCATTGAAGAAAAATTCTGAAGCAATGTGCTCTTCGGGTTTTTATTTAGTCTTCCTTATTTTTCCTTAGTGAAAATCAAAGACAATTGACCTAGAAATGAATTTGTGGGATTTTAGTCACCAGTAAAATTTAGGCAGCTAAAATATCTGATGTCTAAGTCATGGTAAATGAACACATACTCCTCTTCATCCACAACTTTGATAGTTCTCTTCCTTATATTTTAAGAACATTTTTTAAGTTGTGTCTCCACAATCTAGACATTCCATTGGCTGAAAATTCAAAGCAACTGTTAGTGGACAAGATTACATGCCCCAAATTAGGCAAACTTTTTTTGCGTGCTTTTTGTTTGTTTGTTTGTTTTGTTTTGTTTTGAGATGGAGTCTCGCTCTGTTGCCCAGACTGGAGTGCAGTGGTGCAATTTTGACTCACTGCAACCTCCAACTCCCTGGTTCACGTGATTCTCCTGCCTCAGACTCCCAAGGAGCTGGGACTACAGGCAGGTGCCACTATGCCTGGCTAATTTTTTGTATTTTTAGTAGAGATGGGGTTTCACCGTGTTAGCCAGGATGGTCTCGATCTTCTGACCTCGTGATCTGCCCACCTCGGCCTCCCAAAGTGCTGGGATTACAGGCATGAGCTACGCCCCGCCCTAGGCAAACATTTTAATGAAACTGGTCTCTTTCAGGAATCCCTGTGGTTACTGGGTTCCTTGTTGCAGCCAAGCTTGTCTTTAGCTGCTCGATTCTTGCAAATTCCATTTTAGGAGACTTTGGTGCAGTTTGCATTGAGGCTTTTCCTCTGAAGTTAATCAGGCTGTCCAGGATGAGTTGTGTCCTTTGCCCTGGAAAATCTAACTCTGGGCTCTGAGGAATTAAGTCATGGAGCTTTCAGAACCTTATGAGGAATCGCAGAAATGCAAGGCTGCAAATCTTTCCCTCCACGAATACACAAAGTAAAGAAGGGAACGTGCTCATCCTGAAAGCCTGTTCACTAGCCACCATTTCCTCTTGCTGTGGCGTCATTTTTAGTTGTCATTCCTTGATTTTTCTTTTTTAGTGGAAACTTAAGTTCTTATTTTAGATTCCTGATAGTAGTTCCTTGTTGGTGATTTGGTGTCTTCTCTTTGGATATATTTTACCTTTTTCATCTGCAGTCAATATCAACTCCAGATTTATTTTTTGATCTCTAGGAGACTGGGTGTGACCCAAAATAAGTTGAGAGATTTCACATTCCCCTTCCCAGTGTAAACTACTGAATAACAGGATGCCAGTGTCTAATAGAAAAGGGTGCGCAGTCACATAAGGAAATGCAGGATCAAAGCAAAGGCCCTTAAGAGGTAAAAGATGGGACATCCAGGAGGCCAAGGTGCCTGGAGCAGAGAGAGAACTGAGAGGTAAGTCAGAGATGGCCCAGGGCCAGCTCACGCAGAGCCTTGTGAGCCAAAGAGGGAATTCTAACTTTATTCTAAGTGCATGAGAAGACTTCATAGAACTTTAAGCAAAGGATTGACATAGTCTGATAAGTGTTTTTAAGAAGATACTTTTATGCTGGGCATGGTAATGTGCATCTGTAGTCGCAGCTACACAGGAGGCTGAGGCAGGAGAATTCCTTGATCCAGAAATTGAGGTTGTAGCATGCTAGTGCACCACAATCTTGCCTGTGAATAGGTACTGCACTCCAGCTTGGGTGACATTGCGAGACCCTGTCTCTAAAAAATGAAAATATTTTATAAAAGGTTACTCATTACTCTTGGAGGCTGAGTAGAGAATAGATTGGGGCAAGGAGTAGGGAGTGGGAAGATGAGTGAAAAGTAAGATTTCAGTGAGGAGAGTTGTTGTAGAAGATCAGGTAGGAGATAATAGTTTGTATTGAGGTGCTGACAATGGAAACGGCAAGAAGTGAATGGATTTAAGACAAATTTTGGATGCAGATCCAACAGCTTGCTGATGGAACAAAAATGGAAGAAATCTCAGATGAGCCTCAGTGCTTTAGAGAGAGCAGTTGGGTGGAAGATGGTATTCTTCACTGAGATGAGGAAAGTTGGGGTTGAAGAGAGCACAAGATTCAGAGAAAATACCAAGAGCTCCAATTCTTACTTGTTTCGTTATATTGAGACCTTTCAATGTCCAGTCTTGAACTGGGCATGAAGGACACAACACTGAAGAGGGCATGGTTTTAGCTTCCTTGTGTTTGTCTGCCTACTTCGCTGGTCATTCCTTTTTGTTCTCCTTTACTGGCTCCTTCTCATCTCCCAGAGCCTAAATGCCATGTGATCAAAGGCTCAGTCCTTGATCTACATTGACTTCTTTGGTGCTGTCATCTGGTGTTTGCGTAGAAACAGTATACACATTCACTTCCTTGGTGCTTTTCTATCCACATTCACGTCCCTGGTGCACTCATTCAGTCCTTGGCTGTAAACTCTATCTATATACTGATGACTACCAAATTTATATCGCCTCACTGAACCTCTTCCTCTACCTATAGACTTATATATTCAACTGCCTGCTTGACATCTCCAACTGATGTGTAATAGGCATCTCAGGGTTAACACGTATACAACTAAATAATGATATTCATGCCTCATCCAAAAGCCCTGCTTCTCTTGCATTTTCCCCATTTCTATAAATGTTAACTTTATCCTTATAGTTTCTTAGGCCCAAACCTTGGAGCTATGCTGCACTGTTCTCTTTTTTCACATCTTACATATGAACCATCAACCAAGCCTGTTGGCTCTACCTTCAAGCAGTACCTGGAATACAACCAGGTGCCCCTTTTCTGCTGATACCACCCTGGTTCCCACCACCATCACCTCTTGCCTGGATCATTGCATGGACATCATACCTGGTCTTCCTGGCTCTGCCCTTTTCCTCTTTAGCTTACTCTCAACACAGCAGCCAGAGTGGTCCTGTTAGGATATAAATCAGCTTTATCACATTTCTGATAAAAACCCTACACTGGCTCAGCTTCAGTCAGAGGGAAAGCAGAAAGTCCCTACAGTCACCTCCAGGTTCCACATCACCTGGTCCCTCATGATGGTGCTGATGTCATCTCCTCCCCCACCTCATGCCCTCCACTCCAGCCACATCCTGGATCTTGCTAGGCTTGCCTCCCAGCTTAGACCCCTCTCATTCACTGTTCTTGCTCTTCAAAGAGTCTTCTTACAGTTATCTCCATGGCGACCTGCCTCACTTCCTCTGGTCTTTTCCCAGTGTTGCTTTCTCAGTGGGGCTTTCCCTGGCTTCTTATTCAAAATTCCAACACCCGTTCACCCACTGCAGGCATTCCACAACTCCCTTCTCTTCTTTACTCTTCTCCATGGCACGTCTTCATCTATCATTTCACTTACTTATTTTATGTATTGTGTGTCTATTGCCACTAGACTATAAGTGCCACGGAGATGGGAGAGCTCCCTTGACCCCTCTGTGGGACTTGCAACAGGGGTGTGGCTTGCTTACTTGGACGCCATGCTCAAACCCCTTGTGAGATGGGGAGCATGCAGGCAAGAAGGTGTGGGGCCGAAGTGAGCCTTTTTGGGCTCCAGCCCCACAGCAGTGTCTAGTGGTGTGTTACAATTAATGCTCTTTTAGCAGTTGCTGTCTGCGGATGGCTAAGTGTTAACCAGCTCAGTGGAGAGTCAGGGTGACAGCCTTTTACACCCTGCCCTCTTGGTACCCGGGTTCTTGTTTGGCATCCAGGAAGAATCAGGTCACATGAACAGTTTGAAAGGTGATAAATGTGGAGGATTTTATTAAGCAGTAGAAGCAGCTCTCACCAGAAGGGAAGCTGGAAAGGGGATGGTGCAGGAAGAAGGTGATCTTTCCTCGGAGCCCACCATCTCTGGCCAGGCTTCTCTCTGAAGTCATGCTGTCTGAAGTTAAGCCATGTCTATCCACAGTCTGTGATGCTCAGTTGCTTCTTCTCCCTTGATGTTCAGCCGCTTGTCTCTCTGCCAGCTGAGATCTGGGGTTTATATAGGCACAGGATGGGCAGCAGTGCAGGCCAAAAATGTAACATTTGGGTGGGAAAACAGGGATAACTGTTCTTATTTAGGGTCATGGTTTCCAGGCTTGAGGGTGGGGCCTTTGCCAGGGAACCACCCTCTTCTACCCAGTATTTCCCTGCCTCCTGTCCACATCACCATGAAAACAGGGGCTTTGCCTGTTTGCTCCCTGCTGAATTCCGCAGTGCCTAGGAGTGCCTCACCCCCAGTAGACACTTAGTGCCTGTTTGTGGAATAAATGAGTTCCAAAAGGAGGTTGTCTCCTTCTTCTTCACTACTTCTTTCTGACTTTTTATGGATTGTTGTCTTAATCTCTATAAATGCTTTGTCCTTGGGGCTAGTAGAGCATAGGGCTAAAACCACTGGGCAACCAAGCAGCAGCCCACACTCACAGTTAGGCTCTCTCATTCACAAGCAGTGTCACCTGGAATAAGTCACCTAGCCTCTCTGAGTTTTCATTTATTTGCTTATGAGATAGAGAAAGCCTGCCTGCCTATCACACAGGTTGTGAAAGTTTAATAGGATGTCACATGAAAGATCATCTAGGATAAGGCATCATTTTCATTTATGGCAGCGTCTGGCCCTGACTGAATGCCAGAGCTTTACATGTTTGACTGTCTCATTTAACTCTCACATGGAATCAATAAGAGATGAACTCATATCATTAAACTCATTTTACAGATGAGAAAACTGAGGAGAACCAAAATGTTAAGTGAATTACCCACCAGCTAGTAAACAATAGAGCCAGGCTTTGAAGCCAAGCATTTTTATTCTAGTGTTTTTCCAGTGTTCATCCAACAGGACATCCAGGAGGCCAACGTGTCATAGTTCCCAACAGATTATATTCTGAGTTATCTACAAACTTTTTTGAGTCACTTGAAGATTTGTCTTTACACTCTGATTATAGTTTCCACCAGCCTATGCAGACTGCCAAGTAGGTCTCATTTTTTCCTCTTAGAAATGGTAAAATATCATATAGTCACTTATAAGAAAAACTGTGATTAGAAAAAATTTTAGCATTATCCACTTTATGGTCATTCAAGAATGTTAAGTGTGAGCAGAGAACAACAGTTCCACAACTTGATTAGTTGGTAGTTTAACATGGATGTCTGAAAGTCACATATACGTAATTTCTTAGGATTCTTAAATTAGTAAATCTAGTTTACTGAAGCAGTATTAGCATTACTATTTTAGATTGCAAAAATGCCTTAATTGTGTAGAATTGGCTTATAGAGTGTTACTTAAGAAAAATGTGATTCTACCTCTATTTCTGTTGTAGCACACTTAACAACAAACAAACATGAAAAGATATATTAGCTTTCATAGAAACATTTTTGTTCTGTAAATAGGTTAATGATATGGTAAGGCCCCTAAGATAACTGAATTAACATTGTTTATATTAATGTTACTGCTGTTTATAAGATAGTATGAATTTGTGGGCTTATCTGAATTGTAGGCCATTCCCGTGATTAAAAATAAAGACAAAACTTTGAGTTACTGTTTGCGAAAACCTTATTGTGCTATGTAGAAATATTGAACTAATATTAAAATATTTGATGCTTTGGTTTCAGGGATTGGTTTAAAATTGGAGTCCTTTTTTTATTGGTTAGTCTTACAAAAGTGTAAGCCATTATATTTTTGACTATTTAAATAAAAACAAATGTTATTTTAAATATACAGAATGGATTGATAGTATAGGAGAGTGTAAGTTCTTCATAGGAACTTTAGAAAAGAAATATATGCTAATTCAGTTTTTTTAATCTTCTGCACAGTATATATACACTTGGTAATTTTGAACTCAATTTTGTGTTTTGAAAATATGTGTTCATAATTTAGGTAATTTGCTACTTAAAGCAATAAGTCTCTGATACCTGAAAAGTAAATGTAAATGGCGACGGTGAAATAATACTGCAATTAACTTAATAGAGAAAAAATTATTAAAAGACAGCCTGTCATACCTATGTTCAACTAGCACAAAATAAATGTTTTAATGACTGACTGGAGTTATGAAAACGATTTGACCCAAGGTGCAATTTTTGTCTCCAAACTGTTTTTCTCTTAACTGCCAATTACTGTAGCATTTCCCTAATGTTATCCTGCCCCATCCCTTCGACTCAAACGGGCAGAAATTCCTGTCTTCCCAAAGAAAAAGGTATTGTCAGGCTTCCCTCTGTCTTCCTCCTCACCACCTAAGGAATGAAACTCTGTCAAATGTCCCCTAAGATTTGTGTTGTACCATCTAACCAAGTCCAGATGGTGTCTCAAGTTTAGTCCTCATACTTAGTAAAGTGTTTGTAGATGAATTCTAGGCTTAATTGTGAACACTCGTTTTCCCAATAACTTATTCCATGCTTTTCTGACTTGTTTGTGTTATGGCCTTTCTGTGCTGATGAATTTGTAAATGTGGTTTAATTACTGTTTACCAAAAAATAGCTGCACACAGATCAGTCTCAGTGGGAGACTTAGCTAAAATGTTGAGGCAATTTGTTTCTAGTGCAAAAGCAGCTAATAAATTTGAAGCACTTTTTAAACACTGGGAAAGGCACTTAAGTTTGGTTGTGAAGAAACAGTGCTTTATACATTGGAGACATAAATCATTCTTTAAGAGAGTAGATTTAAATATCAGAATGGCATTTTTCCCCAAGGCCAGGCAAGCAGCAATTTGCACAAACTGTAAAAATGGTGATTTGATTGAAAACCACACCAAAGAGATATATTCTAAAGAACTCCCCAAAAGGAAAACTTGAAATTACTTGTAAATTCCATAAAATGTCTCAGAGCTCTAGAAAGCCGGGTATTATGTATTACCGGATGTTTCTGAATTCTGGCCTCAGGCAAATTGCCAACTTAGCAACTAAATGACAGCTTTACAATTCTAATACAAACCAGCCTCTGTAACTCTGTTTTTTTAATCTCCAGGGGAAAAAAAGGACACAGAGGGAAGTGAAAGATATTAGACTGTTCAATTTATAAATTCCATTTGTTCTCCATTTGAGTTGCAGTTGAATTTTGCTTTTGCATAAAATGGTGTTTGCTTGATTCTGCCTAAAGAGGGAACTCTGGGCCAAGCGTGGTGGCTCATGCCTGCAATCCCAGCAATTTGGAAGACGGCATGAGCCCAGGAGTCTGAGACCAGGCTAGGCAACAAAGTGAGACCCCCATCTCTACAAAAAATAAAAAATTTAGCCAGGCATGGTGGTACACACCTGTAATACCAGCTATTTGGGAGGCTGAGGCAGGAGGATTGCTTAAACTCAAGAGTTTGAGGCTGCAGTGGGCCATGATTGCACCAGCACATTGCAGCCTGAGTGACAGAGTCTTAAAAAAAAAAAAAAAGGCAGGGGGAACCCAAAAAGTAAGTTCCTTCCTACAGCAGTTGGCCATACTCATAGGTGAAGTGCCCCATACTCCCATCACTTTGGACACCTGCATATGAGCAGGGCAGGTTTTGCCTCCAGTGCAGAAGTCAGAAAACAAAATCAATAAACTTGGCAATGAATGAGGATTGCTGGTCATTATCTGAACCATGAGTATTATGCAAGCAGTTTGAGTAGCGTGAGATACAAACACCACCCCGTAGAAGTTTATTTTTAGTGAGGCCACCAGACAGGCCTCACTAAATTCAATATAAGAGATCCTAAGCTCAAGTCTTAACCACCAGATAGTTTTCAGTGTGTAAAATAGCGTTCTGAAAACCAAGCCCCCGTGCTTCTGGCAGTGAGCCTCCTTTTCCAAAATTATTCCATGTTTCCACTTTGTAGTTACCTTCCTATCAGTCATTTTTCTCAGTCATGCCTTCATTCATTCATTCACCAAATGCCATTTGCGGTGGGCTCTAGGAAGACGAAGCAACCCCAGTGGAGACTCTGCCTCAAGGGCCTGACTGTGTAGCAGGAGGGAGACAGAAACAAACCCCAGAATGCGTGAAATCGCAAAGAAGATTGGCAATCATTAAAATGGGGATATGCTGTCTTTCAGGTATTCTGTAATTTTTCTAAGCTTTGCTTTCAGGTTTTTTTTTTCCAATAGACGAAAAATGCAAAATACAAGTGCAGAACTTTTTTTTGAGATGGGGTTTATCTTGACCACACTTCAATCATATACCTTGGGAATTAGGAACTAATCTCGTATATCACCTCCTCCAAGAAAGCTTCCCTGAGAGCACCCATGCCCCCTTTGGGTTGGGCATTTTTCCAGGTACTTTCACCAAATCCACTCTCTATTCTGTAGCATATCTGTCATATCGTCCCCTCACTGTTACCACCATCCCCTGCACACACAGCTAGGTGCCCTTAGGGAAAAGGGGCCACATCTTATTCTGCATCCACAGAACCAGAAACACACTGGTAATTGAGAGCCAAATGTTGAGGCAGTTTGTCTCTAGTGCAAAAGCACTATAAATGAGAAGCACTTTTTATACATTGAGAAAATAACTTCAGTTTGGTTTTGAAGAAATGGTGCTTTCTATACTCAGGAAAATAAATCATTCTTTAAGGGAGTAGCTTTAAATATAAAAGTGGCATTTTCCCCCAAGGCCAATAATAATTACAGGTATTTCCCCACCTAGTAAAAGTTACCTTTATTTTCCACACCATGTTAAGTTTAAAAATAGGTAACAAAAAGGTGTGCATTCTTGTTATGGAAACATATATTAACAGCATATTTAAGTACACATACGAAAAGTCTGGAAGAACACATATCAACATGCTAGCAATTGTTATCTCTCAGGGTTAGTATTTGAAGTGATACTGCTTTTTTTCCCTATGTATCACTCTTTTACTATGTTACTATAACTATGTGCTACTGCCATGATAAGAAAATGCAAAGTTATTTGTATTTTAAAGAGAAACATTTGACCTATTTTATAAGCCAAAATCATGACATAACTTTATGAAGCATCATCTTTACTATCAAAACCCAACATTGTCAGTGATTTATTCCATGCGTTTAAATCCCTGAACTAGCATGTTGGAGTTTGGTGGTATTAGGTTTGCTTCCATTTTCTGTCTTTATGTCTGTGTTTATAATATTCAGAAGGTATCCAAGCAGCATTTTACTTGGAAATATTCTAGCAATAAAACCTGCTAAATTCTTTCCCTTGGTCTCTCTCTTCCTCCTTTCCTTTAATTTTCCCTGCTAATACTTGGATTAGCTATCAGAACCCCAGCCTTCTTAAATTTAAGCTCAACCTCTGGCAAATTGATGTCAAAATTAACTAAGCAATTAATTCTCCCTCTCTCCCTGCCCTCATTTCCCTCTACCTCACGCTCTCTCTGAACCTTTTGCTTTCAGGATGGCTCTGTATAAAAGAAGTATTCATTTTCTGGTCAGTGATAATTCTGCTGTGCATCCTCTACTGGCCTATCTTTCTATTATTTTGTTTGGCTGACCAGTGTGTTGCAAAACCTAGACAGTGTTACTGGACTCGTATAGAGTTTATTTGTTTGTTTTTTCTTCTTCCCAAAGGAACAATTACAAATTATAAAATGCAGCCCTAAAGAGCAGCTCTACAAATTATATATGTTTTCTTTTCTATCTGCAGCTGAATTCTTGCCGCCAGGATGGGGAAACAGAACAGCAAGCTGCGCCCGGAGGTCATGCAGGACTTGCTGGAAAGCACAGACTTTACAGAGCATGAGATCCAGGAATGGTATAAAGGCTTCTTGAGAGACTGCCCCAGTGGACATTTGTCAATGGAAGAGTTTAAGAAAATATATGGGAACTTTTTCCCTTATGGGGATGCTTCCAAATTTGCAGAGCATGTCTTCCGCACCTTCGATGCAAATGGAGATGGGACAATAGACTTTAGAGAATTCATCATCGCCTTGAGTGTAACTTCGAGGGGGAAGCTGGAGCAGAAGCTGAAATGGGCCTTCAGCATGTACGACCTGGACGGAAATGGCTATATCAGCAAGGCAGAGATGCTAGAGATCGTGCAGGTACGTAGACTGAGCCCTTTAAAAAAAGAAGGGCATGTATCTCAAGTAAGAATTGGAAGGTGCACAGTATAGCACGGTGCAGAGGTTGCAAACTGGTGAGTCACCAGGACACTTCATTTGGCCCACCCTGCATGTTTGAACAGTTTAAACTGCATTACAGTGTGGGGAGACTGCACATAAAAATCCACACTGGTCGGCATCTCTTGAAAAACTAGACTAGTGGGACTCCCGGGTCATAGGTGCATTTAAAAATGTTCTGATTGGCAATTGGTTGTAAGAGTTACGATCAATAAAAAGGAATGTCTAGATTATGATTAGTGGTTGTGGAGACCAAGGTTTTACCATACAGATGAAGACTCTTAAGTAGCAGGCTTCAGAGAAAATAGCTTGGAAATGTTTCTTATCAGATGTAAAATCTGTGTTGCTGTTAATGCTGGTGGGCTTTTCCTGAATTCCAAGAGGAAGGAGGGTATAATGAGGCATCTCCAACACCCCTTCCATCATGGCCTGAGCATGTTTTTCAGATTAACTTTAGAATGCCCTTGGCTGAGAGGAGTGGTTCATTCAGATGATTGGGGGAGCCTTAGAATTTTATTTTTTGGTTTACAGCACCATGTTAGCTCCTGCTCAACACTTTTGCCCAGTCGTCCTGGCTGCTGTTGGTCAATGGTTTTGTGATCAGTACTGATGAAGATGCAGACGCTGAGGCAGGGAGGAACATTTAGTCTTCGTGGGCTGATGAAATCAACACTCCCTGCTAAGAACTCAGCCCTGAACAAATAGTATAGGGTGGAAAATGGACACTGTCCCTTTTCTGTGGAATCCAGTTTGTGAAAGAGACAGAGAGAATTGCAGAGAATATGCAGAAGGTATGAATTGACCCCCACCCAGCCCCTGTTGACTTCACTCCACCACATTTGCTAAGGAATGTAAAAAGTGATCATTAAAAGGAAGGTGCTTTGGGGCAATGTCCTTTGGAAAAATAAATAAATAAATGAAATGAAATGAAATAAATAAAAGGAAGGTGCCTCAGCCTCCCAGAGGCATTTTCTTCACTGTAAAGCACCTCAGTCCATTCACAGGCCCACAGTGTTTCCAGGCTATAATTGTAAGGACACCCATTCCTTACAAAATGCTCAGACACTCATGGCTCTTAAGAAGACTGCAAAGGAAAGCTTGAATTTCTTAAACTGTTTCCTAGAGTGCTAAGTCCTGATGATTAATATTCATGATCACAGAAAGGAAATATTGTAGCATCCCGAGGTGACTTCCAAATCATCAAAGAGATTAAATTAAACTTAGAACCATTTTCATATTAAGGGCTATGTTATTCTATTCTGCTACTTTGCAAACTGACAATTCATGTATTCTGCCACATTCTTATGCTAATCTCCCTGCTTTCAATTATTCTGGATAAACTGGAATTTACTGTAGGATCTCACAGAGCTTCCCATTCTATTTTTTGTTGTTGTTGTTTTTTCCCTCCCTTTTTGAAAACCCACACTCCTCAAGCCTTGTCACTGCCGCAGGAAGCTTTGTGCCTTTGTCTGGCCGTCTTTTCTTTGTTGTAGCTGGTCTGCAGCACTCAGGAAAATGCTCCTTTGCTTCAGAGCAGTCACTGTCAAGTTTCTGTTTTGTGCCTTTCTAAATATCTCTTAGAAAGTGATGAGTTGGGGGCAAGCTGTGGACCAGGAGAACCGTCAACAAATTAAAGTTCTATTTGTTAATATGAGTAACACCTGTAACTTGATAACAAGTGTTGATACATAAATTCTTAGCTGAATCCCGTCCCTCCACGACTCAGAAATTCAAGCAATTTAATGAAAAATACAAATTTATGATTGTTTACCTACAAACACCAGTAACTGGTCAGGGTGAAGACTGGGGTGAAAACAAGTTTATAATTAATTAAGCTTGACAATGAATGGGGTATAGGACTCCAAGTCATAAATTTTCTAGTTGCTCTTCCCTGACATCGCTTCCTGTGGTTTAGCTTTAGTATCCACAGAATATTGTTTGTAGTGACAAGCTGAAATTGTTTTGTATTTCATAACATTGGTAGGAAAAAACTCTAAAATTTATGGGACTACTGTGGATTCTGTGTAGCTCTGAATCATACCAAATTAGTTCCCCTCTGGTGGCTATAACAATGTTTCAGAAAGCCAGTAGCTTAAAAATACAATTTATTATCCTATTGTTCTTGAGGTCAGAAGTCTGAAATCAGTTTCATTGGGCTAAAATTAAGGTTTCCTCAGGGGTGTGTTCCTTCTGGAGGCTGTTGGGGAGAATCCTTTCCCCTGCCTTTCCCCGATTCTAGAAGCTTCCCGAGTTCCTTGGCCGATGGCCCTCTTCATCCATCTTCAAAGGCAGCAACAGCAGATTGAGTCCTTCTCAGGCTGCCATCCTCTGTGTATTTTACTCTGCTTTTCTCTTCCACTTAAAAAGATCCTGTGATTACACTGGGACCATGTGAATAATTTAGGGGAATTTTTCCTTCCATCTCAATATTCTTAATGTAATCACGTCTGCAAAGTTTGTCTTCCTGTGCAAGTTAACGTATTCACAGGTTTCAGGGACTTGGATGTGGACATCTTTGGGGGCCGTCGTTCAGTCTACCACATATGCCAAAATGCAGTTGCGTTCCTTTTTAAAGAAAATATTTTTGTGCTGGATCAACATCTGGGTGAATAAGCAAAACCATATGCAGATTTATTTTTAGGACCTCAAATGAACATTTTTACATTCATGTGTTTATTTTTTTATAATTTTTTCTTTTTTAAAAAATTATACTTGAAGTTCTGAAATACATGTGCAGAATGTGCAGGTTTGTTACATAGGTATACATGTGCCATGGTGTTTTGCTGCACCCATCAACCCGTCATTTACATTAGGTATTTCTCCTAATGCTATCCCTCCCCTTGCCCACCACCCCCCAACAGGCCCCGGTGTGTGTTGCTTCCCTCCCTGTGCCCATATATTCTCATTGTTCAACTCCCACCTATGAGTGAGAACATGCGCTGTTTGGTTTTCTGTTCCTGTGTTAGTTTGCTGAGAATGATGGTATCCAGCTTCATCCATGTCCCAGCAAAGGACATGAATTTATTCTTTTTTTGTGGCTACATAGTATTCTATGGTGTATATGTGCTACATTTTCTTTATCCAGTCTAACATTGGTGGGCATTTGGGTTGGTTCCAAGTCTTTGCTATTGTGAATATTGCTGCAATAAACATATATGTGCATGCGTCTTTACAGCAGAATGATTTATAATCCTTTGGGTATATACCCAGTAATGGGATTGCTGGGTCAAATGGTACTTCTAGTTCTAGATCCTTGAGGAATCGCCACACTGTGTTCCACAATGGTTAAACTAATTTATGTTCCCACCAACAGTGTAAAAGGATTCCTATTTTTCCACATCCTCTCCAGAATCTGTTGTTTCCTGACTTTTTAATGATCACCATTCTAACTGGCATGAGATGGTATCTCATTGTGGTTTTGCTTTGCATTTCTCTAATGACCAGTGATGATGAGCTTTTTTTCATATGTTTTGTTTTTCCACATAAATGTCTTCTTTTGAGAAGTGTCTGTTCATATCCTTTGCCCAGTTTTTGATGGGGTTGTTTTTTTCTTGTAAATTTGTTTAAGTTTCTTGTAGATTCTGGATATTAGCCCTTTGTCAGATGGATAGATTGCAAAATTTTTCTCCCATTCTATAGGTTGCCTGTTCACTCTGATGATAGTTTCTTTTGCTGTGCAGAAGCTCTTTAGTTTAATTAGGTCCCATTGGCTTTTGTTACCATTGCTTTTGGTGTTTTAGTCATGAAGTCTTTGCCCATGCCTATGTCCTGAATGGTATTGCCTAGGTTTTCTTCTAGGGTTTTTATGGTTTTAGGTTTTATGTTTAAATCTTTAATCCATCTGGAGTTAATTTTTGTATAAGGTGTAAGAAAGGGGTCCAGTTTCAGTTTTCTGCATATGGCTAGCCAGTTTTCCTAACACCATTTATTAAATAGGGAATCCTTTCCCCATTTCTTGTTTTTGTGAGGTTTGTCAAAGATCAGATGGTTGTAGATGTGTGGTGTTATTTTTGAGGCCTCTGTTCTGTTCCATTGGTCTATATATCTGTTTTGGTACCAGTACCATGGTGTTTTGGTACTAGTACCATGCCGTTTTGGTTACTGTAGCCTTGTAGTATAGTTTGAAGTCAGGTAGCATGATGCCTCCAGCTTTGTTCTTTTTTTTTTTTTGAGACGGAGTCTCGCTCTGTCGCCCAGGCCGGACTGTGGACTGCAGTGGCGCAATCTCGGCTCACTGCAAGCTCCGCTTCCCGGGTTCACGCCATTCTCCTGCCTCAGCCTCCCGAGTAGCTGGGACTACAGGTGCCCGCCACCGCGCCCGGCTAATTTTTTTGTATTTTTAGTAGAGATGGGGTTTCACCTTGTTAGCCAGGATGGTCTCGATCTCCTGACCTCATGATCCACCCGCCTCGGCCTCCCAAAGTGCTGGGATTACAGGCGTGAGCCACCGTGCCCGGCCCCCAGCTTTGTTCTTATTGCTTAGAATTGTCTTGGCTATACAGGCTCTTTTTTGGTTTCATATGAAATTTAAAGTACTTTTTTCTAATTCTGTGAAGAAAGTCAATGGTAGCTTGATGTGAAGAGCATTGAATCTATAAATTACTTTGGACAATATGGCCGTTTTCATGATATTGATTTTTCCTACCATGAGCATGGAATGTTTCTCCATTTGTTTATGTCCTCTCTTATTTCCTTGAGCAGTGGTTTGTAGTTCTCCTTGAAGAGGTCCTTCACGTCCCTTCTAAGTTGTATTCCTAGGTATTTTATTCTCTTTGTAGCAATTGTGAGTGGGAGTTTGCTCATGATTTGGCTCTCTGTTTGTGTATTATTGGTGTATAGGAAAGCTTGTGATTTTTGCACACTGATTTTGTATCCTGAGACTTTGCTGAAGTTGCTTATCAGCTTAAGGAGTTTTGGGGCTGAGATGATGGGGTTTTCTAAATATATTATCCTGTCATCTGCAAACAGAGAAAATTTGACTTCTTCTCTTCTTATTTGAATACGCTTTATTTCTTTCTCTTTCCTGATTGCCCTGGCCAGAACTTCCAATACTATGTTGAACAGGAATGGTGAGAGAGGGCATCCTTGTCTTGTGCCAATTTTCAAAGGGAATGCTTCCAGCTTTTGCCCATTCGGTGTGATATTGGCTGTGGATTTGTCATAAATAGCTCTTATTATTTTAAGGTATGTTCCATCAATACCTAGTTTACTGAGTGTTTTTAGCATGAAGGGATTTTGAATTTTATTGAAGGCCTTTTCAGAGTCTCTCTTTTTCTATTGTTTGGAATAGTTTCAGAAGGAATGGTGCAAGCTCCTCTTTGTACCTCTGGTAGAATTCGGCTGTGAATCCATCCGGTCCTGGGCTTTTTTTTGTTGGTAGGCTATCAATTATTGCCTCAATTTCAAAATGTGTTATTCGTCTATTCAGGGATTCAACTTCTTCCTGGTTTAGTCTTTGGAGGGTGTATGTGTCCAGGAATTTATCCATTTCTTCTTGATTTTTTAGTTTATTTGTGTAGAGGTGTTTATAGTATTCTCTGATGGTAGTTTGTATTTCTGTAGGATCAGTGAGGATATCCCCCTTATCATTTTTTATTGTGTCAATTAGATTCTTCTCCCTTTTCTTCTTTATTAATCTGGCTAGTGGTCTATCTATTTTGTTAATCTTTTCAAAAAAAAACAGTTCCTTGATTCCTTGATTTTTTTATGGTTTTTTTTTGTGTCTCTATCTCCTTCAGTTCTCCTCTGATCTTAGTTATTTCTTGTCTTCTGCTAGCTTTTGAATTTGTTTGCTCTTCCTTCTCTAGTTCTTTTAATTGTGATGTTAGGGTGTCAATTTTAGATATTTTCTGCTTTCTACTGTGGGCATTTAGTGCTATAAATTTCCCTCTAAACACTGCTGTAGCTGTGTCCCAGAGATTCTGATATATTGTGTCTTTGTTTTCATTGGTTTCAAAGGACTTATTTATTTCTGCCTAATTTCATTATTTACCCACTAGTCATTCAGGAGCAGCTTGTTCAGTTTCCACGTACTTGTGCAGTTTTGTGTGAGTTTCTTAATCCTGAGTTCTAAGTTGATTGCATTATGGTCTGAGAGACTGTTTGTTATGATTTCCATTCTTTTTTATTTGCTGAGGAGTTTTACTTTCAATTATGTGTTCAATTTTAGAATAAGTGTGATGTGGTGCTGAGAAGAATGTATACACTGTTGATTTGGGGTGTAGAGTTCTGTAGATGTCTGTTAGGTCTGCTTGGTCCAGAGCTGAGTTCAAGTCCTGAATATCCTGGTTAATTTTCTGTCTTGTTGATCTGTCTAATATTGGCAGTGGAGTGTTAAAGTCTCCCACTATTATTGTGTGGGAGTATAAGTCTCTTTGTAGGTCTCTAAGAACTTGGTTTATGAATCTGGGTGCTCCTGTATTGGGTGCATATATATTTAGTATAGCTAGCTCTTCTTGTTGCATTGATCCCTTTACCATTATGTAATGCCCTTCTTTGTCTTTTTTGATCTTTGTTGATTTAAAGTCTGTTTTATCAGAGATTAGGATTGCAACCTCTGCTATTTTTTTTTTTTTTTTTTTTTTTTGCTTTCCATTTGTTTGGTAAATCTTCCTCCATCCCTTTATTTTGAGCCTATGTGTGTCTTTGCATGTGAGATGAGTCTCCTGAATACATCACACTGATGGGTCTTGACTCTTTATCCAATTTGCCAGTCTGTGCCTTTTAATTGGGGGCATTTAGCCTATTTACAATTTAAGATTATTATTGTTATATGTGAATTTGATCCTGTCATTATGATGCTAGCTGTTTATTTTGCCCATTAGTTGATGAAGTTTCTTCATAGTGTTGACGGTCTTTGCATTTTGGTTTGTTTTTGCAGTGGTTGGTACCAGTTTTTCCTTTCCATATTTAGTGCTTCCTTTGGGAACTCTTGTATGGCTGGTGGTGACAAAATCCCTTAGCATTTGCTTGTCTGTAAAGGATTTTATTTCTCCTTCACTTATGAAGCTTAGTTTGGCTGGATATGAAATTCT
Organism: Homo sapiens; assembly: GCF_000001405.40. NCBI lineage: Eukaryota > Metazoa > Chordata > Mammalia > Primates > Hominidae > Homo > Homo sapiens. The sequence continues at coordinate 101,712,139 of NC_000008.11, read as the reverse complement.
GGGCTGAAAATTCTTTTCTTTAAAAATGTTGAATATTGACCCTCACTGGCTTGTAAGGTTTCTGCAGAGAGAGCCACTGTTAGTCTGATGGGCTTCCTTTATGGGTAACCCAGCCTTTCTTTCTGGCTGCCCTTAATATTTTTTCCTTCATTTCAACCTTGGTGAATCTGACGATTATGTGCCTTGGGGTTGCTCTTCTCGAGAAGTATCTTTGTGGTGTTCTCTGTATTTCCTGAATTTGAATGTTGGCCTGTCTTGCTAGGTTGGGGACGTTCTCCTGGATAATATTCTGAAGTGTGTTACCAACTTGGTTCCATTCTCTCTGTCATTTTCAGGTACACCAATCAAACGTTAAGTTTGGTCTTTTCACATAGTCCCGTATTTCTTGGAGGCTTTGCTCGTTCCTTTTCATTCTTTTTTCTCTAATCTTGTCTTCATGCCTTATTTCATTAAGTTGACCCTTAATCTCTGATACCCTTTCTTCTGCTTGATCGATTTGGGTATTGATACTTGTGTATGCTTCACAAAGTTCTCGTGCTGTCTTTTTCAGCTCCATCAGGTCATTTATATTCTTCTCTAAACTGGTTATTCTAGTTAGCAACTCCTCTAACTTTTTATCAAGGTTCTTAGCTTCCTTGCATTGGGTTAGAACATGCTCCTTTAGCTCGGAAGAGTTTGTTATTACCCACCTTCTGAAGCCTACTTCTGTCAATTTGTCAAACTCATTCTCCGTCCAGTTTTATTCCCTTGCCCGCGAGGGGTTGTGATCCATTGAAGGATAAGAGGCATTCTGGTTTTTGGAATTTTCAGGCTTTTTGCACTGGTTTTTCTTCATCTTCATGGATTTACCTACCTTTGATCTTTGCTGTTGGTGACCTTCGGCTGGAGTTTTTTGTGTGGTTGTCCTTTTTGGTGATGTTGATGCTATTGCTTTCTGTTTGTTGGTTTTCCTTCTAGCAGGCAGGCCCCTCTTCTGCAGGTCTGCTGGAGTTTGCTGGGGGTTCTCTCTAGATCCTGTTTGCCTGGGTATCACCAGCAGAGGCTGCAGAATAGCAAAAATTGCTGCCTGCTCCTTCCTCTGGAAGTTTTATCCCAGAGGGGCACCTGGCCAGGTGCCAGCCAAAGCTCTCCTGTATAAGGTGTCTGTCGACCCCTGCTGGGAGGCATCTCCTAGTCAGGAGCCTCGGGGGTCAGGGACCCACTTGAGGAGGCAGTCTGTCCCTTAGCAGAGCTTGAGCACTGTGCTGGGAGATCGCTGCTCTCTTCAGAGCTGTCAGGCAGGAATGTTTAAGTCTGCTGAAGCTGCACCCACAGCTGCTCCTTCCCCCAGGTGCTCTGTCCCAGGGAGATGAGAGTTTTATCTATAAGCCCCTGAATGGGGCTGCTGCCTTTCTTTCAGAGATGCCCTGCCCAGAGAGGAAGAATCTAGAGAGGCATCTGGCAACAGCAACTTTGTGGTGCTGCGGTGGGCTCTGCCCAGTCCAAACCTCCCAGTGGCTTTGTTTACACTGTGAGGGGGAAAACCACCTAGTCAGGCCTCAGTAATGGCAGACGCCCCTCCCTGCACCAAGCTGGAGCATCCCAGGTCAACATCAGACTGCTGTGTTGGCAGCAAGAATTTCAAGCTAGTGGATCTTAGCTTGCAGGGATTCTTAGGGGTGGGACCCACTGAGCAAGACCACTTGGCTCCCTGGCTTCAGCCCCCTTTCCAGGGGAGTGAATGGCTCTGCCTCGCTGGTGTTCCAGGCACCACTGGAGTACAAAAAAAAACATCTGCAGCTAGCGTGTTGTCTGCCCAAATGGCCCTCCAGTTTTGTGCTTGAAACCCAGGGCCCTGGTGGCATAGGCACCTGAAGGAATCTCCCAGTCTGCGGGTTGTGAAGACCATGAAAAAGCATACTGTCTGGGCCAGAGTGCACCATTCCTCACAGCATGGCTTCCCTTGGCTAGGGGAGGGAGTTCCCCAACCCCTTGCACTTCCCAGGTGAAGCAACAGCCCACCCTGCTTCTGCTCACCCTCCGTGGGCTGTACTCACTGTCTAACCAGTCCCAATGAGATGAACTGGGTACCTCAGTTGGAAATTCAGAAATCACCCATCTTCTGCGTTGGTCTTGCTGGGAGCTGCAGACTGGAGCTGTTCCTATTTGGCTGTCTTGCCCAGGAACCTCATGTGTTTATTTATAAGTGACAAATTTAGGAACATGATTTAGGCTCAATATTTTATTATCACATCAAAAATCATCTCTCAGGAATCTTAGGCCAGATCAGAACCCTGACCTTTCCTCATCTTACAGCAGATTCTCTCCTCCCATTGGTGGCTGAGGTCAACCCACCACTCAAGAGGAAGAATTCTTCCTGCCCAACGTAGTTCCTGTCCCTCAGCTCTGCTGGAGACAGGTGTGAATACCCACACCCATCACAGCACAGGCTGTGTGTCTGAGGAAGGGATCAACCAAGCAAGCAAGTGGCATCACTGATTCTACCATAAATGCTTAGATGTGTTCTGGCATCTTGAGGGGTGGAGGGAATGTTGACCTTATGGATCCATCAATGGGACCACAGCACTCCCGGGGAGCTAATGTAGGAAGAAAATGGAATTACATTTGCCTCCCTTCTGTTCTCAAAAGTAACTAAGACCCTTGAAAGGCCAAATTTTAACTACAGGATTCTCATTGACTATATGTATACACGCTGCATTCTTTATCCTTACAACTCAATGAAAATGATAGGCTTAGACAACATTAGACCATCTGTACCTGAAGCAAAGATAAAGAAGGAACCAAAGGAAGAATAGGCATGTGAGGGTGAGGCAGGAAAATAGAGTCTGGAGGCAGGGAACATAAGGCCAATTCACACTTCAGCTGTAACAGGAAATATCCTCTCCGTAGGGTGTACACCATAAATGACTGTAACTTTACTTCATCCTCTCCATTTACGTAGGGCGTACCCAAAGTAACCAGTGGAATCCTCTAGCGGGTATTTAAACTCTCGAAAATTCTGTAATGGGGCCTGTGAGCCCCTATGCGCAGGCCCGCTCCCACACTGTGGAGTGTACTTTCATTTTCAATAAGTCCCTTCATTCCTTCTTTGCTTTGTTTGTGTGTTTTATCCAATTCTTTGTTTAAGATGCCAAGAACCTGGACACCCTTCATTTTTAAAAAGAGTAGCCATCTTGGACAAAGCAGATTGATATTTCCTCTCCTTTTTAAAATTTCCCGTTTCCTTATTTCCCATCTCCTTGAGTCACAATTTTCTATTCTTGAGCAGCAAGCTCAACTTCTCCTTTTACAAACACAGCGGTGTCACTGATTCTGCTGTGAGTGCTTAGATGTGCTCTGGGATCTTGAGGGGTGGAGGGATCCATGTATTAAGGGTAGAGACCCCAGGGTGAGTACCTGGCTTCCAGTCATGATTCTGCTCCCTTAGTACCTACATGCCCTTGTACAAGTTACTGAACATCTCTGGCATCCATTTCCGGATTTGTGGATTGCAGCTAATCGAAACACCTAACTCATGGATGATTGTAAGTGTTAAATCAGTCATTACAAGTAAGGTGCCTAGAACAGCACCTGCATGGGCTATCACTCAATAATTGTTGGCTACCATTATTATTGCCACAATTTCCAGAGCTGGGACAGGATGTCTTCCTACTAAATGAAGGGAGTTCACTTCCACTTCAATGGAGAAAGTAATGGATAGAATCTTCCATTAAGCTTTCAGTTAAATTTTGTTATAACATGTTTGTTCACAAAGAAAAGGGAGGTGTCCCACTAAATCTCCAATTGGTGGAAATCACAGAAGAGATATTCTTGACTTTAGGACCCCTAGCTTCTCTACCTGCTGTCTTTACCGGCAGAGATCAGCCCCTCTGGGAACAAGCTAAAACTTCTGAGCTATGATGTTCACAGGACTCAGATTAAAGAAATAATCATGTTTCCAGGAAAGAATGTAGTTGGCCCCAGGAATTCCCCAAACCTTATTGATCTGAGCCCACAGTCACACATCATGCATTGAGACTGTTTGGGGGACAGTCTGTCTGGGTTTGTTCTTAAGTTCAAGTTAGAGCCTTTCGAAAAGCATCCAAAGGCTGACATCACGTTACTCCTGGCAGTCCTTAGGGCTCTGACTTTAAAGACGAGGTTAGAATAATTTGTAATCAGCACTTTTACTACTTAGAATAATGATTGTTTCAAAAATCTTGGAGTCCACATACCTGTTTTATTTATTTATTTATTATTTATTTATTTATTTATTTATTATTACCATTTTTTGAGATGGAGTTTTGCTCTGTCGTCCAGGCTGGAGTGCAGTAGTGCAATCACAGCTCACCGCAACCTCCGTCTCCTGGGTTCAAGAGATTCTCCTGCCTCAGCCTCCCAAGTAGCTGGGATTGCAGGCACCTGCTACCATGCCCAGCTACATATCTGTTGTTTTAGAGTCAAACTTTCTCTCCTAGTTGTGATTCAGGGTTAACTGACATCTTCTGATGAAGGCAAGGTGAACTTAAAAACACCCCAGTATACACTTCACACCTTTTAAATGAGTGAAACCTGAAGGAAGGCATTTGGAAATATACTGGCAACCCACAACAGGAAAGTTTGGTTTTGCTACTTTTAGCAGTATGGGAAAAAAATTTTCTGATTCACCCCTGTGATGAATAAGGCATACATATCTATACAGCAGCCAGATGAGGATGGGGAGCTATGGGGATGGGGGTAGCCATGCAAAAACAGCTTATCCTCCTCGGGCACCAGATGAACACACAGACTAATCCACACTCATTTCCAGACTGCCCACCTGACCAATTCAGACAACCAGGCTGTTAGTAGTTCTGCCACAGAGGATCAAAATAAGGGCCAGAGAGACTTCCTTATATTCTTTTTAGAAGCACATTCTGAGTACCATTTGCATTTTTTCCCCCAAAGACTGTTCTAAATAGACACTCTGTCACTTTTAATATGGGCCTTGGAGACCTGAAACACTGTGGTCTTCTGATTCTGGGGGAAAAAAAGGAGGGGGCAGGGGAAGAGTTTCTAGTTCATCTTACATTACCCCCTGGGAATTCAGCTCCAAACCCTGAGTAATTCTCAATTATGAGCATGGGCCACAGATGTGGCTCTGGAATGCAACTTAGATTTCTTTCCTGGAAGAAACTCTTCAATGCAATTGCTTAGGCTAGTGACTTCCTCCAAGAACTGACTTTAGTGCTTGCTTATTGGATGTTTTGGGTTTGTCCCTTTCTTATCAGGGGATTTATCTTATTGCAAATCACACTATGGCTTAAAAGTTTAAGTCAAATCAAGTATGGTATCTGGCAAACATGAATGAGTGCTTCCTAGCTTCTCGTGCTTATTGGCAATCCTTGACATTCCCTGGTTTGTAGCTGCATCACTGTATTCTCTGCCTCCGTCATCATAGGGTGTTATCCCTGTGTGTCTGTGTCCAATTTTCCCTCTTCTTATAAAGACACTAGTTGTTGGATTAAGGAGCACTCAAATTCGTGATGATCTCATGTTAACTTGATTGCATCTGCAAAGACCCTATTTCCAAACAAGGTCACATTCACAGGTTTCAGATAGACAAGGATTTTTGCAGGACATTGTTCAACCTAGTACAAAGGCACTATCTCATTTAATCCTCACAACAACCATATTAGCCCAATTTTATGGATGAAGAAACAAATTGCTTCCAGATCTTCATTTCTACTGTGTCCAACTCTTAATGGACCTCTCTATTAAGATGTTGCACTGGTACAAAGCCAATATTCCAGAAACAAATTCATCATTGCCCAAACCTCCCCACCACTCCCTTTTTTTTTTTTAAATAGTCTTACTATCTATCCTCTAATCAAGTCAGAGACATCTTTGGCACTCCTCCACCATCTATCTCCACATTTAGACAGTCACCAGAGCTATTAAATTTGCCTCTTTGGTATTTTTTAACCTTTTCATTCCTGTGCATTCCTTCTGCCACTGTCTCATTTCAAGTCAGTGGTGGTACTCTTCACTTTTAGATATGAGCAATTAATAGTTTTCCAATCTTATGTGAAGTGCTCTGCAAAAGGCAGTTTCAGATGACTCCCTCCAAAGAGGCCTTTACTCTCCTAAACAGACATTCTCGAGTTACTGTGTTTCAGGCTTCACATTTCTAATCTATATTATTATAACTTTTCCCCAGTTATCTATTCTGCATATTGAAACCAACACAAAAGTTACTGACTTAAAACAACAATCATTTATTTAGCCCATGAATCTGATACTTGGGCAGAACAGTGGGATCTCATTTCTGTTCCATGCAGCATCAGCTGGGGTGGCTCGAAATTGCCTGGGAGCTGGAGCAGCTGAGGCTTCTTGGACCTGGGACCTCCCTCTGTGCCTCTGTGTAGTCTCTCTCCTCCATGGTGGCTTTGGGGTGGCCAGACTCCTCACATGGCAGCTCAGGGCTTAAAAACTGCAGGTCCCAAGAAAGAGAACCAGGCAGAGCTGTATCTCCTTTTATGATCTGACTTTGGAGGTCACAGAGCATCACTTCTCCTGTCCACCCCTACTCCAGGCAGTCACAGAGGTCTCTATGGCTCACCAAGACCTCCAGGCTCAAGGGGAGGGGACCTAGAGTTTACCTCGAGAAAGGCAGTGGCGAGGTTCTGGAGGATTGTGTGGGATTAGAAAGCCTGTTCTGGCCGTTTTTGGAAAATACGATCTTCACAACATGTTTCTAACAGCTCTTCCTGCCTCCGATCAGGTCCTTCCCCAATTCGGTTTTCCCCACTGATGCCAGAGTAATCTTTCAAGACCTAATATGATCATGTTAACCATGTTTCTCTCCTGCCTAAAATCTTTGAGTATCTCCTCATTCACTTTATTTATTTTTATTTTTAAATTTTATTTTAATTTTATTTATTTATTTATTTATTTTGAGATGAAGTCTTGCTCTGCTGCCCAGGCTGGAGTGCTCACTGCACTCAGCTTACTGCAACCTCTGCCTCCTGAGTTTCAGCGATTCTCCTGCCTCAGCCTCCTGAGTAGCTGGGATTACAGGTGCGCACCACCATGCCCAGCTAATTTTTGTATTTTTAGTTGAGACGGGGTTTCATCATGTTGGCCAGGCTGGTCGTCTCGAACTCCTAACCTTGTGATCCGCCCACCTCGGCCTCCCTAAGTGCTGGGATTACAGGCATGAGCCACCGCGCCCGGCCTATTTTTTATTTTTTATTTTTTTGACACGGAGTTTTCGCTCTTGTCGCCTAGGCTGGAAAGCAATGGCGCGATCTCAGCTTACTGCAACCTCTGCCTCCTGGTTCAAGCTATTCTTCTGCCTCAGCCTCCCGAGTAGCTGGGATTACAGGTGCCCGATACCATGCCCGGCTAATTTTTGTTTATGTTTAGTAGACATGGGGTTTCACCATGTTGGCCAGGCTGGTCTTGAACTCCTGACCTCAGCTGATCCCGCCTGCCTCAGCCTCCCAAAGTGCTGGGATTACAGGCATGAACCACCGCGCCCGGCCCCCATTCACTTTAAATGATGTCTAAATTTCTTAACGAGGCATACAACAGCCTTTGTGACTGGGTCCCCATCTCTCTCAAGACTCATCTCGCATTTGTGATCTTTGAATTCTCCATGCCTCAGTTACGTGTCAGCTGGCAGATACCAGAAGTCACCGCGGCCTCTCACATCCCACAGCCTTTTCTCATGCGGTATCCTAGAGTACACTCTTACCACATTTCCCTCTCACTCAGTGGAGGTGTCTCCTCTGCCCCCCACACCCCAGTCCTATGCATTTAACTCTGTTGTTGATCTCCATCATAATAATGCTTTCTTTTTTGTTGTTGTTAATTTCAAGTAGATTGCTGTTTTCTAATCATGAACCACTCCACTAAAAGATATAATTACTTTATGGTCTCTTCAACAGGATTTTACCATGTTGAGTGCTGGATATTTTTATAGCTCTATAAATGTTCTTAAACTTTCTTCCGAGACACAGTTAAATTACTTGGAAACAGTTTGAACTTTCCAGGTCTTGCTTTTCAGATTCATTAGCTGACACGAGAGCAGCACTCAGCTAGGACTGATTATTCCCACTACTGAGGCCAGACCTTTCTGACTAGCCAGTGCCCCACAAATCATGAGGCTCTCCCTCTGGCTGATGGAAACAGGCACGGTTCTTGACCTTGTGGGAGGGCCAGGCAGTCTTTCCTCTAATCCTTTCACTTGGTTCTTTTTTCCCAGTCCTGGGTAGTTTCTTCCCAGGACTTGTGTAGACTGTCTTGTGTGTAGTCAGTCTTGTGTAGACTGACTGTGCTGAATACTTGAGGGAGACCTGCCACAGCTCTCTGGAGTTCTCTCTGTGCCACTCTCTCTTCTCTTTTATTCTGTCCAGTGATCACTAGCCACTTTAGTGTCTCCAAACTCTCAGCGCCATCTGCCCATCAGTGAGTCCACCAGGTATCACATAGGTCCCTGCTCCTGGCACTGTGGCTTGGAAACCCTCTCAAGGCATTAAGCTGGGGCCAACATAGGACTTAGCTCTCATGTTTTCATTTTCTCAGGGATCACTGTCCTTCGTTGCCCAATTCCCAGCGTCTGGTAAACTGTTGTTTCATGTCCATTGTTTTTTGGGTTTGTGGTTGCTGCTGCTTCGGGTGGGAGGGGATAGATTCAATCCCTGTGACTCTATCTTGGCCAGAAGCCACACTCTCTAATCTCATGCTGATGTTTTCTGTGTTGACCTGTCCTGCTGCCACCTGTCCTGTGAGCTCCTTCAAGGCAGGGCTGTGCTGATGCCAAGGGATTTAGCACCATTTTTGTGCTATTCATAAAGTCCACAAATGTTTGTTGAATAAAGTAAGTGTTAGACTCCAAAACATACAAAGATGAATAAGACAATATCTACAATATCTCTGTCTTGAAAAAACTTAGAAACCACTGGGAAGACAAATCTCATGAAGAAGCATTCTAGGCTACTTGTTTTGGGGGAAAAAAAAAAAAAGAGGAACAGAGAACGCAGCCCAGATGAAGAGGGAGTCAGAATAAGAGTCAGTCCTGGCACAGATAGAACTTTCTTGAGGCACTACTTTCATAAACTGTTCATAGATGTTTTGTAACAAAAGGGTTCTGGTCAAACCAGTTTGAGAAAACCTGGGTTAAATAGATTTCAACACGCCTCTTACTGCAGGAATTACCAGAATCTTTAATATGTTCGTGTGCATTGTGATGTTTTGAGAAGGGGATAAAATAAGCAGTGTTTCCCAATACTGTTTTGATGATGGGATCTCTCTGATCTTAACACATCTTGGAAGGCTGACATTTCTTGGAAAGCACATTGGGAGACACCTTTATAGCATCGTCAATGTGTGATTGTTCAGCGTTTGTTTCTGTATCTCCAATATCCATGAGGCCACTTCTGCGGAGCAGCCTCTTGCTCTTCTGCCGTTGCGCACCACAGAACATAAAGTTCTTCCCATGTTAAGGCTACATCTAACTTCCCATAAGTCTTCAAGTTATAAAAGGGCATAGTGCTGGGTTATTCTAAATAGTAAGCTCCCCTAGTGTGCAGAGAGTACAGTGTACAGATCTTGGACATTCTCATTCCATTTAAGAATCATAGTATCTAGTTGGGCATGGTGGCTCACACCTGTAATTTCCACACTTTGGGAGGCTGAGGAAGGAAGATCTCTTGAGCCCAGGAGTTTCAGACCAGCCTGGGCAACATAGTGAGACTCTGTCTCTACAAAAAAAAATTACCCAGTGTGGTGGCACATGCCTGTGGTCTCAGACAGCTACTCGGGAGGCTGAGGTGGGAGGATGGTTTGAGCCCAGGAGGTCCGAAGCTACAGTGAGCTATCATCACGCCACTGCATTCCAGCCTGGGAGACAGAGTGAGACCCTGTCTCAAAGAAAAAAAAAAAAGAATGACACTATCACAAAGGGACCAGTACACAAAGTGGTTCAGTGGTTCAAACTCCATTTTCAGCAGCAAAAATGGTTTTGTTTTGCTTCGTTTTCTGAGTAAAATCTTACGTGAAATCTTACATGGAACTGCTCGGTTGAAAAGGCGTGGGGCTCCTGCTTGTCTCTCACACTCTCTCTGCCTGTGAAAATGCTTAAAGCACCTTGGAAGAATACTACAAAAATATGACAATTACTGATTTAATTGATTCTTCTAGCTCTAAATGAGAAAGTACTTATGCTATTCCAGATATATAGGTGTTCATTCTATTTTAAAAGTATTTCCTGAAAATATTTTCATTCTTCTCCTTTCCTGATATGTAATATCCTTCTAAGCAAGGTGCTTAGTCTAAGCAAGGTGAGAAAGTCTAAGGACAACCAGGTGCTGCCAAACTTCTGTTGTCCGTAGTCTGCTGTCAGAGAGACGTGGGTGTCTGGTTTCCTGTTAGAACACCCTACATTTTGTGATGAAATATCTGGTTTCCTTCAGAAAACAGGTTGAGTGTTAACTCTTGGAATTTTGCCTGCCCTCAGTTAATTGCACAACCTTGATCAATGCAGACCTGAGTCCTCCCTTCCCAGACCTGAGTCCTCTCTTTCCAACATCCCAAGAGGTTGTTCCTTCAAAGAGAAAAATTAAAAATAAATATATGTAGACCACAAGGAAGCTGATAGGGGCTCTGGTCACACTGGGGAGCTGTCTCAAGCCTGGCTGGGGCAGAGTCAGGGCTGGGCTCCTGGGTGTCCCAAAGCTCTGCATTTACCCAGAGACAAGAAAAGGACTTTTCAAGTTTAATTGAAAACAGGATGACCCTGCTAGACCTCTCATTGACATTGCTAAAAATAAAGTAGGGAAGTAGCCTGGTCTCTTCACGGTTTAATCCCATTAAATGTAGAAGGGGTGGGGACTGAAGCTAGTAAAAGACATGATTTGTCTCAGATGGCTGTCTGGGGTTGTATTTTTCTCCTCTGTGCTATGCAGTCCCAGATTTTAAAGTTCTGATACAATCAGCTCTCGGTTGTTGATGCCGTGGGAAGGGAGCAAAGGGACAGACAATCCTGCCACTGTGGCTCTGCAGGGCTGTCACCCACTCACTCTGGGGGCCATTGGGACTCGTCACCTCGACTCTCTGCTCACCGTTCTTGTACCACCCCTGGCATAGGCCTGGCTTTGTAAATAACCCACTAATTCCCATCTGATCTGAGTGTCACGAAAGAGTCATCTGTGAGCCTCTTAAAGAAGACCCCACTTCCTCCTCAAACCCACAACACACTCAGACGTGGTGCCTCCCACCCCATTCCAGAAGCCCTGCTTGCACATATGTTCACATCGGGGACTTCGGACGCCGTTCATTTTGTGGGGGAAGTAGTGGGAGTTGTTTGTTGTATTAACTGATTCTCGTTTCTCTGTGCCAACCCCACTCCTTTAGCCTAATACTGAATAGCAAGACTGGAAGACTTTCCGTTGAGTGTGAGAGCTTCACATACATTCATGTGCTTGCTTGAGCTTTCATTCATTTCTTCAGGAGTGTTAAGGGAATAACCCCTAGATTATTACACAGTTGATTTTTCATCAGAATCCCAAGAAGAAGAATTTCGTGGGCCACAACCTTAGAGGCTGAAAGGTCCAAAGAGTGCTCCAGACCAGTGGGTTTTACTTGCCACCAGGGGACCCAGAGGTAGCCTAGGCAAGGGCTTTCATAACAGCTATCAAGGCATTACTGGGATGACTATACCCATCTAAATGGGGATCATTGAAAAATAAGGTGCTTTTTGTGCCACATATGAGACCTCCCAAGTCCTGTGCTAGAAGATTGTGAGACATGAAATAAGAGAGAGCGGCCAGGCACAGTGGCTCACGCCTGTATTTCCAGCACTTTGGGAGACTGAGGCAGGAAGCCCAGGAGTTCGAGACCAGCTTGGGCAACATAGAGAAACCCCATCTCTACAAATATTTTTTAAAAAATTAACTGGGCGTGGTGGTGCATGCCTTTGGTCCCAGCAACTCAGGAGGCTGGGACAGGAGGATTGTCTGAGACCAGGAGATCAAGGCTGCAGTGAGCCATGATAGCATCACTGCACTCCAGCTTGGGCAACAGAATGAGACCTTTTCTCAAAAAATAAATAAATAAATGAATAAATAAATAAATAAATAAATAAATAAAAATAGAGAGCATATCAGTCTTGTTGACAATTGTATCTCCACTGCTTAGCTCATAGTGGACAATACATAATTATTAAATAATTTACAAATGACTAGTTTTCTTTTTTTAAAATTTTACTTTAGGTTCTTGGATACACGCACAGAACGTGTTGGTTTGTATACGTGTGCCATGGTGGTTTGCTGCACCTATCAACCCATCAACTAGGTTTTAAGCCCTGCATGCATTAGATATTTGTCCTAATGCTCTCCCTCCCCTTGACCCCCACCCCACAACTGGCCCCAGTGTGTGTTGTTCCCTCCCTGTGTCCATGTGTTCTCATTGTTCAGCTCCCACTTATGAGTGAGAATATGTGGTGTTTGGTTTTCTGTTCCTGTGTTAGTTTGCTGAGGATGATGGATTCCAGCTTCATCCATGTCCCTGCAAAGGACATGATCTCATTCCTTTTTATAGCTGCATAGTATTCCATGGTGTATATGTGCCATATTTTCTTTATCCAGCCTATCATTGATGGGAATTTGGGTTGATTACATATCTTTGCTATTGTAGATAGTACTGCAATAAACATACATGTGCATGTGTCTTTATAGTAGAATGATTTATATTCCTTTGGGTATATACCCAGTAATGGGATTGCTGGGTCAAATGGTATTTCTGGTTCTAGATCCTTGAGGAATCGCCACACTGTCTTCCACAATGGTCGAACTAATTTATGTTCCCACCAACAGTGTAAAAGCATTCCTATTTCCCCACAGCCTCACCAGCATCTATTGTTTCTTGACTTTTTAATAATCACCATTGTGACTGGCATGAGATGGTATCTCATTGAGGTTTTGATTCGCATTTCTCTAATGATCATACGCTTTTTCATATGTTTGTAGGCTGCATAAATGTCTTCTTTTGAGAAGTGTCTGTTCATATCCTTTGCCCACTTTTTGATGGTTTTTTTTTTCCTGTAAAATTGTTTAAGTTCCTTGTAGATTCTGGATATTAGACCTTTGTCAGATGGGTAGATTGAAAAAAATTTTCTCCCATTCTGTAGGTTGCCTCTTCACTCTGATGATAGTTTCTTTTGCTGTGCAGAAGCTCTTTGGTTTAATTAGGTCCCATTTGTCAGTTTTGGCTTTTTTTGCTTTTGGCGTTTTCATCATAAAGTCTTTGCCCATGCCTGTGTCCTGAATGGTATTGCCTAGGTTTTCTTCTAGGGTTTTTATGGTTTTGGGTTTTACAGTTAAGTCTTTAATCTATCTTGAGTTAATTTTTGTATAAGGTGTAAGGAAGGGGTGCAGTTTCAGTTTTCTGCATATAGCTAGCCAGTTTTCCAGCACCATTTATTAAATAGGGAATCCTTTCCCCATTACTTGTTTTGTGAGGTTTGTCAAAGATCAGATGGTTGTAGATGTGTGGTGTTATTTCTGAGGTCTCTGTTCTCTTCCATTTGTCTATATGTCTGTTTTGGTACCAGTACCATGCTCTTTTGGTTACTGTAGCCTTGTAATATTGTTTGAAGTCAGGTAATGTAATGCTTCCAGCTTTGTTCTTTTTGCTTACGATTGTCTTGGCTATACAGGCTCTTCTTTGGTTCCATATGAAATTAAATTTTTTTTTCTGGTTCTATGAAGAATGTCAATGGTAGTTTGATGGGAATAACATTGAATCTTTAAATTACTTTGGGCAGTATGGCCATTTTCACAATATTGATTCTTCCTATCCGTGAGGATGGAGTGTTTCTCCATTTGTTTATGTTCTCTCTTATTTACTTGAGCAGTGGTCTGTAATTCTCCTTGAAGAGATCTTTCACCTCCCTTGTTAGCTGTGTTCCTAGGTATTTTATTCTCTTTGTAGCAATTGTGAATGGGAGTTCATTTTTATTTGGATCTCTGCTTGTCTATTGTTGGTGTATAGAAATGCTTGTGATTTTTCCACATTGATTTTGTATCCTGAGACTTTGTGAAGTTGCTTATCAGCTTAAGGAGTTTTGGGGCTGAGATGATGGGGTTTTCTAAATATAGAATCATGTCATCTGCAGAGAAAATTTGATTTCCTCTCTTCTTATTTGAATATGCTTTATTTCTTTCTCTTGCCTGATTGCCCTGGCCAGAACTTCCAACTATGTTGAATAGGAGTGGTGAGACAAGGCATACTTGTTTTGTGCCAGTTTTCAAAGGGAATGCCTCCAGCTTTTGCCCATTCAGTATGATATTGGCTGTGGGTTTGTCATAAATAGCTCTTATTATTTTAAGATATGTTCCATCAATACCTAGTTTATTCAGAGTTTTTAACATGAAGGCCTTTATCAAAGGCCTTTTCTGATCTATTGAGATGATCATGTGTTTTTTGTCATTTATATGTTTCTGTTTATATGATGGATTATGTTTATTTATTTGCATATGTTGAACTAGCCTTCATCCCAGGGATGAAGCCAACTTGATCATGGTGGATAAGCTTTTTGATGTGCTGCTGGATTTGGCTTGTCAGTATTTTATTGAGGATTCTTCCATCGATGTTCTTCAAGGATATTGGCCTGAAATTTTCTTTTTTTGTTGTGTCTCTGCCAGGCATTGGTATCAAAATGATACTAGCCTCATAAAATGAGTTAGGGAGGAGTCCTTCCTTTTCAATTGTTTGGGATAGTTTCAGAAGGAATCGTACCAGCTCCCCTTTGTATCTCTGGTAGAATTTGGCTGTGAATCCATCTGGTCCTGGGCTTTTTTAGGTTGGTAGGCTATTAATTACTGCCTCAATTTCAGAACTTGTTATTGGTCTATTCAGGGATTTAACTTCTTTCTGGTTTAGTCTTGGGAGGGTGTATGTGTCCAGGAATTTATACATTTCTTCTAGATTTTCCCGTTTATTTGCATAGAGATGTTTATAGTATTCTCTGATGATAGTTTATATTTCTGTGGTGTCGGTGGTGATATACCCTTTATCATTTTTTATTGTGTCTATTTGATTATTCTCTCTTTTCTTCTTTATTAGTCTAGCTAGTGGTCTATTTTGTTAATTTTTTCAAAAAAACAGCTCCTGGATTCATTGATTTTTGAAGGGTTTTTTGTGTCTCTGTTTCCTTCTGTTCTGCTCTAATCTTAGTTATTTCTTCTCTTCTGCTAGCTTTTGGATTTGTTTGCTCTTGCTTCCCTAGCTCTTTTAATTGTGATGTTAGAGTGGCGATTTGAGATCCTTCTAGCTTTCTGATGTGGGCATTTAGTGCTATAAATTTCCCTCTTAACACAGCTTTAGCTGTCTCCCAGAGATTCTGGTATGTTGCAAATGACTACTTTTCAATTCTCTGAACACCACTGACTGCAAGTAAGGAAGGGAAGAGAGGTAAATTTGGGAAATGAATGTGAATAGGAAAATCAAATTTAATGTCACTTCCATCTTTTGTTGCTCGTTGGAGAAATACAGATCCCTAAACACTGTGAGGCCTCAGTGGTCTTTCCCTGCTTGCTCTAGAGCCACATTGTGTACTGAACGCCCCCACACTCTGTTGACCTCCTTGCCACGCTCCCACTCTGGGCTTCCACATGGTGTTTTGCTCACCCCTGATTTATTTAAGCCCTATGCTTTCTTCACGTCTTTGTGCAATCATCATTCCTCAGAGAAGCCTACCCTAACCCTCCTGGCAAAACCTAACTCTCCCACTATATCATCACAGAAGCCATGCACTCTTCTTTCTAGCACTTTTCTCAACAATGGTTTTACATGTATTTCTTTATTTTACTAATGTCTGCCTTATTTCACAGCAAAAACCATGAGGGAAAGGATTAGGTCAATGTCAATACCTGGTACACATTAGTTGCTTATACATATTTGATGAATGACTGAGTGAGTGGATGGATGAAGAGGCAGTCACCTAAGAGCAGGGATTTCCATGACCTGGGGTCTATGGATCAGCTTCTAAATACCCAAACCTCTGAGATCGTCTGCAATGGTGGGTGGGTTTGCATGGTTTCTAAGGGAAAAGCTCAAATCTTTTGACAGATTAAGTCTTTAAGGGGTTTCACATGAATATGTTTAATTATGTGAAGAGAGAGAGAAGAAAAAGAAAAGAGGAAACTAAAAAAAACATATAAAAGGATAAAGGGGAACTTTATAAATTGGAGCAGTGCAGAATAAAGGTGAGAGAGGGAAAGAATGAGAGGGCAACTGGGGGACAGTTATTCCTGAATAAATTCTTTAAACTAAGTGAAGTTGACTGTATTCAAGACCCTATGTTAGGTACTATCAGGGATTCAAAAAATAGATGTGACTGCTACCCTCACATCTAAAAGGAGAACATTCTGGGTGTGAATTCAAGGTAAATGGAAGGAAGTGATATGAGAGAGGTTGGGTTGGAGCCCCTTGCTAGCACAGAGGGAGGGAGATTGCACATAGCAATAGAAGAAGGGAAGATGATGGAAGGCTTCCTGGAGGAGGGTAACATTTTGATCTGCTCTTAACACATGGGTAAGAGTCCAAGGAGGAGGGGAGATGGGGTAGGTGAGCACTCAGGTGAGAGAAGAATATAAACAAAGCTGCTGGTCCAGGACACCAAGGAGCGTATCATGTTGTCAGACTCTTGACAACAGCCTTTGTGGAGCATCTGAGCTGGGAGACACCTCCTATGGCCAGTCACAGGCACAAAGCCAGTGGCATCTAGAAGGACCACGTGAGACAAACTTACTGAGGCCAGAACAGACTTGGAGAAGGAACAATCCAGCCCCAAAGAAGATTGATAATGAATAAATACACAGCCCCCTTAAAACTTCTGGCAAAAATAAACTTATCCCTTGTCTGTAAGTGCTCTTCCCCGCAACACCTCTGCAACTCCTGAAACAGCTCCATGCGCTCTCCTTTAAGGAGGTTGTGCTAATGTGATCTGCAGGGATGCCAATTTCTAAATGTTGTGTTATTGTTGTCCTAAGATTCCTGGGCTTATGAATTCACCAAATATTTAGATCATATGAGCTTGAAATGTATGTGAGGGGTGTGCATGTTTTCATAGTTGGTGCCGATTCCATTTTGACTATGTCAAGAGTTACGAAAAGCTTCCACTGTGGGAGCAAAGCAAGCTGGGGAGAGGTTGCTAGACCTCAAGACTTTTGCTGGTGTGAAAAGACACCTGCTGTCTACTGTTACTAAATATTCACCTGGGCGTGTTAAATCTCAGGGCCTCTCTTCTCCCATTTGCAAAAACAGCTCCATCTCTCCGGCCTTTCCTAGCTCCCCCAAGAACTTACGTGTCCCCGGCAGTGAGGCACATGGCACTACAGCCCCAGCACAGTTGGTGGAGCAGACCTGGGCTGGGATGACAGCAGGCAGGGGACCATGATGAGGAGGGCAGACGATGGCTCCCCTCTTGTCTCCAGAGCACACTTCAGTGAGCATTTCTTGGGAATGAAATGGCTCAGCTTACCCCAGGGACACCCATAATCCTAGACAGCACCCTAACTCTGCGCTTTACCTCCCAGACCAAGTCGCTGCAGAGTCAGCTATGGAGTTCAGTAAGCACATTGGGTGGGTTTGAGACAGACTCAGGGAGCCTGTCCAGAAGCATCCCTGAGGGATGGGATCAGCCTAAGGGCCAGCACACTGGGTGAGTCTGTTTTCATTCTTATTTTGACTGAGATTAGAGTACTTACCCTACCTTATCCAGAACATGTTAGGAACTTCTGGCAGGGTTGGTCCTGAGCAAGACTGTAAAGCAGCTCAGGTGAAGCTTCAGTGTCTTTTTCTGCTCTCACCTTTCCCATTTGGAGGCGACTCCCCTCAGCTGCTTTCCTTTCTCTGTCCTCTGCACCTGCCTTGCTGCCCCTAGAGCTCCAGAACTCTCTGAAATTTTCTGCCTACTCCCTGGCAAAATCTATTTTTTCTAAAAATTGTCCCCAGGGCCAAGATGCCCAAAGTGACTCTGATTAGCAAAGTCATGATCTGGGGATAAAAACAATGACTTTTCATTCCTCTTCCCAAATAAAAACTACCTTTGACCACAGAGGTCAAAGGGCCCTTACTGAGTCCCATGTGGAGGTCACAGGCATGGGGTGATAGTTTCAGTAGTGCTTACAAAACTCCACAGAATCCTCTTTCGCCCATCAGATCTCATAGCTGTACCCAGTTTAGCTCAGGCCTGAGGATGCATAATAATTCAGAGCTCTGATGGCAGGTGGTTTCCATCTCAGGACTGCCTGGAAGCTTGCTGAGAAGGAACTTGAGACCATTGTCACACACAGGGAGAAAAGCACTGGAATGGACTAGAAGTCTGCCTGGGGAAACATGTGGCATGCACTTACAGAGTGTTACATGTCTGTCATCCTTGAGGAGTCATTGTGGACTCTCAAGGGTCCATGATAGGCATCCACTTGCCTCTCTAGCCTGAAGAATGTCATCTGCAGCCTTGCTCCTCAAAGTGGGAACCTTGCTTTTCAAAGCAGCGTCTTCAGAACAGCAGCATCAGCATCACACCGGAGCTTATTAAAAATACAGACTCTCAGCCCCACCCCTTTCCCCCACACTACCCAATCAGATTCTGCATTTTAACAAGATTCCCAGGGGATTTGTATGCACATAAACAATGGAGACGGCTAGGAGAGGTGGCGCATGTCTGTAATCCCAGCACTTTGGGAGGCTGAGGGAGGAGAAGCTTGAGCCCAGGAGTTCGAGACCAGCTTGGGCAACATAATGAGACCTTGTCTGTACAGAAAAAAAAAAAAAAAAAAAAAAAAAAAAAAAAACGCCCTGTGTGGTGGGGAGTACCTCTAGTCCCAGCTGCTGCTCAGGAGACTGAGGTGGGAGGATTGCTTGAGCCTATGAAATGGAGCCTGCAGTGAGCCGTAAGCGTGCCACTACACTCCAGCCTGGGTGACAGAATGAGACCCTGTCTCAAAAAACAATCAAAAAACATTGGAGACACAGGGGTCTACTGGGTCTTCCTGCTGGTTGTCCCTCCTGAAGGTCCTCACTGGAGGAGAACAAGCTTTGTGGGCCCGGCTTCTTCTACCTGTGCCTCCACATCTTATACCAATCAATAGGGGTAGGACTAGGTCCAATGCGGATGGGGACATTCCCTTCAGCCCGCATTTGGGAGGTTTAATGATAGGTCTATTGTGTGCCATACTGTTTTTCTGTCTTACCACCATGTCGCTTCTGTCCCCAGGCAATCTATAAGATGGTTTCCTCTGTAATGAAAATGCCTGAAGATGAGTCAACCCCAGAGAAAAGAACAGAAAAGATCTTCCGCCAGATGGACACCAATAGAGACGGTAGGAGGCGGGGGCTACACTGCTTTGCTCAGATGGGGGCTGCTGGAAGGACTGGAGAGTCCAGACTGGGAAGTGCCACTCGAGGCCCTTCAATGTGAGCGGCTCATCCTCCAAGCCTCCTGGGTGGGTAGGAGGGGAGAGGACCAGGTGGCCACAGGAGAGCTGAGCCCAGAATTGGGGGAAATGCCTTATTTCTAGTTTTTTCTATCCTCCTTGTAGGTCAACTTCTACCTCCAAGAAAACAGAATGGATCTTGTGGGGCAAGAATGAAAGGAACCAAGAAACCATTGTTAGCACAGACCCATCCTTGGGACAGGCCTAGGCTATAGCAGGCTGGGTCCCTGCAGTCCAGTTCATCAAAATGGGGAGAGGGTTGTTATTCTGTGATCCTACCCAGATGCCGACAGCTTTCACTCCAGCCTGCCAAAGGGGTTTTGTTGGGGTCTCCTGTGCATGCACTGAGATGTTGTGTTTCCCAGAGACAGTGGGCTCCCATAGTCACTGGGGTGCCCGGGGTAGTGGTGAGGGAGTAAGGTGCCCAGCAGGTTCCCACCCTGATGGTGCTACCCACAATTCAAACCCAACGAAGTGAAAAAGAAGGTTGCATTTCCAACTTAAGAACAGAAGGATTTTAGATCTTAAATTGCCAGATAGAATACAGGAGGCCCAATTATCCTGGAATTTCAGATAAACAGCAACAGTTGTTAGGATTAGCCTAACAATTGTTTAGCCAACTAAAAAAGTCACTTGCTGTTTATCTGAAATTCAAAGTTAACGGGGCATCATGTATTTAATTTGCCAGATCTGGCAACCCTATTTAAATGTTATACTTGAGTTTAAAGAGCTCAGCTCAGGGCCCGGCTCTGTAGCTCTTGCTGTTATTATCAGCTCACCCGATCTGTTCAGAGGCCTCGGCAATTCTTGTCAACCATGTGCACAGGCACTTGGGTCCCCCACCTGGCGCTGATCTATAGAACAGCAGAAGGCGGCTTCGCAGTACAGAGAGCCTCTGTCTCCTTTTATCCCCCGCCCAGGTACAGCTGCCTAAGAATCTGGGTTTGTGTGGTATGGGCCTGTCTGCTTGCTTGTTTCCTCCACAAAGGTGCCATTCCATTTGGAAACATCCTATGTCCCCTTATTTGCTTTGATTCACAATGAATAGTTGTGACTAAACAAGCACGGGATTATTTTAATAGTTAATTAACTTGCTGATGTTAAACTGCAGGTTTTACTGGTACTCAAGGGAGCACAATGGGTTTGTGCTGTGCTCTAGGTCCAGACAGCTCTTCAGGATAGGGCTGAAGGATGGGAGAAGATCAGATGTCACAGGATAAAGCCCTAAAGCCCTAACTGTGTGTTGATCACAGGCAATGAATTAGGGTCTTTCCACTGGGACTCTGCTGCTATGGGATTGCAGAGCCCTGACTGAGTTAGCATTCTCAGAGCACAACTTACTGCTAAAGACCTGTGCCTTTCCAAAGGAAAACCTCATGTTTAAAATTAAATTAAATTTTCAAAGGTTAGGGTTGGGAGAGGGGGGTGGGAGCTGTAGAAGGAAGGAGGAAGAGGGGCTGTAAGTTCACAGCTGTCAGAGGAATCTTAGCTCAACCAGGAGACTGGGTGCTTCAGCTCAGTGCTTGGCTGCTGGACCCCAGGATTGAGGACACCTGCACCCCTCCCTGCCGAGAGCAGAGCAGTCCTCACCTAGAGTCTCCTACCCTTAGATTTAGCTTGCCTGTTGCTCTTGGAATCTAACTTCTGGCCTCCGATTTGAAAAGAAAAATCTGGGCCCTCAGGCAAGTTCTCCTAGGAGCCAACTCTGAATCATGCAGACAGTTAAGTGAAGAAAGCCAGACGTCATGCCGAGCTCCAGGTCTGCCCCTGCTACCTCCAGCTGGTGCCTCCCAGAGCCGACCCCTGAGAGACTGCAAAGTGTTCAGAGATCACGCCTGTCTCCCTTCCCTCATGCCTTGCCAAGCTGGAGGAAGTCATTACCATTGTAACTACTATGTGGGCAGGGCTGGGCTCATAAAAAATGGCCAGCACACAGAGCTTGGAGGGGATCAGCTCTACAAATTAAAAATAAATTAATAAATGCATCCCTATCTTTTTCCTTCATGGAGATAAAGTGGGTTTCATTAAACAAGAACTAGGTTCTGGCGGGGAGGGAGTTGTGGCTGAGGAGAAGATATGTTTGTTGGTGTTTCTGTTGGGGGAGGCCCCCTCCTGTCAGGTTTGGAGTAAGTTGAGAAATAAAAGAGGACAGAGGTCAAAAGATAGATACTGGAGGCTATGGCTTAGCGTGAGAGTCCAAGGACGTGCTGAAAAACCCACAGGCGTGCAGAGCCAGGCAGGCCGGGTGCTGCCCTTGGAGGAGCAGATGGAAATAAATCCTCTCTGGGGCAGCTCCTTTCAAGAGAAAAAGGGAGGGCAAAGCTGGGCGGAGATGCCCAGCAATTCCTCCCAAATTTACCAATCGAGCATGTCACTTCACTCCCAGGGGCGGGGTAGACAAAGAGGAAGGGTCCTTCTGGAAGCACCAGGAATGGGAAAAGCCTTGCAGTCCCCCAACTCCTACCCCACCCCCTCCCCTCCTCTCCACAAGTGACAGGCCTTCCTGGAAGAGAATTCTGTACGTGCTCCAGAGTAAGCAGAAAGGAAAGGTCACCGGGGTCGGAGTGGGAGCCCAGGCTGCTGAGCCTCCCTCCTCCAGCACATCAGGGTAGCAGGAGAGCACCCTAACTGAGAGGCAGAAACCCATGGGTTACCCTCTGCCTTGAACATACCCTGCTCTTCCCTGACCTCAGATGGAGGCACAGCTGTCTTCCCGTGGTGTATGAACAAACACTTACGTCCACGGCTTCTTCCCCAAGATAGGATGGGCTCTTGCAGCAAACCTAAGAACACAGAGTGGCCTGAAGAACACGAAGTGGCTCAGAAGGCTCCAGGGAACATTATGGGAACCAACCGGGTGCTGCCAGGGCCCAGCTCATTCTCATAAATGCAGGAGGGCCACTTGCTTTACAAATGCTGAGTGAGCCTCTCCAGGGCGCCTGGAGCCAGGAGGTCAGGGACCAAGTCAGCATCATCCACCACCCTCTCCCCAGTCCCGGGCCCAGGGCCGGGCACACAGTGGGCTCTCAGGCAGCGGCGTTTGATTGCCACATGTACTGTCCTAAGTGCTGGCAATGCCATGGTGAATGAGGCAGCAGTGTTCCTGGAGATTCCACTGGGCTCTTCCCCGGGACAGGTGAGTGCTGTGTGTCACAGTGGCAGTGAGGCTGCAGGCAGGTGAATCGACACTGCCCAGCACGCAGTAGTGGGAAGGGTGTAAGCTCATGCAGCTGCCACCAGCCACCACTCACCTGTCCTCTTGCTTCCTAGGAAAACTCTCCCTGGAAGAGTTCATCCGAGGAGCCAAAAGCGACCCGTCCATTGTGCGCCTCCTGCAGTGCGACCCGAGCAGTGCCGGCCAGTTCTGAGCCCTGCGCCCACCAATCGAATTGTAGAGCTGCTTGTGTTCCCTTTTGATTCTTCTTTTTAACAATTTTTTTTTTTTTTTGCCAAACAATATCAATGGTGATGCCGTCCCCTGTGCGGTCTGATGCGCCTTCCTCCGTGACGCCTTCAGCTTCTTTTGTCGTGGATGCTTCGTGGGAATGCCCAGAGCCCCAGTGTGCTTGTGGAGAGCATGGACAGACTTCGTGGTGTTCATTGTTTGATGATTTTTAATCGTTACTATTATTTTTTTTTATTCTAATGTCTCTGTTCTAAAACGTAAGACTCGGGGGTTGGGGCAAAAGAAGGGAAACCCATCCAGTCCTGTGATTCTATTGCAAGCTTCAAGGGGCTTTTGTTTGAAAGACAAAACTCCCCACCTGAATCTGTTGTCACACGTGCCGTAGGGGTGATGGATGGCACCGGATGCTGGATTCCCCAAGAACAAGTTACCCTCTGGGGTGAGGCTATTCCAGCGAGCTGGGACATTTCCCCATGGGGGCCCACTCCCCTCTCTTCCCCAGCAGGCTGTAGTTTCTAAGCTGTGAACATTTCAAGATAAATTAACAGAGGAGAGGAAAAAGATGGCTCAGCTATTTTTTCACAGGTTTACACTAGTTGAGCTAATATGCGTGTCTTTGGAAATTAAACACAAATGGTAACATATTCCAAAACCAGACCCATCTTGTTGCCTATTGTGATAAAATAAAAAGACGGCTGTATATAACATATTGGGTAATGCAGACCAAATTAAGTGTTTTGCCTTGTTTAAATGAAATGCATGTTTAGTGAGCACTAATACAATCTTATTCCAGAAGACTGTTTTTAGTAGCTTATTGTGAAGTAAGACAACTATAATGAATGTCTGTCTTGTTTGGAAGTCATATCTGTCTTTGCACAAATGTACCAATCGACAAGTATATTTTATATATTCCATAAAAATACAAAGTAACCCTGACTAGGGCCCAACTTTAATTTTGAATGCATTTCCAGAGTGGCCATGCCTAGAGGGCAGATGCAGAGCAGGTGGTAGTGGGACAGGACAATTGGAGCACAGGAATGTTAACATGTATGACAGGGGACCAGTAGGGTGGTTTCCCTCTCAGGCCCAGCAGCCCATTGACAGCATTAGACTGGCGGCATGGTGCTTTTCTGAGCAGATCAATACTCTGCAGACTCGAAAAAACATCACATACATTCTTGGAACTTCCCAGTGGTTTAATCTATGTGCATGGTTAGGGAGCCAGGTCTGGAATATTCAGTTTCCCTGCCCCTGTTAAAGAATCAGAGGTTGGGCAGTCATCAAATTCATCATAAAGACATGGGCAAGTGTGTCTGTGGTTTCCAAGGCCCCCCTATGGAGAATCCAAAAGTATTTTCCATTGCCGTGCTCTTTGAATGCAGACTTCTATTTCCAGAAGTGACAGCACAAGTCTGAGTTGCTGTTTGGTCTGGTGACCTCAGACACACTAATTTGAATTGAAAGCTAAGAGTAAAAATTTGCTGGTTACAGGCGAGTCATACTCTTGCAAGTAGTTAGCAAAGGGAGGCCCAAATTCTCAAGGTTGTTGATGGGGAACTTGCCACTAAGAGAAGGCAGAGAGGTCCCTAGTGGGTATATTTGCTGCCAAGCCACTTGCCAAAGAAGAGGAACCACAGAAAGAGAGACATCATGACCAGGAGAAAAATGTGACTAGACATGCTAACCTCCAGGTTTTTATATATGACTTGAGTCTGCTGTAATTGGCAGCAGAAATCCAAATTTGTATGGTAGACCAAAAAGAACCAAATCCATAGGGTGAAATTTTGAGACCTAGACTCTGTAAAAATAATCCTAGTCTTCCTCCAGGGGTCAGTTCCTCACAGTGGTTCTGTACCAAAACTTGCCAAATTCCTCCATGGCCAAGTGTTAAAATCTGTGTTTGGAAAATAGCGAATTAACCTAAGACACAGAAGGCAGACTGGGTGAGGAGACCTAGCATGCCCTATTGGCAGTGCTCAGGAGCTGCATCCCACTTTTCCCTGCTCTGAATCGAAGTCCTAGTTCCTTCCTTTGATTCTCCTTTGGTAGGTGGAATCAGTTAATGTTTTGAGAAACCTGCCTGGGCTCTGCCCTTAGTCATGACATCTCGCTGAGCCAGACCCACTCTGTTCCTTGGAACCTAGAGCTGGAGTGAGGAGTAGAGGTCTCCGGCTATTCCAGAAAGAAAAGTGAGCCACATGCAGGCTGATGAATGCCGACACTTCCAGAATGTATAGAAATAGTCCCTGTCCTGGCCTGCCACTGACCCTGTCTGTATTTTCTCGGAGGTTGTTTTTCTCCTTCTCCTTCCCAGGAAGGTCTTTGTATGTCGAATCCAGTGCACTCAAGTTTGGCCAAGGGACTCCACAGCACCCAGAAGACTGCATGCCTCAAGGTTTATGTCACTCCTCTGCTGGGCTGTTCATTGTCATTGCTGTGTTCAGGGACCTTTGGAAATAAAACCTGTTCTGTCCCAAATAAAACCAGCCTGTGATGTTCAAGGGACTGGAATAAAGTGGCTTACGACCTGAAGGATTCTACAGAGTGCTCAACTGTTCATACATCATTCAGAGTGGGAGGGAGCTGGGGGTGCTGTCCCATCCCATCTGTATGCCCACGGTGGATTTAATAATATATAATTTATAAATCATAGCCTATGGAGTGGCCCGTAAATCAGTTGACTGTGTAGCTCTTGCCTGGCATTAAAGCATGTTTTTGGTTTAACATGATTTTCATGAGATTTTCATGCCTAAACTGCTGCCCCAGCTGAATCTGTGCCTTACTGAGGCTCTAGCTTCTGATACTAGCCTCCTCCTGGGTATTTTTCCTGCCTAGAGTGACACAAGGAACCAAGGTTTGTGAGGGGGGATGAGAGAGGCTGCTGACCCCAAAGTTCTGTCCAAAGGCATCCTTGGTCTTCATATGGGCTTCCTTACATCCCTCCCTCCATGGTCTACACTTCCTTCCCATATCCTCTCCTTCCTCAAACTAGAGTCCAAATGTTAGGTACAATAAAGGGAGAAACTGAGGCAACCTCCCCTTCAATGGGATCTGGGTAAGCTTCAGGAAATAAATAACCTCTTCACCCCTCTCAGCCTGAGAAGGTTCAGTGAAAAAGATGACATGAGGCAGAGCCTACACTCTGAAAGCCAGTTCCAATCATGGTGTTGGCTGTTGCTGTCATTGGCCTTGCCTCCAGCACAGGAGGCCGTTACTGTAGAGAAAAGGAGCTGCCATCTTGCTAACTTGAGTGTTAGCTGTGGGAGAACTTCACGGGCCAACTAGACCATGTGTGGGGGCAGAGTTGCCCTCGAGGGAGTCTTCCTACTGCACACAGTTGGCCACTATGGACCAGTGATGGCCCTGACACCATGAGTCCTGAGCATGAATAACACAAGTCTGATCCTGAGAAGGTGGCTGGGCGTCTCCAATCTCATCAGGAGCCTGCCTACCAGCAACCTGGGAATTTTCAGCAAATTTCCAAACCTGAGGCTCCTATTTTCAGGACATTGTTCTGCTGCCCCAACCCAACTGAGTCCCCACACATCCTAGTTCGGTACCCACCAGCTGAGGAAGAGTCCAAGTGTTCTCTCAGTCAAGGTAGAAAGGAGAGCATAAGAACTGCCTTTGAAAGAATGGACCTCCTTCCCTTTTTTTTTTTTTTTTTTTTTGCTTTGGTGGTTCTCTCTTTTTTTTTTATTTATTTATTATTATACTTTAAGTTTTAGGGTACATGTGTACATTGTGCAGGTTAGTTACATATGTATACATGTGCCATGCTGGTGCGCTGCACCCACTAACTCGTCATCTAGCATTAGGTATATCTCCCAATGCTATCCCTTCCCCCTCCCCCCACCCCACCACAGTCCCCAGAGTGTGATATTCCCCTTCCTGTGTCCATGTGGTCTCATTGTTCAATTCCCACCTATGAGTGAGAATATGCAGTGTTTGGTTTTTTGTTCTTGCGATAGTTTGCTGAGAATGATGGTTTCCAGTTTCATCCATGTCCCTACAAAGGACATGAACTCATCATTTTTTATGGCTGCATAGTATTCAATGGTGTATATGTGCCACATTTTCTTAATCCAGTCTATCATTGTTGGACATTTGGGTTGGTTCCAAGTCTTTGCTATTGTGAATAATGCCACAATAAACATACGTGTGCATGTGTCCTTATAGCAGCATGATTTATAGTCCATTGGGTATATACCCAGTAATGGGATGGCTGGGTCAAATGGTATTTCTAGTTCTAGATCCCTGAGGAATCGCCACACTGACTTCCACAATGGTTGAACTAGTTTACAGTCCCACCAACAGTGTAAAAGTGTTCCTATTTCTCCACATCCTCTCCAGCACCTGTTGTTTCCTGACTTCTTAATGATTGCCATTCTAACTGGTGTGAGATGGTATCTCATTGTGGTTTTGATTTGCATTTCTCTGATGGCCAGTGATGATGAGCATTTTTTCATGTGTTTTTTGGCTGCATAAATGTCTTTTTTTTTTTTTGAAAAAAATGCAGTTTTATTCTGTTTACAGAAGTAACATTGTAAGCATATGTATGAATACATAGTTAAAAAGTATAAAGACAAAAATAAGTCTACCATATATTAACAAAAAGAAAAATTATATGGTTAAATTAATAGTGAAAAAAGTAGATCTTAAGTAGAAGTGCAAAATATAAAGATGTACATTTCAAAGTCATAAAAGGGTTAAGTCCATAGCAAGCTATAAAATCACAAAGTTTTCAATACCTAATTAGCACAAAATTTAATTGTATAAAGCAAAAGTTGAAAGAACTAAAGGAGTCATATACAAATCTACAATCATAGGCTATGACCAATTTCAATAACTAATAGAAAAAGCATACAAAAGAAAAGGATACAGAAGTTTAGAATGACATTAACCAAACTGACCTAATTTGGCTTATAGAACATTATATCCAACAATTGCAGAGCACTCTTTACCATGTATATCATATATATATATGAGAAATATGATACATATCTCTTACATATATGATATATATATCATATATCTCTCACATATGTAATATGTGATATGAGAGATATGATATATATCTCTCACACATATATATATATGTGTTGACTTTTTTTTTTTTGAATGTTAGTTGATTTTATTATTTTTGCAGTGATGATCCTAAGGTATAAGACAAGGTCTTTTTTTTTTTTTTTTATACTTTAAGTTTTAGGGTACATGTGCACATTGTGCAGGTTAGTTACATATGTATACATGTGCCATGCTGGTGCGCTGCACCCACTAACTCGTCATCTAGCATTAGGTATATCTCCTAATGCTATCCCTCCCCACTCCCCCCACCCCACCACAGTCCCCAGAGTGTGATATTCCCCTTCCTGTGTCCATGTGATCTCATTGTTCAATTCCCACCTATGAGTGAGAATATGCGGTGTTTGGTTTTTTGTTCTTGCGATAGTTTACTGAGAATGATGATTTCCAATTTCATCCATGTCCCTACAAAGGACATGAACTCATCATTTTTTATGGCTGCATAGTATTCCATGGTGTATATGTGCCACATTTTCTTAATCCAGTCTATCATTGTTGGACATTTGGGTTGGTTCCAACTCTTTGCTATTGTGAATAATGCCGCAATAAACATATGTGTGCATGTGTCTTTATAGCAGCATGATTTATAGTCCTTTGGGTATATACCCAGTAATGGGATGGCTGGGTCAAATGGTATTTCTAGTTCTAGATCCCTGAGGAATCGCCACACTGACTTCCACAATGGTTGAACTAGTTTTCAGTCCCACCAACAGTGTAAAAGTGTTCCTATTTCTCCACATCCTCTCCAGCACCTGTTGTTTCCTGACTTTTTAATGATTGCCATTCTAACTGGTGTGAGATGGTATCTCATTGTGGTTTTGATTTGCATTTCTCTGATGGCCAGTGATGTTGAGCATTTTTTCATGTGTTTTTTGGCTGCATAAATGTCTTCTTTTGAGAAGTGTCTGTTCATGTCCTTCGCCCACTTTTTGATGGGGTTGTTTGTTTTTTTCTTGTAAATTTGTTTGAGTTCATTGTAGATTCTGGATATTAGCCCTTTGTCAGGTGAGTAGGTTGCGAAAATTTTCTCCCATTTTGTGGGTTGCCTGTTCACTCTGATGGTAGTTTCTTTTGCTGTGCAGAAGCTCTTTAGTTTCATTAGATCCCATTTGTCAATTTTGGCTTTTGTTGCCATTGCTTTTGGTGTTTTAGACATGAAGTCCTTGCCCATGCCTATGTCCTGAATGGTAATGCCTAGGTTTTCTTCTAGGGTTTTTATGGTTTTAGGTCTAACGTTTAAGTCTTTAATCCATCTTGAATTGATTTTTGTATAAGGTGTAAGGAAGGGATCCAGTTTCAGCTTTCTACATATGGCTAGCCAGTTTTCCCAGCACCATTTATTAAATAGGGAATCCTTTCCCCATTGCTTGTTTTTCTCAGGTTTGTCAAAGATCAGATGGTTGTAGATATGCAGCGTTATTTCTGAGGGCTCTGTTCTGTTCCATTGATCTATATCTCTGTTTTGGTACCAGTACCATGCTGTTTTGGTTACTGTAGCCTTGTAGTATAGTTTGAAGTCAGGTAGCGTGATGCCTCTGGCTTTGTTCTTTGGGCTTAGGATTGACTTGGCAATGCGGGCTCTTTTTTGGTTCCATATGAACTTTCAAGTAGTTTTTTCCAATTCTGTGAAGAAAGTCATTGGTAGCTTGATGGGCTTGGCATTGAATCTGTAAATTACCTTGGGCAGTATGGCCATTTTCATGATATTGATTCTTCCTACCCATGAGCATGGAATGTTATTCCATTTGTTTGTATCCTCTTTTATTTCCTTGAGCAGTGGTTTGTAGTTCTCCTTGAAGAGGTCCTTCACATCCCTTGTAAGTTGGATTCCTAGGTATTTTATTCTCTTTGAAGCAATTGTGAATGGGAGTTCACTCATGATTTGGCTCTCTCTTTGTCTGTTGTTGGTGTATAAGAATGCTTGTGATTTTTGCACATTGATTTTGTATCCTGAGACTTTGCTGAAGTTGCTTATCAGCTTAAGGAGATTTTGGGCTGAGACAATGGGGTTTTCTAGATATACAAACATGTCATCTGCAAACAGGGACAATTTGACTTCCTCTTTTCCTAATTGAATACCCTTTATTTCCTTCTCTTGCCTAATTGCCCTGGCCAGAACTTCCAACACTATGTTGAATAGGAGTGGTGAGAGAGGGCATCCCTGTCTTGTGCCAGTTTTCAAAGGGAATGCTTCCAGTTTTTGCCCATTCAGTATGATATTGGCTGTGGGTTTGTCATAGATAGCTCTTATTATTTTGAGATACATCCCATCAACACCTAATTTATTGAGAGTTTTTAGCATGAAGGGTTGTTGAATTTTGTCAAAGGCTTTTTATGCATCTATTGAGATAATCATGTGGTTTCTGTCTTTGGCTCTGTTTATATGCTGGATTACATTTATTGATTTGCGTATAGTGAACCAGCCTTGCATCCCAGGGATGAAGCCCACTTGATCATGGTGGATAAGCTTGTTGATGTGCTGCTGGATTCGTTTTGCCAGTATTTTATTGAGGATTTTTGCATCGATGTTCATCAAGGATATTGGTCTAAAATTCTCTTTGTTCGTTGTGTCTCTGCCTGGTTTTGGTATCAGGATGATGCTGGCCTCATAAAATGAGTTAGGGAGGATTCCCTCTTTTTCTATTGATTGGAATAGTTTCAGAAGGAATGGTACCAGTTCCTCCTTGTACCTCTGGTAGAATTCGGCTGTGAATCCATCTGGTCCTGGAATCTTTTTGGTTGGTAAACTATTGATTATTGCCACAATTTCAGATCCTGTTATTGGTCTATTCAGAGATTCAACTTCTCCCTGGTTTAGTCTTGGGAGAGTGTATGTGTTGAGGAATTTATCCATTTCTTCTAGATTTTCTAGTTTATTTGCGTAGAGGTGTTTCTGGTATTCTCTGATGGTAGTTTGTATTTCTGTGGGATCAGTGGTGATATCCCCTTTATCATTTTTTATTGTGTCTATTTGATTCTTCTCTCTTTTCTTCTTTATTAGTCTTGCTAGCGGTCTATCAATTTTGTTGATCCTTATAAAAAACCAGCTCCTGGATTCATTAATTTTTTGAAGGGTTTTTTGTGTCTCTATTTCCTTCAGTTCTGCTCTGATTTTAGTTATTTCTTGCCTTCTGCTAGCTTTTGAATGTGTTTGCTTTTGCTTTTCTAGTTCTTTTAATTGTGATGTTAGGGTGTCAATTTTGGATCTTTCCTGCTTTCTCTTGTGGGCATTTAGTGCTATAAATTTCCCTCTACACACTGCTTTGAATGCGTCCCAGAGATTCTGGTATGTTGTGTCTTTGTTCTCATTGGTTTCAAAGAACATCTTTATTTCTGCCTTCATTTCGTTATGTACCCAGTAGTCATTCAGGAGCAGGTTGTTCAGTTTCCATGTAGTTGAGCGGCTTTGAGTGAGATTCTTAATCCTGAGTTCTAGTTTGATTGCACTGTGGTCTGAGAGATAGTTTATTATAATCTCTGTTCTTTTACATTTGCTGAGGAGAGCTTTACTTCCAAGTATGTGGTCAATTTTGGAATAGGTGTGGTGTGGTGCTGAAAAAAATGTATATTCTGTTGATTTGGGGTGGAGAGTTCTGTAGATGTCTATTAGGTCCACTTGGTGCAGAGCTGAGTTCAATTCCTGGGTATCCTTGTTAACTTTCTGTCTCATTGATCTGTCTAATGTTGACAGTGGGGTGTTAAAGTCTCCCATTATTAATGTGTGGGAGTCTAAGTCTCTTTGTAGGTCACTAAGCACTTGCTTTATGAATCTGGGTGCTCCTGTATTGGGTGCATATATATTTAGGATAGTTAGCTCTTCTTGTTGAATTGATCCCTTTACCATTATGTAATGGCCTTCTTTGTCTCTTTTGATGTTTGTTGGTTTAAAGTCTGTTTTATCAGAGACTAGGATTGCAACCCCTGCCTTTTTTTGTTTTCCATTTGCTTGGTAGATCTTCCTCCATCCTTTTATTTTGAGCCTATGTGTGTCTCTGCACGTGAGATGGGTTTCCTGAATACAGCACACTGATGGGTCTTGACTCTTTATCCAATTTGCCAGTCTGTGTCTTTTAATTGGAGCATTTAGCCCATTTACATTTAAGGTTAATATTGTTATGTGTGAATTTGATCCTGTCATTATGATGATAGCTGGTTATTTTGCTCGTTAGTTGATGCAGTTTCTTCCTAGTCTCGATGGTCTTTACATTTTGGCATGATTTTGCAGCGGCTGGTACCGGTTGTTCCTTTCCATGTTTAGCGCTTCCTTCAGGAGCTCTTTTAGGGCAGGCCTGGTGGTGACAAAATCTCTCAGCATTTGCTTGTCTGTAAAGTATTTTATTTCTCCTTCACTTATGAAGCTTAGTTTGGCTGGACATGAAATTCTGGGTTGAAAATTCTTTTCTTTAAGAATGTTGAATATTGGCCCCCACTCTCTTCTGGCTTGTAGGGTTTCTGCCGAGAGATCAGCTGTTAGTCTGATGGACTTCCCTTTGAGGGTAACCTGACCTTGTTCTCTGGCTGTCCTTAACATTTTTTCCTTCATTTCAACTTTGGTGAATCTGACAATTATGTGTCTTGGAGTTGCTCTTCTCGAGGAGTATCTTTGTGACGTTCTCTGTATTTCCTGAATCTGAACGTTGGCCTGCCTTGCTAGATTGGGGAAGTTCTCCTGGATAATATCCTGCAGAGTGTTTTCCAACTTGGTTCCATTCTCCCCATCACTTTCAGGTACACCAATCAGAAGTAGATTTGGTCTTTTCACATAGTCCCATATTTCTTGGAGGCTTTGCTCATTTCTTTTTATTCTTTTTTCTCTAAACTTCCCTTCTCGCTTCATTTCATTCATTTCATCTTCCATTGCTGATACCCTTTCTTCCAGTTGATTGCATTGGCTCCTGAGGCTTCTGCATTCTTCACGTAGTTCTCGAGCCTTGGTTTTCAGCTCCATCAGCTCCTTTAAGCACTTCTCTGTATTGGTTATTCTAGTTATACATTCTTCTAAATTTTTTTCAAAGTTTTCCACTTCTTTGCCTTTGGTTTGAATGTCCTCCCGTAGCTCAGAGTAATTTGATCGTCTGAAGCCTTCTTCTCTCAGCTCGTCAAAGTCATTCTCCATCCAGCTTTGTTCCGTTGCTGGTGAGGAACTGCGTTCCTTTGGAGGAGGAGAGGCGCTCTGCTTTTTAGAGTTTCCAGTTTTTCTGTTCTGTTTTTTCCCCATCTTTGTGGTTTTATCTACTTTTGGTCTTTGATGATGGTGATGTACAGATGGGTTTTTGGTGTGGATGTCCTTTCTGTTTGTTAGTTTTCCTTCTAACAGACAGGACCCTCAGCTGCAGGTCTGTTGGAATACCCTGCCATGTGAGGTGTCAGTGTGCCCCTGCTGGGGGGTGCCTCCCAGTTAGGCTGCTTGGGGGTCAAGGACCCGCTTGAGGAGGCAGTCTGCCCGTTCTCAGATCTCCAGCTGCGTGCTGGGAGAACCACTGCTCTCTTCAAAGCTGTCAGACAGGGACATTTAAGTCTGCAGAGGTTACTGCTGTCTTTTTGTTTGTCTGTGCCCTGCCCCCAGAGGTGGAGCCTACAGAGGCAGGCAGGCCTCCTTGAGCTGTGGTGGGCTCCACCCAGTTCGAGCTTCCCGGCTGCTTTGTTTACCTAAGCAAGCCTGGGCAATGGCGGGCGCCCCTCCCCAGCCTCGCTGCCACCTTGCAGTTTGATCTCAGACTGCTGTGCTAGCAATCAGCGAGACTCCGTGGGCGTAGGACCCTCCGAGCCAGGTGCGGGATATAATCTCGTGGTGCGCCGTTTTTTAAGCCCGTCGGAAAAGCGCAGTATTCGGGTGGGAGTGACCCGATTTTCCAGGTTCTTCCGTCACCCCTTTCTTTGACTAGGAAAGGGAACTCCCTGACCCCTTGCGCTTCCCAAGTGAGGCAATGCCTCGCCCTGCTTTGGCTCGCACACGGTGCGCGCACCCACTGACCTGCGCCCACTGCCTGGCACTCCCTAGTGAGATGAACCCAGTACCTCAGATGGAAATGCAGAAATCACCCGTCTTCTGCGTCGCTCACGCTGGGAGCTGTAGACTGGAGCTGTTCCTATTCCGGACCTCCTTCTCTTCCCTCGCTTGTCTTCGCCGGAAGTGTGCTGAACACTTTACTGAAATTTTCTGGTTTTTGAGGTGGCCGAAGAAACAGAGAAAAAAATGTTGAGTCTTATGTTTTGTAAGTCAGTAGAATATCAGTCAAATCCACCTAAGACAGATTATTGCATAGGGAAAGATGTTCAGGCTGAGGGTATCACCAATGATCTATTCATTTCAAGCAGGGTTCTCTACAGTGAACGCTGACCACATGTCCAGGACTTAGGTCCTGGGCACTTGCTGTACTGGGTGCTAACATAAAATGTATGGTCCCAGACACCCTTGGGAATGCGCACAATGATTATTCTGAGAGCATCCCAGCCTTATTTCATGACTTTTTTTCTAACACTTTTCCAGGAAATGGCTGACATTGTATAGTTCCTTAAAAGAAATGGTGAAAATACTTCAAAATGCAGGGGTAGTGGGGCCTTCTAACTCTTATTAAATACTCACCTCTGCTACCAATACATAATCCTCATGAAGACAGACAGGTAAAGACACTGTCTCAAGATGTATTTTTTTTTTCCAATACCAGTATTTAATCACTTTATTTGGTTCCTGTTCAGTGTTTAGTGGCAGCCGAACATAGAACCAAGCACTATATACAATCTTGGAGGTAGGCGTGGGGGTGGAGATGGTCGGGGTTATTAGCAAAGAAGTAGGAAACCCAAGCTCACAGCCAATGCCTTGAAAACAATTACAAAGTAGCTTACACCTACAACCCATGGCAGAACAGACATCAAGTTCTTTCCTCAGTGGTCTATGAGGGGTGTTTGCTGCCAGGGATCAAGCAGGTGATGTTCATCTTGGTGCCTTTTCTTTATTTTTATTATTATTATTGTTATTATTTAAGTTTTAGGGTACATGTGCACAATGTGCAAGTTTGTTACATATGTATACATGTGCCATGCTGGTGTGCTGCACCCATTAACTCCTCATTTAGCATTAGGTATATTTCCTAATGCTATCTATCCCCCCCTCACCCCACCCCACAACAGTCCCTGGAGTGTGATATTCCCCTTCCTGTGTCCATGTGTTCTCATTGTTCAATTCCCACCTATGAGTGAGAATATGTGGTGTTTGTTTTTTTGTCCTTGCAACAGTTTGCTGAGAATGATGGTTTCCAGTTTCATCCATGTCCCTACAAAGGACATGAACTCATCATTTTTTATAGCTGCATAGTATTCCATGGTGTATATGTGCCCCATTTTCTTAATCCAGTCTATCGTTGTTGGACATTTGGGTTGGTTCCAAGTCTTTGCTATTGTGAATAGTACCGCAATAAACATATGTGTGCATGTATCTTTATAGCAGCATGATTTATAATCCTTTGGGTATATACCCAGTAATGGGATGGCTGGGTCAAATGGTATTTCTAGTTCTAGATCCCTGAGGAATCGCCACACTGACTTCCACAATGGTTGAACTAGTTTACAGTCCCACAAACAGTGTAAAAGTGTTCCTATTTCTCTACATCCTCTCCAGCACCTGTTGTTTCCTGACTTTTGAATGATCGCCATTCTAACTGGTGTGAGATGGTATCTCATTGTGGTTTTGATGTGCATTTCTCTGATGGCCAGTGATGTTGAGCATTTTTTCATGTGTTTTTTGGCTGCATAAATGTCTTCTTTTGAGAAGTGTCTGTTCATATCCTTCGCCCACTTTTTGATGGGGTTGTTTGTTTTTTTCTTGTAAATTTGTTTGAGTTCATTGTAGATTCTGGATATTAGCCCTTTGTCAGATGAGTAGGTTGCAAAAATTTTCTCCCATTCTGTAGGTTGCCTGTTCACTCTGATGGTAGTTTCTTTTGCTGTGCAGAAGCTCTTTAGTTTCATTAGATCCCATTTGTCAATTTTGGCTTTTGTTGCCATTGCTTTTGGTGTTTTAGACATGAAGTCCTTGCCCATGCCTATGTCCTGAATGGTAATGCCTAGGTTTTCTTCTAGGGTTTTTATGGTTTTAGGTCTAACGTTTAAGTCTTTAATCCATCTTGAATTAATTTTTGTATAAGGTGTAAGGAAGGGATCCAGTTTCAGCTTTCTACATATGGCCAGCCAGTTTTCCCAGCATCATTTGTTAAATAGGGAATCCTTTCTCCATTGCTTGTTTTTCTCAGGTTTGTCAAAGATCAGATGGTTGTAGATATGTGACATTATTTCTGAGGGCTCTGTTCTGTTCCATTGATCTATATCTCTGTTTTGGTACCAGTACCATGCTGTTTTGGTTACTGTAGCCTTGTAGTATAGTTTGAAGTCAGGTAGCGTGATGCCTCCGGCTTTGTTCTTTCGGCTTAGGATTGACTTGGCAATGCGGGCTCTTTTTTGGTTCCATATGAACTTTAAAGTAGTTTTTTCCAATTCTGTGAAGAAAGTCATTGGTAGCTTGTTGGGGATGGCGTTGAGTCTATAAATTACCTTGGGCAGTATGGCCATTTTCACGATATTGATTCTTCCTACCCATGAGCATGGAATGTTCTTCCATTTGTTTGTATCCTCTTTTATTTCCTTGAGCAGTGGTTTGTAGTTCTCCTTGAAGAGGTCCTTCACATCCCTTGTAAGTTGGATTCCTAAGTATTTTATTCTCTCTGAAGCAGTTGTGAATGGGAGTTCACTCATGATTTGGCTCTGTGTTTGTCTGTTATTGGTGTATAAGAATGCTTGTGATTTTTGCACATTGATTTTGTATCCTGAGACTTTGCTGAGGTTGCTCATCAGCTTTAGGAGATTTTGAGCTGAGACGATGGGGTTTTCTAGATATACAATCATGTCATCTGCAAACAGGGGCAATTTGACTTCCTCTTTTCCTAATTGAATAGCCTTCATTTCCTTCTTCTGCCTAATTGCCCTGGCCAGAACTTCCAACACTATGTTGAATAGGAGTGGTGAGAGAGGGCATCCCTGTCTTGTGCCAGTTTTCAAAGGGAATGCTTCCAGTTTTTGCCCATTCAGTATGATATTGGCTGTGGGTTTGTCATAGATAACTCTTATTATTTTGAGATACGTCCCATCAATAGCTAATTGATTGAGAGTTTTTAGCATGAAGGGTTGTTGAATTTTGTCAAAGGCCTTTTCTGCATCTATTGAGATAATCATGTGGTTTTTGTCCTTGGTTCTGTTTATATGCTGGATTACATTTATTGATTTGCATGTGTTGAACCAGCCTTGCATCCCAGGGATGAAGCCCACTTGATCATGGTGGATAAGCTTTTTGATGTGCTGCTGGATTCGTTTTGCCAGTATTTTATTGAGGATTTTTGCATCAATGTTCATCAAGGATATTGGTCTAAAATTCCCTTTTTTGGTTGTGTCTCTGCCAGTCTTTTGTATCAGGATGATGCTGGCCTCATAAAATGAGTTAGGGAGGATTTCCTCTTTTTCTATTGATTGGAATAGTTTCAGAAGAAATGGTACCAGCTCCTCCTTTTACCTCTGGTAGAATTCGGCTATGAATCCATCTGGTCCTGGACTTTTTTTGGTTGGTAAGCTATTGATTACTGCCTCAATTTCAGAGCCTGTTATTGGTCTATTCAGAGATTCAACTTCTTCCTGGTTTAGTCTTGGGAGGGTGTATGTGTCGAGGAATTTATCCATTTCTTCTAGATTTTCTAGTTTATTTGCGTAGAGGTGTTTGTAGTATTCTCTGATGGTAGTTTGTATTTCTGTGGGATCAGTGGTGACATCCCCTTTATCATTTTTTATTACATCTTTTTGATTCTTCTCTCTTTTCTTCTTTATTAGTCTTGCTAGCGGTCTATCGATATTGTTGATCTTTTCAAAAGACCAGCTCCTGGATTCATTAATTTTTTGAAGGGTTTTTTGTGTCTCTATTTCCTTCAGTTCTGTTCTGATTTCAGTTATTTCTTGCCTTCTGCTAGCTTTTGAATGTGTTTGCTCTTGCTTTTCTAATTCTTTTAATTGTGACGTTAGGGTGTCAATTTTGGATCTTTCCTGCTTTCTCTTGTGGGCATTTAGTGCTATAAATTTCCCTCTACACACTGCTTTGAATGTGTCCCAGAGATTCTGGTATGTTGTGTCTTTGTTCTCGTTGGTTTCAAAGAACATCTTTATTTCTGCCTACATTTCGTTATGTACCCAGTAGCCATTCAGGAGCGGGTTGCTCAGTTTCCATGTAGTCAAGCGGTTTTGAATGAGTTTCTTAGTCCTGAGTTCTAGTTTGATTGCACTGTGGTCTGAGAGACAGTTTGTTATAATTTCTGTTCTTTTACATTTGCTGAAGAGTGCTTTACTTCCAATTATGTGGTCAATTTTGGAATAGGTGTGGTGTGGTGCTGAAAAAAATGTATATTCTGTTGATTTGGGGTGGAGAGTTCTGTAGAGGTCTATTAGGTCCTCTTGGTGCAGAGCTGAGTTCAATTCCTGGGTATCCTTGTTAACTTTCTGTCTTGTTGATCTGTCTAATGTTGACAGTGGGGTGTCAAAGTTGTGTGGGAGTCGAAGTCTCTTTGTAGGTCTCTAAGGACTTGCTTTATGAATCTGGGTGCTCCTGTATTGGAGCAAATATATATATCCTAAATATATATATTTAGGATAGTTAGCTCTTCTTGTTGAATTGATCCCTTTACCATTATATAATGGCCTTCTTTGTCTCTTTTGATGTTTGTTGGTTTAAAGTCTGTTTTATCAGAGATTAGGATTGCAACCCCTGCCTTTTTTTGTTTTCCAATTGCTTGGTAGATCTTCCTCCATCCCTTTATTTTGAGCCTATGTGTGTCTCTGCACGTGAGATGGGTTTCCTGAATACAGCACACAGATGGGTCTTGACTCTATCCAATTTGCCAGTCTGTGTCTTTTAATTGGAGCATTTAGCCCATTTACATTTAAGGTTAATAT
The DNA here is from genome assembly GCF_000001405.40 of Homo sapiens. NCBI lineage: Eukaryota > Metazoa > Chordata > Mammalia > Primates > Hominidae > Homo > Homo sapiens. Next base: position 101,673,202 of record NC_000008.11, on the reverse strand, counting down.
TGTTATGTGTGAATTTGATCCTGTCCTTATGATGTTAGCTGGTTATTTTGCTCATTAGTTGATGCAGTTTCTTCCTAGTCTCGATGGTCTTTACATTTTGGCATGATTTTGCAGCGGCTGGTACCGGTTGTTCCTTTCCATGTTTAGCGCTTCCTTCAGGAGCTCTTTTAGGGCAGGCCTGGTGGTGACAAAATCTCTCAGCATTTGCTTGTCTGTAAAGTATTTTATTTCTCCTTCACTTATGAAGCTTAGTTTGGCTGGACATGAAATTCTGGGTTGAAAATTCTTTTCTTTAAGAATGTTGAATATTGGCCCCCACTCTCTTCTGGCTTGTAGGGTTTCTGCCGAGAGATCAGCTGTTAGTCTGATGGGCTTCCCTTTGAGGGTAACCCGACCTTTCTCTCTGGCTGCCCTTAACATTTTTTCCTTCATTTCAACTTTGGTGAATCTGACAATTATGTGTCTTGGAGTTGCTCTTCTCGAGGAGTATCTTTGTGACGTTCTCTGTATTTCCTGAATCTGAACGTTGGCCTGCCTTGCTAGATTGGGGAAGTTCTCTGGATAATATCCTGCAGAGTGTTTTCCAACTTGGTTCCATTCTCCCCATCACTTTCAGGTACACCAATCAGACATGGATTTGGTCTTTTCACATAGTCCCATATTTCTTGGAGGCTTTGTTTGTTTCTTCTTATTCTTTTTTCTGTAAACTTCCCTTCTCGCTTCATTTCATTCATTTCATCTTCCATTGCTGATACCCTTTCTTCCAGTTGATTGCATTGGCTCCTGAGGCTTCTGCATTCTTCACGTAGTTCTCGAGCCTTGGCTTTCAGCTCCATCAGCTCCTTTAAGGACTTCTCTGCATTGGTTATTCTAGTTATCCATTCGTCTAATTTTTTTTCAAAGTTTTTAACTTCTCTACCATTGGTTTGAATTTCCTCCTGTAGCTCGGAGTAGTTTGATCGTCTGAAGCCTTCTTCTCTCAGCTCGTCAAAGTCATTCCCCATCCAGCTTTGTTCCGCTGCTGATGAGGAGCTGCATTCCTTTGGAGGAGGAGAGGTGCTCTGCTTTTTAGAGTTGCCAGTTTTTCTGCTCTGTTTTTTCCCCATCTTTGTGGCTTTATCTACTTTTGGTCTTTGATGATGGTGACGTACAGAAGGGTTTTTGGTGTGGATGTCCTTTCTGTTTGTTAGTTTTCCTTCTAACAGATAGGACCCTCAGCTGCAGGTCTGTTGGAGTTTGCTAGAAGTCCACTCCAGACCCTGTTTGCCTGGGTATCAGCAGCGGTGGCTGCAGAACAGCGGTGGCTGTAGAACAGTCGATATTGGTGAACTGCAAGTGCTGCTGCGTGATCGTTCCTCTGAAAGTTTTGTCTCAGAGGAGTACCCGGACATATGAGATGTCAGTCTGCCCCTACTAGGGGATGCCTCCCAGTTAGGCTGCTTGGGGGTCAAGGACCCGCTTGAGGAGGCAGTCTGCCCGTTCTCAGATCTCCAGCTGCGTGCTGGGAGAACCACTGCTCTCTTCAAAGCTGTCAGACAGGGACATTTAAGTCTGCAGAGGTTACTGCTGTCTTTTTGTTTGTCTGTGCCCTGCCCCCAGAGGTGGAGCCTACAGAGGCAGGCAGGCAGGTCTCCTTGAGCTGTGGTAGGCTCCACCCAGTTCGAGCTTCCCAGCTGCTTTGTTTGCCTAATCAAGCCTGGGCAATTGCAGGTGCCCCTCCCCCAGCTTGCAGGTGCCCCTCCCCCAGCATCGCTGCCGCCTTGCAGTTTGATCTCAGACTGCTGTGCTAGCAATCAGCGAGACTCCATGCGCGTAGGACCCTCCGAGCCACGTGCGGGATATAATCTCCTGGTGTGCCATTTTTTAAGCCCATTGGAAAAGCACAGTATTAGGGTGGGATTTTCCAGGTGCCGTCTGTCACCCCTTTCTTTGACTAGGAAAGGGAACTCCCTGACCCCTTGCGCTTCCCGAGTGAGGCAATGCCTCGCCCTGCTTCAGCTTGCGCAGGGTGCACTGCACCTACTGTCCTGCACCCACTGTCTGGCACTCCCTAGTGAGATGAACCCGGTACCTCAGATGGAAATACAGAAATCAACCGTCGTCTGCATTGCTCATGCTGGGAGCTGTAGACCGGAGCTGTTCCTATGTAGCCATCTTGGCTCCACCCCCCTTGGTGCCTTTTCACCATCCTCTTCCTCTTTCTTGCTGCTTCTGGCTGATCAGAGGCCCCACTATAGAATTCCTGAGTCCCCAAAGTTTCCAGATCACTATCCTTTTGCACCCCACCTCCTATGAGGGCAGACTGTGTCTAACTTGCCTCTCTCTCCAGCACACGGCAAAACATCAGGTCCAGAGTAATCGAACTGAATCAGTGTAGAGAGTGGGAGACAAGAGCTGGTACTGAACTTCACGACACTGACAACCGTCATCGCCTATCCAACCAGCGTCTCATTCCAGGGAACTGGTTGGCACACATGGCGAGCACCTAACAGCAGGACCGTGGCTGCCACAGGCCAAGGGGGAGGCTGCCTCAGGAGATGTGGAGACCAGCTCGTATCCTCAGCTGGACCTACTTGGACAGCTGGGGAGAGCACCAAGACCTCCTAATGAGGCTGTGGAACACAGTCATGACAACAAGCCTTGGAGCCCATTTCTAATCCCAGGATCTCTCCAGAAGACTCTGCAATGAGCGCTTCCTCCATGCCCTCACTTCCCAGTCCCTGGTCTAGGCACAGAGGCTGCTGGAGATGCTGCTGGGGTTGAAGTTGGTCAAGGGAGGCTTCCTGAAGGCAAATGATGTTTAGCCAAGATTTGAAAGCTGTGGACATGTATAGACAGAGAGATGGGAAGATGTAGAAGAATGTAGAAATGCTACTTGTTTGGAACAGAGCTGCTCTTGGGAGATAATCATGGACAGCAGTTAAAGGAGTGTGGGTGGCTCCACAGAGTGGTACCCACCAAGGAAACCCCAGCAGATACTGGGATAGTGCATCCAGGTGTTCACATTCGAGCCAACAGATCTTAGGGAGCCTGTGGGTTCCAGGGCAAGAGATTGTGAGAAAACTGGAGTTAGAGCCACATGGTTTCAGCCTCCATGCAGAGGTTGGTGCAGGTGAACTAAGGAAGCAGAAAGCTTTTGTGGGAATTCAAGGGCGGGCGAGTGGGCCTGGGAGTGAGGATGGGCAGAAGCAAGTGAACAGAACCAACTCCCTGCCCAAAGGGACTGGCCAAGAATAACCACCCTGGGGAGCCTGCCGTGGTCACACACAAGCCCTGGAAGTTCTTCAGCCCTCTTCACATTTAACACTGGGGTGAAGCACAGCAAAGTAACTTTACCAGGAAATCCCTGCTCTGTTGAAGCCCAGGACCTGAAGGCAGGGTGGGCAGCTAGAATTTTCCCACGTCACATGGAAACCTCTCTCCAACAAGGTAAAAATCCCCAACACTGGCTGCACAGAAAGCACCAGACACTGTTGTTTTACTCTTATGTTATGAATATTTATTTTTTCTCCTTAAAAATGTACAAAAAATAAAATAACTGTATTTATAGTTTATAGATTCCCCCTCTCCCATTTACAAAACTATTAAGTTACATTTACCTTTTTTTTTTTAAAACATGAGAGCAAATTGTACATATATCAATCTCCCTTGCTTGTCTTTAAGAAAGGGCCGTTCATAGCATTTGGCACAAACCCTCTATTTCTGTTGCATTTGCATGATTTTAAATAAGAAGGAAAATAAACATTTGATTTATTTCATGCTTCCTAAGTTTCTGGGCAGGGACATGCCTTACTCTTTTAGAAACCAATTCCAAGATGACATCTGACTGCATTTTTCTGTTGGTCCGAACTTCTAAACAAACACTCATAAAGTAAGTTTAAACAATTTGGAGATGTATGAGGAAAAAGTCTTGTTCTGTTCAGTTCAGACTTTGTTAAAAAAAAAAAAGAAAAAAATGCTCATTTCACATGTCCATGATCTTCCATGGATTTTTTTTAAGCTTATTTGAGTTTGATTAAGGGACAAAAAAGAAGAGGCGGCAAGTTTTCCTATCTCTTTGGAGTGTTTCGCTCAGGAAATTTTGCTCATCAAAGTTCAGCTAACATACACAGCGGACACATCAAAGGCAAACTGGGGTGCTCCGAGGATGCAGAGGGGAATGGATCGGAAGGGATGTGGCACTTGGCACCACCCTCTGGTGGCACTGGCCTCATATCCCTTGTGGCAATTGTCACCACCATGATTGCTCAAGGACTTAGGAAACATGCACAGCATCTTCAATTCATCTTCTGCCTTAGGGCAGGACTGGCAAACAAACAGTTTCATAAAGAGGCTGGAGAGAGAGGGGTAGGTTGCCTGTGTCAGGCTGCCAAATCTTTTGTCTTTTTCCTACTCTGGAGTCCTATGCCCCAGTCCGAGTATTTGCCGTTGTTATGTCTGCCAATCATGTTTGAAACTATTCCTAACCCTAGGAGCATGGGAAGTGCATAGTACAACATGTATTTCCAACACTGAATTTGTCCATCTCAGAACAGAGCCCCATTAGTACCCTGGAGGGTCCCCAAGCTGCTGGTCCGGGGCGTGGCAGTCAGAGTGGAGGAGGAGGGGACAGACTGGAGCACAGCTGGATCCACGATGCAAACCTTTGGCCCCACAGAAGGGTTAACATGCCCAGAGGACACACAGCAAGGTGCCCCGTCACTGCTGCTCGGAGATCTTCTTGGCCACAGCACCTGCCCTCTGTCCCATTCAATTCAATTCCTCCGCAACCTCAAGGAGAAACAGCTGAGCTAGAAGCAGACCCTCCATCCTGCTCTGCATCTCAGGGACAGATGAGGTGGGAGCGCAGGAAGCCCTTAGAGAGCGGGCCTCCAGGTAAGAGTCAAAGTGCTTTACAAACAAATCTGGGCCTTTGTAGAGAACCTTTGGGTGCAGGATGTGTCTAGCTACCAAAAAGCTAGTGCTTCAGCCCACAAGGGCGAACGCAAACCCCTAAACCTGTCCCCTCAAAGAGAACAGTGGCCCATGATGGTTCATCATTTTGCGATTGTTTAGGGGAGTGTTTTTCTCTTCCAGCTCCCAGGGCATGTAGCAGGAGACCACAGCTTCTCTCTCCCAGTTTCCCTCCTGAGGCTGGTTTCACAGGAGCCAGGTATCTTGGCACATTCTTTCTCACTCACTTCCTTAAAACGCAGCATCCAGGAGTGAGGCAAACAATACCCCCTTTCCATCTGGTGGCCCAGGAGGAAGCCCCAGCCTGCCGACTCAGAGCTGAGCTGTTCACAGCTCTCACATGGCAGCAGGCCTTTTAAAGGGCCACTTGAGATGAAGGGCGTGTTTGTAAACTGGGAGGCACAGTACAGTGTCCAGGATTCTCCTGATAGCCAAGGAGCTCTGCAGCAGACCCAGCCACAGGGCCCTGATGGCAAACCCCCTGCAGAGGCTCTCCAGAAAGCTCAGGCCATGCCCGCAGCCAAAGCTGGAGAAGGAGCTGGGGTCTCAGACAGAATGACCTTTCCCACGAGACAGCGCAAAGGGAAAGTCAAGCAAAACACATCATTGTGAGATAAACGTGGTGGCCTCGAAGGAGAGTCATGCCCATGGAGAAGGAGAGGGGGCTTCCTCTGGGGACAGGGAACGAGCCCCCAGGTATGCCCATTGCAGAGTCCATCTTGGCATCAGCTGCAGTCACCTTAACATCCCAAAGGCCCTCTACCTAGCCCTGCAAGTCTCTTGAACAGGCACAGAGGCAAAAACCCCCATTAAAACGGTCTCCAGGTCTGTGTCTCCTCTAGGCCAGTGGCAGTAAACATGCCCACATACCACAGGTAAAATATATTATTACAATATTATAAACACTATGTACAATGCAGACAGGCAGACTTTCTGTGTTACTAATTACACGGTGACTGAATGTCTTCCTGTACAAGGCCTGGTGGCCACTTGCTGGGAACCCTGGAGGTATTTAGCAAGACAGCCTTCCCCAGAGCAACCTAAAGGTGTCTGACCAGAAAGTGGGCATCCACCTCTTGCCCCACCTATAACTACTGCACCCAGACGTAGCTCATTTTGTCCAGCCACTCGGGAGATAGATATGGAGGGGTGAGAGAGAAGGGATGGGAATTTTTTAGGCTGTTCGGGATGAGTGTTTCTCTTGAAGGGGGAACGCTGGACGGTCTCATCTGGAGCTAGCAGTGACCTGCAGAGTCCTGGCGGGCCTGGACCTGGGCTCCAGGAAAAGGTGGGCAATAAATAGGAATCCAACAGGCCTAAGGCACCTTCCTGAGGGGCTCAGGCTTCAGCTCCGTGGTAGGTGCCAGTGGATGGGCCAAGCACACCGACAGTGGGGCCTGTCCCTTGCCCCACTCCCCAGCACGGTCTTGTAACAGCAGTTGTGAGATGGGGGAGATGGGTCTCCAGGTTCTGGGGCTGGGGCTTCTGTCTCTCTCAGGGAGGAACGCACTGAGAGCTCCAGCCAAAGCGGATGCCAAACCCAGGGCTAGATTTCCATGAGCGTGACCTTGAAGCCCTCCACCATGCTCTCCATGTTGAGGATGAAGGTGTCCTCGTTCGAGTAGTGCTCGATGATGTTGTCATCCATGTTCACCAAGATGCTGCCATGGAGGGGGGAGGGGTGTGAAAAACAAAGACGCCGTGAACAATGTGCCCAGGGCAAGGGGAGCTCCAGGCTGGGGGTTCTCGTAGCCATTCTTTTGTGGTGGAGGCTGGGAGGAGTGGAGGAGAGAGGACACAAGGCAGGGAAAGACCCTCATTCTGTTTTCTTTGCCCAAAAACTAGTTTGAGGAAAGCAAAGCCTCAATTTCTCAGAACTAACATTCAACCCAAACCGCTTGCATTATAGATGAGTAAACTGAGGCCCAGGGAAGTTAGGAAGCCCAGAATCACAGTTACTGATTACCAGGGCCAGAACCTAAATCATTAGGCTCTCTCTCTAACTCTTTTCAGTAAACCATGTTGCCCTTGAAAATGCATTTTTAAAAATGCATTGCCTCTGCTCTTAGGAGGAAGAGGAAAACAAGCAAGAATTGCAGCTACCCTTTTTTGAGCATGTAATATGACCTTGTGTTTAGTTCTCACAGCAACTGTGAAGGTAGGTGTCATTGCCATTTTGCAAATGAGAAAACTGACCTCAACAAGGTTAAATTGTTTCCCCAAGTTCATTCAGTTAGCACATGGCTGAGCTTGATTTTGAAATTAGCTTTACCTCATTCTGACACTTGTACTTTACCACCTGTGACCTACTCCTGTGGCTAACTATCCCTGATAGAGTTTTAAGAAAGCCAACAGCTTCCAGAGACTTCCATAATTTCCTTAAGCCAATTTCATGATTTGAAGTCAGACAGATGCTGGTTTGAGAATGAACCACTGACTGACTCTATCATTTTACAGTTATGTGTCAGCAGGCAAGCTGTTTAGCCTTTCAGAGCCTCAGTTTATCCTCCTGTAAAAATAAGAACAGTCACTTAGCTTTAACGGATTGTTTTTATGATAAAAACATTTAGCACAACACCTGATACAGAGCTTGATGAAAGCAAAATGTTATCATCAGCATGTACCTCTGCACTGAGGATTTCTGCTCGGCAATAAGACTGTGAGACACGACTGAAATCTCACTGTCAGTAATACACCCAGCCTACTACATTGACCTCGGCAAGAAGTATAACGTGCATTTTAGTGAATCTTCCAACAAGAGCTCAGGTGGAAAGGGTTTCCTGTCAGATCCTCCAATCAACCAACAGGACTCATCACTCAGAAAGCCTGAGCTTCCCAGATAATCCAATTTCCTTTATGAAAGTGATCCGGAGAAGAGTTGACTCATCTTCTGCCTTTTGTAGGAAAATACCCCAGAAGCTGAGTCAACAGATACCCTCTCCTGGCACTTCCACTAGCTCCTGTGGCCCCTACTCTTAGACCGTCACACATAGGAAGCCCACACAGAAAGTCAGACGGCAGAACGTGGAAGCTAAGCACTTGAGCTTTGAGGACACAGATGGGTTCAAATCTGTCCTCTACCTACTGAACATGAGACTTGGGCGACATGCTTAAGCCCCCTCTGGCTTGCTTTCTTCATCAATAAATCAGCGATAAGAGATTCCACCTCATAAAGTGGTGAGAACTAAATAGAGGAATACATGTAAAGTACTTAGGAAGGGACCCCAAACCTACTGAACACCCAGTAAATATGACCTGTTGTTCTTAACAATGAGAACACACAGGTCCAATGATCATTTGAGAACATTTTCTTGATAATTACCTTAGAGGAATCCCCTATGTTCCAAACCATTTTTTGTTCCTAGTATGCCACCCAGAAACCAACCCCAAGGGCCATACGTGATTCCCTATAAACTCCACTCCCTGCAGAAAGGTGATTTTGCCATTCTCCCCAGTGTCCACAGCACCTCCAGACCTCTGTGGTCTTCCTGCTTGTCTTGTCATTGAAATAGGCATCTCAGTTGACATAGTGCCAGTGCACTGCCTCCCTCCCTCCCTCTCTCCTAAAGATCTTCCAAATGCAATCTCCTCTGCAATTCTCTGGAAGAAGGACACAATTTTTATGAAAAGTGGGCAACAGACCTAACAAAAGACAGGCATCATTTTATTTTTAAGGCATCATGTGGATTTATCTGATTTGAAAGTCAATTTAAGTTCAGTTTCTTTCTTACCCTTTTTTGCTTTTCTTGTAAAGCTTTGCTATCTTCTCCACGGGCAGCCCATATTTCTCAGATATCTGTAATACCAATAACAAGAAGGCAGATGAGCACAGAAGGACGCCCAACTGGAGGCAAGGGGGAAAGTTCCAGTTTCACTCCCTTGGACATTTTCCCAGGGATAGAGTGCTCTTCACTCATGAGTCGAACTCTCAAAACACTCATTTATGAGCCTCTCCCTTTGGATAGACTTTAAATCATTCAACAAAAAACCCAGCCTCATGGGAATTCAATCTATGATAAAAGTAGCGTTCCAGGTCAGTCAGAAAAAGATGGACTGTAACTATGATGTTGGATGAAATAGTAGCCATCTAGAAAAAAATTTAACAAGTTATATTGGATTCCTTCTCCACTCCTTACACCAAAATACATTTGATACAGATCAAAGATTTACATGTGAAAGATGAAACCATAAAAGTAGAGGAAGAAACCATGAGTTAATTTTTTGGACAGCTGTCATCTTAAAGTAAGGAAGATCTTTCTAAGCAAGACATGAAACCTAAAGAAAAAGGTCGAAAGGTTAATAAAAACAACACAACTTTAAAAACGCAGTACAGAAAAAAAAAAACTAAAATGCTAAAGACAAAAAAATACACTGGGAAACATTTTTGCAACAGAAATGACAGACATGGAACTAACTTCCTTAAGTTAAAAAGAACTCCTGCAAATCAAGAAAAAGATCAGCAATTCAATGGGCAAAGGAAGAAAAATCCTGAAGAAGCAATTCACGGAAGAAAAATAATTGGACAATGAGCATATAAAAAAATGCACCACACAGTCATAATTTAAAATTTTCAAATTAAAGCAAAGTAGGATACTACTTTTATTTTTATTTATTTATTTATTTATTTATTTATTTTTTGAGATGGAATCTTGCTCTGGTTCCCAGGCTGGAGTGCAGTGGCATGATCTCGGCTCACTGCAACCTCTGCCTCCCAGGTTCAAGTGATTCTCCTGCCTCAGCCTCCTGAGTAGCTGGGACTACAGGTGAGTGCCACCACACCTGGCTAATTTTTGTATTTTTAGTAGAGATGGGGTTTCATCATGTTGGCCAGGCTGGTCTCGAACTCCTGACCTCGTGATCCACCCAGCTCGGCCTCCCAAAGTCCTGGGATTACAGACGTGAGCCACCACACCCGGCCTATTTTTCAAACTAACAAAAAACTAAAACTTGATAATACAGCATCAGCCAGAGTATGAGAAACAGCAGTTCTCATATTCCATATTGTTACTCTCAGATGCAAGAATAACATGCTCAACCTCTTGGAAAGAAATTTGGCAGAAGCTATTAAAATTTTTAATGCATATATCCTTTGACCCACATATTCCATATCTAGTAATCAGGTCTACAGAAATACCTTCAGATGCACACAAAGATTTTCAAAGCATCACTGTTTAGGATAGAGAAAACTGCGTATAACAAACATCCGTTAAACACATTTTGATAATTCACACTTAAAAATCATGCAGTCATCAAAAGAAATGTGGAAAGCCTACATGAATTCACATTAACAAAAATATTCTTAACATATTGAGGAGAAAATACCAAGTTGCAAAACTGTGTTTATGGTGTGATCCCACTTGTATTTTTAAATATATATATGTATATATATGTAAGTACATAGAGAATATTTGAAGGACCCACCAACATATTAGCAGGGACTACCACTGAAGAATGGACAGAAACAAGGAGATCCTTTTACTTTTTATTTTGAAAAATTCTGTTCTATTTATTTTTACAATCATTGTGTTTCACTTTTATAAATATAAAGTAGTAACAGTTTACAGATGGATTCGGGAAAGCCCTGCCCTAAATGTCTTTCATACCCTCTCTACTCCCAAATCAACTCTGTCTGCCCCTTCTGAGCCCAGCAGCTGGTGGGGCTCACAGGCAGCTGAGAAAGGTGAAGTTTGAAATGTGGATTATTGGAAAGTCTAGCAGAGGCTGGAAAGAGAGGCTGAAGAGGTCTAGAGCAGAGCTGGAGGAGCTTTGGATCCTAAGAAGAGTTCACTCTACAGAGACTCACAGATTCCCACCCTTCCATCTATCTCACCCCACGGGAAGAACTCCCCATCCCCTAATAAGGCCCAAAGGCATGGAACAGGTGAGCAGAGAGCTGGGCGAGCAGAAGGAGACTGGGACCAAGTAGCGGGCCTGACAGACATCACTAATCCATCACTGATGAGATTACCTCACAGTCACACCTGAGCCAAACGAGCCAAGGATGAAAAACAACACATCCAGTGGGGGCCTTTGAACTGCAAAGAAAATTGGCAGAACTTCTGTTGGAGGCATCAATTCGAACAGAACATAAAAGAGCACTTAAGAAAAACAGAAGACTTGTGGAGCACACGCATGCAAAATTCTGATATACAAATATGATTATTGATCTAAACATTTTTTGAAGTTGAGCAAATGAAAGGATAGGTGGTCAATTTAGCAATCTCAATAGTGTCAGAAAATATCAAGTCAAAAACAATTTCAAAGCGCAAAGCAAAAGGATAGAGCATAGATGGAAATCATGACGGAAAAGAAGAAAGACTTGAAAACATCCTGGAACTTCCTGGACAGAAATAGCAAGTTACCTCCAAAAAAGATAAGCCTGGCTTCAGTCTTCTCATCTCAACACTAGAAACCAAATGACAGTGGACAGGAACTCTTACAGACTACAGGAAAAAAGTATTTCACTCCATAAATCCCATACACCAACAAGCTATCTCTCACTTATCAGGGTGAAAGAGCAGTGTATTTCACCCAAATATCTCATTTGAAAAAATACAGTCGGCCCTCAGTATCTCCAGGTTCTGCATTCTTGGATTCAATCAGCCATGGATTGAAAATATTAGAAAAAATGAAAAATAAAAGTACAATGGCAAAAAGTAATATGAATCAAAACAATACAGTATAACAATTATTTGCATGGCCTTTACAATGTATTACGTATTATAAGTAATCTAGAGATTATTTAAAGTACATGGGAGGATGTGTGTGTGTTACAGGCAAATATCTATGCCATTTTACATGAGGGACTTGAGCATCTGTGGATTTGAGTTTGGGGGAGGTGTCCTGGAACTAGTCCTCCCCAGGACCTCAAGGGACCACTAGATTCACAAAAGAGCTCCATCCAAATAGCAAATGCATCCAAATGGAGACACCAAACTAGAGAAAAGGGGAAGGAAAAAAAGCCACCAGTGGCATGCTGTAAACTTGAGTATATATAGCAGAGGTGTCCAATCTTTTGGCTTCTCTGGGCCACATTGAAAGAAGAATTGTCTTGGGCCACACATAAAACACACTAACACTAATGATAGCTGATGGACTTTTTAAAAAAATTGCAAAAAAATATTCATAATGTTTTAAGAAAGTTTACGAATTTGTGTTGGGCCATATTCAAAGCTATCTTGGCCCACATGCAGCTTGCAGGCCGTGGGTTGGACAAGCTCGGCACATAGGGTTATGTGGACTGCAAATGTGAAATGTATGTGCTAAATATTCTTGAAGTAAAAAGGACAAAGAAAAATCTAATTGTTTTCTAGAAATAAAGCATTAAACTATTTTTGCAAAATCTGGAAGTTGGAAGTTGATGGGGAGAGGGTAGGCATTTCAACTGGCTAATTTTAGTGAGAGGAGGGAAGGCAAGGGAGAAAATACAGCTCTGAAGTCTCATCTCACAGAGGGAGGAGCGGAGCTGGAAGGCACTGGTGGAGAAAATAGTTGGAAGTTTATTTTCAAATAGTAGTGAAGAATTACTTCAGGAATTTGGAAAATTTAGGAAACGTAAATAATAATTTTCAAATTTAAAAGTTGAAATACAACAACTTAGAATCTGACTGCAAAACTAAAGAGAAAGTAAGAAGCCACAAAATGAAATAATAAACAAAAAGATGGAAGAAATACAATCAAGTGTATCAGTTATTACACCAAATGAGAATAAACTTCATTCTTCCAGCAAAAGCCAGAGTGTCTCAGTGAGTATAAAAGAAAATAAATAAATAAAGAGAAAGATAAAGAAAGAAGCCCAGCTATATGGTGTTTAAAAGAAAAGCACTGAAGACAATGTGGTGAGTGAAGGATGACTGATGGGTGACCATACCAATCAAATGCAAACAAGGCAAAAGAGGAGTGACAAGGTATAATTTAAGGTTGATGAGGTTAAGAATGGATATGATATAATGATATGATATATGGATATGAATGGATATATGATATAATGATAAAAAGCACTATTGACGGAGAAGCTACAGCAATCATAAAACTTTATGCATCTGATAACATGGCACTTAAGCAAAAATTATTATAGGTAATTGTTACAGATGTAATAACTTTTGCTTAAGTGCTTTGCTATTGCAAAATGAAAATGCAATTATTGTGGGAGATTCACTTGAAAACCTTGAAACAATGCAATTATAGTGAGAGATTTCAATAGACCTTTTTAAGAATTGAACAAATCTAGTAGATGGTTAGGTAAAAAAAAAAGTTTCCAGAAATGTTTAACCTCTTTGAAATACTTCTACGTAACCCTGGCTGTATAGCAGCTCACCATCTCTTTAGAATATCAAATTCCTTTAGCGACTCCTTGAGAAGATATTGTATCTGTCTAAATGAACACTAGAAAGTTTCCTTGAACATCTTAATGCTGTTAATGCTGTTTCCAAATCTGGCGAGACACTCAATAATGTACAGTTGACATAGCTTTCATCACTCCTCCCCCAAAACGCCGTTTTGAAGAATTTATGCTTTCTTTCTCTCTTCCTCCCATGCCTGGCATCTGCACTGTTTGTCATGTCTCCTGGTGGCCATACTTGCACATGCAAATTAAAAGGGAATTGCCAAGGGGAGCTGGTTCTGCATCCAGAGGGCTCTGAGCGAAGATTTGCTGAAGGGATGAAGGAAAAAGAACCCCAGACATAGCCAATTCTCAGGAGTCAGCTCACTACCTTCCCCATTCCCTGGGATTCTAGAATGACCCAGTTAACAGAGCTGGTGACTGGAAAAAATCCTTGAAGGACAACCTGCTTCCACATCATTTCTAGAGCTGCCATTTCCTCAGCATGGTTGATCTTAACCTGGGGGTCTACAGATGCCCAAACAGTATATATATGAACTTGGATGGGGAAAACATTCATCTTTATTTTCACTAACCTCAAACTGGAATGTAGCATTTTCTTCAAGTATGAACACAAAGTAACATTAGCAATACCTGTGTCTTTTTTAACAACGGAAATCACAGATATTTCATGTCATATTAGAATCCTGCAGATGTTCCAAAATGCTGATGACATTCATTCATCATACTTTGAAATTACAGTTGTTATTAGTCTCACCCATAGATCATATTTAATGCATGAATAAGGAGCACATGTTTCCTATATCATAAGCATGGTTTTTTATTATTTTGATGATAAATATCAATATAACCAGTTTCCTTTATAATCCTATGTATTTTATTTTATACATCTAAAAACATTATTCTGTAAAGGGTCCATATATTTCACCAGACTGCCAAAGGTATCCATGGCACAAAAAGGTAAGCACCCCGATAAACATTTTTCTGTGTATAAGAGCTTGTTGCATACTCGGAAGTCCTATAGATTACATTATTTGTACCTAACTACCATTCTGACTTCCTTGCCCTTCAAGAGTTGGTTTTTTTTGAACTTTGGTTAGGGTTACTTGGAACTTCTTTTTAAAATAAAATGGAAAAATAAAATAGGGACTTTTTTCCACTCAACATCAAGCAGCTTATATCTGTTAGTTCCCCCTGTTCCTAAAGAAAAGTGAATCTGATGCTTGGGTTTTCTCTTTTTGGGGGTTTGATTCCCAGCTCCCCAAAGCATGAAAGGGAACACCTCGGCTCACAAATCAACTGATGTAAGTCAGAACTGGGTAAGGGCATAAAATCTAGGGTAGCAGCGGCACCAGCCATAGCTAGCATTTATTGAGTCACTGGGTCCCCAGCACACAGGCATGTGGAGCTTTGCATCTATTCACTTGCTTAGTCCTCACATCATGACAATGGAATAAGTGCTTTTGTGAGCGCTGTCTCTCAGATTAGAGAACTGAGGCTTCCAGTCAGTAAGTAACTCACCCAGGATCCCTCAGCTAGTAAGTGGCAGAGACAGAATTTGAAAGGGAACAACCTGGCAGATGGCTTTAGATTCTCAACTGCTAGAGAAAATGGGCATATGTTGAGATGGTTTGGGGGCAAGACTCACAGACCCCATCCAGTACAAAGAAGCAACTGTACAAAGAAGCAACTGGCAGAAACCTCTGCCTCCAGGAGGGCAAAGTCCTGCTCTCAGTGCAACTCTCAGCATCAAAGGCAGCTTGCAAATGTGCCACCCTGGGACAGTGTTCCCTGCCTGCATGCACGTCAGGGAGATGCGCTTTGCCAAATTCAGAACCCTGGAAAGTGAGACCAGGCAGGATATCATCATTCAGAGGAAGCTGGCTGTCTGTCAGGGGTGGCAGAAAATTCCTTCTGCCCAGGGGCTGGATGAGATCACCCACACAACAATCCTTCCTTCTATGAATGGAAAACGTGTGGCACATGATCGTTCTGTCGGAACAGGGTGATTTGGAGTGCTTGGGTTTTTTTCTTTGTGTTTTTCTTTTTTTCTTTTTCTGTCTTTTTTTTTTTTGTTTCGCTCTGTCGCCCAGGCTAGAGTGCAGTGGCGGGATCTCCGCTCACTGCAAGCTCCGTCTCCTGGGTTCACACCATTCTCCTGCCTCAGCCTCCTGAGTAGCTGGGACTATAGGCGCCCGCCACCACACCCTGCTAATTTTTTGTATTTTTAGTAGAGACGGGGTTTCACCATGTTAGCCAGGATGGTCTCAATCTCCTGACCTCGTGATCCACCCGTCTCGGCCTCCCAGAGTGCTGGGATTACAGGCGTGAGCCACTACGCCCGGCCTTTTCTTTGTGTTTTTCAAGTTGTCTCAACTGAGCATGCATTTTTATAAAAAGTGCATTTTATAAAAAGTGCATTATCAATATTTGTAAAAACCCCAAAGACTTCCTTGACACCCAGGATGATTCTAGATCTTGGAGATATCTCATCAATATGTTATTGGTTGTCTGATGATCTATAATTTTTGGACTTATTTTGTGGAAAGTTCTCTTTGCCCAAAAACCTCATGTACATGATAGGCAGAAGGTACAGACCAATTCCAATTCAGCCAGCCTTCTCCAGAGGCATACAACAGAACTGCCTGCTCTGGAAGTCAATTACGTTTAATGATTTTTATGTGGAGTTATATGCTGTTCATTCACTGGGGGCGCTTAAGATATACATCAAAAAAGCAGTGGACTCTTGCTTGTAAATGCTGCCTAGGTGGCCGTGTTTGACATTTCAGGAGAACCAGGTATGATCCATGAATCGCCTCCACACATGAATGACACAGTTGGACAAAAACTGGGTGCTACTAAGGCCATGAGCGACCTTTTTCTTTGTAGACATCAGCTAGCTTCATTGAGAGAGAACATCCCTATCCCTTTCTCTAGCCTCTTCACCTTAGGGGAAACACAGTCTGCCTCTCCACCTCATAGCACTCACGGTCATTGCCTGTGTGTGTGTGTGTGTGTGTGTGTGTGTGTGTCTGTTAGACACATAAAATACACTAACAGACACACAGACAGACACATGAACACACACCCAGTATATATTAATTTATAATTTCTGTGTGTTACTTTAAGCACCATGTATACACACTCATTTATCCTCACAACAATCCTATATCCCATTTTATTATCCTCATAATATTATCTCATATTATTATTCTCATTTCAGAAGTGATGACACTGGAGTGTAGAGAGGTTGAGTAACTCGCCCAGCTCAGCTGTCTGACTACATGGGATCAACACCACACAGACTACTTCTTGCCTGATGGCTTAGTATTGCCTGATCTCTTTAGATGTGGTGAGCTGTGAATGGGAATGTTTATCCTTCTTGTGATAACTTTTCAGATGTAAATGTCTCCCTAATTGGGCTTAAGTTGCTTGAGGACTTAAGTTGGCTCTATCAATTTGTGGAGCTGTCAGCCCTTTGGAAACCACCCCCTCTGGACCTCAGTTTCTACATCTGTAAAGTAGTGATGATGCTATTTACCTGCCATGTTCATGGGGATATTATAAAAATCCAATGTAGCAGGGCATGTGAAGATCACACCACCCACAGCACTCAGTCTAGGGGTATACATACAGCAGATGCCCAATTCAGTCAACAAAACTTATGCTGAAGGCTCTGGGAATACACCACGGAAAAGAAACACAGCCCCTGATCTCATGAACTTGACATTCAACTGGGGAAGAGAGAAACAATAAACATGGAACAAATATAACTACGTCAAGTGGTGATAAGTGCTGTGAATGACAGAGAGCGATGAAGATGCTATTTACGTGGGTGGGCTGGGAAGGCCCATCTGATAAAGCAACATGTGAGCAGCGGCCTGGAAGAAGTGAGCCTTGTCCATATGGAGGAAGGACATTTCAGGCAGAGGGAACAGCAAGTGCAAAGGCCCTGAGGTATGAGTGGCCCTGCTGGCCTTGGGGATTAGCCAGAAGCTACAGTGGCCAGAGATGCTTTATTTGCAAGATTACTAGGTAAAAATCACTAGAAATGCAGATAAAAAGAATTGGAAACTCATCTCACTACCACCATCACCACCACCAAATTCCTTGTCTTTAAGGCAGTTTAAAACCTAATTATAACAATAAAGAAGCCAAATTGAATCATCAAAGTTATGTGGATGGCTTGATTGATGTAATACTAAATATGCAAATGAAAAGAAAAATAGTCTATATTCTCCAAATGATACCAAGTATGGGAATATTTAGTAACATCTGGCTGATGATAGAGAACTTTTTTTCTTGTTCTAGCTGGGTGTATAGATCTGTAGAGATAATGATTTTCTGGCAGGTGAAATGAAGGTCTGGGGGGTTTAGGACTACTGAATAAGAAGAATAATCCAGAAAAGTGACTCAGCTTGGCATAGATTAAGCCATAATTACATTCCTCTTTGTTGTGGTCAAGAGTTCTTTCCAAAACAGTAAGAGGTCAAGGGTAGTACAAACAAAACTATTCTTCATGGTAGGCATTTTTCACATGTTGCAAGGAAGGAAACCAAACATTCAAAAATGGACGTACTCAAGACTACACAGTTATGATTTGAACCAAGTCAGTCAAGTTCCCCAGTCTACCCTCTCCTCTCATGCTGCTGCACTTGCATTTATGGCAGTGTCCTGACCTCACTCTTACAGGGAGACTTCCTTCTTCTTTTTTTTTTTTTTAGGATTGGAGTTTCGCTCTTGTTGCCCAGGCTGGAGTGCAATGGCGCAATCTTGGCTCACCGCAACCTCCGCCTCCCAGGTTCAAGGGATTCTCCTGCTTCAGCCTCCCGAGTAGCTGGCATTACAGGCATGCACCACCACACCTGGCTAATTTTGTATTTTCAGTAGAGACGGGGTTTCTCCATATTGGCCAGGCTGTTCTCGAACTCCCGACCTCAGGTGATCTGCCCGCCTCAACCTCCCAAAGTGTTGGGATTACAGGTGTGAGCCACTACCCCTGGCCTGGAGACTTCTTTAATGAAGACAAACTCAAAAATACTATCTCAAGGAAGAATATAATGTCTGCTGAGTATAAGAACAGCCCAATTTTTAAACAACAGAACTCCAACCTATCAAGTGGCTTAAATTACAGACTCCAGGAAACCCTTGTAGGCTGTAGGAACACTGTCACCATTGCCAAACTGTTCAACAAATCTGCCTGATGTGACACCTTCTGACTCAATCCTAAGTTGCTCGGAAGGAAGGGTGGCAACACTATTCTATCAAGATGACAAATCCACATTTCACCACCAATTGCCAAAAATTATTTTTTTTAAAGAAAACTCTTTGTTCGTTTTTTGGCTCCTTATTCTCCAGTTCAGACTTTCTTTTACACCTAAATAACACCTGGCTGAGGATAGGGAGTTGGGTGTTCAGTAGGGGCAATAACAGCAGGTTCTCCAATGGGAAGCAATCCAAATATCCCTAATGTGGAAATAGCTGCATCATCAACATCATTGCCATCATCTGCTCAGCTAAGATCTACTGACTATATGTGTTAAGCTCATTTAATGCTGTTGATGACTTCATTTTATAGATAAGGAAGTTGAGGCACAATCAACCTTTCAATAATTAGTCCAGGATGAGAGCAAAACAATGTGAATATTGATATGAAGCAGGTGTTTCTATTTCCAAAACAATTGCAAGACTCACACAAGGCATACTTTTACATTTGGAGTTGTGAATTCTGCTGGCCCTGGAAGACTATGAGTTCCTTTCTCAACAGAGAGCATTTAGTCTTCCCAAGCCCTTGATGAAGGTGGTAGCCTAGACCCAGGCCAATTCCTAAAATCCGCTGCGATGCGGTTATGAAATAATAGTCTGTAGGGCCACGTCTTGGTTTAAAACTACCTTCGCAGAATGTGCAACCAAAAGAGTGTCATAAGGTGACTTATTACCATCCTAAGTGAATAATGCATGTAGGACCTTAGGGCAGAATCAGACTCTAATACCAGTTCCCCGCCAAGGTACACACCAGCTAGTGGCTCTCACATTAATGGGCTTCAATTCAACCAGGAAGCTTGTTATCAGTGCTGATTCCCGGGCCTACCCCTATAGAATCTGATTCTGAAGATCATGGGTGGGGTTCTGGGATGGCATCTTTGTTTTTGTTTTTGTTTTTTTTTTGAGACAGAGTCACTCTCTCCCAGTCTGGAGTGTGGTGGCACAATCTCAGCTCACTGCGAACTCCGCCTCCTGTGTTCAAGTGATTCTCTTGCCCCAGCCTCTTAAGTGGCTGGGACTACAGCGCATGCCAGCACACTCAGCTAATTTTCTGGTAGAGACAGGGTTTCACCACGTTGGCCAGGCTGGTCTTGAGCTCCTGACCTCAAGTGATCCATCTGTGGGATGGCATCTTTGAAAGGTACCCCAGGTGATTCTGACGGGCCCAGTTAGATAAGCAATGCCCTAGGTCCACAGTAATGAGTAGGGGACTATGTTTGTGTTTATGGGAAGCCATTTTCAACCAGTGACAGAGTTCAAAGTGATGGCCTGAGGTCAAGCATAATATCTCTTGATTAATCACGTTTTCTTAAAAGTTAAGGTTTTTCCCTTTTCTACTCACTGAGCATTTTTTCTGTCTATATAACTTTCAGCTGTTAAAAACTATAAGCCCCCCCACAATGATATTATTTTGAAATTAAAAGTCAAAACAAAACATGGGGGCCAGGGTCACATTGCCTTCTTGTCTTGAGACTTTGTTTAATGTGGGGCTTTGGACTGTGGGGCATAAAGATCATTTCTTGGGAGCAGCTTTTTGCCTCTGGGCTCAGGAGAGAGGACCTCCCCACACAACTTCGGAGTTTCGGATGCAGATACCTGCACCATTTCCACAGCCCCATGCTGTGCCTCCTCCGAAATTTCAAATTCATAGGATATTACATAATGGAATCGAGCAAAAATAACATTCTGCCTTTTGGACAGTAGAAAAGGAGCACTTGAGAAATCCAAAATCTGAGGATTTCTACCCAAACAATGATTTAGTAACAAAGGCTAATTTAACTGTGGACTTGGTATATACCAGGGGCCAGGCAGAGTTTCAGATCTCTGTTGTCTCATTTGTTGTTGTCTCACAACAATCCCACGAGCTAGGTAGTATTATTATTTCCATTTTAACAATGAAGAAGAGGTTAAGAAACTTGTCCAGCTAGCAAGAGGCACAGCCAGAATTTGAACACAGGTTTTCTGAGGCCAAGCCCATATGCCGACCCCTAAGCTATACTGTCTGTATAGTACACACACACACACACCACACACACACACCACACACACACAGACACCACACACACCACACACACACCACCACACATACACACCACACACACACACACCACACACACACCACACACACACCACACACACACACCACACACATACACACATACCACACACACACCACACACACCAGACACACACCACACACACCAGACACACACACCACACACACACACCACACACACACCAGACACACACACACACCACACACACATCAGACACACACACACCACACACACCACACACATACACACACACCACACACACACGCACACACACTACCAATATACATTTGTATATACCAATATAGATATATAATATGTCATATTGTGTATATTTATATTATACACATGCATATTACCAATATACGAGGGTGCACTGGTGTCACTATGGTAAAGTGTCGTGCACTAGTAAGGCCCTGGTCTAAAGAGAACCCACACCCTGAAAGGAAACCCTTTCTTACCCCACCCAGATCCCAAATAAACTTAGGGTACAACTACAGTGAGCAGGAGCCACTGTTCTTGACAATTCTACCGCTTCATTTCACAGCATGCTTATGCCCTTGCTTACACGGAGCCTGCTGTCCTTCATGGCTGCCCCCAAGTTGCCGGGGCTGCTTTGTCATTCCAGACTGCATCACCCGAGGATCCTGGAGGAACTTCTCTTGCACAGCTTTCCCATTTGCATAACTTAGGAAGCAAGGAGATAGCCTGTGTTGGTGCTTCAATGAAACCTTTTCTTTTTAGACATAAAGGGGAGATGAAATCAGAATTGCCATAAGACATCTGACCAGAGCCAGCCTAGGGAACCTGACCTCTCTGTGGCTTACAGGGTCAAAGGATACATCCCCACCCCTCACACTGTACCTTCAGCTAACCAAAGTGAGGCAGGTGTAATGAGCTCCCACTAAAAGGGATCAACAGCCAGATGCTGCTGAGGCGGGGAGGGTAGGCAGAGGTTGCTGAGCTGCTGTTTAGGTGGGATCGAAGGTGACATTGAGTTCCACTGTGGTCCATTCCAACTGCATCCACAGAACACTTATAGAACTGGTCAGATGCCATGGAAGGTAAAGAAAAGACACCAAGGAAAAAGGAAGACTCGGAGTGTAATGAATCCATTCAGAAATGGTCTAGATCAGAGGTTCTCACACCTAGCTCATCTCAGAATATCCTCAGGAGCTCGTTAAAAATATAAGTTCCTGATCCCCACTTCCTCCCTTCCCTGATCTACCTGCAATTCAGAAGTATCAGAATCTCTAGAGTTGAAGTCAGAGAATATGCATTTAAGCAACTGCTTCTGTGGTTTTCAAATATCACTGTCCCCATTAAGTCAGTTTTGGTAATATAGTCTTAAAGGCCAGATTGGAGTATGAAATTATCCAAAGTTGTCCAGAGAGGTCTGAATATTTTATGAGCTTTTCCAGCTTATGAGCTTCCAGCTTAGTCTATCCCCTAGCAATCTTAGACTCATTTTGAAAATCTTGGTTTATTTCAATATATATAGATCATATTTTTGTGGCATTGATTTCTGTTTTTGTTTTTCCTTAATGTGAGGCAGATCCAGTAACAACAA
The DNA here is from genome assembly GCF_000001405.40 of Homo sapiens. Taxonomy (NCBI): domain Eukaryota; kingdom Metazoa; phylum Chordata; class Mammalia; order Primates; family Hominidae; genus Homo; species Homo sapiens. The sequence goes on along the minus strand of NC_000008.11, from coordinate 101,651,016 downwards.
ACTCCATACTATGGAAAAATCCTATAGAAGAAAAAAGATGACCTAATCCTCCATCAGTGTGTTTCTTAGACGGAGGTCCTTGATGCTCCACTCGGAATTGCCTGGGGACTTGTTAATAACAGATCACAGAGGGCAGCGTGATGACATTGGTACAGTTTTTAAAAATTTCTGGTGAACAATGAATACTAGATAGATAGATAGATAGATAGATATCACAATTCACCATTTTAACCATCTTAAAGTGTATAATTCAGTGCTGTTTAGTAGATTCACAATACTGTACAACCATCACCTCTATCTAATTCCGAAACATTTTCATCCCCCCCAAAGAAAACCCATTAAGCAGTTGTTCCACCTCCTACCCCCATCCCCTGGCAACCACTAACTTGCCTTTCGTCTCTATGGATTTGCTTATTCTCAATATGTCCTATAAATTGAATCATACCACATGTGGCTTTTTGAATCTGGCTGAGCAATTCCACACCTTGGAACATACCCAAAAGAACTGGAAACAAGTATTCAAACAAAACTTGTCCATGAATGTTCATAGTAGCAGTATTCACAATAGCCAAAAGGTAGAAAAATTCCAATGTCCATCAACTGATAAGTGGAAATACAAAATGTGGTATATTTACACAACGGAATACTATTTAATCATAAAAAGAGTGAAGTCCCGATTACTACAACACAAAGGAAGCTCAAAAAAGAGTATCCCAAATGAAAGAAATGGTATGATTCCACTTACAGGAACTATCCCATATAGTTTAACATTTAGCTTCATAACCCAAGATGCTGCTCCAATGTAGCAGTTTTCCAAACCAACCAACAATTTTGAACTGTGTTCCTGGCAGTCCTGTTGTCTCTATCACTATAAAAAAACAAATCTTCTACAATATAGTTGTATGGGGCAGTGGTCCAGTGGGGGAGCAGTTGGGAGTGAAGGGAGTAAGGGAGTGTATTCAAAGTAGAGTTCTAGTGAGGTTATATTCAGGTGAATAACATACAAACAAAATGTAAAATAGCTTCTTGTGAGCCCAAGTTGGGTAATACTAGACAAGACCATGGGTAGGAAGGGAAAAGTCTTACTGCAAATCACTATAATTCTGCATTATTTTTTTTTCTTAACCAAGAGATCATATTTCTTTTGGACTACACCATCACGGCCAGTGAAACACTTGTTAATTGTTTTTGTTTTGTATATATTTGGGAGTTAATCATATCTAATTCGGTTTCATACCGAGAGACAAGTGAGAACTCAGTTTCACCTTCCTCCATAGCATCTAACTGTGATTAGCCTTAAACTGACAGGGAATTGGCAGTTTTTCAGTTTCCTTCTCCTCAAGATGCTAATAAGCCTTGACAGTAGCGAGATCAATGCCTCCACAAATCTTAGGTTTTTCTTGTTCTGTATAAAGCTCATTCTGAAGCCATCTCGGTGGCTGCACGTTAGTACATGGATTCCAGAGGAGAGAGAACACAGCAGGTTTCCTGGAGGCTGAAAGGAGTATATGGCTTACCGCTTCCATCAGGCCCTTCACTGTGGGAGACTTCAACATCAATGCATCGAACACATCGTCAGTCTCCTTCCTCACGTACAAGAGCACTGGAAGAGATGGGCAAGAGAGCCACGTGACCGAGGGGCTGCACAATTCCACAGCTGCTCCAGGGGACTGTTTCCTGTCACACAGGTGTTGGAGAGTGGCACCTCCTGCGAAGCCTCAGAACCCTGGTCCAGATAACTAACATTCAACAAGGGTGACTGAGACATCTCCATAAACAACCTGTGGCTAGGGACTGTGAAGGAGTGATTAGATGAGATAAACCGACAACCCGGCCGTAGGATGCTTTGACACAAATGTTCCCATTGGAATTTCTCCTGAGGGGTACATCGCATCTCTTTTTGCAACCTCTTTTCCTCTGTGTTATTTGTTCCTTTGACAAATATTACTGAATGCCCACCTGGGCCCATAGGCTATGTGTGCTAGGAGTTGGGGTTGTGGCAGTGTTAGTTAAATCACAGCCCCTGTCCTTAAGGATTTTGCAGTCCATTTAGAGAAGCAGGCTTTCCTCAAATAAGCAGACAACTAGACACAGGGTTATGGAGGAAAATGTCAGGAAACAGTGCTTATAGGGGCCTGGCCGTGACCTGGAGGGGTTGGGGGAAGTTCCTGGAAGGGTCCCTTGAAGGAGAGATCCAAGTTGTGAATTGTGTGTGCGTGAATGCAGGCAAGTGATGAGATGGGGGCAGTGGGGAGAAAGGGAGAAGAGGGAGAGCAAACTCCAGGCAGATAACAAACTTGCACAGGCCTGGGAGGGAGACGGGGCACTGTCCGAGACAAGGGGAGGAGCAGGCTTAGGATGTGGAGTCCCACGGGGCTGGGTTTGACCCCAGAGTGCAACCCCTGCTGTGGGCCTTGTTCATTTAAACTCTCCGAGCCTTGGTCTTCTCTGCGAAACATGGATAATAACATCTGCCTCGCAGAGCTACTGTGAGGGTTAAATGAAATAAAAGCCATGTGGCACGCTTAGCCCAGGGCCTGCACACAGCAAGCACCCGTCCTCGATCAGTGGGGGAAGCAGTTGTCATGGTTCTAGTGCCCTCAGTGAAGTGGAGTACAGCTTTTCTATTTATTTCTCTGCAAAATAACATTCTGAATTTCAGAACGTAGAGAGTATGAGAGATGATAGGGAAGTCTTGGCTATCTTTTAAGATGTGCACACTGAGGCTCAGAGAGGCTGAGACACTCCCCCAGGGTCCCACAGACGTGACAGCTGCTGGCTGATGTTCCTTCTGCCACCATTGCCCTTTCTGCCTGTCCCCATCCTTACAGCAGTTGTGTTGCAGCTCAGCTCCCAGAATAAACTTGGAACTGTCATTCAGAGGCCACCCTCATCCCCACTGAGTGGTCTCCCTCCTCCCAGTGATGTGGCCTCTGATTCTTCCTTCAGAGGGAAGGAAGAAGGTTAAGGCTGAAGCTCCATGGCCATCTAGGGAAAATGCACAAGGCAAAAAACCCTGCCAACTCTGGGTACCAGCGACACTCAGACACCAACAGAGCCATCAACCAGAAGAACAAAGTTGAAACTAGAAAATGAAATCAGCTCTCATCCAAACTCCCACCCCTCCTCCCCCTCCTCCCAATCCTGGGGGGACTTCATTAAAGCTGGTTGCTTCACAAAGGCCAAGTCTACACGGGTGCATGTGGCTTCTGCCTGCATTTCCTTTCTGCAGCCAGTGGATGTTCAGTTAGTGTATGAAAAAAAAAGAAAAAGAAAAAGAAAATAATGAACAGGTATTGCCGAGTCTCTTCTTTTTACCAAATATAAAAGTAAAACACCAATTAAATAAATAGAATGTGTCTCCAAAGATTTCCAAATTTAGTTCTTTGGAAGGAATATTTTATAGCCTTCATTTCAGCTAAAATAATCTAATGACCTAATGGCTATTATAAGAGGACTCAATGTTAGCGGTACAAGGAAAAATAATTAGAATACAGGACCTTAGTTACATCCAGATAAGGAAAATTAAAGTCAAGGAAAAAAGCCATTGATTGCTGCTGCAGATAAATAGTCTACAATTCTCTCTGCAGCCCCCAACAGGAAAAAAAAAGGAATTTCCAGCAGGCTGACCCCCAAACTATATTCTTTTTCTTTGAGACAGAGTCTCGCTGTCACCCAGACTGGAGTGCAGTGGCGTGATCTCAGCTCACTGCAACCTCTGCCTCCCAGGTTCAAGTGAGTCTCATGCCTCAGCCTCCTGAGTGGCTGAGATTACAGGCATGTGCCATCACACCCGACTAAGTTTTTGTATTTTTAGTAGAGAGGGGGTTTCTCGAACTCCTGGCTTCAAGTGATCCACCCGCCTCAGCCTCCTAAAGTGCTGGGATTATAGGCATGAGCCACCACGCCTGGTCCCCCAAACCATTTTCTATTATGAGTACTGCTTCCACTGGATTTACAAATCTCCTCTTTTGAAATCGTGGTCTTTGAAATGATATGGCTGCTCTTCTTGCTTCAGGTGTGGCTGGAAAGTGTTAAAGGGAGCCGCGTTGATGGGCCTTGGAGTGGCACCAGGCAGGGCAGCTCCACCGTTCCCCTGCTGGGCCTGTTGACAGCAACTCACAAGGTGTGCTGGGCTCACAGTCCACCCCCACAGCTTTCCCAGGGAGCCAGCTTTCATTACTCTGTGTCTGTGGCAGAGCAACTGAAGTAATCACTCTGCTGATAGTCGCAAGAACAACCATCATGCATCCCAGGCATTGTGCAGCCAAAGGCAGGTGGCCACATGGGCAGCCCCCAAGGGACTCCCACACAGACACCCTGCCACAAAGGCAAAAACCAATAATCGTGGCATTGGTAATAATTATGTTCATTCTCTCTCTTGGAGAACTTCTAACAAATAAACAAATAGGCAAAGTAATTGAGCCTTATTCCCCTATTTGTCAAAGACCAGCTCAGTGGATGCTCCAAGCAAGGGGCCCAGTAACCCCACTGACCTTTTCCAAAGAAAAATCACTCCCGAGGAAAGTGCCCGTTATTGCTGGAAGGTTACAGCGCCCTCATGTGTCTATGATTCAGATGTTTCAAAGGCCACAGCCCAGTACAATTTCTAGAGGCAATTTTTGTGCTGGTTTCACAATCTCAAAATAATCTGAAAAACAGTCTTTGGATTAACCTCCAAGCACTCTGTATGAAGGCTAGCCATAATTAGTTTCGCCTGTGTGATTCCGTGATTCTTGATTTCCATGTTACTGCCCTGACTCTATAGAAAAGCCATCCAAGAATGAGGTTCAAATGTACTGGAATATTTGATGGTGAGTTTGTGAAATCAGAAAATTTTTTAAAGGTTTGGCTAGGCATGGTGGCTAATACCTGTAATCCCAGCACTTTGGAAGGCTGTGGCGGGCAGATTGCTTGAGCTCAGGAGTTCGAGACCAGCCTGGACAACATAGTGAAACCCCATCTCTACCAAAAAATTAGCCAGGCATGGTGGCATGTGCCTGTGGTCCCAGCTACTCAGGAGGCTGAGGTGGGAGGATCGCCTGAGCATGGAAGGCAGAGGCTGCAGTGAGCTGAAATCACGCCACTGCACTCCAGCCTGAGTGACAATGAGACTCTGTCTCAAAAAAAAATTTTTTTTAAAGAAATTTTTGTAAACCTTTAAATGTTTCTAACGTAGCATTTATGCATTTATGCTGTTTCCATTCTGAAGCACTAATTACTTATCCACAGTTATGATAATATCACTTAACTAGTTACTAATAATAAAACTAACAGTTACAACAGCGAACACGGAGTGCTGCCTATGTGGGAGGTGCCTGCCTGAAGCGTCTCCCAGGTATTAACTCCTCAGTCCTCACACAGCTCTATGAGGTAGGCACTCCTGCCATCTCCTTTTTACAGATGAGGACGCCGAGGAGCAGAAGTGTGAGGAACCTCTCCAAGGTCACAAAACTGCAGGTGGCTGTGGCAGGCTACAGACGGGTTCTCTTGACCACAGTGCAAATCCCATTACAACAAACAGGAAAAAAATAAAATTTCTCAATAACAAAGTACTCAAGCCTATGCAGATGGCGGGCATATTTAACATGGTGAACTGACTCATTAAAAGTCCATGCAGCACTTCGGGAGGCCAAGGCGGCCGGATCACAAGGTCAAGAGATCGAGACCATCCTGGCCAACATTGTGAAACCCCGTCTCTACTAAAAATACAAAAATTAGCTGGGCGTGGTGGCACACACCTATAGTCCCAGCTACTTGGGAGGCTGAGGCAGGAGAATCACTTGAACCCAGGAGGTGGAGGTTGCAGTGAGCTGAGATCACGCCACTGCACTTTAGCCTGGCAACAGAGCAAGACTTTGTCAAAAAAAAAAAAAAAAAAAAAAAAAAAAAAAAAAAAATTCTGTACTGCTGGCAGACTGAGGCAAGAGGATAGCTTGAGCTCAGGAGTTTGAGACCTGGGCAACATATTGAGACCTCGTCTCTATAAAACATTAGACAGATTAGCCAGACATGGTGGTGCATGCCTGTAGTCCCAGCTGCTCAGGAGGCTGAGGTGGGAGGATAGCTGAAAGTCATCAGGTAGACGCTGTAGTGAGCCATGATCGTGCTACTGCACTACCTCCTGGGTGACAGAGCAAGACCCTGTCTCAAAAAAAAAAAAAAAATCCAGTACTGGCTAGGTCTTGGGTCTATAGAAGCCTCAGTGTTGGCTGCAGCAGGATACTGAGGGGAATGTGCACCCACACACTTTCCTCTTACTCCGAGGAAGGGCATGGAATCCTGTATGGCATTGACATGCTGGGCAAGACATGGGCACAGTCAAGCTTTGTTTCTTACCCTCTTGGTGAAGCAGAATAAGACCTTTGACTGGGAGAAAATGAGTAAGTGGTGATGCCACAGAAACCTGAGGCTCATTTATTTGGGTGAGATGAATAGTTTGCATGTATCAAATGAGGCTCAATCACTAGTTCTTATGAGGTATGACTGTCCACACACGCAGCAAGAGTTTCGTTCTTAACCTTGTACCTTGCTGCTGGATGAGTCTGTTTATTCATTACGTTCTCCCAAGGCAAAGGAAAGAACCAGCACCCAGGAATGACAAATGTTTTCTTAAGGTGTTGAAAGGACAGAGTTTAAAGCAAAGAAGAAGACTGTGGACTTCCTGTGTGAAGAGAAAGTCACCAGGCTGGCACAGAGCCATGGGGGCCTGGGCAAGAGGGCTGCAAGCTCTTCTTGGGAGAGACACCCCGCATCCCTTCTGAGAGGGCATGCCCCAGCAGGAGAGATACCTCGCTTTGTCCCTTCTTCTTTCATCTGCTTTGAAGGCACTGGACCAAACTCCTCTTCCATGGGCCGGAACATCCGTTTAACAAGGACACTGCCACTAGAAAAGATAAGCAGAAATCCTTAAGTAAAACCAGCAAGGTGTCAAAACACACGTTCACATGTGTGTCCGTTTCTGTCTTTCCCTTTGCTTATACCGTCCCTATGCTCCGTAACTGGATCTACTCACCAACCTCCTTCTTCCCCTTGCAGGTCCCAAGCAATCCCTGTCTGAAGCAGCACACACACCACTATCTTTAGGGCATGGACTTAACACGTGCTTCCCACTGCGGAATATGGATCCACAAAGGTGAGACTTCAAAAGTGGATTTTACCCACTCCGTCCTACACCTATCCCTTCTTTCTGCTCAAGATCGGGGCTGGGGGGAAGTAAATCCCTGGTGTCCACATGGTGTCCAAGTCACATCGTCCCCTCCCAACCAGCTGAGGCCTGGGTGGCCTGCCCCCTTTTGCCAGCCCCCTTGGGGGAACAGCAGAGAAATCTGGAAATGCTGTGAGCCTGACATGAGTTCTGTGATGTGGCTTTCCTGCCATTCCACCTCTCCCTCTGGCCGCAGCAGATGAGACTGCAGTGGTGGAAGTTCCTTACACACTCAGACCTTGGCTGCCCAGGCCTTTGCTCCTTCTCGGGAGAGGTTTGCAGTCCCCTTTCCCAGAAGCCTGCGGTGCTGAGGCCTTGCATGTCCCCAGCTCGGCTGGTTCTGATGTTTCTGCATTTCCTCCCACAGTCACTGTCCTTCCTTAGTCTCCCGGGTGCCCTAAGCAAGGGGAGGATTTTTTTTTTTTTTTTTTTTTTTTTTTGAGAGAAACAGAAACTAAGAGGATAGAAGTCATTGATACTGAGAAAATGTCCCCGAATGGAATCTTACTGTTTTTCAAACCTTCAAGGGAACAGATGCAGGTTTTTAGAAATTTTTAGTGTCTCTGAAGTCCTGGGACCCGGTGCTGATCACAATCCCGAAAGACACAATCCCAGATGCCATGATCCTGAATGTTGAAATCCCAAAAATATGACATGAGGGATTTTAGACTTCAGGGCTTTTGATCTTTTGAGATTTCAATATTCAGGATTAAGGGCCAAGCCTCCAGGGACCAGGCACGTGAAGAAATGCCAGATGGGTAGCTCAGCAGAACTGTTAAGACAGGAATTCTGAGACCACATTACCTTGGTTTAAATCCCTGCCTTACAATTTGCTGTAGGAGCCCGGACCAGTTCCTCAACTGTCTTGGGCCTCAGTCTCCTTATATTTAAAAGGAGGCTGTTAAGAAAATTGTATCCCATTTCATTGATGACAAAAGGTACAACGAGTTAAGTGTCAAATGCAGGGCAATGCAACTAATATGTGAAACAGGCTATTCAGAGAAGCACCTTTGAGGGAGCAACCTCATGATAAAGCTATTCAATAACCCTGAGATAATGAGGAAGGGTGTGAGAAATGCTCTTCAGTGTCAGCATCCTCTGAATTTATTTCCTAGTAAGTCAAACTATGGAAACAACTAGAGAAAAAACTTAAAACCCAGATCCCAGCTGAAGGTGGTAACTTATTGAAGTTTTTAGGGCAGTGTTCCCTCTGCCTTCCTCTTACTACCTTGTCGTAAAAGCAGGTCACGTTACTGTGTAACGTCTTGGAACTAAAGTGACCATGGCCTCAGGGCTAGAAGATTAAAAAACCCATTCACAGCAGTCAGTGACTAGTAGGTTAATCATAGGTAAATAGCCTGAAATACCACCAGACACTCCATCATGCTGTGTGAGGGTTCCTAAGCTAGTGACTTTCTTTTTCACCAAGCAAGATTTATTTATATTTTTCCAGTTCTGCTGACTTTTGATAGCACCCTGTTCTGAACCATGACAAACTCTGCCATTAAAATAACATCTTGGATAAACCACATTTATTTTGGGAGTTCAAAAATACTTTTTCACACTTTCAAATCTATAAACTCAGTAGGAGTGAATAAGTTTATGTGGCTCAAATTCAACTGTTTCATTTGTTTTCAAAGCAAGGCAAGAAAAGAAGGGCAGATATGACTGCCCCATTTGACAGATGTAGAAAGCAAATTTCAGGTCTCCTGATGCCCAGTCCAACTGCAGCCCACCCTCTGTAGCTGTGGGTTTCACAACCATAGCTTCAACCAACCACAATAAAAAAATTCAGAAAAAATTTGCATCTGTACTGGACATGTACAGACTTTTCCTTATCATTAGTCCCAAAACAATACAGTATATCAATTACTTACACAGAATTTGCATAGGATTAGGTATTATAAATAATCTAGAGATGATTTAAGGGAGGATGTGTGTCAGTTATAGACAAATACTATGCCATTTTATAAAAGAGACTCTTCAGTCTGTAAATTTTGGTATCCGTGGGCGGTCCTGAGGCCAATCTTCCACAGATACTGAGGGATAAATGTACCACAAAAGGACTGGAGAGCAAGAAAAGGGTGCTTTCTCTGACATCAATTTCCATCTCCCTGGCACAATGTGGTGGTTATTATGTAGAATGATTCTAGGCCCGGCAGCACATTCAGCCATTACCTTGTAGGATCAACTCAGGGAAATCAAGTCCCTGAGGTATAAAGGTAGTGCTAAGTTTCATTGGAAAAACAGTGGGAAGGTGTCAGGTCTGAACCATGGATCTCTGGCCATACCTGTAAAAGGCAATGTTGCAGCCTACCTTCCAGGGTCAACTTCACTAGGCATTGTTTGCCTACTGAGGAGGTGCTCAAGAAGAGGAAAGAATGGGGTTGCAGGCACCACGGAGATGTAGTTTGCCTATTTCTCAATTCTGCTTGTGGCCTATGTATGCGGTTACCATGAATGCCCTACCTAAATGGAAGTCCCTTGCCCATGTTATCCTCAGAAAACAGGTCATCTTATATTCAAATCTGCACAAAGTCTTTCACATTATAAAGTAGGGTCTGAATCCATTTATTTTCAATGAATTACTCTTTGGGGAAGAACTTAGCCCAAAATGATTTTAATCAATGCTAGTTTAAGATGTTTAATATAAATCATTTGAGAGAATCAGTAAAAAACCAAAAACAAAAAACACACAACATAGATTTAGTAACTGTTACTGAATTATGAGCTCAAAATTGCAAGTCATGACTAGGTCAGTAGGCCCCAGAGGAATCATTTTCAAAGGTAATACAGATATTTCTGTTTCCTGCTAAAATGTTATAGCTTGTGGCAGACCAATGTTCCAGCCAAGAAGACTTGAAAAACCATTGAAGAGATTATACATGGTGGTTCCAAGGGAGATCATGGTATGTGGTGTGCCTTTAAGAAGCATGGGAGAAAATAAAGTCTTGGAGAGAGTTGAGGTCTGAGCATCCCAAGCAGCCTGGAAATGGTAAGATCTTGAAGAGAAACCACTGACCTCTGAACACATGATCACCCAACCCTACCAAGGATACTACTGCCCCAAATGCAGTGTAGAAGCCACAGAGCTGCTTGACTTGAAGGGACCTTGCTGCAAGCTGGAAAAAGAGGACCTCAGCGGGGCCCACTGGGGACAGAGGATCAGGGCAAGAGGGGTTTCCAAGAAACCAGAGGTCAGATGTAGATGAAGACCAGATCTCCAGAAATAATGGAAATAGAATTTATCATCATGCATGCTATTTGCATATCAACTTGCATATTATTTCAGGGGAGTTTAAAGCCTGCCCCTCTTTCTCCATAAGAGACATCCATAAATTCCACATTAAAGGACCATTCTCTACAGAAAATTATTTGTTTGGCTTGTTCTTTCTTTTCATCTCTATCTCCCTCTCTTCCATTTCTCAATTAAGTATCATTTTTTTCATGGTCTGAATAGGAATCTTAACAATAACAATAGCTATGATTTAAAAAAAAATCAAATTCTGTGTGTCAGGACATTCTATACATTAATGCTTATAATAACGCTAGCAGGTGGCTATTATTATCCTGCTATTTTTAGATGAGAAAACTGAGACTCTAAAAGATTGTTATTTTAAGTTAAGAACTTCTAAGATCAAAACCAGATTCAAATTGTGGCTGACTGGCATGATATTTTTTAAACCCCCAGGTGATTCGATTGTGCAGCAAGGGACCTGGTGTTGAGAACTGCTGTCTGAAAGACTGTTTCTAACTGTCATATCCCCTGCCTACCAGACTGGTAATGCAGAGAAGTCAACACATCTGCATGATTGTGGGGTTACCAGGAGAGGGGCTCTTGTGTGTTATATCCTCAGTCTGGTCATTGTGTGAGTGATGATTTTAAGCACTCATTTGCATACTTGAACACTAATGTGAGCATTAATTTATGTGAGTATTAATCAACGTGGCAGGGAGAGGAAAGAACGTGGCCAATGAGCAGTCCTGATGGAAGCTGTACAAATACCAGCGAAGCTGGCACTCCTTAGGGCTAGGTGAACACATATGGTGGCCTCAGATCTGCTCCCCTCTGCCAGACACACTCATCTGGGCTTGTCACAATCTAGGTCCTACACTCCAAGGAATGAACCAAGGGTGTGCCTTTGTCAAGGCTGGAAAGTTATCTCAGGGAGGGCCTGTCTCTCAATACATACTTTATAGCCACAGGTCAAGAATTAAGAGGGTTACACAGTAGAGCATCATGGCTAAAAGCCAGTGATGGGAAATGCAGTGAAACCCAGGTTTAAATCCTGCCTCCATCACTTACCAGCTGTGTGTCTTTGAACAAGTCTCCTAATCTCTTGAAGCCTCAGTGTCCTCATTATAAAATGGGAGTCATGGGAAATCTGGGGGAATTCAATGAGTTCATGCATAAAGCACTTAGCACGGTGCCTAGCCAAGGTATCCAGTAATGTTAATTATTACTTTTACACATCACAATAGCTACACACCTACCATGTCTTAACTCTGGTTCCAATGCTGTTCATGTCACTCATTCAAACTCTAGTGAGATGTGTAAGAGCAAAAGATGCAGACCTTGGGCCTCAAGTTTGTACAATAACACAGGGTGAGCCAACACAGAGAAGTCAAACCAATGGAGTTACAAGTAGGTCGATGGCCATCTAACTGCAGTCAGCTTGCAAGGAAGGACAGTTTGAGGTGAGACAGATTTACAACTGAGGCCTGCACATCAAGGAGCATTCAGGATCTCAGGCCCTTCTCACTCATAATACTAAGTTTTCCCATGAGAACAATAGCATGTTAGTGTTGGATGGAATCTTCGAGATCTTACGCAAGATGCTCAATGTCAAATTAAGGAAACCAAAGCCCAGAGATCAAGGAGCTGGCCCAAGGCTTCACACTGGTAGGCGGCAGTCCAGGAGTGGAACTTGGGCTTCCTGAGCTCAGAGTCAATGTTGTTTCTGTGACGCCACATTGTGCCTCATTAAACATGGGAATTACTGATTAGAATTGACAGTGCTAGTCATTTATGTTCATTCTAACCGCTGGGAATGTATTATCTATGTGCCAAGATAAAAAGAACAGTCTAATTAGGCATTTAGAAAATTTAGAACTCAGAATTTAGAGGTTAAGTGCTGGATGAGGTTCTGCTCCTCATTAGCTAGGGAATCATTTGACTCCTTTGAGATTTTCTATCTTTTAGGATAGAAGGTGGCAAACTTTTTCTGTAAAGGGGCAGGCAGTAAATATTTAGACTTTGCAGGCCATATGGTCTCTGTTGTAACTAGTCAACTCTGCTGCTGTAGCAGCAAAGAAGCCACAGACAATACATAAACAAATTGACACAGCTGTTTCCAGTAGCACGTTACTTAAGGACACTTGGATTTTATTTAATTTTCACATGTCATGCAATATTCTTCTTCTTTTGAATTCTTTTCAACCATTGAAAAAATGTAAAAACCATTTGTAGTTTGCAGACTATACTAAAATAGGCGGTGGGCCTGATTTGGTCCTCTGGCTATAGTTTGCCAACCTCTGCTCTAGGAATAAACTCAGCAATATCTGCTCCAATTTGCCAACTGTGAAATGTTTTGCAAGTAAATATATTAATTATATAAGAATAGGGAAGCCCTGGTTTGACTGTAGTTTGAAGAAAAAACATCTAAAGATTTTAGTGACACACAGGTAACGCAACCAAGAACATAAAGTAGCTATTGAAAATGCATGTAGTTCTAGATTGCTTTGAGTATAAAATAGCATCCAGGTCCTAAGAAGAAATCTCCCAATATAATCTGCAACTTATGTGGTTCAGAACATATATTTATTCTGACCCAGCCAATTTTAAGGAGACTACTAACAAATTTAGTACTATACCTTGGAGGGAAATTAAGATGTTGAGAAGTAAAACTGTATTTTACCAAGAACAGTTGCAGGGAGGAAAGGGGTGTTTGAATGACGAGGGAAGATGAGACTTATCCAGAGAGCAGAACTAAGGCCAACGGGTAGAAGTCAAAAGAAGGTAGACATCAGCTCAACAGACAAAAGAACTCCCTACGAGCTGGAATCGTCCAATAGTGTGATGAGCTATCTCACACACATGAACTCTCCATCACTGGGAATTTTCATGTAGAAAATGGCTGACTGCTTGTCAAAGAGGTGGTATAGCTATTACCATGATCTACGAGAGGAGGTCAGCTAAATGACCTTAAGGTTTCTTTTTGGCCCTAAAATTCTGAGTCTACAAACTGAATTAATGGATAGAAAGCACTTTGAAGATCTGGCTGCTCCTAAAAGCCTGCAGGACCACATTCAGGATGTGGAGACATTGGGAGTCTCTGTGACTGTCTCTTACCTACGATTGAAAAGGCTCTCAGTCCAACTGGTATTCAAACCAGCCTCACTACTGGCCTGCCAGGCTAACTTCTCAGGGACAGGGCTTTGAGAGTTGTGTGTGCATCCCAGGCAGTACTGGAAGAAGGGTAGGCTGTCATCTTTGACTCTTGCCTCAAGCTCATCTTGATCTTGTGTTGGGGCCAAACAATAGGTAAGAAGGACTACTGAGAAGATTTCACCAACTGGATTATTGATGAAAGGATGGAATGGAAGGGATCGGTCCCTTAGAAAAACAGCTAGTTATTCAAAGGGGTGGGTCTTAGGGAGGAAGCGGGTGGGGAAAGAATCCTGGAAGTAGAAAGCTATTCATTCCTCCAGCCCCCAGCCTCCCTCCCAGATGGTCCCCAGAATCAAGCGTCTCTCAGCTCTGAGTCCTGAGGTGAGAGGAGGGTTTCACTTCCTGCCTAGGGTTACCAAGTGCTGGAAGAGCCATTACCACTGACATGAGCTGACTTGGAGTGTTGAAATGAAAGAACTGAGTGTCTTACCCTTCTCGTTCATCATCCGTGTTGTAATACACCTGTGGAACAAAACAATAGGCTTACTGTAGGTCAGAGACAAGAAATGGAAAAAATATTACGTGATGTACAGACTTTCCTAAGGCATAAACTGTCTCTTAAAAAGGCAAAAGACTAATCTGTTTAATAACAGTGTGTGTGTGTGTGTGTGTGTGTGTGTGTGTGTGTGTGTGTATTTCTAAGGAAATGCATATTTAAGTTCCTTATAATCTCCATGGGGTTAATTCCTAGATTTTAATAAAATAAAATTGGAAATCTGATTATTTCTAGCTAAAGTCAGTCTGATTAGATTAACTATGGCATTAAGCCAAATCTTCCTTTTGACATTAAGGAGACATTTTGGCGGGATCTAAAATCCATTGTTTACAAAGGCTCTGGCTTTGCAGGGTGGGTCCTTTCCTGCCCCCTGTGTAGCACAGTGTCTGGAGTCAGCTTGTCTGTGGACCAAATGCGGGATGGAGAGTGGGGTAAGAGGGCAGTGTGACAGTAACTAGGCCTGTCTACTTACTCCCCAAAGGGGCCCGGGGTATCCTGGCATCCCGCAACCACAGAAATTTGGGAGTCAACAGTCTTCAGGCCAGGAAAGGTCATTTAGCTCTGGAAGGTGTTCCTGGCCAGAAGGAAGATCTCCAAAGACAGACTTTAGGTAGTTGGCATGGCAGAAGGCAGAATCAGATTAAAGAAATTATGAAGCATCCTTATTATTTTATAGAACCATGGGAGAAACCCAGAGGGCATCTGCTGTGCATATATGTCCTCTTGACCCAATTATCTGTAAACACTAATTGTGGGTCTTTTGTCATCTTTATCTGTGTGTGTCAGGACTGTTGCCTTTGAGTGAAGAATAATACCTGAGTTAGTATCAGACATTTACATATTAACTCAAAAGTAGCCTCTGATCCTAGTATATTAGTCACTGTCCCTGCCCCTGCCTGGGTGAGAAACAGCTGTGTCTAGATAGACAACCTCCCTGCAAACTCTCTCAAAGGCTCTTGGCAGTTCCTGGGATGCTGCCAAGCCTAGACCTAGTTACAAAACAAGACTGGTTACCTGGAACTCTCTGGGAATGAGTCATTCTAGTCATTAGCTCAGATTTCTACAGGAATTTTTCCTCTTAATTTTTTAATGGCTGTTGTTGTATTGTTTATTTAGTTTCTTCTTAAACAGAAAACAGTGGAGGTAAGTTTTTTCTCCCCACAACAAGTCTCAGTGTGGCATTCAGAGCAACTGTCATTGGGATGTACTAGGAATAGGACTGCCTAATTTAATGAATATAGAGTAACCCACCTAAGTGAAGGAGGCTGGGGCATTCCACTGGCCATGCAACTGGATTATTTTGATAAAGTTCCCCATGTTGGCTTGTGTTTTGCTGCTTTCTTTAAACATGGCATAGTGTATCTATCTGGCCTGACTGCTGGCCTCTACAAAGTTGGTTGGTGACTAAAAGATGGAAGCAGCCTTCTGTTAGGTGTTTTCCCACCCTCCTGAATGGCCTCTACATCACTGTCCTATCACTGTCCCTTCTTTGTCATTTCTCCTCCTTGCCCATAAAGACCCACTATTTCTTCCATGTCAGCTGTTGGGCCCATTGCACTAACTTAATTTTTAGAGCATGTTTTTCAAACTTTAGAGTGCATAGAAATATCTGGAGACTTTATCATAAATAAAAATTCCTGGAACTTACTTGGGGAATTTTAACTCAAAAGATGAAGGATGGAACTCAGGAATCCGAATCCTTATCAAGAACTCCTGTGATGTGGGAAAAGTTTTTTTACAAACAACAGTGCAAGAGATGGTTTTTGAGTGTGTGAGAGAGGAGTCCTCCTTGGGTTCAAGTACTTTGGGGAAGGCTAATGCCTGCAAAGTAGACATTATCTAAAAAGATGATGCCGCTGCATCCCACCATTTTTCCCAATCTCGCCTAATCTCATGACCTTTAAAGGCGTCCAGACATAAACAGCCTGAATATCAGGGCTTCAGTATCAGGCGAGTGAGACTGAAGGGCTCCATAGCACCTGCACATTGGATTTATTCCTTCATACTAGTTTTGATAAGTGTCTGAAGAATATTTCAATCCACAAGTGAATCAATGAGATCATCAGTGGGGTGGGGGGCAGGTGGCCTGAGAGTGAAATACCCACTCCCCAAGTCATGTCCTTGAGTGAACAAGGACTGCTGCCCCATAGCTTCAGCATAGCTTGAGGGTGCCTCACTGGCCATGAGAACCACAGGGCTGCTGGCCCCGCAGTTGTGCACAACTGCATTGCAGCTAATTTTAGCAAGTCTCAGGACTGCGGCGGTTTCTGAGATGGACACCAATCCTTGCGTCTCTCTTGCTCCCCTTTCTCTTTCTACCCACTTAAGGGAAACCAGCCATATCCATTGACCTGCCACTGCTGGCTCTTGTTCTGCAGGTCAAAGTTAGCCAATCTCTGCTCCATCCCCAAATCTAAGGCCATGGCACTGCCTCTTCCCTCCTGTCTTTGGAAGGATCTCCCAGGCATCTAACTTTTTTGAGAAAAGGCAGTCTGAAAGTCCCTAGCCACTGTCCAAGCTCCTTTCCTTCAGCTAAGCCAGCTGATCAACCACAGGATAGTCACAGGTTGTTCTAGGGACAGCTGAGTGTGTTCCTTTTTTGCCAGAAGCTCAGGGCAGGCTTCTTCATTGACCCCCTCATCTCCAAATCCAAGGCCATGGGAGAAGCCTGAGAGCTCTGAGGAAGGCCTCCAGATATACAGGGGGATATATAGGCAGGATATACAGGGGGGTGCTGATTGGACTGCCTGGCAAATGCTGAAACCAACAGACTGAAAAGTCTGCACTTTTCCTTCTGATTCCACCTCAGGCTGACAGCCGGGCTTATGACACCCGGGGGCAGGAGAGGTCAGCGGACTGACAGTCAGGAGCAGCTAGGTAAGGCCACTTTTCCTCTTCAGATTAATTTACACTTTGTATATTTTGGAGAAATCTTGCCAACAGAACAGGTCAGGTTGCCAGCTTTGACATGGAACTGAGGCCAGAGTTATGACAGTAAACTAAACAATAAGAACAATTTAACTCAACTATCCCTTCTTCTGGAAGGTGTGGAAACCTAGCCCCATAAAATCCCATGGGGCACAGACAGTGCAGACACAAATCATCACCATGGTCTTGGGAATTAAAAAAAAAATAGGTACTGGCATGCTTATCTTGATAAATTATAAAATTCTTCCTCCCTACTTTGTGTCCTTGTTCTTATCCAACAAGTAAGACTGGATGAAAATGTTAAATGGGTTTTTAGTGTTGATGTGTTTTAAGAAACAGCTATAGGCATTTTATTACCATGTTGGGTCATGAATAACAACAAAAAAGCCGTGGTTGTAGAGTTGCTCTGTCTCATGAATCTAATAAAAGAACACAGAATACTAGGGGACAAAATACATCCAAAAGAGAAAGTAAAGCCAGTAGGGATTTCTCTTTCTACACCAAGGTCAATTCCATTGAGTGTTTGCATGCTTAGAATGCAAGAAAAACTTAAATGTGTCAGTATGCTCCTGTTTCTCAAAACAGATGTTTCCTCAAAGGACTTTGGGTTTAAAAGAAAACTAATTGATACAAAAATTCATTAAAACCCAATTGATTTGGTGAAAAACAATTCTGGTTAATGCTAAGGAAATAATTATTTTTTCTTTTTTCACACAATTTTTTGTTTATCACATAACAGAAATAATACTAAAAATAAAAAGAAAAAATCAGCCATATCTCATAACCCTGTAAAAAGTGTTGCAATTTTTCTTGCTCCCTTCAAATTCAGTTATATATTTGGGATCATAATATGAACACAAATTACTATTCTACATTTTTTTCCACTGAACATTATCATAACTAGGTCCCATGTTGCTATGTAGTTTCCATAATTAAAATTTTAGTGACTGCATAATATTCCATCAACTTGAGCTACCATAATGAGTTAATTATTGGACATTTATGTTAGTTTGAGATCTTTCGTTTCACTTGTAGATATAACTAGAAGACAGGAATTTTTTTAAGGGGGCTTGCCTACAACCTCATTTTTCTTTTGATGTGAAATGATTTACCTATTAAATGGGAACTTTTTATTTACTAAGCGAAAATTTGTTGAATGAGTTTTATTTAAGCGGAGACTTCCCTCTTGTGCAACTTTATGCAGTTACAGGTGCAGTTCAACTTCTCACCATTAGGTGGAGCTCTATTGTGTTTCAGGATAATCCTGGCCATGACAAAGTTGACAGAACAAAACTTCTTACAGGTTATCAGCCTTCTCACTTTCTTCCTCTTCCACGCTTTGTCAAGGCTTCACTAATATCAGCTTACTCTCCTCTTCGACTTAGTTTCCTCTCCTGAGACATTCCTTTCTATAAAAATGCATTTACTATAGGGAATGACATTGACTTTTTCTCTAGTGAATGGAAGGTAAGTTATTTTTGAGGTCAACACTGTCTGAAATGCTTCTATCTTAAAGCCCTACTTGCCCTGTGGATGGATGGGAGGTGGGCGTTAGCTGGTAGGTCATACCTGTCCGGTCCTCTGCAGGTTTGCAAAGTGAACATCAGGTATGAAGAGAACTGGCTGTGAGTGGAGATCAGGCATGGTTTTGAAGTAGGTGATGTCACTCTTCTTCTGTAAAGGTATGGCAGCCAACTTCCCATCAGAGGCTGGATGGGATCACACAAACTCATAAATGAGAGAGTCATATATGACTAAGAACTCTCAACTGTAAGTCCTAAAGTCCACGATTTTCTCATATGAAGCTTTCTGAATACCATAGATGTGAACACACTTCAACACCTCCCACCACCTCATCCCAGCAAAACAAACAGGAGCGTAGACTTCAAGTGAGCACTGCTGAGGTGAAGCTCGAGGCCCCTCACACCCTCCTGTCCTTTCATGCACCCAAGATTCCTTGTCTGCAGAAGGAGGATGCTGGTCTCCACATTATTACAAAGTCCTTCCTAGCTCAAACACACTGTGCTCATGTGATTCTATTTGCTTTTCACAGGGATAATCAATCACCCTGTCTCCACTGCCAGGGGAAAGCAAACCATGCCTTGCATGTATGCAGTTTTACCTGCAACCCACTTCTTCCACCTGTTCCCCCAGTGGACACAGCCCACCTGGAGTCTTTAGAAAGCAACATTAGTCTCAGTGAAACTCACAGCTGTTGCATTGAGTTTGGGAGGCCTGGCCTTTCCCTTTCTTCCTGTTCTGCTTCCGCTCTTCATCTCGGATTTTTCTTTCTGCTCCCTGATAGGAAAAAAACAAATACAGAAAATGCCAGGCATATTAGCAGAGCATGCAAAAGTCATGTCACACATAAGTCATGAGGATATGAAACAATACAGGGGAGGAGGTAACCAAGCAGCCCCATTTCCATTCCTCTGGCAAGGTTGGGTTTGGCTCTGAAAGCCAAGACCACTCATAAGTCTATACCACATTTGTGACCTGTGAGGGATCCCACCTCTCCCAGATTTTCTCTCCTTTTTTGGTATCTTTCCTATTTAAAGAAATTCAGTTTTGAATCCATATGGAAAGAATCAACCCAGTTCCCTAAACCAGTGAAATCCATTAAGTGACTTTAGTGATTATAATAAAATGTCAGAAGATGAATCATTGACCCATTAAATTTATTCCTAGGCATGGAGAGGGCTTTAAAGTGTGAATTCCCTATAAAATGTTTCCTTTGCTTTCCTTTTAAGCTTTAAAAAATTATTACAGTGGTGGAAATGAAAGAAGCCATAAGGAAACCACACAAGATGTAGGACCACTTTGTACATGTAAGCATGGTTTTTGTTTTTGTTTTAATATTTCCATATGTTCTTAGAGATGGTGCTCATTCAACCAAATAGAAAAATGTTTAGTCTATTAAACTCCTTTTTGCTCCTCTGTTTTTGCAATTTGGCTTTTTCATGGGCACCTCTTGCCAAATTGCCAAATCGCACCCTACTTAACCAATTGACCACCACCTTATATCTCTTTACTTCCTGGCCTATAATGATGCCCTATCTTTTCTCTTTGGTTATTTCTCTATATGAGCTTTGAGAACTCATTTTCTTCTCCTTATCCCCCAAATATAGACATTCCAACGTGGGTTCCTTTTCCTTGCTCTATCTCTACTCTTGCTGTGGAAGAATTAACCTGTGTCTTTGTTTTCACAAGGCACTAGGCAGGTGACACTCTGATCAACATCTCCAACCTAAACTCCTTCCCTAAGTTTCAGATTCACATTTACAGTTCTTGCCCATTGTGGTGGCATATTTAGGGAGCAGTAATGCACAGAATGGCCAGCAACCTTTCACCCTTCCGAAATTGTCCCCAAATCATCACATACAAAACAGATAGATTTAACAATACAAAAATGTAATCCTTCTGTATGCAAACAAATCAATCAAAAGACAAAGGACAAGTTGGCGAAAATACTTGCAATAAAATATCACATAAAATATCAAATCCTTAATATATAAATAATGGTTCAAATTTTAAAAACAGCTAACATACTGATAGAAAAATGGACAAGAGTCATGAAATAGGCAATTCACAGAAAAAGACGCACAAATGGTTTGAATTATTACAAAACAATGAGATATATTTTTTGTTTATCAAATTGGCTTTTGTAGAAAAGCAGATTCCCAATTCTGGCCAGCATGACGCCATGACACAGTGAGAATTTATGGTCAATGAAGGCTTCACAAAAGAGATGCCTTATGGCTTTTAAACTAATTTTTGGAGAATGAGTAATAATAGCTAACTCTGTGCCAGGGAATTTCTAAGAGCTTTACATAATAGAATTGAAATAGCTGAATATTTTAACCAGATCATTTAATTATGCATTTTTATATTTTAAAAACTACCAAATGGAATAATTATCTTACTTATTACCAAAGGGGGGGATTTTATAGTGCTTCATATGAAGTTTTGAATTGTCATTGACACTTGCAGATCATGGAAATTCACAGCAAAAGAGGCATAAAATATAAAACTATCTGCTTGGGAAGTCTCTTCATGATATATAAAGGTTTTATACAGTTTTGTGCTAGAAAACATATTTTCAAAAAATGAAGTGTTAAATGCGCAGATACGATCTTCAATTGGATGTGAAACATAAGCAAAGGGGTTCTTCAAAATACTAAAGTCTGTGATAGGAAATATTTTTTTCTTGGGTCCATGTAAGGCATTTTTCTATGTGCTAGGGACTCTGTACAATATAACATTTAATATAAATAAAATTTAGATATTTGTTAACCTGTATAAATTATAGCTGCCCCCAGAAACACCCCAAGTTGGGTCAAGGAATTTGATTTCTGAGTTAATGTTTTATTTTGTACTATTTATGAGGAAAGGGACAAGAATTAATCTGTTTCAAGATTTATATACAAGCATACCTCAGAGGTACTGTGGGTTCAGTTCCAGACCCCCATAAAAAAACAAATATTGAAATAAAAAGAGCCGCACTTTTTTTGTTCCCCAGTGCATAGAGAGGTTATGTTTGCACTATACTATATCAAGTGTGCAATAGCGTTATGTCTAAAAAATGTACATACCTTAACTTAAAAATACTTCATTGCTAAAAAAAAAAAAATACACACTGAGGCTTTAGCAAGTTGTATTCTTTTTGCTAATAGATGGTCTTACCTTGATGTTAATAGCTGCTGACTGATCAGGGTGAGGGTTGCTGAAGGTTGGGGTGGCTGTAACAATTTCTTACAATAAGGCAAAAATGAAGTTTGATGCATGAATTAACTCTTCCTTTCAGGAAAGATTTCTCTGTAACACGTGATGCTGTTTGATAGCACTTTACCCACAGTAGGACTTCTTTCAAAATCGGAATCAATCCTCCCAAGCACTGCTGCTGTTTTATCAACTAAGTTTATGTAATATTCTAAATTCTTTTTTGTCATTCCAACAATGTTCACAGCCTCTTCACCAGTAGTAGATTCTATCTCACTTTCTTTGCACATCCATAAGATGCAACTCCTCATATGTTCAAGTTTTCTTATGAGATTGCAGCAATTCAATCACATCTTTAGGCTCCACTTCTAGTTCTAGTCTTGCTGTTTCCATCACATCTGCAGTTACTTCCTCTACTGAAGTACTGAACACCTCAAAGTCATCCGTGAGGGCTGGAATCAACTTCTTCCAAACTCCTGTTAATTTTAATATTTTGACCTCCTCCCATGAATCATGAATGTTTTTAATGGCATCTAAAATGGTGAATTCTTTCCAAAAGGCCTTCAACTTACTTTGCCCAGAACCATCAGTGGAATCCCTATCTACACCAGCAACAGCCTTACAAAACATATTTCTTAAATAAAAAGACTGGAAAATCAGAATTATTCCTCGATCCATGGGCTGCAGAATGGATGTTGTTGTGTTAGCAGGCATGAAAACAATATTAATCTTTTTGTACATCCCCATCAGAGCTCTTGGGTGACTGGGAACATTGTCAATTAAAAGGGATCTTTTTTTCCTGAGCAGTGGGTCTCAACAGTGGGCTTAAAATGAAGCCCACCAAAAACACATAAGCTGTCATCCAGGCTTTGTAGTTTTGTTTACAGAGCACAAGCAGACTAGATATAGCAAGATTCTTAGGGACCCTAGGATTTTTGGTATGGTACATGAGCACTGACTTCAACTTTAAGAGAGCAGCTGCATTAGCCCCTAACGAGAAAGTCAGCCTCTCCTTTGAGGCTTCAAAGCCAGGCATTGACTTCTCTCTAGCTATGAAAGTCCTAGGTGACATCTCCCAATAGAAGGCTGTTTGTTCTACAATGAAAATCTGTTGTTTAGTATAGCCACCTTCATCAATGATCTTAGTTACATCTTCTGCATAACTTGCTGCAGCTTCTACATCAGCACTTGCAGTTTAATCTTGCACATTTATGTTATGGAGATGGTTTCTTTGCTTGAATGTTACGAAGTCATCTCTGCTAGCTTCAAACTTTTCTTCTGCAGCTTCCTCATCTCTCTCAGCCTTCATAGAGTTGAAAAGAGTTAGGGCCTTGCTCTGGATTAGGCTTTGGCCTAAGGGAATGTTGTGGCTGGTTTAATCTTCTATCCAGACCACTAAAACTTTCTCCACAACAGCAGTAGGGCAGTTTCACTTTCTTATCATTTGTGTGTTCACTGGAGTAGCACTTTTAATTTCCTTCAAGAACTTTCCTTTGCATTCGCACGTTGGCTAACCGATAAAAGAGGCCCAGCTCTTGGCCTGTGTCAGCTTTTGATATGCCTTCCTCCCTAAGCTTAATTATTTCTAGCTTCTGATTAAAGTGAAAGAGATGCAATTGTTCCTTTCACTTGAACACTCAGGGGCCGTTGTAGGTTTATTCATTGGCTTGGTTTCATATGGTTGTTTCTCAGGCAATAGGAAGACCAAAGGAAGAGAGGGAGAGAGACTAGGGAACAGCTGGTTGGTGGAGCAATCAGAACATACACAACACTGATCAATTAAGTTCACCATCTTATATGGGTGCAGTTGGAGGTGCCCCAAAACAATTACAATAGTAACACCAATGATCATTGATCACAAATTAACATGACAGATATAATAATAATGAAAATGTTTGAAATGTTGAGAGAATCACCAAAATGTGACACGGAGACAAGAACACATGCTGTTGGCAAAATGGAGCTGACAGACTTGATCAATACAGGGTTGTCACAAACCTTCCATTTGTAAAAATTTGTTTTCTGTGAAACATAATAAAGCAAAGCACAATAAAACGAGGTAAGCCTGTATGTTCAATGTAGAATTTTAGCAAAATCACTTGCTTATTTTTCAGGCATTCTTTCATATGCCAAACCCAAAGAATTAACATAAAACATAGAGTATCTATACAGCAGATGGTGGCCCTTCTACAAAAGAAATTTCCTGCCCAGAATGCCCAGCTATCAGCATGACAAAACAGTTTTGATAGTATCCACTCAAGAGAACCACAATTCTTATTTCTAGAATAAAGTTTTTGACTTCACAGTGACCCCGGGAAGCTTCGATACATTCCATTAAAGTAAAGAAAACATTCCTTGAGCAAGACCTTCCGAGTATTCCACCTCTTCCTATGATTCTTTGTGACCTCAGACTTTTAGAAAATATTCTTTCTACTGTTATTAAAGTGCAAAAGTCTAGTTCTTCCAGAGGAGAATAATTTGCTACAGATACTAAATTTGTCATTTGAAAATAATTCCCTCCATCTAAATGTTCACTATAGAGTGTTAAATTTGGAAAATATATCTGGAAAATTCCTGCCAATATTGTGATCATTTTTGCCACCACTTGAGAGGTGATGGCTGTCTTTGTTTTTTATTTAACACTTAAGTTGCTCCTCTACATGTATTTTAAGAATGTGGCTTTATTTCTCCGTATTTCCACAATATGTAGCTATTGTTTGCAGTAATACAAAACCTTCACGAAAGATTGTGAAAGAATTTAATGTTAGCATAAAGATACACACATAGGTATCTATGTATGTAGCTATATAAACAGATCCTGAATTTTTAAAATGTATTAACACATGCATTTCAATAGAAGTATCTTAATACCAAGAATGATTAGGGAAGCCCTTTATTTTCAGCTGCAGTCTCACAGGTGTGAGATTAATTAGAATTGATTAATTGATTGATTAATTAGAAATCAAGCTGGAGAACTGTAAATAGTGCAGAATTCCATCTCTTGAAAACTATAGACTGTGATGAGAAAATGTATGGTTTTAAAATGGAATAGCCCTCAACTCTTTTGCCTGACAGGATAAGTCAAAGTGGGCATTTGTATTTACACACCCATTTGAAAAGTATAAAAATTAAACTTTAATATCTCTTTTTAATCTCCCAGGAATTAGTTTTACCTGGATTTTGAAATTAGAGCTTCAAAAATGATGACAAATTACAGCAAAAGATTTCAGGTCTACTTTGTTAAAGAAATTGACAGTAATTACGATGAATACACCCTGCAGGACTCGTGAGATTTCTTCCTTATGATTTTCCTGACATCCCCGACTCCAACCCTTAATATCAGGATGTGTAACTACCTGCTAGAACCTCTTGACATCACTACTCACTTGGAATAAATGCTTATCATTTACCCAACATTCTCCAACCATTTTCTTTTACTTAGCACTGATATTTACTGACCGATACGTAAAATAGGAGCTATTGGAAATGCCACCTACTTTCTGATTGGCAAGGTATTTGTTGACATAGTCCTTCCCAGTTTTTATGCATATTTACAAACATGTTCACACAAATAAGTGGTTCTCCCAACCATTTATCTCCTTGCCACAGATTACCCTCTTAACATGACTTCAGGAAACAACTGCTTTGGAAAAATCCATATAATCCTCTTTTTCGCCCTCTCCCTTTTATAATTTAAAATAACTGAATGAAAATGTATAAAAATATTTTCAAACAAAAGGTATAATCAATCAATAATTGTCTCTGCCCTCTTAGTGTCTTAAAGTCCCTCTCATTCTAGGACATGGGTGAACAACAATATAACATCCTCTGTATATTCTGCATGCTTTTATTCTTTGTTTTTCTTATTATTTATTATATTAACACTATAACGTAAAATAATTTTAGGAGAATCCTTAATCCCTGTCTCTCACTTTCATTTCCAACTACCAAAGTGAATATGAATGGATTGCCAGGTTCCTCTATTCAATTCTTCCCCCTCTTTCTCTTCATCTCTAACTTTATTCTTTATTTCCAAGAAGGGGATTCATGGAGGGGGATTCTACAATCTCCCCTGGAATATCTGAAATAAAGTAAGGGAATTCAAATTATTTAAATGCTTCCTTATTTGTGCTTTAAAAAATTATCTGTTATACATCATTTGAAAATGTTTTCTTAATATTTAATATGCTGAATTAAAGACATAAGCTGATTTTTTTGGTTCGGTTTTGTTTCTAAAGCCTACCTTGGCTCTTTGTTGAGGTTTTGAATGGCCAGTTGTCATTTCGGTATTTTATGTATAAAGTTATTTATCAATTCCAGGAGAATGAGTTTGAAATCAGGCCTAGATTTCCATCTAACTACTCTGCATTCCCACTGTGTGTCTCTGGGCAAATTGCTTATGCTGTCTGTACCTTCAATATTTCACCATTTCTATTCAACTGTGTCTATTGAGTTAACAGGCCTCTGGAAACTGTCATGGAAACTTCTCTACTGTCTTGGAAACTGTCCTACTAATTGCTGTGTCATGGAAACTGTCCTACTATGTACTGTCCTACTGTGAACTGTCCTACTGTGTACTGTCCTACTGTGTACTGTAAACTGTCCTGTGTACTGTCCTACTGTGTACTGTGAACTGTTCTACTGTGTACTGTCCTACTGTGTACTGTCCTACTGTGTACTCTGAACTGTCTTACTGTGAACTGTCCTACTGTGTACTCTGAACTGTCCTACACTGTTCTACTGTGTACTGTCCTACTGTGTACTGTAAACTGTCCTACTGTGTACTGTCCTACTGTGTAATGTGAACTGTCTTACTGTGAACTGTCCTACTGTGTACTCTGAACTGCCCTACACTGTTCTACTGTGTACTGTCCTACTGTCCTACCAGTGTCATGGAAACTGTCCTACTGATTGCTGTGTCATGGAAACTGTCCTACTATGTACTGTCCTACTGTGTACTGTGTACTGTCCTACTGCGTACTGTCCTACTGTATACTGTGAACTGTTCTACTGTGTACTGTCCTACTGTGTACTGTGTACTGTGAACTGTCCTACTGTGCACTGTCCTACTGTGAACTGTCCTACTGTGTACTGTCCTACTGTGTACTGTAAACTGTCCTACTGTGTACTGTCCTACTGTGTACTGTGAACTGTTCTACTGTGTACTGTGTACTGTGTACTGTGAACTGTCCTACTGTGTACTGTCCTACTGTGTACTGTCCTACTGTGAACTGTCCTGTGTACTGTGTACTGTCCTACTGCGTACTGTCCTACTGTGTACTGTGACCTGTTCTACTGTGTACTGTCCTACTGTGTACTGTGTACTGTGAACTGTCCTACTGTGTACTGTCCTACTGTGTATTGTAAACTGTCCTACTGTGTACTGTCCTACTGTGTACTGTAAACTGTCCTACTGTGTACTGTCATACTGTGTACTGTGAACTGTTCTACTGTGTACTGTCATACTGTGTACTGTGAACTGTTTTACTGTGTACTGTAAACTGTCCTACTGTGTTCTGTCCTACTGTGTACTGTAAACTGTCCTACTGTGTACTGTGAACTGTCTTACTGTGAACTGTCCTACTGTGTACTGTAAACTGCCCTACTGTGTACTATCCTACTGTGCACTGTGAACTGTTCTACTGTGTACTGTCCTACTGGGTACCGTGAACTGTCTTACTGTGAACTGTCCTATTGTGTACTGTCCTACTGTGTACTGTGAACTGTCTTACTGTGAACTGTCCTACTGTGTACTGTAAACTGCCCTACTGTGTACTGTCCTACTGTGCACTGTGAACTGTTCTACTGTGTACTGTCCTACTGGGTACCGTGAACTGTCTTACTGTGAACTGTCCTACTGTGTACTCTGAACTGTCCTAAACTGTTCTACTGTGTACTGTCCTACTGTCCTACCAGTGTCATGGAAACTGTCCTATTGATTGCTGTGCTGCTGTGATGGCTGGAAGATTGGCATTAACTGAAATCATCATGGCCTGAAAGGCCGTTGAGACTTTAGGGATATTTACTGCTATGCCACATGTCCCTAACCCCTGTGCAGTTCTTGTTAATGCGTTTTCTTTCTGTTTTCCTTACCATCTCTGCTTTCTCCTGCCACTGCTAAACCAGAACTCTCGGACATGTTAACAGTACATACACCTTTAATACAACTGACTGCAGCACCTTTAAGAGTGATGGGCTGAATTAACAGCATTTGCAGTGACCTGGATAAGATTGGAGACTATTACTCTAAGTGATGTAACTCAGGAATGGAAAATCAAACATCATATGTTCTCACTGATATGTGGGAGGTAAGCTATGATGACCCAAAGGCATAAGAATGATACAATGGACTTTGGGGACTTCTGGGGAAAAGTGGGAGGGGGTTGAGGGATAAAAGACTACAAATATCATGCAGTGTGTACTGCTCGGGTGATGGGCACACCAAAATCTCACAAATCACCACTAAAGAGCTTACTCATGTAACCAAATACTACCTGTATCCCAATAACTTACGGAAAAATAATTTTAAAAAAGAGTGTTGGGCAATAGTGAACTGGCTACTAATATCTGCTCCCTGTTCCTCTCTCTTCCCAGCATCTAATATGAAGTACTATCCTTTCACTTACAGTTAATCTCTGTAAGCAGTTAGTCAACTTATTTCTCATATACCCCTCCTATCCTTCCCAATTTTAAAATAATTGTACGATGTCTATACCTTGTCAGAATATACTGTCACACTGTCTCCACCATCATTTAGAATTAGATCTACAGGTAAATAGATCCTGAATGCTCACCACCCATCGTTTTATCAATGTCTTTACAGTAATATTGCTTGTCTAAAGTTTGTTGACTACTAGAGTCCCCGAGAAGAAATATTCTCTGGATTTTGGGGGTTTGTTTATTTTGTTTCTGCCTGCAGTCTTTATACTTCAAAGTCAATTTGGCTACATATAAAATCCTTGGCTCACATTTTCTTTACTTGATTACCTTAAATATCATTGTCTTCTGACAAGGTGTTGCTGTTGAAAAGTTTGATAATCAAATTTTCCTTATAAGTGATTTAATATTTATTTTATTTACTTAGATGCCCAAAGAATATTATTTTCTTTTTTCAAAAAGTCCAATAGCTTAACTATTTTGTATTGGTTATACTGGATCAATTTTCCCAAGTGGGTGGTGGGCTGTTTAAATACATATGCTTTCTGTTTAAAGTTTTCCTTAGAGCATATGTATTTAAATGCATATTTAAAGCAATGTATTTTTAGTATTCCATCCCCCTACTTTTTTTTCCTCAAAGATTCCTATTATATGTATATTGGATTTTATTTTTTTTAGATAGGGTCTTGCTGTGTCACCCAGGCTGGAGCATAGGTCACCGTAACCTCAAACTCCTGGACTCAAGAAATCCTCCTGCTTCAGCCTCCTGAGTACCTAGAACTACAGACATGCATCACTGAACCTGGCTAATTTTTACATTTTTTTGTAGAGACAGGGGTCTCGCTTTGTTGCCTAAGCTGGTCTCGAACTCCTGGACTCATGTGATCCTTCCACCTTGGCCTCCCAAAGTGCTGGAATTACAGGTGTGAGCCACGCACCTGGCCTATATTACATCTTTATCTTTCTTCTGTATCTGTATTTTCTCTCACACCTCTTTCATTTTCTCTGATTTTAAAAATTTTATTGTTTTCCAGCTTGTTTTCTTAGAGCATTATCTTTTATATTTATTTACTCTTGTGTTGCTTCTAGCATAGTTTTTAATTCTAATCTATTTTAATCTTTTATTTCTAAATTCCTTGAGTTCCATCTCATCTCTTTTCAAGTCATTCTATTTTCTACACATCTCAAGTTGATTTTTTCAAATTGTGATTTACATTGATCTTCATAACTTCCATTATTTCCTTAATTTCATTTAGCTTATTTTGAAATGTTAGGCTACAGTTTTCACCTGTTTTGTGGGCCTTTTTGATAGGCATTCATTATTCATGGGGAAGTCAGTCTGATCTTAATCTCTTTTTTCATGAAACATTGTATGGGATTCAACTGCTTTTTCTTTTCTGTTGGTCATTTTCAAGTGAAATGAGTGAGCCAGGATTTCTTCTAGCTTCATGGCTCCCAGGATGCCCATCTGGTGTGTTCACAGAGTGATACAAATATAGTCAGATTTTCTGAGATCTGCCTACTCTGTATCCCGTCCCATCTTCCTCTTCATTTTTATTTTGACCTCTTTCCTTTTCACCTTTTTTTTTCAACTCAGCTTAGACTTTACTCCGATAATTTTTTTTTTTCTCCAAAGCAGGATTTTGTCTTAGAAGGGAACTTTAGTTTCTGACTTCTCAGAATTCATAGAGCCTAAAACATTTCAATGCTCAGTCCTCTTGCACTCACTGGCAAATTAGAATCCACTAGATCTGTACCCTCCCACCCGAGTCTCACATGCTCTCCTGAGACAGCCCACTTCACTTTCCAGTGAGTACTTTGGAAAACTTTGTAGGTTTCCTGTTCTTTGGCTATCAGGTGGCCCCATTACTTTCCCTCACAAATGCTGATATCACACAGGTTTTGAAATTGTTGATGCTTGGTCCCATTCATATTTGGGATTTGTGAGGATCTTCTGTCACCTAATCATAGGGTTTTAAGTTTTGCTGTTCACATTTTTCAACTCTTTTGGGGTGGGATTCAGGGAGATTCAAAGTACATGTTTACTAAGTGCATATGTACTAATGAACTTATTTTATAAGTGCTATTTCCATTCCAAAAAGTCCTAGATGAGGTCCCATTTAACCCACAAAATAATAACGGATGCCCTGATATGCTCTGGGACAGGGTCTATGCCCAGTAAAGAATATTAATCTGTTATTTGAGCTATCTAATTGGATCAAACTTATAGCACAATGTATTACGGACTAAAGTTTGTGTACCCCCAAAATTCATATGTTGGACTCCCAATTCCCAATGTGATGGTATTTGTAGATGAAATTTTGGGGAGGTAATTGGGTTTAGATGAGGTCATGAGGGTAGAGTCTTTATGATAGAATTTGTGTCCTTAGAAAAAGAGACACCAGAGAGCTTGTGCACGTGCTCTCTCTCTATGCCATGTGAGGACACAGTGAGAAGGCAGCTGTCTGCAAGCCAGAAAGCGAGCCCTCACTAAGATCCAAATTAGCTGACACCTTGACCTTGGACTTTCCAGCCTCTAGAACTTTGAGGAATACATTTCAGTTGTTTAAGCCATCCAGTCTATGGTTTTTTGTTATAGCAGCCTGAGCTGACTAAGAAACAGTCAGTCATTAAATTAGTGATAAAAATGATAAACTAAAAAAAAAAAAAAAAAATAGTTGACTGAAGACTTCCTAGATATCTAACAGGAACTGAGAATAGAAGATTACCACTCCCACTGTGATGAGTAAAGTGAATATTTTGACACCACTAGACAAGCAAAGGTGACAAGGAAGAAATGCCATTAAAAGTAATATCTAATAAAAAAGATACCTTTATAAAAAACTGTCATCTTTACTCACTTTGTCACAGAAGACCTTGATCTGGCAATAAGCTCTATGAATGGGTTTATTGCTACGATTGTTATAACTGTATGTGTCAATCTGAATCATCAAAGGAAGTCCTTTCACCCCTTTTTGGGAGGAGAAATCTGTGCTCAAGCAATTCACGGTGATGAAAATCTGAGGGAAAGAGAAAGAAAAAGTTCACAAGTCAACATAAAAAGAATGTACAATAAACGCATAAACTTTAGACTTTAAGTCAAAATACTAAACAACCCCATAAAGACAACTGAAGAATATTTTGATATTCTTTTCACATAAAAACATGCTGAGCATAAAACATATAATTTATAATTATACATTATTTTTAAAATCTGCTTTCATATTTAATCTTGAAACAGACCATTTAAACTGCTTTCCTGGAAGTATATCAGCAAAGTCTTATTTTATTTTATTTTATTTTTTTGAGACAGAGCCTCACTCTGTCGCCCAGGCTGGAGTGCAGTGGCGTGATCTCAGCTCACTGCAACCTCCCCCTCCCAGGTTCACGCCATTCTCCTGCCTAAGCCTCCCGAGTAGCTGGGACTACAGGAGCCTGCCACCACGTCTGGCTAATTTTTTGTATTTTTAGTAGAGACAGGGTTTCACTGTGTTAGCCAGGATGGTCTCAGTCTCCTGACCTCGTGATCCGCCTGCCTCAGCCTCCTAAAGTGCTGGGATGACAGGCGTGAGCCACCGTGCCTGGCCAAGTCTTACTTATTTTTTAAACCTGCATAAGTGGCCTGGGTAAAACACTGTTTCCTCAACATATCAAAGTTGCCACTTCTAATAGTTATACCAGTTATTCTAATCTCTGGCCTGTGGAATAAAAAAAAAAATCAGATAACACCTTCCTTTGCACATTATTGCATTGAAACTAGTTATTTGTTTACATATCTGTCTTTGTTCCATGATTATGAAGCATGCAATTTGAGACCACTTATTATTTTTGTATTACTGGTACCTAGTGCCTGGAGGAAAATAAGCACTCAATAAACATTAGATGAGCGAATCACTGAGTTTATCTGCAGAAAGCCTACGAGATTGGGAGTCAAATGCCCCAGGTTTTAGCTCCAGCTGTAACATTAACCAGCTAAGAAACCTTACACAAGTCACTTAATTTCAGATTTCAATTTTCCCTTTAGGATCCCTCCCTGCAGGACAAAATGTAGATACAAATATACTTCCAGGTTAGTGAAAAAGTAAAAGATTGTTAAATGTAAGATCTGAAACAGGAGAGAAAATATAGTGAATTAGTGAAGGCATCAACATCCTCACCTTACAGCACAGCGCATCAAGAGATATAAGAGAAATCACATGAATTCAAAAAAATGGAAACTCCAGGAAATTACTAAGATTACAGTGCTGACCAACAAAAGAACTAAAAATAATTATTTTATTATAAAATATTGGTAAGAAGAGAGGGAGGAGTGTAAATGAGCTAAATTTCTCCTCATTTTAAATAGTGGATGGCAGTCCATTGATACCATTTAAGAGTGATTTATCACGGAATTGAGGTATCAGTGTAGCACCCAGGTTTACATGGTAACTACACTGATGATTAAGAGGTGGTTTCTGGGGAGATCCAGGCACACTATATTATACTCTTGGTACTATTTTCATTTGATGCCACATGTATTCTTTTTATTTAAAATAAAATGTTAAACTATTCATTGCTTTAAAATTGTAAAATTATGTATTCTGAAAACTATTTCATTAGATGTACTATTTAATGCTTATCTTATTTGATTCCCTGGGTTTTCCATTCACCTTTAAGCCTTGGACCTGAAGTCCCTCACACCACAGCGACACTATGGAGAGCAGCCCTCAAGGAAGCAAAACCATGAGAAACGGACTGCATGTTAAAGGCTTTTCAGCCGGGCGTGGTGGCTCATGCCTGTAATCCCAGCACTTTGGAAGGCTGAGGCAGAGGGATCACCTGAGCTTAGGAGTTTGAGATCAGCCTGGGCAACATAGTGAGATCCCATCTCTACAAAAAGTTTAAAAATTAGCCGAGTGTGGTGGTGCATCCCTGTAGTCCCAGCTACTTGGGAGGCTGAGATGGGAGGATTGCTTGAGCCCAGGAGGTTGAAGCTGCAGTGAGCTGAGACTGCGCCACTACACTCCCAACCTGGGTGACAGAGAGAGATCCTATCTCAAAATAAATAAATAAAATAAAAGCCTTTTGAATTTTTGATTTAACTACTAGACCTGATCTAGTTCATTTCAAACCCAAAGCCTGTAGGCTTTTGGCAATCCAGGCATCTCATTTGTAGTGCTACATCTCTATAAACCTCATTTTTATTTTATTTTTGAGCTCCTCAACTGGCACTGAGGAATGTCTTAGTGGGGTACCACATCCACACCAATCAGGCCAGATGACAGGGCTTAGTGACAGGCTGATTACAGAAACCCTATGCCCTAACCCCTGGGCTCTCACGCTGCCAGCCACTGCCTGAAAACAAGTGCCCAACAACGATCTAATTATGCCAACACATCTAGCAAACTAAGGTACAACACGAGGACCATCAGTAATGAAATTGTACTGTAGATGGGAAGTCAGGGGAAAAAGAAAAAAAAGGTACTGTATATGGAATCAATGCTAAATGAGTAGATTTTAGCTGCTTTTACCAAAAACAAAAAGAAATGGGTAATTGTGTGAGACATTGGATGTGAGATGATGGATAAAGTATCTACATGTATTCCATAACATCATGATGTGTGTCTTAAATATATACCATTAAAAGTTGCTTTTAAAAAAAGATGATCTAACTGCCAATACATTCATTTCCTTCATTCATTTCTTTAATTCATGTATTCATTCATTCAGTCTGTAAACATCCACACAAGCCCACAATGGGTCAAACACAACATTAGATATAGGGGATAGAAAAGAAACTCAAACCCCTGCTTCATGGAGCTGACAGTCCAAGAGGGAGATGGACGAGTGATCCAGCAGTGACCAACACAGGGTGGTCCTCTGTGTTGTGTGTACAGAGAGGCAGGTGTGCACAGAGGCCCCAGGAAGACAAAACAGAGCCCTGGGCATGGAGAACACTAGTGAAATACAAACCCACACATTCACTGGGCTTAGAGCAGGGGTCTGACAAGGACTGAGGAACAGTAAAGAAAAAGAGAATGACTAAAGATGCAAATGTCAGGTGATTCACAGGAACTGAGTGACAAAGACTACTGAGAAAGAACACACAGGCTGGGCGTGGTGGCTCACACCTGTAATCCCAGCATTTTGAGAGGCTTAGGCGGGTGGATCACCAGAGGTCAGGAGTTCGAGACCAGCCCGGCCAACATGGTGAAACCCCATCTCTACTAAAAATACAAAAATTAGCTGGGTATGGTGGTGGGCACCTGTAATCCCAGCTACTCAGGAGGCTGAAGCAGGAGAATCTCTTGAACCTGGGAGGTGGAGTTTGCAGTGAGCCGAGATCATGCCATTGCACTCCAGCCTGGGCAACAAGAGTGAAACTCTGTCAAAAAGAAAGAGAGAGAGAGAGAAAGGAAGGAAGAAGAGAGAGAGAAAGAAAGAAAGAAAAAGAAAGAAAGAGGAAGAAAGAAAGAAAGAAGAAAGAAAGAGAAAGGGAGGGAGGGAGGAGGAGGGGAGGGGAGGGGAGAAAGAGAAAGAAAGAAAGAAAAGATAGAAAGAAAGAAAGAAAAAATGCTATGTCCGATTCTCCTACTGATTTTCCATGGTGTAAGTATTTTGCCCACTACAATCACAGAGACAGAAAATGCTGTCTGCTGTCCCTGGAGAAGCCCTAATGGCAGAGAATTTTTATTTAACAGTCATTTATGCAACAAATATTTTTGAAGCGCCTACCAAGTTCCTGAAGCTGTGCTAGGCACTAGCATAGATGCACTGGTTATGGTTCCTGCAATCACAGAAGTCAGAGGGAAGATTGAGAGAGAATATACGATGGTGCTCTAAAGATAACAACAGCTTCATCAAACACTAAACTTTAGGTTAAAAAAAAAGTATAATTTTCAGGGAACACCTGAAAAACATCTTGGCCAGAGTGTATAAAATGCAGTTGTATGTCAGCAAAGCAAATGATCACTCTGGTGAGCTATGCAGTTGTTCATCGTTTTGGCCATGTGCTTCATAGAGATCTTCCTGCTGGTGGCCATAAT
The DNA here is from genome assembly GCF_000001405.40 of Homo sapiens. Classification (NCBI taxonomy): domain Eukaryota; kingdom Metazoa; phylum Chordata; class Mammalia; order Primates; family Hominidae; genus Homo; species Homo sapiens. The sequence goes on along the minus strand of NC_000008.11, from coordinate 101,615,533 downwards.
CACAGGAGTCTTAACGCAGACTGGTTATTTTCCACTCCCTCATAAAGCCTGCCTAGAACTACAGGAGCCAGAGGAGAAAAGTGTTCTGATGAATATTTCCTAAGCTATTGAGATTCATGGTTGGCTCAGTGATTTAACCACATGTCAATCACAGTGGACATACATACACTCAGACAGGCAGGAAGCAATATTAAATGTGGCCTTATCAGCTCAAGTCTCAACTAAGAGCCGACGTGATGGATTGTGAATATTTACAAGGGCCATTTAAGTGGGACAGACCCACCAGATCCACTGAAATAACTGCTTACTGGCAATATGCTATAATACATAGTCTAAATTTTCCCTGGAGGAGTTATAAAAACCAACCACCCAGTAGAGATGGTCTTTAAAGGTCAAATGAGCTACCACACATCAGACTTCACCGGGAGACACTTAGGCTAGGTTCTCTCAATAGAGAGAGGTCCTTAGTAGAAGCTCTAATGGGCTCTCTAATTCCATTAAAAGTAAACAACACAAGAATCTGCCTTTTCTGCTACATTGTGTTGTCAGCTCCCAGTGAACCTATAAGGGAAGGAATTTATAATAGGGTTGGCATTGTTTCCTCTTGCCTAGCTGCCTGACCCACTGGCAAAGCACAGTTTCAGTACCTTGATGGTATCAATCATAGTCTCGCTGTGCTGCACTCAAAACCCAAATGGTTGAACTTTAACTGAAATTGGGGGTGGGCAGGAGTTTGGGAAATCATGGAAAGACATTAACTAAAGCCTTAGCTTGGAAAGTGATAAGCATTCATTTGTTTCATCTTGCAAACCCAACCATGTCTCAGCTCCATGCACAGCAGGCAAATGTGAAAGCAAATTACTTGGAAGTGTATCTACAAAGCACTTGTTTGTAAATATGTATTAGAGGGGCTTAAGGAAAAGGTATAATTTCCTCTACCAAATGTTCATCCAAATGTCAAGCACAGAAAGTTATTTTTCACTTCGGTGGAAGCCTTGATTATGTAAAGGATGTATAAATGCCGTGAACAATCTATCTGTCTCCCAAGCGTTAAGAAAGTTACAAATGCTCATATAATATTTTTAAAACCTCTCTTACTTGTTTTCCTATAATGCTAATAGCACACAATTTATTTTTTAAGAAAGAATTCATTAGATCAGGTGTATTTAGGCAGATAATAAATACAATTTTAATTTTGTCATCAGTTCAAAGATTGATTCAGATAAAGATTGTTTCTAAATGTACCAAGATCTTTCCCAGAAATAGAAGCAGTCTCATAACATTGGCATTTTTTTACAAAATCATTTGTTACATATGAATTACAATTCCCATTTTGTGGTTTCTACCCAAGACAAGTGACTTTGCTGAAATTATAATACCCCTCAGTTGTACATTATGCATACAGTAAGATTTATTAAAATAAGCACAAATCAATGAGCTTTAGAATTGCTACATTAACTTGATTATTAACTCCTAAAGCTTTTTCTGAGAGCTTTCCATTAAAATAAATGGGCCTACCTTTGATTCAGAAAGCAATTTGGGATTCAAAAAATTGTAACGTCTGTGATTTGGTACAATGTATTTATTTTCCTCTTTAAGCAACTGTATTTTGCACTTTTAAGATGTTTCTTTTTAAAGACTAAGAAAGCTACTTATATCCTGATAATCGAGACTGAAAAAAAAATTCTTTTCCAAGAAATTGCACAGGAGAAGCCTCTAAATTACAGGTACAAGGTATACATAAGAAATAATCATTTTAACACTAGAACACATTTTCCTTTCACAAACAATATATAACTATATAAATGTGCTCTTGCCAGTTTCTCCACTCTGTTCCTTTCTCGGTTTTAGAACTTCTACAGACAGCTTTCTCACATTTTACCTTTCTTCTTCCACTTTGATAGGATTGTATTTGTGTGCAGATGCAATGCCAAATTGAGACGGAAGATAGACTAAAAGTAGACAATATTAAAATGTGAAATCTCAGCTTTGGGTAACCATCTATTTTTTTATGCATGTATTCATCAAATAGTGATTTAATATCTTCTCTCTGTGCTTGGCATTGTGCTGGGAGATGGGAATACGGGATGCAAGACAGACTACCCGCCCCCAGGGATCTTGATGTTTTGTTGAGGACATAAGAAATGCCTAGATTTCATAAAACGTACAATTATATAGCACTTTTAGAAAGTACTCTTCAAATTTTTTTATTTCATTTCTTCCTTTCTTCCTGATAAAATATTTATGTTTTCCTCTCAATTCTGCGGTTATGTATGTATACACGCAGATGCATGCTTGGTGGACTCACATACTCTACTGTAGTTCCCCATATTCTTCCAGTGCTCACTTTTTGTTTGTTCTCCTTTCAGAGGCTTCGCTGCCTGCTGTGTGCTCTGCCTTCTGTGCTGTCCCTGCAGATCACCACACTGCCAGCTCCTTCTCATTCAGATTCAGTCCAATGTCAACTCTTCGGAAATACCTGCCTTGACCATCCCATGGAGAGCTGCCTTTTACCTCCTCTTCCTCCTCCTCTCAAACCCTTGGCCCCTGACCAGTGGCACAGTCTGTCAAATTTCTCTTTTCTCCTCTCTTCATCGCCCATACAATTATTTGAATTTATCTTATTATTTATTTGTTTAGTGTTTAATTGTCTGTTTGCTCCATGATTCTGAAAAGCCCTTAAGAGGAGGGTACTTGCCTTCCTCAAGCTCACTCTATTCCCAGTACTAGGCCCATGGTAGACAGTCAACAAATATTTGTCCAACTACTTAAGAGAAGATAAATTATTTTTCTAAATACAACTTTATCTATGCTCTTGCTTTCATAAACAATACCTCCTAAGAGCAGAGATTAATATGAGTAGCTGAAGTCAATTTAATATAGTGGAGTTAACTGCTCTGACTGGATGTTATCTATCAATCAACAATCATAAATTGAGCATCAACTATATATTCAGCATGAATATCTTCATCAATATCTATGTATGTATGTATGTATGTATGTATGTATGTATCTATCTATCTATCTATCTATCTATCTATCTATCTATCTAATCCATCCATCCATCCACACTCTGAAGATGCTATATATAGAGGCCATGGGAAATACAGAAGTCTATCTATGGCAGGGCCCTGCCCTCAAGGAAATGGTGGGGGTCCAACAGTATTCACTGTTGTAGAAGGTACGTAATTAGATATTAAATTGAATACTCCAGACTCTGCTTGCTTTAAGAAGTAAGAGAGAAGGCCAGGCATGGTGGCTCACGCCTATAATCCCAGCACTTTGGGAGGCCGAGGCAGGTGGATCACCTGAGGTCAGGAGTTCGAGACTAACCTGGCCAACATGGTGAAACCACATCTCTATTAAAAATACAAAAATAAGCCGGGCATGGTGGTACATGCCTGTAATCCCAGCTACTGGGGAGGCTGAGGCAGGAGAATTGCTTGAACCTGGGAGGCAGAGGTTTTAGTGAGCTGAGATCCCGCCATTGCACTCCATCCAGCCTAGGTGACAGAGCGAGCGAGACTCCATCTCAAAAAAGAGAAAGAAGAAGAAGAGAGCTCAACAATGCAGCCAGGGAAGATTTCCTGTAGGAGTCTTGAGACAGGAGAAAGAGAGATGGAAGAGAAAGAAAGCGCATGCTGCCTCTGAAAAAATGGAGAGATCACCCTAATGGAAAAGGAGGGTTTATATCTGGAAGGTGAAGAAAGAACCTGAAAGGCAGGGAGTGGTGAGGAAAAAGGCAAATCAATCTGCTTTTATCACTGTGATCCAGTAATAAGCACTGAATGAGGCCAAGTGTGCATCTCTGAGGCCAAGGCAGATAGAGCTGTGGCCACAGCCTCCGACATCCAAGCTATAGAGAGGACAGGGGCATGAGGACTGAGAAAAGGCCATTGTGTTCAGTAGTAGAGAGCATCCATGCTACTTCCAGAGGCCAGACCAATGGAAGGGAGGAGAGGAAGGTGATTGCTGGGCAAGTGAGACAGGTCAAGGAGATGGAGAAGAAGCACCTCAGCTAAGGGAGGGATGGGAGTACTGGGAGTGGGCAGCTGTCCAAGCAGCGGGGCACTTCTGAGATGAAGGAGGTGTCCACATGACAAGAGATGAGGTATGTAAGAGGCTCCAGAGAGGAGTGGCTGTGGGAGTCAAGAGCCTCAGAATCAGGGGATAAAGGAGATCAACTCACAAGTGAAGTTTTGTGAGAGGAAGAAAGAGCTTTCTCTGAAGGTGGTGGGTGAGAAGATGTAACATAAGAAAGCAAAAGAACTAACATAACTAACTCCATTTTTGTTTAAGGAGTCTTTACCCATTCGTGCACATAGGCAAGGACGACTTCAGAGCACTGACATAATATGTGAAAACAGCAGTCATGTAGCTTTTAAAACTAATCCCGGGATGAATGGGGAAGTATGTAAACAACTAACTATGTTTTGTTAAAGATTTTTAGGAGCATTGTGACCTGACCAAGGACAAGGAAGTTCCCAGCCTCCTCGGACACTCACTGCTGTCCAGATGTCTGCAGTCGCTGGTTACCTCTTGATCTCAATCCTCTTCTTATCCTTCTGCCCTTAATATCGAAAGAGCCTAAAGTTTGTACTGACTTAAGATGGTACCTTAGAACATTAGTTCACCATCTTCTCGGTTATGTTGGCTTTCTGAATAAACTTGCTTTTCCTTCCACCAACCCTTGTCTCTTGAGTCTGGCTTTCAAGTGGTGAGAAGTCAAACCTGGGTTCGATTATAACGAGAGTAAAGCAAAGACAGAAAAAAACATCTGCCAAGAGGCTCAAAATGGTGTGCCTGGTGCAAACCCTAGCACTACAGCCTTGGACTCATTGTCTAACCTTTCTGGGACTCACTTTCTTCTTTTAAATAGGTATAACAGCCCCTACGTTGGTACTGTGACACTTATATGAAATAATACTTTTAAACGGTAGAGTGTCATGAAAATCGAAAGAATTTTACTATCGTCAACATTATCTCTCTCCTTTCAGACACCTAGTCTCTCAGCTGGTCCTGTTCTTGAACTCCAAGCTCTCACCCCCATGACAGAATCAACAAAGCCCTCTCCATTTTACCTCCCTAATGCTCCTGCCTGGGTGGCCTCCTTAGCATTCCCAGGGTCCCCCAGTTCAAGCCCTCCTTCCTGTAGGATTACTACTTCCTCCTTCTATTGCTACCTTCCAGCTGGATTCTCTCCCTGGGGATTTTGTGAAGCTAACTTCAAATGATCCAAAGGTAGATTAGTTATGATTTGCATTAATGGAACAAACATTTAATTAAGGAGAATTGATTTGAAAACATTAAATCTCTCTCCCCACAGCACTTTGGGAGGGGTTGAATCCCAGGTATTGCTGGGGAGAGCATGGGGAAGTCTCTCAGGCAGAAACCTTCACTGCTCTTCAAACTACAACAGTTTCTCCTGCTCTGCTCTGTCACTCGAGCAGATCTTGCGAAGCAGCACATCAGGATGAGGGATGTGCATAATGAGAGATTGGGCTGCTTGGTGAAATAACGAGCTCCCAGGCAGAAGAAGAATTTAAGTACAGACTGAAAGATTCATTCACTCGACTTTTTCGGCATTTGTTATGTGAAGCTTTTTCTGTTCATGTTTAATACTTAAAACTTGTTTTGAGTTTTTAACACCTGAATATGGTGCAAAATCCAAAAGGCACAGAAGGGTAAACTGTGAAAATGACCTCCCTTCCTTGTTTCCCAGCCAACCAACAATTTCTTGAGTATCCTTCTAGAAACATGTTATGCAAATACAAATACACCTCATTTCCTATTTTACACAAATGGTAGCATAAAATGCACACAGGTCTGCATCTTGCTTTTTTTCACTTAACAATAAAGTCCGAAGATCGCTTTCTCTCTCCCTTTAAAAAAGTATGAAATATGGAATGACAATTTCTTCAACATTAGGTTGTTTCCAGTGTTTTCCTGTCATAAATAATGCTGCAATGAATGTCTTTCTACGTGGCTTTTGTTCACATGTGCGTGTATAAATTTACTTCTGAAATTGCTTTCTTTAAATCAAGGGCAGCCTTCTTAGCAGCATCTTTATATCAGGCGTTTCCTAATTTAGCGTGCATCAGAATCGCCAGGAGGCCTGGCTGAAACACAGGTTAAAGGGCCTCACCCCCAGAGTTTCTAATTCAGTGGACCTGGGTTGGGAGACAAGTATTTGTGTTTCTAACAATCTACGAAGTCAGCACTGATGCTGCTTGTTGAGGACCACAGTTTGAGCAACCACTGCCTAAACCATTGGACTTTGGTGGCCCTCTCCTTGTCCTCTTCGTTCTCCTTCCCCTTCCTTCCTTCCCTGTTCTTCTTCTCTGCTCTTACTCACCACCCCTTCCTTCTCCAGCTCCCCTCCCTCTACATTTTCTAAATGGAGAATGTATAAGTCCTATACTTCACCCTGTTTTGCCCACCCTCCAATTCTCTCCCCAGCAATCTCGTCCTTTCTCATGACTTCAATCATCCCCTCTTTACAATTAACACTAACTTCTCTCCTGAGTGTCACACTCTCCTGAGTGGCACAGTGCCCTCTCTCCTTGTGCTTTCCAGGTTCTGCACCTTTGGACACCCCCTTGTTCCCTACCATACACTCTTCTTCCAACTTCCTTATGTCTAAGTCCACCTGACCCTGAAGACACACCCTACATGCCACGTCCTTCCTTGTGTCTTCCTGATCCCACAGAAAGAGGACCTCTCTACATGCTGAAGTACTTAGAAATGAGGTGTAGGTGTGTGTGTGTGTGTGTGTGTGTGTGTGTGTGTGTGTGTGTGAGAGAGTGAGCAGAGACAAAGCAAATCTGGCAAAATATTAACAATGAGTCAATCTAGGTAAAGGGTAAGTGGTATCAAATGTATTAGTCTTTCAACTTTTCACTTGAAATTTTAAAAAATAAAATGTAGAAAAATAAAAAATGGAGCTGCCTCTCTCTTCAGACCTCTTCTAGCACTTTATCTCCCATAGACCCACTGTCACTTACCTACCTTGTATTACAATTATTTACATCTGTGTCTCAGTTGCTAGCCTAGTCCAAACATTCTCTGAGCGCAGGGATTCTGCCTGGCTTGTTTGTTCAGGACCCTCCACCGCCTGGCCCAGTGCCTGATATGCAGTGGGTGCGCAGCTTCACAGGAATGGTTATTCCCTTGTCAGAGATAATAAAGGAGATATTACTACTAGGTCTTTCCAAAACAAAAAGGTGCCATGGAAAGAGCACATGCTTCAGAACCAGACAGCCTAAGGTTAGAATTCCAGCTCTACCAGGCGCCAGCTGTGCAACCTCAGGTAAGCTAGTTAACTTTTCTGGGCTTCAAATTCCTCATTAGTTAAATGGAAACTGCTATTTACTTAAAAATATGAATATTGCATAATGCATATAGATTGCCTGGCAGAGTGCCTGGTATATGGTAATCACTGAACAAATATTAGTCATTGTGTACACACGCACACACAATCATTTTATGAAATCCAAGTATGCAATCTAATTCTCTGCACAATACAATAGTTTGTACATGTTAATTACAGAGTCCTAAGCAAAATTCAGTCCAGAAACCATGGATACTTCACATTCTAACAAAGATCTAGCCATTGATACCTTTGGTGAGATGCCTTCCAAAGATTATTCCTTTTATATATGAATTAACTCCAGCTTTATAGCTTTTCCTAACATCCATTACCTTATAAAACTGGAACAAAGGCATGGCTTTGTTTAAGTTCAATACCAAAGACTCCAGCAAATGTTTACTTTTCTCCTTTAAGGCTTCCTTTACTCACACCACACCTCAGCAAACACATAAAAAAATGCCATTTGCCCTGCTTTGCAGTGTGCAATTCAATCTTTCAAGACCCCTCCCAGGAGTGCCCCCCAGCCCTATTTTTACTTTTCAGACCATGAGATATGTTCTGTAATATTCTGTAATTTTCCACAAGATCGCCTGTTTAAAATCAGCCAATACATTAATTTAGGCAAAAAATTGGAGTATAACTTTTTCTTAATCATGAATATCTATCAACCCCATATCATCCTAGACTGTCTTGTAAGCAGAAAGAGAACTCCCCAGACAAAAGCACTGGGCCGCTGAGGGGTGCAGGCTGTGGAATAAGCAAGGTCATGAACCCACAGGGCACTCAGGAGTGTAGTCTCCTTCAGACAGTCCTTTGGTTTCCATTTGCATCCTGAAAAACAGTGTTTACACATCTTCCCTTCTCCTTTGGTATCCAGCAGTGGAGGTCAGCAGATTAAGAACGCCATCCATTTAGGAACAGCCCTTTGGAAAGCATGATCCGTTAAGACTATCAAAACTTTAATTTTCAAAAGAACTGTGCTTGGCACACAATGGAGGCTCAATAAAAACTGGTTAAGCAGTTTAGACCAAAAAGAACCGGAAGAGAGATAGAGGGAAGGGGGAAAGGAGAAAAAAGAACACATTTGAGACAAGTTGATGGATTTGCCATGATTTGGTACCGAATACAAGCCAGCCTTTCAATTAGCATAACATTTTTCACCCAAAGAGACTGAATAATTTGCAGCGTATGAGAAGTGAGAACACCTATGTTTTCTCCAATTTACTCCTTTTTCATAAGCTATGGCCAAAGCCCTGCAGTTCTCACCATCTTATCTTTTAAGCTACTAAAATTGAGATAATGAGGACATAGAGTTATTTTTCCTCTCTAGTAGCAGCTGCTGGAGCAGAAAGCTAGGCTTGGCTTGCTCACCTTGAAAAGACAACACTGAGAGAGGAGGTGAGTGGAGGAAGTGAGAGAAGGAAGAGAGCTGGGTTTTCTATAGAAATAGTAAGTCAGCCTATATGATGGCTCTAGTCACATCTCACAACATGAAGCCAGTCACTGCAGTCACCATGACCCAGGCCACATCAAATGCACTCTTAAGTCCAGGGCAGCTGTCAGGCAGTGCTGGGACATTAAATCAACTTCATTTTCTCCCTTTAAAGTGGATTTACAAATATAGATGAGAACATTTTACTTTCAACTTGCACTTTTAGTTTCTTCTCACCAGCCAACTCATCTTAGCACATCCCTGTTTACCTCCCTGAGACTGGCTCTCAGTTCTTAGATGATACCTCCTTGTCAGTATTAAAGCAAAATCCAACAGGAAGGCAATGGGGCAAAACTATTAATGCAAATAGGGCCCAGAGGAAATATCAACATGTCTCCTCACTTTGCATTTTCCCACAGTTTCAAAAATTACATGCACATCTCTTTTGTAAATCCAATGCATTTGAAGCATTCCAAAGAGACCCAAGATTAGAGGAATCTCTCTATAAAAGGAACATTGGCTTATGTGTAAGTAGTCACTTCCAATTACCACCCTGGTAAATGTGAGGATTTGTTTGTTGAATTTCTTAAGTTGCACATGTAGAGCGGAGGGTCACTGTATGCCTCCTGCAAGCTTCATCTTCTCTGATCATAATCCTCATTCTTGCTTTGGAAATTTCTCAGTGCTGTGCTTCTTGCATGGTTTTTCAAAAAAAGAACAAGGAATTGCCTCCACTATTCATAACAGAAAAAATATACTAAAGAAAGGTGTGCAGAGATCATGTAAATGAATAAAAATGAAATTCAGGATGCCAGGGAAAGGAGCTAGAGAGAGATGGGGGAAATGAAGAATAGATGTGTAAAGGCATGGAGAAGAAAACACTGATATGTCTCAGCACTGTAATTGAAAGCATGCACTGATCTTTGGAGCGAGGTAAGAATTATGCAGAGGAGCTCACTAGTGTTAGGCTAATCAGCATGCAAATGCTCCGTTGAAGAGTGCAAGGAGTTTTCACTCCCACATCAGTTCCGGTCAATGATATGCACGATATGGACAGGTGATGTACCAGGGCAACAGAAGACGTGGATAGAGAGAGCCCTATGTGCTGGAAGTGCTGCACCAGCAGGCCCATCTTTGTGGGGAAGGAGAAAGTGTGGCGTGAGGACAGGGCAGGTGGCAAAAGCAGGGTGGCCTGATTGAACGGCTTTGCTCAAGGAAATGGAGTCAGCCATTCATTTTCTTTCTTTCTGGATACAAACAGGTTGTACCCTATAGATTGCTTAAAGAAGGAAAATCATAGCTTGCTTTGGCTTAAAACAAAAATCAGATTTCTCTCTATTGGGAGAGTCAACAGCATGGGCTCTGGACTCATAGGGCCCTGGGTTCTAAATTAACTTTTTCCATTTGCCCAATCTTGCAGGGCCTGATATGTTGAGAGGTAATATTTAGTGGAATCAGAATCTAAAAGGCCCAAGAAGATTATCCATGATGTCTCTTAGGCTCTTTGCTCCCTTCCCCACCTCCATTGGGTCTCAGCCCTGCCCACCTCCAATCTCATTAGGAAAATTTGTTAACAGAGATAAAAACAGATGCCTTACTTGTGTCCTTGGCCCTTTCTAAAACTGCAACAACTTCCTGTCTGGAAGGTCCTCCCTAATCCCAAAATGCAGGAAGAACATTTGCTGATGCTCTGGCAAAGCAGAAGGCTAGACAAACCAATACCCCTAAGTCCTCTCCTGCAACTCAACACACAGCGGGAAGGAGGAGCAGGATAGACATCACTCAGGAAAGTAATCAGTCTGCTTCTGAAAGCAGAGGCACTGGGCTAGAATGCAGCAAAGAACAACCCTGGGAGATCAGAGTTTCATATTATTGAATTATAATAGACTTTTCTAAAAATCATAAAGATCGGAGATGGCCAGTAGTAGACTTATCTGTCAGCATGATTAGTGTGATGGTAGTGAACATTTTCACTGAATCCTGAACTAAGGTCATTCTAAAAGGCTTGGAGGCAGAGCAATTTAAAAAAAGCTTCATGGAAAGAAGGCTTTTTTTAATCTTATGTATAATAAACCAAGGAAGGGTGAAGCATAGAGACATGGACAAATTGTTACGGTGTTCCAGTGAAAAGATCCAAAAAGGAAAAGTGTTCCTGAAAGTCAGCACAAAGCACTAAGCAGCATCTTTAATGCTCAAGTAATTCTTCTCTGTGGTCACATGACAGAGGTCGTTGTAGCACACCAAGATTGGTTTAATCTTAAAATCACTGCGAACAGAGAAAACAGCCCTGGACAAAAATAAGGGGCCCAGTTTCAAGACTCTCCTTAGAAATCTAGGAGGAAAGGAAGCCTGTAATTAGGGTTTGCTGCACTCTGCTCTGGGGGTGATGTCATCACTTAGAGAAAGGCAGTGCTCGGTGCCAGGAATCTGAGCTCACAGCCCTTTAATAACTCACTAGGGTCTTGCGTGGGAATTCCTCATCTTAGGGATTAGTGACCAACAAATCTACTTCTTAGGTATCGGTGTTTGGGTAAGGAGAGAAAGAAAATTAAAAAATTCTTGTAAATGGGAGTCATGTGAAAGAATATGACACAGAAGTCCTCCCATTGGGATCATATGGATGGGATCTTAATCTACACACACACATACACATATGCACACACATACACACAAACACACTTCCCATTGTTTTATGGCTTTTTTTTTTTTTTTTGCAAAAAAAAAACTCAACAGGGGAAGTAAAAAGCTGGCTACCCGAGTGCCAGGGCTAGAATCTGGCCTAGAATCTAGCTAGAATCTGGAGTTCAGGTCTGAACTCCATTTCAGTGCTCTTTCTGCTGCCACACACTGGGCCCTGCCCGCCATCAATTTCCAAGCAGTGACAGTGTGGACACTCAGAACCTTGTCCTCCTAGATATCAGAAGCCCAGGGACGCCTGTTCACATTACACAGGCTTCCAGCCTGCAGAGACCCTGAGGGCAAAAGCTGATCCTGTTGGAGACTATTCCTGCTGCATGTGTCATTGTGCAGAAAGACTCTGTCTCACAACCAGCAAAACGGGTTTTGGGTTGAAGAACTCTGCAATAGTTCTGCCAGAATCCGCCTGCAATGGACACTGCAAATCTGGAATTAATCCCCAAACCTCATTTTAACTAATAGCTTTAACACCTTCCCTGGCCAAACGTTTTCCTATAATTTAATTAAATTAAATGATTAGAGTTTCATGTCTTTCCTTTTTTTCTGTTCATGCTAAATGAGAGGTAGAAATAAAATGTAAGTCAGCAATGAAAGAAAATGTATGCTTTGGAGAAATCCATAAACCTTATTATCAGGTCTTGATTACAGATCTGTGGCAAGAATACCAAATACCGGATTGGTTTTTTGTTTTTTGTTTTTTAAATAAATGCATCAAAACTTAAATATCCAAATAAAAGCTATCCTTTAACATAATCATCTTGGGAAGACATACAGGTTTCTCCAATGATGCTGCCATGGCTTTAAAGCATATTTAGAAGGTCTCCTCTGATATGGCCAGCTTCAAAGATGATATATAAAACTTGGTGCAAAAAAAACCTCATTCTTAATCCTCAAGTGGTATTATCCAGCTTGTTGATATGTATTCACATTTGGATCAAGGTGGTTTCTGGTGTTTTTTTTTTAAACATCTTGAAAGATCAAGATTTACCACTATTGTGAGCATTCAGAAGAATGTCACACATTCTGTTTTCAACAGTGGGGACACAAATCAGTGTCTGGCCTGCTGCCACTGCAGCCCCATGAGGACCAGGCCAAAGGAGCCAGGGAGCCAGGGAATGCTGGTGGCCTTACTCGCCCCATTCCTCTGAGCTCCGGGGCAGAAAGACTGAACCTACCTACAGCTTCAGCCTACCCTCCTGAATGCTGAAAGGCAGTGAAGAGCTAAACTGCATATCAGTTGCCTGGGGGACATAGTTGGGCATGAAAACTCAAATGTTCGCCAAAGCTAGGTAGGGAAAGTTCCAGAATGCAGAATGCTAGAGAAAGCAATAAAGAAAGAGCCCAGTACCTCATTAGAGCCTTGCAAACACTCAGGCCTAATGGTTGCCAGAATCTTTAATTATCCAAGAGACTTAAAAACCTGGATTTTTAAAAATAATAATCTTCTGATTATCTAATGTGGGCAAAAAAAAGTTAAAATTCTAAACAGAAGTACAAAAATGCATAATACACACATACATATATGCATTCTGTGGACCATCAAAAGGCTGTAGGCCACAGGTTTGTGTCCTCTGGCCACACAAACCAAAATATCATGTGATACTGAAAGGGCCTGCTGCCCTGAAGCCTGTGAAAGTTTCTGTGCAGACGTTACCAACGGGAATTTGAATGCAAATGCAACTGCTCCTGATAGATAAGTCCACAACATGAACATCACAAACACTTCCACTGTGAGAGGGATGCCTTTTACTTCTTGCTTTGTTGAAAACCTTTCTGTCAACAATCATGCAATTTTGCCTTTTGTAGTCTGCTTATTATAAAATCAATGATATTTTAGAGAAATGCCTTAGGCTCCGCAGACAAAAAAAATCCTCTCAGCCTTTCTAATGAAGTAGATTTAACTTTTATGATTTCTCTTTAAAAGCTCTTCAGTAACTAACACAGGAACAGGAAACCAAACACCTCATGTTCTCACTCATAAGTGGGAGCTGAACAATGAGAACACATGGACACAGAGGAGGAACATTACGCACCAGGGCCTGTCGAGGGGTGGGGGCCTAGGGGAGGGAGAGCCTTAGGACAAATACCTAATGCATGCAAGGCTTTTACTTCTTGCTTTGTTGAAAACCTAGATGATGGGTTGATAGGGGCAGCAAACCATCATGGCACACATATACCTATGCAACAAACCTACACGTTCTGCACTTGTATCCAGGAACTTAAAGTAAAATAAAACATTAAATGCTCTTCAGTAGTCTGGAGAAAAATATTTGGAACTTTTTTCATTACTTATTGATTAACCCAAACCTCAAACAATTGCTGCGACCAAGTAATAATCACTTAAAATATTATTAATGAAGTTAAAAAAATTTTGCAATATAAAACAATGCAATATAAAATATCCTCCACTGCCATTTTTCAAAGCGTATGTGAGCTTAAACTTGACTGCTCTGAGCAACATGCATGTTCATACACATGCACACTCACATGTACACCCACAAGCACAGGCACACACATTTAGACAAGGAAAGTAAGCTCCTGCTTATGGTGAATGAGTGGTATGGAATGAACTGGGCTGGAAGATCAACTCAACTCCACATTAACTATCTCATTGGTTTACTGCAGAGTCTGAAGCTTCCATCATTAAACTGTACCTTCCAGGTTAGGCATTTTCTATAAAAGGTCCCTATTGAAGCAGAACAGTTAAAGCATTCACCCACTAGCACTCATTATCACAGATTGCATGATAATTAAAATTATGGTAATGATTACAGCTCATAGTTATAGCTTGCCTTAACATTTGTTTTGTTGTTGTTGTTGGTGGTGGTGGTGGTGGTGGTGGTGGGGTGTGTGTGTGTGTGTGTGTGTGTGTGTGTTTAAGACAGTCTCATACTGTTACCCAGGCTAGAGTACAGTGGCATGATCATGGCTCATTGCAGCCTCTGCCTCCTGGGCTTGAGCAATCCTCCCACCTCTGCCTCTTGAGTAGCTAGGACTTCAGATGCATGCCACCCTGCCCAGCTAATGTTTATTTTTTATTTTGTAGACATGGGGTCTCCCTACTTTACCCAGGTTACTTTTGAACTTCTGGCCTCAAGGATCCTCCCACCTTGGCCTCTCAAAGTGCTGGGGTTACAGGCATCGGCCACCATGCCTGGTCCTTTAACATTGATAAGACACTTCCAGTTACACGATCCCATTTTCTTCCCAAGGACTCTGACATAGGCCCTGCCTCTCCCTGGTCACACTGTTGCTCAGTTACTGGTTCCAGGCCTCCCTCCCCAGAGCATTGGATCATCATGCTTTATGCCCTCAGCATGATGCTGGCTGCAGCAGAGACATTTGGAAATCTGTGTGTTTGTCTGCATGCCAGAACCGAGGCCCAGAGAGGTCAGATAACTTGCTCAGGATGACTCAGTGGCCATCCTAGTCCTGTGCCGTCACACAGACTGCCTCTTACCGATCAGGTTCAGCAATCTAGCCTCTGAGAGAACAGGGAACGATGAGAAAGGAATTGGCTGGAATAAGGAGGCACTAGGCAGGGATGTGGGAAAGGTGCAGACAGCCCTAAGCACAGGAGCACGATGTTCTCAGGAGAGGGCAGGGGCAGGGAGAACGGGGCTCGGGTAGCCGAGGAGGTTAACAAAGTGCCGAAAGCACATGGCTTGGGCAGGAAACTTTAAATGAAGGAGGAGTGGACCTTAGAGACACATTTGCCTACAGTTCTGTGTGGGACCAACCTCACACCCCATGGCAAGGCCTGCTTCCTTTCTGGGAGGCACTGAGCCACGGAAACTTCTCCAGGCTGTACGGGCACTCTATCACCACTTGCCCATTTGGGCCGCCTTTCTCAGGCCTGTTCTACATTGTTTTATACTTGAGTGAAATGAGACACTGGGCAATTCTTCTTCTGTGGCCGTGCCTGCAAACTCCCAACCCGTTTCCTTTCTCACCCAGCCTTCCCCCTGCTCGCAGACAATAAAGCATCGACCAGAGCAGTGTACATTGACCTTTTCATTAGTTTGAAGACAAACTCTTCTAACACCCTCCTAGATGGTCCAGAACCAAAGCAAAAAACAAGCTTAGGTTTCATCTGGCACCTTCCCATGAGTGCAAAATAAGAATCAAGGATCAGAAGCTAAGGAACACAGAAAGGAGAGTGGGCATAGCAGAACGGTTTGGGGTTTTCATAAAATCAAAGAGACTCGTGGCTGGAAAGCAAATCTAGGTATCAATGACTCTGCCTTCTTTTATCCAAACCGTTGCAATGGTGGACGTCTCTTCTCAGGGCTCACTTCGCCACAGATTTTACCTTTGTACTTCTTAACCATGTGGGCACTCCAAAAAACAGAAAAAGGTTAGTTAAGCAGCCAACATTAAACAAGTGGCTGAAGGTCACAGTGGTGACCACACCTCCATCAGTAGAGCTCAGGGACCTGCAGCCTGCTTCCTGTATTCCATCCTTCAACCAGCTTAAGCCTGGAAGGGGCTATGGGGTCAGGGGTCTACCCAGTAGCTTACCTACGAAGACATCAGCTCTGAGCTCCTCTCTCTGTGTCTAGAGGAGGCTGCACAGAGACGCCTTTGGGGGAATCTGCACTGCAGAGGGAAAAGGTTTTCAGGCCCCATCTTCCCAGCTCCAAGTGCTAAAATGAAGCTTGGGGCCTGAAGGATTTGGGTGGGACACGCAGCTTGGCTCATTACATTCTACAGGAAGCCACAGAGGAGCACACTCCCTTTTCTCCCTTACCCTCCACAAAGGCAAAAGATGAAAGGTTCATTTCTTTTTAATAGGAGGCTACTGATACAGGCTTTTAAAAAAGAATAAACTGCTGAGGATGGGCACATATTAAGAGGTATAAACAATGAATCAATGTCACTCACCTTCGCCTCTTCATTCACGTCCCAGGTAAAGGAAACAGCATTATATGCAATCTCTTCAATGTTTCCAATCGTATTAAAGCTCTCCTTGTAATCGGCTGTAACATTAAAAAAAGAACAAGCTTTTAAAGGAGTAAGAGTGACTCAGTGACATGTACTGAACCATCATTTTCCAATGGGTAAATTTAAACTTCGTTTATTTTTCAGGCTATCTCCATGCTAACAGTTAAGGACTGGTGCTCACTGATGTTCTTTTACTAATACTTACTCTATAAGAATGTAAGCGTGTTCCTCTATTAAAAGAGTAAAACTAAGCAAACCAATGTTCTTAGCTAATTTGTTCATTAGTTTCATTTTTTACTAGTTTTATAAGATTATTAAGGTTTTCTTTTTTCTCCCAAGCCCTACGTCACCTACCCACTCTCCCTCCTGCTCACTTTTCTGCCACTTAATTTTGCTAGAAGTACCAGGGTACTTCATATGGAATTTTTTGTAGAACAGAATATTCTGTTTATCAGCCAGGCAGTGTCATCAGTACTTTAGTAAAAAAAAAAAAAAAAAAAAAAAAAAAAATTCAGGAGACCACAGTAAAGCTTTTTTAAAATTTCCTTTTGGGGCCGGGTGTGGTGGCTCATGCCTGTAATCCCAGAACTTTGGGAGGCCGAGGTAGGAGGATTACCTGAGGTCAGGAGCTTGAGACCAGCCTGGCTAACATGGTGAAACCCTGTCTCTACTAAAAATATAAAAATTAGCCGGGCATGGTGGCACATGCCTGTAATCCTAGCTACTTAGGTGGCTGAGGCATGAGAATCCCTTGAACTGGGAGGCAGAGGCTGCAGTGAGCTGAGATCATGCCACTGTACTCCAGCCTGGGTGACAGAGTGAGACTCCATCTCAAAAAAAAAAAAAAAAATCTTTTTGGACTTAGGTATGGAGAGTTGAGTTAATCATAGTTGGTCTATTCAAGGCCTTCTCTTATTTTATGACTTTATTTGGTTACTATGTATTTCTTTTTCTTCCTATTATCCTTCCCACAAATGCAATAGCTATAAATGTGTTTATATATATTCTTACGGAATATATTGGTTTGAATTGCCTGTGTATATAGCTTTAATTTTCATAAATTCTGTTGTTCCATGACTAAAGTTGCCAGATTGGGCAAATATTTGGGATATACTTATCTTCAAAATGTATTCATTATTTATCAGAAATTCAAATTTAACTGGCACTCTGTATTTCATCTGGCAATCCAGACTACAGACCTTTTCGGATCTAACCTCACTGCTCGTTGCATGCCTATTTCTTTTTTTCTTTTTTTTTTTAAATTATACTTTAAGTTTTAAGGTACATGTGCACAATGTGCAGGTTTGTTACATATGTATACATGTGCCATGCTGGTGTGCTGCACCCATTAACTTGTCATTTAGCATTAGGTATATCTCCTAATGTTCTCCCTCCCCCCTCCCTCCACCCCACAACAGACCCGGATGTGTGATGTTCCCCTTCCTGAGTCCATGTGTTCTCATTGTTCAATTCCCACCTATGAGTGAGAACATGCGGTGTTCTGTTTTTTGTCCTTGGGATAGTTTGCTGAGAATGATGGTTTCCAGCTTCATCCATGTCCCTACAAAGGACATGAACTCATCATTTTTTATGGCTGCATAGTATTCCATGGTGTATATGTGCCACATTTTCTTAATCCAATCTATCATTGTTGGACATTTGGGTTGGTTCCAAGTCTTTGCTATTGTGAATAGTGCCGCAATAAACATACGTGTGCATGTGTCTTTATAGCAGCATAGTTGCATGCCTATTTCTAACTGTGGCTCCAGGGACTGTCGCCACAGTTTACTTATCTCCCATCCCAGAGATGGACCCTTCAGTGGTCTCTGCTCTCTGGTACAGACATCTCTGTGATAAAAATTCATACTCCTGGGAGCTGAACTGATGACTGATCACATAAAAAGTTACTAAATGTGCTCTCCAGAACAGCCCTCCAGATTCACTCTCCAGGATGGATCAGCCAGTGCAGCCTCCCACCAGAACTCTATTTCCCTTTTTCTCTCTACTTTCTTGCTAATCTGATGAGCACAAGGCAGCATTCCACTGACAACATATTTGCACTTCTTCTACCGCTTTTAAGTTCAAACATCTCTTCTCACACAGGATAGCCAACTAGGTGTCTCCTTATGGAAACTGCTTACTAATGTCCTTTGCTGTGTTTCTATGGTTTCCCCCTATGGAAATTTTAAAGCCAAACTACATGTTTACATTTTAAATAAAGCACGTACTTCAATATAAAAGCGTGTGTGGCCACCACAGGAAAGTCAGAGACCATGAACAAATATGAAAAATATTTAAAAGCAATCACAATTTTCTCACCCACAAATAACCAACTATAAACAGATCTGTGGTACACTTCATCCTTCCTATCTTTCTCTCTGCCTACCTTTCTCAAAAATATGTAAATATTTTATACAATACTGTAACAATTATTTCTTTATTTATTTTTGCCTAATGCATCATCAGCATCTTCCCATGTCAATAAACTGGTGTAAAATTACTTTTAATGGCCAAATACTACTAAATTGAATTATGTGCCAGGACTTTATTTTGCTTGTCTTGGCCAGATGATGTCCAATAGTTTTCTATTTCAAATAATGTTTTAATTATCTATACAGCTAAAAATTCATATATGCTTAATTATATTTCGTTAATATATATTCTTAGAAGTGAAAGTAGCAGGTCAAAGGAAAAAAAATTTTTAAGGCTTTTAATTCATTTTGTCAAAGTGTTCCTGCTAAAGTTGAAACAATTGACGTTCACAGTAACAGCGCATATGCATGTGTTCTCGTTTCCTCCAAATGTTTCCTTCCAAATTGATATGCAAAACATGGTGACTCATTATTTTAATTTGTAATTTATTGATTGTGAAAGAGGTTGAACCATCTTTCATTTTGTTTTTGACTCTTTGTATTTCTTCACTTTTTTCTCTGTTTTATTTATTTATTTTATTTTTTTTATTTTTATTTTTTGAGACGGAGTCCTGCTCTGTCACCAAGGCTGGAGTGCAGTGGTGCAATCTCAGCTCACTGCAAGCTCTGCCTCCCAGGTTCAAGTGATTCTCCTGCCTCAGCCTCCTGAGTAGCTGGGACTACAGGTGCCTGCCACCACACCAGGCTAATTTTTTGTATTTTTAGTAGAGACGGGGTTTCACTGTGTTAGCCAGGATGGTCTCGATCTCCTGACCTCGTGATCCACCCGCCTCGGCCTCCCAAAGTGCTGAGATTACAGGTGTGAGCCACGGCACCCAGCCCTTTTCTTTGTTTTAAAAATGCATTTATTTATTGAAACACTTCCTGTTCTGTCCTTTGCCCATTTTTTTTTTCTTAGGGTATTCAGTTTCCTTACTGATTTTGAAATAAATAGTTAAAGCTAAAAGAGAAAACAAAAAACAAAGAAAAACAATTTTATATCTTTCAAATTTAGAATAAGGTTATACGACTATACTTGGGATGATTTTAAATATAAACCTGTGCTTCCAGCAGGCCAGCCAAACTCTTAAAATTTTGAAGAGAAAAGAAGACTGTTGAATTTAGATCAACTGAAGTCCTTGATTCTTTATAGCTAATTATTCTAAAAGATAGTCTCGCAACTTTGAAGTTTTAAATACACATTTAAAAATAAGCAGCCTTTAGGTGAATTGTAAAAAAGAAAGCAAATGTCATATCTAGAAATAAAGACAAACCAAGAAAATTTGTTCAAACATGTATCCTAGCTCTCATGAGTTACAACATTATGAGGTTTTATTTCCTATAGCTTCTCCACATAAAAAATGTCTTCTGTTAAAATTGTATTAGCTCAAATAAGGAAAGAATTTCAAAAACAAATGCAATATAGATACAGATAAAATACTCTAATCTTGTTCAAGGTCCCTGTCAGTTTCTATCACCTTCACTTAATCAACAAATGTATTGAGGAAATATTTACTGTGAGCCCTCTATGTGCCAGGCAGTGTCCTCATGCTTGAGAAAGAGCAAGAAACAAAACTAGGTCCCTGATCTTTTGGCTTTTTCAGTCCTAGAGACAGAATATAAATAAGTATATAGATAAATAAATGAACAAGACGATTATCCTTAATCTGCTTTTGTATGCCCAAAACAAAAGGATAGTAAGACTACTTTTTATTGGGTGGTTCCATTACCTTGTATATGTCCTTCATGGCATGTACAAGTATTTTATTTATTCGTTTACTATTTATCACCAACATTTCTCATTAGTTATATATGTTATATGAGGGCAAGGAACTTATCTTAAATACTGCTGCTTTCTCAGTTCTTAATATCATACTCATAGGATGTGCTCCATAAGTTTGTTGAGTGAATGAATGGATGGATCCTTAGGCATTCTAAACAAGAAAGATAACTAAGAGACTAATGTCATGCACTCCTCTCTAGCCTTATACCATACAAGAAATGTCTGCTCATCTCTACCCTTTGTGTTCAGTCTCCACAGGTGGTACAATAGCTCTGCTCCCACTTCACGACTCTCAAAGTCTTCCAAGGGACTAAACAGCTGATGCACACCAATGTGGCTTCTTCCACATGCATAGTTGTCCGACAAATAAAATGGTAACAGATGTGCCTCTGGTTTCTGAAAGCTGGGTGAATGTCCTTGGGTGAGTGTTGTATGCTTAAGAGTTTACGGCCCACGGTAGGAATGGAAACTCAGTAACCTGGTGTTGAGCCTTCCTCAACTTATTTCCTCAAGAAAGTTTCTCAAACCCGAATGTTGTAAATGTTGACAGCTGTAGTCAGGAAAAGGCATAGTAATGAGCTGCTGTGCCAATTTCCTTGAGCTGTCATAACTAATTACCATAAACATGGTGGCTTTGAACAACAGGAATATTTTTGCTCACAGTTCCAGAGGCCAGGAGTTTGAAATCAAGCTGTGCCATGCCAGCGGTGTGTGACTCCGATCTCCGATCTCCGCTTCTGTCTTCACATGGCCTTCCCTTTTGTGTCTCTGCATCTGTTCCCCCTTCACTATCTCTCTCTTTTTTTTTTTTTTTTTTTTTTTTTTTTTGATACAGACTCTCACTCTTATTGTCCAGGCTGGAGTGCGATGGTGCAATCTTGGCTCACTGCAATCTCTGCCTCCTGAGTTCAAGCGATTCCTCTGCCTCAGCCTCCCGAGTAGCTGGGATTACAGGCACCTGCCACCATGCCTGGCTAATTTTTTTGATATTTTTAGTAGACATGGGGTTTCACCATGTTGGCCAGGCTGGTCTTGGACTCCTGACCTCAGGTGATCCACCTGCCTCGGTCTCCCAAAGTGCTGGGATTACAGGTGTGAGCCACCATGCCCAGCCTGTTCCCCCTTCTCTTTTAAGGATTTGTCATTGGATGTAGGGCCCACCTTAATCCAGGATGATCTTATCTTGAGATCCTTAATCACAATCTGCAAAGATCTTTTTCTGAAATAAGGTCATATTTACAGGTTCTGGGAGTTAGGACGAGGACATATCATTTTTGAGGGTCCCACTCAACCTCCTACGTCTGGGATTCCTTCCTGTGATTAGAACTCATGTGATCTGAGTGAATGGCTTCTTTTTGCAATGATAGTTACCATAGCTGAAAAATAATCACCCCGCTTTAAACGAATTATAAAACACAATTATAAAATACATCTTTGTGAACATATTGAATTTCAAATGGACTTTTTTCCCCTAAAAAAAGTGACAAGGCAACATAAAAACTACATATTTTAAATACTAGTTTGTAAACACAATACTAACATCTACCTGGCGAGGATGAGTGAACAAATAGGAAAATGGCTTAATATTTCCCAAAACAGGCATGATGCAACAATATTATTATTGGCTGAAACAGGTTTAAAAAAATTATGCCAACCAGGCGTGGTGGCTCACGCCTGTAATCCTAACACTTTGGGAGGCCGAGACAGGTGGATCATCTGAGGTCAGGAGTTCAAGACCAGCCTGGCCAACATGGGGAAACCCCATCTCCACTAAAATACAAAAATTAGCCAGGCGTGGTGGCAAGTGTCTGTAATCCCAGCTACTCTGAAGGCTGAGGCAGGAGAATCACTGGAACTCGGGAGGCACAGGTTGCAGTGAGCCGAGATCACACCATTGCACTCCAGCTTGGGTGACAGAGACTCCATCTCAACAACAACAACAACAAAAAGAATAAAACCATGGGTAGAAAAAATGGGAGTCTTTCTAACGAAATAAGAATGAACTTAATCTCATTGTTAATGTCATGTGCTGCCAGAGATATAGCCAAAATGTTCAAGGTCCTCTCTAAGTCTGTGTGTGTCCTTGGAATCTCAGAGTGAAGTGTATGGGAACACATGGAAATTCTCTGGGGTCTGCTAGGATCCTCCCAAAGCAGAACAAGTGTTTCCAAATTCCCATGGCTTACAGGCTTGAGGGATTCTATAACGGTGCTTCTCGAATGTTGCAGTGCACCAGAATCACCTGGAGGGCTTTGGTAAAATGCAGATTCTCTGTCCACTCTCAGAGATTCCGATTCCATAGGTCTAGAATGTGGCCAAGAATTTGCATTTCTAGCAAGGTCTCAGGTAGAGCTGATGTGGCTGGTCTGGGGACCACACTTAATATTGTTCGATGGCAAATGGAAATGCCAAAATAATTAAAAGGAACAACTTCATTATTGGATTATTTTGGTGCCTTTGGTTCACTCCACACAGTATTAGAAAGTGCTATATCTGGCCGGGCATGGTGGCTCGTGCCTGTAATCCCAGCAACTTGGGAGGCCAAGGCAGGTGGATCACGAGGTCAGGACTTTGAGACCAGCCTGACCAACGTGGTGAAACCCCATCTCTACTGAAAATACAAAAATTAGCCGGGCGTGGTTGTGGGCACCTGTAATCCCAGCTATGCAGGAGGCTGAGGCAGGAGAATTGCTTGAACCCGGGAGGCGGAGGTTGCAGTGAGCCGAGATTGTGCCATTGCACTCCAGCCTGGGCGACAGAGCAAGACTCTGTCTCAAAAAAAAAAAAAAAAAAAAAAGAAAAGAAAGAAAGAAAGTGCTGTACCTGTCATTAAGGTCCTACGTCAACTGTCAATGAAGTCCATGTGACAGTTCCCCTTCGTTTCTCAGATTTCCCTTCTTAGGAGGACTAAATACCAATATGGGAGGACAGGCAGTTACCTGCACAGTAAGATTCAAGCACCACCTGCTCCAGGATGTCTACTTATTCTTATGCCTGGAAGCTCATCCTGAAACACTCTATCCTTTGGATAAAGACATTGTCATCTCCTGGCATTAAAATGCAAATGCCCTTAGGATAATAACTGCCACAAACAGAGAACTTACAAGCTCATGCCAAGCCTATGTGAAGCCTTTATCACCTCTGCTAATCCTGGCAACCACTCTATGAAGCAGGAATCAGCATCTTCCTCCCACAGCGAAGTTCAGCTGTTTGTGGAAAATCACATAGCTGGTAACAAGCCAACCTGTGATTTGAATCCGGGTCTGCTTGATGCAAAAAGCCACACTTTTAACCACTGCCCATATTTGTCTTGCAAATTCAACAACACATTGTCAGCAGATATTGGGATCATAGTATGTCCTACAATGGCTACTAGTTTCTTGGGAAGCACTGAAGGAATGTAAGCTTGATGAGGCAAAGAGACTGGACATTTTGGGATCATTGCAAATTCCTTGACAAGAAGGACAAGGTTGGGGTGCTTCAGTAGAGAGGAGACAAACAAGAAAATATCTCCACATACTGCAAGCACTGTGAAGATCGAAAGAAAAATTCCAAAGTTAGCCTTTCTAAGAAAACAAGAGGTGTCAGTGTTGGGGAAATGATGATAAACGTTGCAGTGCTTCTGCAAAGGGCTGCTGAGGATGTGTGAAAGTGCAATGCTTTGTGTTTGTGTTTCTGGCAAGCTATATTTGGCACAGAAATTATAGGATCCAATTCTATTTGAATTGTTATGGTGAATCCTTTTGTTATTTTTTTATTTTTTATCTTTTGCATATAATCACTGGCCTGTTAATAGGTTTTTAAATTCAGACTTCTGTAGGCTGAGCTTTCTTCAAATGGATTGTAGGGGCAAGTGTGATTCTGGAAATCCCGTCAAAGGCAGTGTTAATTCCTCCACCTTAATTGAGCTTCACACGCTTGGTAAATTATAACTACCCCTTTTAATTATTTTTGTATATATTTTTGGAGATTAAAAGGAGTGGCATAATTAATATAAAGATTGCTTCTCTTCTGAAAGGTGCGGATTCTGTCTGGACTAGTGAAATAATGAAGCTGGAATGCTGAAAATGGCTCTGGGCACAAATGCCGACTCAAGGTACATACACCATGGCCTAATAAGATGCTTTTAACAAAAGCTGAGAGCTCGACATAGTTTATATATTTGGGGCCGTGGTGCTTAGAATTCTAAGGGTGGCAATCAAGGTATAAAGAGAAGGAACATGGTGGTGGAGACACACAGACCTGAATTTAATTTTCCGTCCCTCTTCCCACCAAGCCCCGAGACCTTCGGTGAGTTAACTCAACTTCTCTAAACTTGAAATTTCCTAATCTACAAAATAGAGACAATAGCTAAGAGAACTGGGCCCTGCTAGTCTCATAGTGGAAGGTGGGACCAATACTTGTCTCCACTTTGCACCTCCCATCTGTCCTCAAACATCCACTTCTCCCTGTCTGCAGTGCCAAATAGGATCGGCTCAAACTCAGGAAACAGGAGAGGGTCATTCCAGGAGTATTTGCTCTGACTTGAAACAGGCAGAATAAATGAACCCTAGTCCAAGTAGATTCTGAGATTTTTTTGTCTGTTTTCAAAATCAAAGCAGTGGCTTCTTAAAACCTGAATGACTCACAAGAACTCACTTATGAGTTCATTATTTTCTTTATAATGCTTTACAGAGTCAGAGGTGACCTGACTGGGTTTCCTTAAGTGTGTTAACACTAGAGCTGATTTTTAGAGGCACTAAAGTATTTCCATCATTGAAATACTGGTCCATGAGCAAATAATAATAATGGCCACCATTTTTTGAGAGCCCTGTGCTAAACATACATACTTCACAAGTATTACCTCAGACAGTTTTTCTTGGTATCTTTTTATTATTATTATTCCCACCTCATAGAATAGGAAACAGGCAAGCATGTAAGTACTCTCCCATCCCCCACAGTCAGTTTGTAACGGGCCAGGCTGGGATTAGAACTTACGAAATTCATCTACATACATGCCAGAGGCCTTTGACTCCTCTGCTACACAGCCAGATGAGCACCTTTCCATACATAATCCAGGACAATAACAACTGAAATTATGAAAACATATGTGACCAGCATAGAGTGACCCGTCTATTAATATATCATTAAAGGCATAATTATTAGTAATATTATTACTATTTACTCTCCATGGCTTAGTATAATACCCTCACAGATACCATTTGTGTTTCTTAGAACTTTCTCTTTAGGCTACATCTAATATTTTACATGTGCTTGATTCACCCTCCTGTTTGTGGAGAAGGAATTATATAGACAATGTTACAGCTTTCAAGTTGTACTGACCATAAGCACAGAGTATGAACATTTGACATTGTAACCTATTACTATGTTCTGTGTATGCTAGTATTTTTTATTCTGTCTGATTTCATTTTTTAAGAATGTTGGTCTTGACTAACAAACTTGATTTCAAACTGACAATAGGTCATATCCTGTACATAGACACACATAAACACACATGCACGCGTGCCCGTGCTTGCACCACAGCACATAGCTCCAGATTTAGTAACTCAGACAGGCTTAACATTCAACTCATTTCATTAGTCCATGTGGCTCAGGGAGATTTTAACTATAACCATTTTGTCTCTGTCCACAAATTTAATTTGTAAATCACACAAAAGTACCTGGCAGTTTCTGACAGTTTTCTGAATGAATGAAAATGCAAACTGTGCTTTGGTAAGTAACATGCTTAAAACACTGCATGAACTACTCAAGCATATGCCAGTTTTCCATTCTTCATGCTGTTGTCTAATATACTGACACTCTTGGGAGTACATGTGGAGACAAGAAGTTATAGGCACGTAGGATTAGAAGTTACTGCCCAAAGTGGTTAATCAGCAGTAATCACCCCGACAAACAGGGCCCCTTCTACCACAAAGCTCCCTAATCTTTTCCCACCCCAGATGACATATCCAGAAACTATAACACTTGGTTAAACCGACTATAATTTATAAAAGGAAACTGAACTGTTTCTGAAGTGGTGGTATTTTATATTATTGGCAAGAGACTCAAGAATGTCTGTTCTATAAGATTCCACAGCCTCATTCTAGTGTCTAACAACCCTCAGTGTGAGAAATAATTTTCAAACACTTATAGTTGTACTTCAGAGTTGCAGACTGAATAGATTCAAACACTAGAAATAACTTTTTGGTAATTGGCAGTGCAGAAGAAAGACTATAAATCTTCAAGTGGATTATCTTTCACTAAATTTGAACTACAAGCCCAATTACTTAAGCAACTCAAAATACAGTAAGATAAATGTTCATTTTCAAGCTTCCCACTTACCCCTGGCTGCCCAAATCACATACACAGAATGAGTTAAGTGACGTAGGAAGGTAAACCTCTTACCTGTGTTAAGGGGGTGGGGAGCCACTGGGAAGTGGCTCATGCACTATTCTAGTTTGTTGCAGGAATGATTTTTGCATTAACTGCTACTTGAATGACTCATGTTGCTAGTCCTGTGTACTTTTACTTATTTTTCATCAATTCTGAAATTATTAGAGGATTTTGATATTATGTCAAAATAGGATTTTGAGTTCTCTTAGGGAGGGAAACTGCTGTTGCCGTTACAGTTTACTGTTCTAATGCTGACCCCAGACTGTATGTGTGAGTGGACTTGAGTCCACAGCAACCTTTGGAGAACTACATGACCTCATTAAGCTGGCTGCCTTATCTGCGAAATGGAGACACTACAGCACCTATGGCACAGGATTGTTAAACAATGACGAGACTCTCATTTATTAAGCACTCAATTATTTCAACACATGTCTTTCCAAAAGCAGAGAAACTAGTGGTGGTCCACATTCCTGAAGCCTGTTCAAAGAGTTTTCTTCAGATTAGCTTTACCTTATTTTGGCTTCTACAACCTCAAAGAGTTTAATTTAATTTTGAAAAAACTTGGCAAGTTTTAGGTTTTGTAAACAAGGAAGAAAAACTTTAAATTTGCCTAATTTCACTCTTGTGGATGTTACAAAGACATATATTT
This sequence comes from Homo sapiens, assembly GCF_000001405.40. Classification (NCBI taxonomy): domain Eukaryota; kingdom Metazoa; phylum Chordata; class Mammalia; order Primates; family Hominidae; genus Homo; species Homo sapiens. Next base: position 101,587,876 of record NC_000008.11, on the reverse strand, counting down.
GTTTCTATTGAAGGCCACAGGGAGAGAAACTTCTAGCAAATGCTAGAGGGTGGCTGAATAGACCGGCTCTATAGTTTTGTTCATGAAACATATGATTTCATGAACTATCTAATTGTATCTCTAGGTTTTTTTTTGGTCATTTTTAAGCCAATCCAATAATATTAAAAACTATAATACTATGAGAGTGCCTGAAGTTTCCTTAAATGCACATCTGAAAAAGAAAATAATGAGGTCCCAAACAGAAAACATGAAATCAAATAAAAGTATAAATTCCACATTGGAGATGAAAGAATGATGTTATAGCTATGGATATAACAAAAGTCCCACCGGTTAGGGGAAAAACAACTCAATGTCCAGTAAATGTGTATTTAAAAAAATGACAGATAGGAAATATAGCATTGTATAGCACTAAACACAGCAGGTCTATCAGTGGTTTCAGTTATCTGTGCGTGTGAGTATGTGTGTGTGTTTTGATTTTGAAATCTCATCATCTAAACCAGTATCTCTATAGGACAGCTTTACCCTGTCATTAAAACAGACTCTCAGAGGTCTCTTCAAGCATCCATCGTCTGCTTTTATCTTCTCTGTAACATTCCTTCTGGTTAACTGCTCATGGCTTTAACATTTCCAGGAGTAGGAGAAATATCAGAAAAGGCTTATTAAACAATAATGTGCTGGAACCAGATAAACTGAGTTCCGAGGAGCAGTGAAGGAAAATGACGAAGGGACACATTCGTTGTAAGTTTTAATTCCACATCTACCTACTTGTTTTAAAAAATTTGCCCTTCAACAATTTTCCACGTCTGTTTCAGGAAAACAGAAATAATTTCTAGTTAAGTTTAAAAGGAGACATTTACCTTTGTTTATGAGTATATATATTATGTTTGTAGGCTAGCAATTAAGTCTCAGAGGTATTTAAGTTATATCAAAATGTTTATAGTACAATAAAATATATTTAAATATAAGAAATGGAAGTACTAAAGGCATATTTAGTCTTCTAGTATCAGAAAAATACTACCAGAAATGATTCTTTCAGCATGAAAGAGGAGAGTCCAACCCCAGTCAGATTTCTCAGTGAACCAGGCACAGGCCTGCTTACTGTCACTGTCACCTAAACGCACAAAACCACACATGGCAGTGTGCTCATCGATTATGCAACATCGGTTGAGCATCTGTTCTCTGCCAGGTTCTGTACCAGCTGCTAAGCATACAAAGATTCAAGGTTAAAAAAATCCTCTCTTCATTCAAAAAGTTCAGCGTCTAGTAGGATGAATAAATGAATGAATGAATAAACCAAGTGAAACACTGCCAAGTGCTATTGTTTAGATCTAAACCAAAGCCTGCAGAGGGAACAGTGGACTCTACCTGGGAAGATTAAGAAGATCTTACCCAAGTGGGGACAGGGAACAAGGTCTCAAGGTGTGAGATGTCTTCCAGGTGAAGAAGCGAGAGAGGGCCATTCTAGGCAAGGAGAACCCCAGAGATGGGTCAAACAAGAGGTTGGAAGTAAGTAGGAAAAAATAGTGAAGGGTGAAAAGATATCTGTCATTTTAAAATATTAATAAAAGACAGATTATGTTGGATTGAGAAATGGGTGACAGTTTAAGATGTCGGGCAGGAAGTGTAGGCTCCTCTTTTAAGAAACATGAGGTGCCTGTAGTCCCAGCTACTCGGGAGGCTGAGGCAGGAGAATGGCGTGAACCCGGGAAGCGGAGCTTGCAGTGAGCCGAGATTGCGCCACTGCAGTCCGCAGTCCCACCTGGGCGACAGAGCGAGACTCCGTCTCAAAAAAAAAAAAAAAAAAAAAAAAAGAAACATGAGGTGGAAGGAAAGAAGAGGGCCCAGCAATAGCTTGAAAGAGAGTCTGCAGGGATCAGGGACTGGAGCTGGGGATAGAATCCTGACCCTTCCCTGGAGGGAACCAGAGGGAGCCCGAGGACCACCCCCATCACACACACAGCGGAAGGGATTTTCCCGAGATACTAGCCTCAACAGAATGAGTTTCCAGGATTCATCCTGAGACAGGTATCCAGTAACTGAAAACCCACAGTGGCTCAATTATGATTGAAAATTATTTTCTGCCTAAACAAATATTAAACTTTAGAGAACACTTGCATTTACAGTGTTTTAAGTTAATTAACCTTCACAGCCTACCGTACTTTTATCACATAACTGTTTCTAATCAAGGTTGAGATGAAAAGGAGTTTTCCATAACTGCAGCTTTAGCACGTCTCTAGAAAACAGAGCATGTCTTACACTGCACATGAACTCGTGATAACAGCAAGGGCGGATGCAACAGAGGAAGGATCTGGAGCTGCAAGTGAGGCTGTTGCTGGCTCACACCCCAGAGTTCCCCTCTCATCTGGTCCTATGGAGGACGTGGGGATGGAGCTCGCTCTTCTGACTGAGCTCCAACTACAGCCTTAATTCTCACCAGCCCTTGGATTTTGTTTTTTTAATTTGGGAGCTCTCAAGAGGTTTGGTTTGGTTTGTAATCAAATTTATTTTTCATATCTATTCAGAAGTATGGAAACAGCCTAGAAAAACATCAAAAAATGAAATCCTATTTACTTGAGTTATTTTTAAAGGAGGGAAGACCTACATTTTCCAGACTGTAGGGAGAGAGCAAATCTGTATAATTTGGGGAAAAGGACAGCCCTCCAGAGAACCAGAGAACTAAACTAGGTGGGATGGTGGGAAGCCCTGCTGAAGAAAGTGGGGAGTTGCTGGTGCTCTTGTCTCCCAGGCCTGTTTGGGCCACAAATTCACACTACGTGATCACCTGGCCACCTGGCCACTTGGCTACCTGACCACCTGGCTGCCTGACCACCTAGCTACCTGGCCAGCTAGCCACCTGACCACCTGGCTACCTGATCACCTGGCTACCTGACTACCTGACCACTTGGCTACCTGGCCAACTGACCACCTGACTACCTGACCACTTGGCTACCTGGTCACCTAGCTACCTGGCCACTTGACCACCTGACCATCTGACCACCTAGCCACCTGACCACCTGGCCATTTGACCACCTAGCCACCTGACCAGCTAGCCACCTGACCACCTAGCCACCTGACCACCTAGCCACCTGGCTACCTGACTTCCCAACATGTGGACGTCACCTCTTCCTACACACCACCTTAAATCTCCACCCTCCCACTTTTCTGCATAGCTCTCAGAGTAGCCCAGCCCAGGACTGGCTATAAAAACTGAGAAAGCATGCTTGTAGGGCTCATCCAAAGCCAGCTTCCTCTAAAAAACTCAAATAAAAAAAACTCTTTTTTTTTAACAGTTTAAATAAACTGTTTAATTATGATTCTTGTTTGAAAGTGGAGCATGACTCCAGATTAAAAAGAGCTTCTAGACCTTAACAGGATAGCCATGCTGAATCATCCACAGAGGTCAACTAAAGTCTGTGATCAAGAGTCTCTTAAGAGGCTTCCTTTGCCCTCAAAGAGAACTATGGAGAATCAAACGTGAAGAAATGCTTTGATTTCATTTTGAAAACTTAAGTTTTCAAAAAAGTGTGACTTTAATATAAAACTACTTTCAGCAGAGCACAATTTAAACATTGACTCTTAAGAAATAGATTTCTATTAGGACACAGACAAAAATCCTATAATCATATGCTAATAACTGAAATTGTACTATAATTGCCTGCTAATTACCATGGAAATCTACAGGATTAATATTAATAATGTAACTAATAAATCCTGATACAGGAAAGATTACTGTGAACCAACATTGAAGACAGAGATTGAATAAAGAGCATACAGTTTATTTCACAATTAACTACAACCTTGTGTCAATAATGCTTACACTGGATGTGACTATAATGATGTTTATTTGGATGTGTTTGTGGAATCAGGCTCACTACATCACAACCTGTACTGCCCGTTCTGAAAGCACAAGAGCTGTTATGTGCATTATTTTGGAACATCTGCACCAGAAAGTAGTAAAGGAATTCTTAGTTCTCTTCTGTAGGGAGAAGTTATATATGAGTGTGCTACCAATTAACTGTTGTAGCTTCTGGCTTTCACTCTATGAAGTTAATGTTGGTTGTTGAACCTCTTCTAATTTTCCTTCCCTGTTTGAAAGGTAACAAATAGAAAAATATGCCTTCCCGAGAACGTGGTTTTGGAATTATCCACTATTTGAGGAGATTTGGACTGATATCTAGTCTAGTTAACTTTTTTTATTTGTGATCCATTTTAAATATTTTTTAAATGGCTCACACACTGTGCAAAACTGGATAACTCCACTGTGCAAATAAGTCCTGGGAAACTCCCAGCCTGTTCTATGTGTAGACGGTGCCTCAAAATCAACATGCCCCTGGCTGAACTCAGTACCTGGCCAACCTCCACTCCCTCAACACTTGGCCTTGCTGCTCCTTCTGTCTCACCTGCCTCTGGGGAGGGCATCCAACCAGTTAGCAAAGCTGTGCTTTTCTTCATGATCCTTTTGTTCCCCTGTATCCCCCACAGCCAATCAGTCATCAAGGCTCTATCAGCTTGACAGTTTGTCTCTCACTCCTGGGTTAACTTTGTATTTCTCCTTTGCAATTCATGCCTTCAATCCCAGTCTTTCACCTGGCTATTGCTGGTTTTCCATTGCCAGTCCATCCCTCACTGCATCCATCCCACATGCTGGCTCAGAATTACCTCCCTGAAATACAGATATCCCATTACAAACCTGCCAAAAATCCCCAGTGGTTATCTAAAGCCTCCAACATCAAGCACTGCAACTCATTCAAGAGAAAGTTCATTTTGTCACAGTATTCTATTTGATTATTACTTCCGCACATTCTCCACTGTCTGTCCTTATTAAAGTTCTGGGAGGGCTGATGAGCAAATGTAACACAGCCACTTGGATGAATGGCAATTTGCAGGTACAATTTCTATTATTACCCTCTCTTACACATCTTGGATCTCTAAAATCTGCTTCATTCAACAACAGAAAAACATGGCTAAACAAGATATTCATGTTAAACCTCAGTATAAAAAAGTATAAATACACACACATACACACACACACTTGAATATCTCCCCAATAAAACTGTAAAACAAGACTTTGTGGAGCCAAGATACTGTTAAAGCAACAAAGAGCAAGAAACTCTGAGCTCCACTTCTGGCTTAGTGACGTTCCTCTGCAAAGACGCTGAGGTGGGTGGTCGCAGAGGAACTCAAATAGCATTTCCCTAACATTCTACCTGCAGCTCTGAGGTTTGCCACCAGGACTGAGGTGTCAAGAATCAATGAACCTCTAACACTCAGAGCCTTCTGGGTCTGTGGACCCCTAGAATCCTTCCTGGGCTCAGTCAGCCTCCATTGGGGACCCAAGGCTTCAGCCTGTGACACATAGAAACAGCTTAATCAGGGTTTCTTTTAGAGTTTGAGACCAGAAAATTCCATCTATGCTTCATCTCCCTGCCATTCTAAGATGCCCTTAAAAAATACAAGCCTTTCCACAGCCCCATGTACTGAGGACTCCCTTCCTTAACCCTACTCTCTGCATGGGTCAAATCAACAAATCAACTAGCACTCTCACTAGCGTGCATGAGAGTATCCACCCCTTCCACCTTGGCTAATAGTGTTATCAGACTTTATTAAATAATTTGTCAGTCCCATTTTTTTTTTTTTTTGAGACGGAGTCTTGCTCTGTTGCTCAGGGTGGAGTGCAGTGGTGTGATCTTGGCTCACTGAAACCTCCACCTCCTGGGTTCAAGGGATTCTCCTGCCTCAGTCTCCCAGGTAGCTGGAATTGTAGGTGCCCGCCACCACGTCCGGCTAATTTTTATATTTTTAGTAGAGATGGGGTTTCACCATGTTGGCCAGGCTGGTCTGGAACTTTCTGCTTCAAGTGATCTGCCTGCCACGGCCTCCCAAAGTGCTAAGATTAGAGGCGTGAGCCACTGCGCCCAGCTTCAGTCCCACTTTTTTTGTCTTGATTACTGTATCTATGAATGTGCTATTGCACAACTTGCAGCACCCTTCCTACCTTTTTGACCTCACATGCCCTAGTTATCCTTTCAGATGAGTCTCAGAAACTTCTCTGGGAAGCGCTCTTCTATGCTGCCACTTACCACGTGATATCTTAGCTAGTCATCTTCTTGCCCCTAGTCTTGAGCAGTTTGAGTACAGGGCTCTGCCTTAATTACATTTGTATTGCCAGTGCCTAACAAAGGGTCTGGCACATAGTAGGTGTTCAGTAAACTTTTGCAGAACGAATGTGGAATAACTGTGCTTTTCCTCAAACCGGTGTTAACTAACTAATATGGGGCCATCACTAACTCCAAGTCTTCTTTTAAAGGGGCTTTCTCACTCAGAGAAAATCAAATGACAAATTTAATTTAAGCAGAGATTCCACGCAAGAGGTATAACCGACATAGGAATGCTCCTGGGACTGCAGAATGTAAACTTATTTATGACCTTGAATAATTGTTGTTATTCAAGGAGCTCACAAGAGTGAACTTGTGAGACTCAGAGAACTTTGCTTATGTGTTTTGAAAAGCAGCAGAATCTACTTGGGCCTGGGTTTGTTTGGTTTACTTACCTCAAGTTAGAGCTCATTGCTAATGTTTTCTTCCCCTGCCCCCAACTCCTGCCAAACAGTTTACGACCCAATGTACAAGAACCGCATATCAAACTGGCTTCCACCAATGTCAGAACTAGCAGCAGCCAAGAAGTCCACCACTCAGACTGCAAAACGTCCTCCATGTCTGGAGAGGAAGGCACAGACCAAAGAATCAGGATGTCTGTGAACCAGTCTCTCTCCATGTAGACAGGGCCTGGTGGGTGCCAAGAACTGGCTAGAGGCTGGAATACAAAGGCAGTATATGGTGGAGAGAGGGCTTCGAATAATTGTTTTTTAAAAAATGGTGGCACGCAGTGGCTTACGCCTATAATCCCAGCACTTTGGGAGGCTGAGACGGGCAGATCACGAGGTCAGGAGATCGAGACCATCCTGGCTAACACAGTGAAACCCCGTCTCTACTAAAAATACAAAAAATTAGCTGGGCGTGGTGGCGTGTGCCTGTAGCCCCAGCTACTCAGGAGGTTGAGGCAGGAGAATCCCTTGAACCAGGGAGTCGGAGGCTGCAGTGAGCCGAGATCATGCCACCGCACTCCAGCCTGGGTGACAGAGCAAGATGCCGTCTCAAAAATAAATAAATAAATAAAATAAAATAAATAAAAATAAAAATGGTGCACATTTTGGCATTCTTGGGTTTCTATCCCACCTACATACCACTTATCACATGTGTGATCTTGCGTAAAATTCTTCCCTCTTAGCATCTTGGCTTTTAAACAAGAAAATGGGTTATTTTGGCCAGGCGCAGTGGCTCTCGCCTGTAATCCCAGCACTTTGGGAGGCCGAGGCAGGCAGATCACTTGAGGTCACCCTGGCTGGGAAGAGTGACGGGGAGGGAGGGATGAAGAGAGGTTGGTTAATGGGTACAAACACAGTTAGAGAGCAGGAATAAGTTCCAGCATTCAATAGCAGAGCTGAGTGATTAGAGTTAGCAATAATTTATTGCATATTTCAAAATAGCTAGAAGAGAAGATTTGAGATAATCTGAACACAAAGAAATGGTAAATGTTTGAGGCGATGGATATCCCAAATGCCCTGATTTGATCATTGCATATTGTATGCCTGTATCAAAATATCACAGGTACTCCATAAGTACATATAATTATTATGTATCAATTTAAAAAAAAGAACCCTTGCTTTAGCTAAGGGGCCCTCATCTCGGTCTCTAACTCCAGCCTCAGGGTCACTGCCTGGCTGACTTGGTTGAACCTGCAGATCATAGATGCTGGTGGAGATTTGGGAATTGAGACTTTTGAGCCCTGAGTTTAACCTCCAGTTTCACGGGGGTTTCAAAAAAGAAATGCATTAAATAATTCAGGATACTTTTTTATTTTTTAGGCCATTAGAATGTTCCTAACCAAAACTAGCAAATGTACGGCCCACGCACTCTCTGCCTTCCTTCACCCTCTGCAGGCACTGATAACCCTCCATGATAGTCCTAGTGGAGACAAAGAGTGACCTCAGAAACCTTCTCAATATCACACTCCAGAGTTAAAGCAGATGACGGTGCAACAGGCAGACATATGTGCCAGGACACCATCGGTGCTCCTTTATGTGGGAAATAGTGTTTACAACCCACTGGCAGAGAAATGCATGATTTGATTTTTTTAATCTAGCAGAAGAATGAATTGTATGAGATTTTTGCATATTTTCTCTCTCTATGTGAGCAGATGTCAGGTTGAGATTGGGGTAGAGACTGTGCTCAGAAAATTCATGTCTCATTGAAGCTAACTGATGGATTTAATGCCTTGTTCTCAGGTTGGAAGCAAGTAGCCCAGCTACCCATGAAGCTACTTAGTAAAGGTCACAAATCTCAGAGATAAAGCATGTGTGTGCCTATGGGGACACATGTGTATACAGAAAGAAAAGTCTGAAGGCAGGCAAGAGATGATAAAGAAGATAAGAAGATCTGAAGTTTTACAAGATCTGAGAAATCATTCTAGTCTCAGAAAAGTAAACCCTGTAACAATATCAAAGTTGGATCAACAGGTATGCCAGTAAAATGCTTTTATTATTTGCCTTATTTGGACCTACTCCATATTTCTCTTTAATTGCTCCTTTCATTTTCTTGGGTAATAATTATAAGGCTAACTTTTCAAATAAAATAAAATTGTTCCTCTGCTCTATGCAGATTTAACTAAACAGGTTAAGGCAAGTATCCCCAATCCCCGTCCTAGTCACCAGGTCTTGGTTTAGTTTATCAGCTCAGGTCAGGAACACAGATCTTATCCCGGCTCTTGCACTAATTATCTGAGGGGGAGTCATGTGATATGGGCCAGTGAGACTTCCTAGGCCTCAGTTTCCTTGTTTATTCGATAAATATGTTTGACTAGTTAATACAATAGGTGTATGTGTGTGATGCGGAGGTGAGGAGCGGCTTAACTATTTTGCAAGAAAAACCAGTAACTAGTTTCATTGTCTTCTACAGTGAGCCTCTCACCCTATCCTAGTCATTAAACTCTGCCAGTGTGGTCAAGAAGTCCTAGCCAGGGTGAAATGGAAGATCTGAAAAGTCCTCATTGCAATGTGTAAGAAATCAAAGTAATTGTCCTTTGCAAGGCTCAGTAATACCTTTTCATACCCAGCAGGATGGGAACCTTCACTTAGCCCACACTCATTTGGACTGAAGCATCTTAGTCAGCAAAATGGGGTAATGAAGTCTACAAATGAGAAATGACTTACTTCTTATGGAAACAGTGGTAAAATTATTTGGAAACACATACATTACTGTCTGTTTTTAAGTAATTTTTGGAAGCTTTAAGATCTATTCCCTGACTTCCCCTACTTTGCTCTGCATCTCAGAGGTTGATTCTGCAAACTGCACTTTCCACGGTAATGTGCCCTCTGACTCCGAGTTAAATTCTGCCGATGGGAGGCACTGGCAGGAGATCACGAGGCAGAGAGAAGCCAGGACAGTTCTTCTCCTCCCTCTTGGCACTGAGAATGTCTCTGGCAGCAATTCTGCTGTGCTTTCATCTCCCATTGGAAAACAGCTCTCTCTGTGGTCCCAGCTCCTGCTGGGTGGCTCCTCCAACACCCACCTCCTCCTCCCTTTGATTCTCCAGCCCTGCAGGTAATAGCTGGATTGTCTCATTGTGCCTTCAGCCTTTCCAACCTTGGCAATGAATTCATGCCCAGTGAATTATTGGGCATGAGTGTTGCCTTCCAGACTGGACCCCGAGTGATGTGCCATCCAGGGGGCTGCTGGTCTCTACAGAACGGACCTCAAGTTTAGGGGTACACAGACTCCTGGCAGATTCACTCCTTCTTTAAATGGTTCACTTGCGTGACCACCTAGCATTGCTTACACTAGGCATGTGTTGAAATGGAAAGAACACTGGACAGAGAACTAGAAACTTAATGTGTAGTCACATGACCTTTGCCAAATGGCTTTAGGGTCACACGAGCTTGAGTTTATTTATGTCACAGGGATAAGAGTTCATCTGACCTGCTGACTGCCTACTAGGCTCAAACGGGGAGGCCATGAAAACACGTTTTAGGAATTGAAATGGTCATTGCAAATCTAACTATATGACTATGATTTTATGAGACACAGTTGACTTTCATAGAATAGAAAACGCTTTGCTCTCGGCTTAGCCTGATTTTGGTTACTCAGTCTGATCTGCACTAAATGTCCTGACATAGACTAGTGCCGGGCACATCATAAGAGCTCTGTGGCTCCAGCTGTGATTACTACGCCAGGCTCCCCTTGGCATTGAGACAACATGTCAGTTTATCGAGGACTATACAGGGAAGTCAAGGTCAACTTACCAATGTCAAGGACCCTCTGCTTCGCCGTATGCTGCCGAGAGTGCCAGTATTTCCAGTATTTGAGCTGTTCATCTCTGTTTTTGTCTTCACTGAAGACCACCATCACCACACTCTGCAGAGGGGAGAATCGTGGAGCTTACTTTTTGTTCAGTGCCTCTGTTGCCTCAGTCTCCAGTTCTGGAAGTTCTACCAGAGGTGTGTTTGTGTCATGTTGCTTTTCTTGCTTTAGAAAAGCCCAGACAAGCTTGGCTGTATGGTCCGTTTTGTTATAAAATGGACCTACTTAAAAAATGAATTTGTCTTTCAAATTCATTTTGAAGCATGAAGGAAAAAAAAAAGAGTCCTACATCAGTTTTACCAGGAGGTTATAAACAACTGGATTAACCAATTAGCAGCAAATGTATTATTTTGTGAGGTCAGCAGAAACCCCCCCCAAATTTTTTTTTCTTGTATTGGAAACAAGCATTCTTTTGAAATTTCTACTCCTTAAACATAAAATGTGATGCCATTTGTAAAGAAGCAAACATCTGTTTGTGGTCTAATTAAGTGGCTCAGGCTGGAATATCAAAATTAATGAGAAAAATACTAAGGAAATGAGGAAAATGCTGAAAGACAAATTCATATTGGTGAACATAGATCTAAACTACAGATATTTCATACACTGAAAAACGCAAGAGCAACTATGATATCTATTTAAATCTAAAGTGGATGCACTTTAAAAATGAGCTTGAGAAACTAATTATATCTTGCAGAAATAAGAATTCAAAACTCTTTTCAGTTCTAAATTATAAACAGCCTCATTAAACTAAATACACATTAATTCACCGTCACTTATGAAATGGAGACAGTACCAAAAACAACCCTCTTCCAAAAAAAAACCCTTTAATTACAGTATCAGGAATACTCCTCCTCTCACTCCACATCCAAAACACTTCTTAGGCACTTTCCTACTATTCCTGAAAAATATTTCATGGACTCTCATTCCTTAAGAACTTCTTAGGGCTGGGCCGGGTGACTCATGCCTGTAATCCCAACACTTTGGGAAACTGAGGGGGGAAGATCTCTTGAGTCCAGGAATTCAAGACCAGCCTGGGGAACATAGTGAGACCCTATGTCTGCAAATAAAATAATAAAATAAAAAGCCAGGCATGGTGGTGCACGTCTGAAGTCCCAGCTACTTGGAAGGCTGAGACAGGAGGATCCGTTTGAGCTTGGGAGGTTGAGGCTTCAATGAGTAGTGATCATGCCACTGTACTCCAGCCTGGGTGACAGAGAGAGACCCTGTCTCAAAAACCAAAACCAAAACCAAAACAACTTTCTCCTTTGTAGCAGTTTACACATTAGTAGTCATTTACTTATTTACCATTATTCAGCCAATGGCAATGTCTTCCCAATTAACATCAAACTTAGCAAGGACAGAAACAGTGTCTGCCATTCACCCTGGCACCTGACGAATAACAGACAGCAAATACATGCCGGTGGCTGGCTGTCACTTTGAAATCTGGCTCTTGCCTAAAGTATGTGTAAACAATTTTTACACAAGAAAGCAGATGTTTGTTAGGAAAACTGTTTAGAAATATGTATCCATATCGTTTCGAATTCACAAGCAGTGAGATCTTCAGAGGCACTGGATACATGACAACAAAGAAAACCATTCTCTGTGCTGGTGCAACTACCAGCTCAGCCAGCTTTTCATTCTACCCTCTGCCACGCCTCAAACTTTTCCATTTATGTGTCAAAGTTTACTGCGTGGCTTCCTGGTATTTATTTGTCGCAAAATAAAAATAAAATTTAAAGTAATATTTTTTCTGGCAAGTGTCTAAATTAGCATAAATAATGGCATATTCTTGGTATGGAAATTCATTTCTTCAATGATAAAGGAAAACGCAGTTTGAAACTGTTGTTACCACGCCCTACATGCTTTGACTTGGAATGAAACACTGTTCTCAGAAATAAATGCTGATAGGTGACAAACACATTTCTCCTTCCTGCTCCAGAGCCGGGGAGTAAGAAAGAGCCACTCTGAGAGGCGCCAACTTAGTCTCCAAGGGTGGAGGTTGAAGTCCTTCCAAGAAAGGGGGGACTCTTCACTTTAGCCAAAATGGAACATAAAGAAATAAAATTTTCTTATTAAATTATTTTCATGATTTCAGCAAAGTAGAATTCTTGGGAAAGTCCCTGTACTCCAAACTGTTGTCATGACCTTAGAATACTAACCACCCACCATTTTTTCCAGGTTGATGATAATGATGTTAAGAGGGTGTATATGAGTTATACTAACACTTGGAATTTATAAGGCTTAAAAAAAAAAAAGCTAATTTATTCAGTGTCTTCTTACCAGATGCTCATATACAAGAGGGGGAGGATGTAATTTATAGGAAATATATCCAGAGAGAAATACATCCAGGCTAACATTTCCCTGCCTTCAGCCCTCCATGCTGCTCAACACAGCACAACCTCACAGTAAAGAGAGTTGGGTTCAGGAGTCCGACGCCCTGGGGTAGATCCTGGTTCCCTCACCTTTTAGCTATGTAACCTTGGCCGGTTACTAGTTTCTGAAACTTTATCACCAAGTTTCCTTATCTGTAATATCATAAAAACAGCAGTGCCTTTTTCATAGGATTGTTGTCAGTTTCAGTGAGTTACTAGACAGATGGCACCTAATACAATACCTGGCGCTTGAAGATAATAAATATAAATTGTTATTTTATGACTCTTGTTATTATTATTGTGATGGCATATTCTTCACCGCAGTCTTGACCACAGCATTAGAATTTACTAATTCTCCTGATGGGCACACAGCACACCAGCAGCTTTCTCACTGCAGTGAGCTCAGCCTTGCGTGGAACCTGCGCCCCACCTGCACTGGCGGCATGCCCGAGTTGTGGCGCTGTAGGCACACCATGTGCCCCCTTCTTAAGTGTTCTGAAGTGGTAGGAGGAGGGAGCTGTGACTAAAATAAGGTGGGCTGGGCATCATGGACCCAACACCATAAATCATTTTACAACAGATCAGGAAAGTCCTTCCACCTCTTTTCAGAGCTGTGCTATAATTTTCCTTTTCAGTAGAGAAGGATTACCGGGCCTCTCCCTTCTTGGCAGTAGCAAGTACGCCAGAAGCTGGCAGGCTTCCAGAGAAGGGAGAGCCAGTTTCATTTCCCACAAGTAGAAATAATACTCATGAATCTGAAAACTCCCCCAAGTGACTCCTGGTGGGGATCGTGCCTCATCTCTGGAACCCTGAGAAAGCCCTGGGCTGCAGAAGGCTTTGAAACCAAGTTCCACCAGGCCCAGGGATTCAGAGTGAACTGCATTTTCCTTTACAGAATAGAACAAAGCTCTTTCTCACCCACAGAGGGGTTCTGACTTACAGCTACTTACTTGAAAAATTAAGATCAATTGATTGAAAATAACAACAACGAGGAAGCACATAAGCAGTGAGTGAAGCGGGAAAATTCCTCGGATACAGTCAGACAGCATGTTCCAACCATGTCCCTTCCCTGGGGTTTACTGGTTACTGATTACAATGATCAACTACGAGCCAATAAGTGCTCTTGCCCCAACTCTCTGACATTCGTTCTAGAATTATTTATGTTGAAGGTTTTATTTTTTTTCCATGCCATTCCACAAGGCTGTGAGGTAGCCATTCCGTTCATCGGATTCCTTTGTACTTTATCTGAGAAATGTGGCCCCTACCCTGACTTTGCTGATGGGGTGTCGGAAGCATTTGTTGTCTCCGGTCTCGCTGAGTGTTATGGCATAGAACTGTCCTTTGTTGAGGTAGGTCATGGGGCCCTCCCCCTGCTTCTGACGGAGAGATTTGGTGGCTTCCAGGGTGTACTGAAATGTGCCACTGTGAAAGAAAACAAACAGCGGTCAGATCCACTCACTTGGACATTTCTGCTCTTTTGACCAATTTCACATCATAGCATTTCACATGAACATTAACCAATGTTTACTGTTTTAGAGACAAAACACAGCATATGGCAAAAGAGATGAGACCAGATCAAAGGTCATTGCTAGTACAATGTATACAACATTTCTAACAGTGGCCCATAAACCAGATGGTTTGGAAGGGGATAAAGTCCACGATGTGCCTGGCCAATTGTGCAAAAAACAGCTCTACCAGGAGAACCCCTGGTAGATCTTAGCTGGCAATTAGGTAATGCTTGAAGCTTAAGAATTAATAGAATTTGCCATTTTTACCCTAACAACAAAACAACTAAATAAATAATTTTGTTCAATTCATGTATATACCTAACCTTTTTTTTTTTTTTTTTGTCTAACCAAGGTGTTACAGATAGCTGTATCTTACTATAAAACATCTCAAAACATGAAAATCCAAAACTCAAACATTCACTTGAGAATCTAGTTCCCTAATAACAGGGAGTACTTTTTGTATTTTGCTTCTTGTTTTCAAGCCTGCGGAAGAACTCATGGCAGGGTTGTTCTAAATCAGGAGTTTGCAAATGATGGCCCATAGGCCAAATCCATCTCATTGCCTGTTTTTGTAAATAAAGGTTTATTGGAACACAGCTGCACTCATTTGTTTACATACTGTCTATGACTGCTTTCGTACTACAGCAGCAAGGTTGAGTCGTTGTGGTAGAGACGATAGCCTGCCAAACCTAAAATTCTTACTCTCTAGTTCATTTCAGAAAAAGTGTGCAGATCCCTGCTCTAAATAGTGTCCCTCACATTTTTTAAAAAACATGATATAATTTACAAAGGAAAAACACTGATTTTTCCCAACTTCGAAGAGTATATCAATTATTTAAAATAACACAACAGGTATGAACCACAATCATTTTTTGTTTAACACATTCATTCAGAAATATTTATTTCTGCTATACTGCAGGACGGCTCACAGTGACAATCCAATAACAAACACCACATATTTTCTAGATCATCAGAAACTCTCCATTGTGTTTATTTTTTTAGCTCTTTTATTTCATAGTCGTTGGAAGGCTGGGCACAAAGATGACTCAAACTTTATCTCTGAAAATGGCCTCCTGACAGGATTATGGGGGGCTCTTGCTTTCTATGTTAAATATTCCTGTAATGTTTTATTTATTTTTTAACTTTTATAATAAGAAAATCTGAAGGGCAGAATAATATTCCTGTTTTATGATAAAAAATCTTAGGCTTAAGCTAATAAACTAAGCAAATTCCAGAATATGTGTCTTAAAAGAAGTTGGGAAATAAATCATTCAAAACAGAACTGATTCCATTGTCATTTTGTCTGAAAAAGCAATTTCAACACAGTACCATTGAATCATAACATTTTAGACCTGGACAGGATATTAGGAATCACCTAGACCACTAGCTTGCGTCTTGTCTAGGGCACAGACTGCTTTGAAAACATGAAGAAAGCAGTGAATTTTCCTTCCCAGATAAAGGCACTTATGAACATAAACGATTTTTAATATAATTTCAGGGATTTGTGTCCATCAAGCCTGCCCATAACACAGGATAAAAACCCAAGATTCAGCCCACCTTCCTCATTTCACAGCTAAGGAGAGGCTAAGAGACATGCTCGCTCTGCTGGACCATGGCAGCAGCGGAAAGAGAAACGAGGTCAAGTCACTGGTAGGTCCTTGCTCTTCCCACTGGCCTGGCAGCTGCTGACATGGTGCTTTGGATTTACAGCACGCAAATTAGACTCCTATTCCCACATTTTAGAAGGCAATTTCAAGTCCATTCTTCCTTGCCTCCCGCTTCCTGCCCCCAGGAATTCTAAATAAGATGATCTGGGGAGGATGAGTGGGGAGCCTGAGATTGGAACCAGAGGACTTTAAGAGGAAACCAGGAGAATGGAAAAGGGCCATATGTGTAAAAGCAAAGGGGCAAGAAACATAGTGGGAGATGAGATTTTAAGTAAAGAGGGACCAAAACATAGAGGGCCCTGATGACCTTCATAAGGAATTTGAGTTCAATTCTGCCTGAAATGATAAAATCTTCAGTAAGTTTTGTAAATGGGGGAGATAAATTCATTTCTTGCCACTCTCTCACTCTTTTTTTTTTTTTTTTATGTAATGGGGTCTTACTATGTTGGCCAGGCTGGTCTTGAACTTCTGAGCTCAAGTGATCCTCCCACCTCGGCCTCCCAAAGTGCTGGATTACAGGCATGAGCCACCACGCCCAGCTGCCATTCTCTCCTGTCTTCAGACATGATCATAACCAAGGTCTTAAAACATGACTCTTTTACCTGGAATGTTCTTAATCTTCCTTCTTTCCTTAGAAAACACCTGCTATTAATCCTTCAAGATGCAGCTCAAATGCCACTTCCTGTGAATATTTGCCCTCAACCCCACACACCTTCCTACTCCCACACACATGTGCAGGCCTATAGGTCCATTTAGCTCTTTATATATCTCTGTAGCAGGACTCATCTCTTAGCAAATGTTTTTCAATTTGTCTGTCATCACATTTGTCTCCTCCAAAAGTGTGGACCTCTTGTAAGGAGAGATTATATCTTATCCCCAACCCTACTCACACTGCTGCACATGGAAGGCACCTGAGTGCATGATAGCTGGTAGCTGGCTATGTGCACAGTGGAATAAAAAAGAAGTGTTGGCAGGGAGATCCAATGTATTGCAATAGCTCAGGAGAAAGTTGACAAGGGTAACTTGGAAAGGAGATGACAGGTGGAACAGACAATTCAGCATTTAGCAAGTGCTGAGAAAGTCCAACAGGAAAGAAGCCAGATCCTTTACCTCTAGCTGGGGTGGCTTGGAGAATGGGTACATCATTAGCCACAATAGGAAATAAAAGCAGAACACCAGGTGTGAAACAAGTGGAAAAGGAGGGAAAGAAGAAAAAAGATGGGGCTTCATATTACACTTGTTGGGCTGGAAGCACATGAGTATGAGGTTCAGAGGAACACCTACAAAAGAATGTCTAGCCAACAGAAGGAAGAAAAGGGGTGTAGGTCCCAGAAAATTGTCCAAGACTGGAAATAATGATATAGAAGTCCTTTGTATAAAGAAAAAAGCACTGAGGCAAAGGAAATCACACTGTTCTGTACAAGTTTACAAAGAAAAAAGGTTTAAAGGTATAACTCGAAGGTACATTTAAAGGTTTATCAGTTAATCAGTTTCTAAGGATGCATCTCCTGGTAACTCACCTTGATGTCTGATCATACATGTACTCCTCAGCCCCAACTGAAGCACTCCGAAATTTCTGCAAAATATGAGTCATCGGAATTAAAACAAATAGGTAAGTCATTATGCAAAAATGATAATAATAAATGTATCCAAACTATTTTATTCTCTCATTAGAAAATAAAGTTATGTATTTGATATTATGTTTTCAACTACAGCAAAAGTAGTCATAGAACTCACCTATCACCTCCTCACTGAGAGCTACACTCAACAGAAAATACATTTGTGCTTTGTATGTTATTCACGTGTCTGCAGGTGTTCCTACAGAGTTTGAGGTACTGGAAGCTGTTTCCTCAAATAGATAATACATCTCTTCCATTTGCTATTGTCTCCAACACTTATTCCAAATGTCATAAATTCTGAAGTAACAGAACACGAATTACACAGAGGTCATATAGCGCAGCAAAAAGCAATACAGTAGAATGGTTAAGAACATAGTTTCTGAAGCAAGATTGTATAGGGTCAAGTTCTAGCTCTTTTACCTGTTACCTATATAAAATGAGGCAAATGCTATATTTTCTTCATCTATAAAATTTCTATTTATAATAATTAGAAGAATTAAATAAGTTTTAAAAAGTACTAAGAATAGGCTGGGCATGGTGGCTCATGCCTGTAATCCCGCACTTTGGGAGGCCAAGGCAGGAGGATTGCTTGAAGCCAGGAGTTTCAGACCAGCCTGGACAATAAAGCAAGACCTGTCTTGACTAAAAATAAAATAAAATTAGCTTTGTGTGGTGGCTCATCCCTGTAGTCCCAGCTACCCAGAAAGTTGAGGCGGAAGCATCGCTTGAGCCCAAGAGTTCAAGGCTGCAGTGAGCTACGATCACGTCACTTCAGATCAGCCTGAGCGACAGGCTGGAGTGCCTATTAAGACCCTATTTTCTTAAAAAAGTGAAGTTACTAAGAATAGAGCCTGGTACATAGTGAGCACTATGTACATGTATAAATACTATTATAAAGTAATAATTTGACCCTATTCAGTGCCCTTCTCTAAGGATCTTCATTATCACAATATTGTTAAGAGTAGGTTTTCTGGGGAAACTAAGTTTAGTATTACACACAAAGAAGCTTGGGTCTCAAGATGTTCAATTGTATGTACAGTGCATATAGGATGTGCTTTGCTGCATCTTAGAACCTTTTCAAAAGTAGACGACCAAAAGCCCTAATTCTTGATCGGAAGCGAATATTGTAGAATACTGATGAAAAAGCATTTCATTGACCACGTATCTTGTTTTTTCACTATGACCATTTTTCAAGTGTCTCTTCCTAAGAGATAACCTTCCTGCCTCTCATTTCTGTGCAATAAACTTACATTCTTTGACCAGCATTTCAAGGGTTTCCTTCTAAAGGAAAAATGTTACCACAGCTATTTTCCAAACTTCCTCACAACTCCTAACCATCATCTCTGGAACTCAGCATACCTTATATCACAGTTTCCATACATATTTATGATCCTTCTTTTTATCCAATCTTACTTCTTGAATTCAAGAAGATTATCTTCCCTTCAAATTTTACCCACATGAATCCCAGGAACATTGCCCAAATAATTGTTGGCTGAATAAATAATCATGACAGAGAATCAAAGGTACAGATTTGTGTTTCTTTTGCAATAAATTAGGTAATCAGCAAAGCATTCAATGGGAATTTTCTGGGGCTTCACAATCTGCTTTGGTGCCAGAAGAAACACAAAATTATATATAACACTGCCCTGGCCTCAGAGAGATAAAAATTGGTTGAGGGGATGGAATAAATTCACATTAAAAAAAAAAAACTAAAATACAGAAAATGGCTATATATGAAAGTCTATGTTGAATCATTCATTCTTTCATGTGTCTTGACTGGAAAAGCATGGACTGGGCATTACCAGGAAAGGAAGATCAGCAAAATTATAGGGGGATTTCATAGAGCTGGTGAGCTTCGCTCTGACCCTTGGAAGTCAAAGACAGCCTGGATTAACTGAAGGAACTGAGAGAAAGTAACCCAAGCAAGGGAGGGCCACCATGAGTCAAGACAAAAACGATGAGTACAAATGTGGTGCATACATGAGGCCAAGGACACAGGCCTTGCCTGGTTATTTAGCAGGGACTTGAAAATGTAGGTCCTGCTGCCCAATATGATAGCCCCTAGCTCCATGTGCTATTTAAATTTAAGTGGATTAGACTGAAATAAATTTAAACATCTGATTCCTCAGTCAACTAGCCACATTTCAAGTACTACATTAACACATTGGCTAGTGACTAACATTGGATAGTATTAAAAAAAATTTCCATCATTGCAGAAAGCTCTACTGGACAGGCTGATTTAGGAAAATGTATTTACATTTAATATGGTCAGGAATTAGAAAATTTTGGAGTAGGAGGGTAATATGATGAAAAAACTATTGGAGACACAGATGCATTTCCAAAGTGTTTGCTTGAAGGAATATGCAGTAATCCATAAAAACCAGGTGAATCAGCATTAGTAAACATGGCAAGAATGAATTACCATCCATGCCATAGATTTCTGCAGCCTGAGGATAGGCTAACCTCCTAAAGCATATTGGACTTGTAAATTCTGTGGTTCTAATCCCCCAGATGGCATGAGAAGGTATGATACTACAAATCTTCAGACTCAGAAAGACTCAACTACATTCTGGCTGAAATACAGAATCCCACTTCAATGCATGAATGCATGAGGACAAGAACTGTGAAGAAATAAACATTTTTCACAGTTCCATGTTATAGTAGTGGTGACTACTGTAGTTACCATGTTACAAACATAGATATTACTTTTCATTAAGCTTAAAATTTTTTCTTCAATTCTGTTACATTATCTTTATAATTTTAAAAGAATTAAATGGATAGTGTACCTAGAAAACATCACCATCCTTTAGATGAGACCTGATTACATTGATGGGTTACATGGCTGTAAGTAAATTAGTATTAGGAATTAGAATCAAAATGCTCAGGTCATTCTGGCTACAGTTATCAAGTTTCCACAGTTGCTCGGAGACCTATTAATATAATTTGTAGGATGCCAAAAGGCAGTCAGACAGCCAACATCACTGTAGTTTACTGTGATTTGATACAGTGCATCTGTAAATTTGAACTCAGAAAAATGATAGTAAAGAAGGTATGCTAACATATACTTGATAGATTACTCTTAAAGGACCTTAGACATTAGGCAATAGTAAACATATTTAAATCTCAAATATTGGAATTCTGTTCTTTCTCTTGGGTTGCAAAGACAAGATATCTGGTAAGAATATGTCTCAAAAAGACAATGATTCTTTAACTGTAGGGAAATCATAAATTGCTAAACCATTTCTTGTCTTTGATTAGCCACAATTTTTTAGGTCCCATCATTTACCCATTCACTCTTTCAATAAATATTTATTGAACATTTACTTTATATCAGGCACTGTGCTCAGTGCTACAGACACAGTGGTGAACAAAAGGAGAATAGGTCCCTGCTCTCATGAAGCTTCTGGTAAAGTAGGAAAAAACGCTAATCAAATATTTTAAAAACTACAAACTGTGTGCAGGCATTCTGAAGAAGAGCAAAAGTTCTATATGAGCTCATCAAATTCACTGCTATGAGAAAGGGAAAATTGGCATCACTGGCAGTCAACCTTAATGTTCCTAACAGAGTGCAATGTTTCCAGAGAAACATGGATAAGGTTGTATGGGGGAGGATCATAAGTTAGACTTGGGATAAGTAAAAAAAATCAATCGGGCAGTTAGATATAATAAATATAATTATATTAATTATAATAATATATATAATAATATTATTATATTTATATTATTATAGTTATAACATAAATATTATTACATTATAATAAATATTAGTTCAGAAGAGAGGACCGGGCTGGAGAGTAAAATTGGAAGGTCTTTTGGACACAGATGATAACTGAAGCTGTGGACATGAAGCCAAGAGCATTTGCAAGAGGGAGGAGTGATCAACAGTGTCAAATGGTGCTGCAAAGTTAAATAACAGCTTTAACAGAACTGGGACATTCATAGACATTCTGTGCATGAGGTGAGTAAATGCCATGTTAATATAAATAATGAGTGATCTAGTCTTATCAACTTTGACTACATATAGATTTAAATCCTCCTAAGGTATAAAATGTGTATCCCAGAGAATTTCTAAAATTTTACTTGGTGCTAAAACACATTAACAAAGTGACAGAAATTTGGTGTTACCATAGCCACTGCATCATATGTTTAAGATAAACATAATAAAACTGTGTGCATTAATCCAAAGTGAGGCCATGTTCCAATGTAGTAGATGAATCAACATTTTTGAGATTTTGTCCTTTAAATGTGTGGAGGATAATGGACTACCAGCTGTCAATCAATTAAGTTGGATAGGGTTTAGATCCAGGATCACTTCCAGTTTCAGACTAGATGAATATAAAATCAATGGACTAATGATCATACATCTATCCAGATAATGACAAATAGTCATTACTTGCTTTCATTTCAAGATGCTCTGCAAACTATGTTAATTCTACAAATAACATGCCTGGAGTTGAGTTATGAAATACACAGTAGAGCTGTCCGATGTTCACTTATAAATAGTTCTTCTCAATTCCTGAGCACATGGGAGGACTAATGGGAGAATTAAACTTCTCGGCCCTCTTGCAGTTATGTTGATCAGGTGGCTAGTTCTAGCCAACAAAATGTGAGATGGTGCAGTTGCGCCACTTCCAGGTCAACTAGTCAATATGACTAAAGTCAGTAAAGTATGACTTTACAAGTCAGTATGCCATCTCCATGGCCTCCCTTCCTCTGCTGGGGAGACACTAGAAACCACACATAGAGATGATAATGTCACAAGATGCAGGGACCCTGGATTCCTGAGTCACTAATTGGAAGAGAACTGTACAGACATGCATCAGTGTTTTATTAGCAAGAAATAATATTTTATTGTATTAAATCACTGAGATCTTGATGTTGCTTTGTTCCTAAACCAGAAACTATTGTTAACTGACTTATAGAAAACTGTAGTACAGAATAAACAAATTCTTCCTTCCATTTTGATTTATTATGATTATATATCTATATGATTTTTGATAAAAATCCTTCCATCTTTTAATTTTTAAATGTTTCTTAAAATATTTTTGGTCTTAAATACCACTCCATTGTATATTTATCAACTATACTCTTTGCTTATTAGTGGCATGATCTTTGGTTTGTTTCTTAACCTCTCTGAACCTCTGTCTCTTCATCTGTAAAATGGAAAAAATAATGCACCTTCCTTGCAGGATGACAGTAAGGATAAGAAGTAAAATGAGTAAGCCATGGTGCCTGGCACAGAGTAGAACTCAATAAATGGCATCTAGCATTATTTCCCTTCACACATACAGACAGATTGTAAGCTTCTAGAAGGCAGAAACCAGTATGCATTTTGCCCTAAGCTTCCACATCACCACAGTGCCTAATACCCAGTATAAATCAACACATATTTGCCAAATGTTATTACAAAGAGGATGTGGAATAAAATATAGATCAAATTAGCTAAAATTCATCCATTAAAGTGGTTTTTTTTTTTTTTTTTTGGAGACAGGGCCTTGCTCTGTCACCCAAGTTGGAGTGCAGTGGCATGATCATAGCTTCCTGCAGCCTGAACTTCCTGGACTGAAGCAATCCTCCCGCCTCAGCCTCCCAAGCAGCTCGGACTACAGGTGCATGCCACCACACCTAGCTAATTTTTTTATTTTGTATTTTTGTAGAGACAGGGTCTCACTATGTTGCCCAGGCTAGTCTTGAACTCATGGGCTCAAATGATCCTCCCGCCTCTGCCTCCCAAAGTGCTGGGATTACAGGCACAAGCCACCACTCCCAGTCTAAAGCACTTTTTAATGCTACCACTGTCTTTTCAAAAATCCCAGCCTGAGTTAAAGCAAACTACTCCCTTCCCTGCTACCACTGTGCACACATGCACGTGCACATACACACAGAAGAATTGGTCTCAAATGGCAAAATAAATTTGATTATTCAACCCGGGTTCTAGATATTTTAATAGTTTGCCTAGAATAAGTGAGTTTAGACAAATTTTCCTTAATGAAATTTTCTTGGTGAAATTACTCTGAAATCACTTAATCTTATAACTAGTTGACAATGAAATAGCTAAAGATCATAGTAGGATATTCAATTTAATTTACACCAGGCTGAAATACAACATGCCATGTAAACACTGATTTCCAAGACAAGGACAGCAGCTCAACCAAAATCAGTGGGAATAGTCTTTATATTTCGTTTCTGGTAAGTTTCTTTACTTTCTCATCTACTTCAAAATAAAGCCCAAAATACAATAGCTTCCTTTCACAAGCCTCTTTATCTACAATACAAACAACAAACATAACTGATAACACATCCCCCAAATAGCATGATGATTCCGTTGACATTGGACCACATCCATACACTCTTCTGTGACTAATGGAATATTTCTACACTGTGTGAGAAAATACATCAGTGGCAATCTTTTGGTGAAAAAACATGTACCTCACATGGGATCATGGAGTGATAATTTCAGTTATTTTCTTCTACAGAAGCACCCCTCACTACTTAAGAGCAAATCAAATAATCAACAATACCAAAGACTCTACAAGATCCTTCATTCAGTTTAAAAACAAAAAAACAAAAAAAAACAAAAAAAAAATAAGTTTGCTAACTATTTTAAGCAATATGATGCAGGAAGCTAAGAAAGATAATTTTAAGACCATTTTTTAAATTTCAAGAGCATTGAAAGTTTGATTGTAAAGCTACCAGAACCCAAGAAATATGACAGCCTCTTAAGGACAAGGAATTTATCATATGTCACTTTCATCACTCCCTGATTCCACAGAATACAGCAGGCACTCAGAAATGACTGGTGCCAGGAGTGGCAGGGCTGCTAGTGCAACTTCTATGTCCTAGTATACAACAGTTGCTCTCTGCAACTTTGCAGAGAGCCAGTCCCTGCTCATCAACCTTTTGTACTCTTTGCTCACCTGAAAGATTAAAAAAAAAAAATCTGAGATGGACCAAGGACAGTCAAATGTTTTTAAAAAGATTTTGGTGAATCACTGTCTTAAGCAATGGAACTATTGAGAATTAGAAGGCCCCAGGCTTCTCTGAGTGTGTAGTCATATGGTTAAGGATTTAGGTCCTGAAGCCAGACAGCTTAGGTTGAGTCCTATCCCTCCCACTTACTGCTAAATAACCATGAGCATACTTATGCTCTCTATCCCTCAGTTTCCTCATTTAGAATATAGAGATGACAATAATAGTACCTACCACATAGGGCTTTTGTGAG
Source organism: Homo sapiens (assembly GCF_000001405.40). Taxonomy (NCBI): domain Eukaryota; kingdom Metazoa; phylum Chordata; class Mammalia; order Primates; family Hominidae; genus Homo; species Homo sapiens. The sequence goes on along the minus strand of NC_000008.11, from coordinate 101,563,073 downwards.
GCTTATATATCCTTAGAATGATGCCCAGCACATAGTGAGTACCCATCAAATATTCATTATTTTCAAATATTATTACTTAAAGATGAAATCTCAAGCTCAGGCAGCTGCATTTTTCCCAATGGAAATTAAATAGGCAGCAGGCTAAAGATATTATCATGCTGCCACTACACTCACTTCTCTTTAGGAAACTGGAAAACCACACATTCTCTCCTTCTGCCATTGTCTTTTATTGGCCTAGGTGGGCTGAAAAGTAGAGAACCAATGACCCCCATCTTGAATGCAGAGGCAGTGCTCCTAAACAGTGAAGAAGCTGATCTGAGCTAATAAAAATACACATTACATATTCTACATCAAAAGTTGGAAAAGGTACCAACAATTATATCACAAATTGCTGTTTTACCAAGATCCCAAGGCAATTCAATGAATACAAGATCATCTTTTTAACAAATGGTGCCACAACGAAACCAGTATGGCTGGATATCAGTATGGAGAAAAGGGTCTCAATCCTTACCTCACACCATATATAAAAATTACATCACCTCTCAAGCTTGGTGTTTGGTTGGTGGGGACCCACACGGGTTCAATATGCATATTGAGAAGTGTTATATTTGTTCAGGGCCCATCTACCCTGGCCACGGCATGACGTTTGTCCACAATAATTGCAAGGTGTTCAGATTTTGCAAATCTAAATGTCATAAAAACTTTAAAAAGAAGCACAATCCTCCAAAGCTAGGTGAACCAAAGCATTCCTGAAAGCAGCTGGTAAAGGGCTTACGGCGTATAATTCATTTGAATTTGAAAAATGTAGAAATGAACCTATCGAATACCAGTGAGAGCTATGGAATAAAAGTATTGATTCAATGAAGAGAGTTGAAGAAATCAAACAGAAACGCCAAGCTAAATTTATAATGAACAGATCGAAGAAAAATAAAGAGCTACAAAAGTTCAGGATATCAAAGAAGTAAAGCAAAACATCCATCTTATCTGAGCCCCCCTTGCAGGCAAAGGGAAGTAGTTGGAAGAGAAAATGGTACAACAGTTACAAGAGGATGTGGACATGGAAGATGCTTCTTAAAAATCTCTGTAACCATTTCTTTTATGTACATTTGAAAATGCCCTTTGGAGACTTGGAACTGCTAAATTATTATTTTTTACATAAGGTCACTTAAATGAAAAGTGATTAAAATATATCTTTCCTACATTGCCATCTACAAAACATCAGATATTACAGATGTTAGATTGCATCTCAGTGTTAAATCTTTACTGATAGATGTACTTACATAAATCATGAAAATTCTACTTAAAACTATAGAAGTGAATTGTGGATGTAAAATGGTTATGCCATTTGGATAATGGCACTAGACAGCATTTGTACAATAACTAATGGCAAAAATTCATGGCTAGTGATGTATAAAATAAAATATTCTTTGCAGTAAAATGTTCCCTTTATTAATGTTATAGAAGGGGGATACAACAAGGAACTAACAATTTGTATGACAGTGTCAAATATTATTTTGATTTTAGTATTTCCTGCTTGGTTTATTTGCATCTTAGAAGAGCATAATGACATTGTTTGATGAAGCCTAATTATGCTGGACTGTTTTGACCTGGTTTAACCCTTCTGATAGGTAGTTGTGGATGTTGGGGATGAGAAATGAATAATCTTTGCCTGGAATGACACTATAGTCTAGAATTTCCACTTTGAAGAATGCTTAGTTCTAACTTGTGATTCCTGGTAGAACAAACTTTATTTTTCTAGCCTAGCAATGATCTAGAAGCAGAGGAATCCCAGTGCCTTTTAAAAGTTATTATGTGGTTTTCTTTTAAAAAGCTCCTGTTTTTGGAAAGTAGAATTTATAGGTACAACATCTGTTCATTATTTGCACATAAAACCATTTAAAAAGTAAAAAAAAAAAAATTACTTCGAAATGAATCAGAAACCTACATGAAAGACATGAAACTAATAAACATCTAAAGAAAAACAAAAAACAAACAAAAAAAGTTTGTGACATTGGGTTAGGGAAAGATTTCTTAAATGATATAACAAATGCATAAACTATAAAAGACAACATTAATAAAGTAGACTTAATCAGATTAAATGCCGTCGCTCATGGAAAGATATAGTTAAAAAAACAAAAAGGCTAATGGACTGCAAAATATGTGACTAATGAAGGGCCTATATTCACATTATATAAAGAACTCTTACAACTTAATAAAAGGAAGAAAACCCAATTTAAAAATTGGACAAATAATTTGAATAGACACTTCACAAAAGAAGTTATAGGAAGGGCCAAATAAGTACATGAAATGATGTTCAACCTCACTACACATAAAGAAATGCAAATTCAAAGCACAATGAGACACCATCACATATCCACTAAAAGAGCTGAAGTTTAAAAGTTACCAAATTTTGGCAAGGGTGTGGAAAACAGGGATCCTCATACGTTGCTGGTAGGAACAAAATGGTATAGCCACTTTGAAGCACCGTGTGGTAGTACTTTATGAAGTTAAACATACATGAGCCACATGGCCTAGCAATTCCAGCTCTAGGTATTTACCCGAGAGAAATGAAAGCATATGTCCATGTTGAAATATAAACAGGAATGTCCACAGCAGCATTTTTCATAATAGCCAAAAGCTGGAAGCAACCAAATGTCCATCAACTAGTGACTAGCTATAGTGGTATACACTCACTATGAAATACTACTCAGCAACTTTAAAAAACAACTACTAAAACAAGCAACAAGGCTGGGCGTAGTGGCTCACACCACTATCCCAGCACTTCGGGAGGCCGAAGCAGGCGGATCACCTGAGGTCAGGAGTTCAAGACCAGCCTGACAACATGGTGAAACCCTGTCTCTACTAAAAACACACACACACACACACACACACACACAAAATTTAGCCAGGCATGGTGGTGCACACCTGTAATCCCAGCTACTCGGGAGGCTGAGGCAGGAGAATCGCTTGAACCGGGGAGGCAGAGGTTGCAGTGAGCCAAGATCTCACCACTGCACTCCAGCCTGGGCCACACAGTGAGACTCCACCTCAAAAACAAACAAACAAACAAAAAAGCAAGAACATAAATGAGTCTCAAAACTATGCTAAGCAATAAAAGGCAACATAGGAGACTATATCCTCTATCACTTCATTTACATGAAATTTTAGATAAGGTAAAACTATAGTGACAGTAGGCAGATCCACGCTCGCCAAATGCAAGGTGAGCAGGGAAGGCTTCAAATGCAAAGAGCTTCAAGGAAATTTTCAGGGCAAGGGAACTTTCTATACCTAGATTCTGATGTTGGTTTCACAATTGTATACAATTACCAAAATTCTCAACTGTGCACTTAGAACTTCTGAATTTAAAATAAACAAGCAAAGTTAGTCCTATGAGCTCCTGAGAAGAATACATATTCTCTATTTGTAAAGTAGAAAGAATGCACACATACACACACTTGATTATTGATAACGCAAATTCTCCTTCTTGAGTATTCCATCAGACAAGGTTTTTTAAAGTTTTATTGGTTTGTTTTGCTTTGTTTTGAGATGGAGTTTCGTTCTTGTCACCCAGGCTGGAGTGCAGTGGCATGATCTCGGCTCACTGCAACCTCCGCCTCCCGGGTTGAAGCGATTCTCCCGCCTCAGCCTCCCAAGTATCTGGAATTACAGGTGCCTGCCACCAGGCCTGGCTAATTTTTTTTTTTTTTTTTTTTTTTTTTTGTATTTTTAGTAGAGACAGGAGTTCACCATGTTGGCCAGGCTGGTCTTGAACTCCTGGCCTCGATCCACGCACTTCGGCCTCCCAAAGTGCTGGGATTACAGGCATGAGCCACCGCGTCCAGCCAAAGTTATATTGTTTTTTAAAAAAGAATGGACAAGCCCTACCTTTAGCTACCTACCATTTGGAAGGTTACAAACTAGAAAAGATCAAGGTGAAAACTTTACAAAGCAGAAGTTTCCACACAAACATCTCTTAATTTCTCATAAATATTTAGTCTTAAGACTAAAATGAAAACAAAGAAATCCATCATCTAAGAACCAAGAAAAATAGAAATATTCCTCCATACACATACACATCGACAGGTTTATTAATACCTGTTTAGAAAGAATGCCAGACTACCAACAAACACATCTTTTAAAAAACTAATTGAAGCTAAAACTTGCTGTTTAATTCATTTATCACACTTTGAAAGGAAATAGAAAAAAATTAGCTAGGGGCTCTGGGTTTGGGTTCTGGCCGTCGATGGAGCCTGGGACTCACCTCTGTGGCTGCGTCCTTGAAGCTCTCGCTGTATGTGCTGTCCGGAGTGCTGCGCTGGTCGTCTTTGAGATAGGCGCTGTGGGTGGCCAGCGAGGGCACGTCATACTGAGTCTGTTCAAAGATAACCACTCGTTGCTCTTCCCCATCTCCCCGGGGATAGTGCACAGGTGGGGCCATGAAAACTGGTGTGAAATCTTCAGCTTTCACCACCGTGATTCCCGACACCGGGATGATGGCAGAGCTCTCGGGGAAGCTGATGCTGTACTGTTCCCGCTTGGAATTCTCCAGGTGATCTTGATTTAGGGAAAGGTTCACTGGAACAGTCTTTAGGACTTGCACTCGGTTTTCTCCTCCACTCAAATTACTCTGGGCTTCACTGGTGCCAAGGCAGTTTCTGTGTGTTGAAACCCCCCGCAACATGATAGAATTAGAAAAATCACCATTCGGCAACGCCTAATAGAATAACCAATGCAGGCAATAATCATTGGATGTTAATGCCATTAAGGGACAGGGGGCTGGCAAACTTCACAACGAAACGCAATGGGATCCTTGCGTCACTAGAAGTAGGACCACGAGTGAGCCATGCGCCCCCTGGTATCATGCAACCTGAAGCACTCAGTCTCACTGTAAAAAACAAAAACAAAACGAGGCCAGGCGCGGTGCCTCATGCCTGTAATCCCAGTACTTTGGGAGGCCAAGGCGGATGGATCACCTGAGGTCAGTTCAAGACCAGCCTGGCTAACATGGTGAAACCCCGTCTCTAACAAAAAAATACAAAAAATTAGCCAGGAGTGGTGGCGCATGCCTGTAATCCCAGCTACTCGGGAGGCTGAGGCAGGAGAATCACTTGAACCCGGGAGGCAGAGGTTGTGGTGAGTCGAGATGGCGCCATTGCACTCCAGACTGGACAACAAGAATGAAACTGTCTCAAAACAAAACAAAACCTAACCCTAAATCTAATCAAACCTTCATATCTAACTTTCACCTCTTAGGAAATACAGGAACACAAAGAATGACTTAAACAACATCAAAAAGAAGCGATCAGACAAACCAGAATGCAGCACATCCTACTGACCTAAATTTGTCAACAAGTCAAAGGCATGAAAAAAGGAGGAAGGGTGGAAGAAGTTCTAGATTAAAAGAGACTTAAAAGTCATAAAAATCAAGTATGAGAAGCAGCTCTTGTTTGGATCTTGACCTGAACAAACCAAAAAGGCAATTATCAGGCAATGGGAATTTTGAGACAACTGAATATGGACTGGGATTTGGCGATATTAAGGAAGTATTGTTGTCAGGTGCGGTGACTCACGCCTGTAATCCCAGAACTTTGGGAGCCCAAGGCAGGCGAATCACCTGTGGTCAGGAGTTCCAGACCAGCCTGGCCAAAATGGTGAAACCCCATCTCTACTAAAAACACAAAATTAGCCAGGCACAGTGGCATGCGCCTGTAGTCCCAGCTACTCGGGAGGCTGAGGTGGGAGAATCACTTGAACCCAGGAGGCAGAGGTTGCAGTGAGTCGAGATCACACCACTGCAATCCAACCTGGGGGACAGAGCGAGACTCTGTCTCAAAAAAAAAAAAAAAAAAGTATTGTTAATTCAGTTAGGGGTGATAATGATTTTGAGCTTATGTAATAAAATGTCCTTTTTTATTTTTTAGACACACAAATCAGAATTAGTTAGAGGTTAACTAATATGATGACATGACAGGGATTTAAATACTATTGCAATCTGAAAAAAAAAAGAAAAGGAAAGAGAGAAAAGGTCAGTATCAAGCAGATATTAAGCAGTGGCAAAAATTTATCATTGCTGAACTGGAGAATGGGATGGGTATTTGGGGGGTTTATTACACTATTCTCTGTACTTCTGTACGTGTTTGAAAATTTTTACCAAAAAGTTAGTTTTAAAACACAAAAAGAAAAAAGCAGGAGGAGGACAAACATGGTAATTTGAAGGACTAGGACAAACATGGTAATTTGAAGGACTAGGGAGTGGGGAGGATATTTTTTACCATTCTGTGGGCACCTTAAAGGAGAAATAAAATAATGAGAATTTATCATTCAAGTATTTTCACCAAATTGAGAGAGAACATGAGCTCACTGACGTCCTTAGCACTGAATTCCTTTGGGGGCTTAAGGAAGTGGTGTAGCTTGGCTTATGTAAAACAAGATCTCCCAGATCTCAGACCTCCTGGGTGGTACAGAGAGAAAGGAGAGGATGTAGAATATTAATTCTTGCCAGACTAGAATAAAATACTTTCATCTATACTAAAGAAGTCTGGGAGAGAGCAGAAACAAATAAGAACTCATTAATGGAAAATTATTGTTGACAGCAAAATGATTTTATTAGCCAAGTCCCTCTGGTCAGTGCAATTTTGGGGCCACCTCTCACTAATTTACGGATTCTTCTGAGTAATGTGGAGAGAAAATACATCTTTTGCCCCCTCTCTGATGCCTGCGTTGTTTGTTTGTTTCTGTTTTTATCTAGCATGTGCTTTCTGGGGCTTTGTGGCATCTCTCATTGTGAGGGCTATTCTCTTAAAATTTGCTCTTCTGAGGCCGGGCTTGGTGGCTCACACCTGTAATCCCAGCACTTTGGGAGGCCGAGGTGGGTGGATCACCTGAGGTCGGGAGTTCGAGACTAGCCTGACCACCATGGAGAAACGCCATCTCTACTAAAAATACAAAATTAGCCAGGCGTGGTGGCACATGCATGTAATCCCAGCTACTCAGGAGGCTGAGGCAGGAGAATCACTTGAACCTGCCGGGATCGGAGGTTGCAGTGAGCTGAGATCATGCCATTGTATTCTAGCCTGGGCAACAAGGGCAAAACCCCATCTCAAAAAAAAAATGTTCTTCCAAGAACTGGGCTCTTCTGGCTCCTGTGTGTAAAGAAGGAAGCCCATTAGCCTTTGAGCTTGCCTAAGTACCAAGCAGGACTTGATATTTTCAGCTTTGATTTTTCAGATGAAACTTCAAAGTGAAACTTGCAAAAAGAATTTCTCCACATGAACACAGCAAATAGAAAAATATTTAAGATATCTAAAACTTTATGTGTAGAAGAAATAAGTCTAGAAAATAATTTCCTAAGGAGTAAAATCACAAGTCTGCACACTTTCTAGCCTTAAGTAATGACCTGATTTCGTGATCAAATCAATAGAGTGAACCTGTATATAAGAAAGAGTGAAAATTTAGAATTTATGTTTCATCTGAATCCAGCTAGTTGGAGGATGCCAAAACCCAGACCACCCATTTACATTACCATGTCCTAAACCTCATTGTTTAAACATTGCATGGAATGTTAATAGATATTCCTCACATACACACAAAAAAAGAGTCCATCATGAAATCAGTAATAAAAAACAAACAAAATTGCCATAACGAGACCACCGTGACTGGGTTGCAAACATCATGAACCCAGTAAAGGTTCCAGCATTCCTTCACCTGTTTAGTCAAAACCCAGGATTTCCCGAACTCGTGTCAGCCCAGATCCTTGAGTGAAGAAATAACCATTAATACTTGGGGATAAGCCCCTACAGGTTAGGAGTACATAAATTGGTCTACATTTATTGGCTACAAAGTTGTTACCCAGTTTCCACCCCAGGCTTTGCACACACACAGTCTCATTGGCTTTGCCAAAATATTTAAAGTTAACCAACTTCTGTATAGTTAGAGTCCATTTGGGGCAAAGTTTCTTAATTCTTTAATTCATGCAAAACATAGGAATTCTAAAGAAAGAATACAAGTCAAAATATTTTTTGGATTTGGTGTCCTAATAAACAAATAAGCAAGATATGGAATTGTATAAATCTAGTTGAATATTGTTATCATACCACCAGAAAATAACAGATTCAGCACCAACCTAAAATGTGTAACTATGCCTCTGTTAAACAGTTTTAGCTTTTGAAGCTAATACCAGAGAACTTCACAAATACATCTAAAAAATGAATAATTAAAACTAAGAATTATTGTGAGACAGAAATTACCTGCAATATAATTTAAAATTGAACCAAATATTATAATACAAGAAAAATGCAATGATAATAATGGTGTGTTAAACATACTTTTTAGAAAATTCGGATCATGTCATTGAGATTCTGTTATTTTTCCAGGTAGCAACTTCTGTATACAAACAGTTGTAATGATACTATATTAACATATAGCAACTTAATTCATGAATATGCTGCAGATCACAATGACATCCTTCCAAATTATATTCAATGAAAACTCTAAGTCATAATTAATCTATATAAGGTAGTTTAGTCTATACTTCACTGCAGTTTTTTTTTAAAGTGCTCTATGAAAATCACAAAAGTAACCATTAAAATACAATGAGCAGCTGTTGCTTTGTAATGTTGTCCTAAGAGATACTCACTTGTCTGTGATGTGAAAGGTAGACAGAGCACATGGCTTAAACTTGTTTTTCCCTGATCCTGCTATAATTCTGGCACAGGACTAAGCAGATAGCACAAGTTTAACTCAATAAAACTGGCTGGGTCAAGGAAAAGTTTTAGGGCCTGAAGAGTGTCAGCCTCTTCTTCCAGCGAGGTCCCAGGACTCCAGGGCAGTGTGGAGCTTCAGGAGATCCCTAATGGAACAGTGACTCAGATGCAGGCAGCCTTCATGTTCTGCTGGGGTTGCGCCCTGGAGATGCTGCACAGCATATGGCTGCTGGTTGGTGGAGAGGCCCCTGCTGCTAATCACAGAAGACTGTAATGTCACAAGCAGTTCCTATCAAGGCCAGGTCAGATTCTGACACATGTGCTAGTAGGGGATTTTACTTCCATATGGAAGAACCTCCAATAGAAAAACACTATGGCTTCTCTCCATCCCACTGCAGGGGAAGAGATTTATTGATGGGTGAGTTTGAAAGAAGTGGGTGAGTTTGGGCCAGGTGCGGTGGCCCACACCTGTAATCCCAGCACTTTGGGAGGCTGAGGCGGGCAGATCACAAGGTCAGGAGATAGAGCCCATCCTGGCCAATATAGTGAAACTCTGTCTCTACCAAAATACAAAAAATTAGCCTGGCATGGTGGTGCGCACTTGCAGTCCCAGCTACTCAGGATGCTGAGGCAGGAAAATAGCTTGAACCTGGGAGGCGGAGATTACAGTGAGCCAAGATGGTGCCACTACACTCCAGCCTGGTGACAGAGCGAGACTCCGTCTCAAAAAAAAAAAAAAAAAAAAAAAGAAGTGGATGAGTTTGAAAGAAGTAGCTGAGCAGGGTGATTCGGTCCCTTCTGGTCCTGTCTCTTTTTCTGGATCATCCTGGCTAAAGAGAGGGGATTCACCCTCCAGTCACCCCTGCTGTGCCATAAACGGTACAAAGTCATGCCTGGGACTGAATGGGTACACTTACCTAAGTCAGGACTGAAATGTTACAAGCTACAGATTCCAAGTCACATTCTCCAATTGGCTTCATCAGAAATAAAGCTGCTTTTGATTTTTTTGCCCCTTTTGAATCTTAATTTATCTGACTGTGCCTTGCTTTTCAGCTGGTTCTTGATTGAGGAGGGCAGACAAGGGGTGTTCCATGGTGATCTCCTGCAGCTGTCCTGCCCCTTCACCCTGACAGCGATAGCCCTTACAGTCGCCTCCACCTATGCCTCCCTTGGCTGAGAAAGAGCCCAACCTCCTTTCTTTCCCCTTCCCTGATCATCAAAAGCAATCCTTCAAGTGTCTCACTTCCTGAGGGGCCTAATTGCAGTTATAATGCCATAGGATTGATCAGAAAAGTTAATCCCAGCAATGGGCTATCTTACCAGCATCTCACCTCTGACTCAGGATTTTAAGCCTCCTTGGAATCTGAAGAGGGGTATCTGAAGAGGGTGGAGAGACCCTTTGGATGCACAACCAAACATGCAATTTGCTCTCCTCATTGAGAGATCTAGCATTGGTCCAGACTCAAAAGACAGATAGATGATGCTAAGCTTCTTGACCCCATCTCCTCTCAAGAACAAAACATACAGTTTAATAACATTGTTTTTTAGAAAACATAGAGTTATTCTGGGGGCCAGGCAAATTCCTTTACCTTTTCTCCTGGTCTTCTTGGCTGTCACTTGCTTTGCTTACAGACAGCAGCCTCTTGTCTCGAGGAACCTGGAAACATCACCAACCATCAGTCAGACATACACAGAGGCAACCATGACCATGTTCAGAGCTGGACACCGGCATAAGCAAAGAAACCAAAATGGAATGTTCTCCAGGAAATGGTGGAAAAGTTGCTATCACCAGGAGATGATAAAGGCTAGTAGCCTGAGTGACAATGATTATGGAGCCAGAGACAAAGTGTTGGTGATAAACATATGGCCACAACAGACATGATTCGGCTGCTCACTGCTGGCCTAGGTGACTCTCCCTGGACCCGAGCACCTCTCATGCGCTCCCCACCTTGGGAGTGTAAGAGGGGAGAGGAGCAATGTGAGCAGAGGTGAATCTAGACTTGGGTGCCTTTGATCAGACAAAAACATAATAGAGTTACAACAAGTGTCACCATAAAGAACAGGGAGCTACCCTCCCCTCTGATGAGAACTTTAAGTGCTGACGTGGTTGGGAGTGCTTAGGCACGGGGCGGGCCATACTGAGCCAGTAGCTGGGGGAAGCATCCAGTATACCTGGGCCCCCCTTTGTCCACCTTCCTACACAGCTTGTGGACTTGCTTCCACAATTTTGTTTCTAAATACACTTTCATTATTGTCTTAAAACTCCTAATGCCCTTTGGGAGGCCAAGGCGGGCGGATCACGAGGTCAGGAGGTAGAGACCATCCCGGCTAACACAGTGAAACCCCGTCTCTACTAAAAATACAAAAAATTAGCTGGGCGTGGTGGCAGGCACCTGTAGTCCCAGCTACTCAGGAGGCTGAGGCCAGAGAATGGCGTGAACCTGGGAGGCGGAGCTTGCAGTGAGCCGAGATCGCGCCACTGCACTCTAGCCTGGGCGACAGAGCAAGACTCAGTCTCAAAAAAAAAAAACTCCCAATGCCAACATATTACCTGAAAAATATTGAAAAAGTGCTCATTGAAAGAAGGGCCATCCCACCAGCTCTGTCTCTGACCATCATCTAATCGTCTACTGCATCCTAGATACTTTACTCTGCCATTGTTTTCAAACACATGAATAAGTAGGCTTCAATTGGGTTGGTTGATTGAATTTTTTGTTTGTGTATTTTTCTTTCTTTCTTTCTTTCTTTTTTTTTGCTCTATCTCCAGATCTTCCTTCTAGCCAAACTCCTTTGCACCCAAAAAGCAGCCTTTGCTTTCTTGAGATGAAAGAACATTCATGAAAATCATCCCTCTACTGGAGTCCTCTAGCAATTCCTGTGATTTCCACTTACCTGACTATGTACACAAGCCCAGATACCTGGCTTAGTGTGGGGACAGAGCAGAGTGACCAAGAGTCCAGACCTAGAGCCTGCTTGCCTGGGTTCAAATCTCATCTCTACCACTCAGTAAACTCTGTCCCACTTTCCTCATCTGAAAAATGGGCATAACAATAGTCCCTTATCTCACAGGTTTTTAGTAAAATTAAATGAGTTAATTTAATTTTCTAAGCACTTGGAGTGTCTGGTACTTTATATTTGTTAATAAAAAATAAAATAAATCAATTATAAATCATTCATGTTAACTTTCAGAGTGTATACTATACCAGGCATTGCTAAACACTGGATAGAAATGAGATAAATGATAGTTCTCATCATCTATTGGAGATGACAGATAAACATACAATTTCAATACTCAACACACCTGTGTTCATTGCAGCACTATTCACAGTAGCCAGAAGGAGGAAACCACCCAAATGTCCAACAGCAGATGAATGGAAAAACAAAATGGGACATGGCCATACAACGGAATACTATGCTGCCTTAACAGAGAATGAAATTAAGGTGCATGCTATAAAATGGAGGGACCCTGAAGACACTATGCTAAAAAAACTAAGCCAGATACAAAAGGACAAATATTATATGATTCCACTTATATGAGTTACTCCAGAAGACTCAAATTCACAGACAGAAGGTAAAACAGAGAGGAGCAGCAGGTAGGAGGATAAGAAAGGAATTATTGTTTAAACAGTACAGAGTTTTCTGTTTGGGAAAATGAAAAGGCTCTGGAGATAGATGGTGGCGATGTTTGCACAACAGTGTGAATGTACTTAATGCCACAGAACTGGACACTTAATAATGGTTAAAATGGTAAATCTTATGTTATATATCTTTTATGACAATTTTTTTAAAGGCATTAAGGAAGAAGTAAGTATTTAAGGAGACCCCACAGACGTAAAAATAGAATGAAATCATGTCCTTTGCAGCAAGATGGGTGGAGCTGGAGGCCATAATCCTAAGCAAATAAATGCAGGAACAGAAAACCAAATACCGCGTGTTCTGACTTATAAATGGGAGCTAAACATTGGGTTCACATTGACATAAAGATGGGAACAACAGACACGGGACTACTAAGGCAGGGATGCAGGGCAAGGGCTGAAAAACTATCTTTTGGGTCCTATGCCCACTACCTGGGTGCTGGGCACAGTCGTATCCCAAACCTCAGTGTCACACAAAATATCCATGTAACAAGCCTGCACACATATCCCCAAATCTAAAACAAAAGTTGAAATGATAATTTTTTTAAAAAAAAAAAAGACCTGCATATGTATCCCAGAACTTAAAGTATAATAATTAAAAAAAATAAAAATAAATAATAAAAGAGGGAAAAAAGGAGAAAGAAATTCCACTGGCATTGAGATTAAAAACTTAATAAACTGGAAAACTATACATATATAGAAAAAAGGAGACCTGCCTCCCCAGCTCTGCCTGCCACTATACCCTGAGTTTATGACTCGCCCACCCCACTAGAGAGCACTTAGTTTCTTTCCTAAAATATAGTTATTCCTATAGTGTTTTAAAAATTTAATACCCCATGATACGAGATAAAACTGTGCTACCGACAGGGTTCTCTGGAAGCCTAGAGGACAGAGCTCCCCAGAGGGGCTGAGCCATGGTAGGAATTTGTCAGGTGGATGGAGAAGGCTTTCTAGCCACCAGGGCTGCTTATAAAAAGGTTAGAGGGCAGGACAGAACAAGGAAGGCATGTCCCACGTGAGGAATGAGTTGGGGGAGATGTGGCCTCAGAGATGAGCAAAGGCCAGACGAGGAAAGGCCTCTGAAGCAGGGACAGATGATTTACTTCTTTTGTTGTGTGCTATGGCACCATCACATTTTTCTGGACTGTCAAGCATCCCTCGCCCTCTCCCCTTCCAACCAGGTGGCACAAAGTCCCCTGTGCTTCTGAAACCCATCCCCTGCCCCTGGACACCAGCCTCCAGGCTCAGCCTCCAGGGTCCCTTGCTTGGGCTGCTGAATCAGCTAACTGGTCTCTCCTCTCCTTCATTTCATAACTGTGAATTATTTCTGGATCCATTAGGAAGACTCAGAGTGGTCTGCTTAAAATGCAGTCTGATCTTGTCGTGTTGCTATTATACTTAAAACCCATCAGTGCTTCCCATTACTCTCAGGTAGGTAGTCTCAAATACGTCTCCCATCTCAATGTAGGCAGCCCCTGTTTTTGCTTCTCACACTTGGGCCAACTATATCTACGACCATGCATATGCTCCTTCTCATAAAAGAGCCATGACACAAAGTCCTCTCTGCCTAGAACATGCCCCACCCCTCCTACCCCCACACTACCACCCATGCCTTCTCCAGGCTAACTTGTGCCCATACTTTGAGTCCCATCTAATTTTCTGTGTCCATGATATGGCAGTCTCTATGCCTACCTTGTACATGGTTATGTCCTCAATGCCTGGAATGTAGTAGGCCCTCACTAAATACTTATTGAAAGAATCAATTGATCAATGAAAATGGCCTGGAAAGGGCAGGACCAAAGAAATAGAAGAATAGGGATTCCAAACACTGAAACATGTTAGCGACTCCCAAAGATTCATGGAAGTGAATGCTGTTGTTGCCAAGAGCCCCTGATGTGAGCTCTGTGCTGACAGCTGTGCTCGGTTTAAGGTGCTAGGCACAATACCATAAAGGTGGTTATTAACCTGCGGGTTTGCTCTTCTTTGAACCATGCTCTTTTTTGAAACTTTGGCTTTACAAACCATCTTTAGATAAACTGAGAACTCTGAACTTGGTCTCTTCCCTTGAGTCCTAGATGTCCCTACCTGGACATCCTGCAGGCACATCAAACTCAACTCTTAATTATTGTTCTCCTCAGAGCCTTTATTCTGTACTCTCTGCCTTGATTAATCCAGGAATCATCTTAGGCATCTTACCCTTGTTATGAACTCCCCTCACCAACTCTCTGTCTCTCTCTCTTTCTGTCCTGGTCTGTGCATGTGACAGATCATCCTCTACTCTGTGGCAGAGTAGGCATTGCTTCCTCTGGAAAGCTGGTGAATTATCTGGGAGGTTGTCAGTCAACCCACTGCTCTTGGAACATGCCCCTTTTTGAGCATTGACCTCCATAAACCATGGTTATAGGTTTATAGCAATGTGTTTGTCCTGGACTGTGATTGTCGGTGATCTCTCTGAGGTGGTCAACCGAATATCATCTGCCTTTAGATATCCAATATTTACCCCCATTACTGGGAGGTCATATCTACTTAGTGAATATTTTTTGGGTGGGTGTGTGTGTGGGTGGGTGGATGGATGGATGGATAGATGGATAGATGGATAGATGGACAAACAAATCAACCAACAAATTGGTTTCCAGCAGTACTGGTCAATAGAACAGATAGAAACCAACTGACCAGGGAAGCCTATTTTTCACTACAGCTGGAACCAGATGATGATAAACCAGCTCTTTCAAGAGGAAAATAAAGTTACATAAAGTAAGTCAAAACATTTTTTAAATATCTGGCTAATTGAATCTGTCACATTTTTCTGTCATGCCTGAAATTCATGGAAAGGTCGCACAACTGTGGAGCTATTACTGGTAAGTAGTTTAAACTGGATAGAGAACTGGGCTAGAATTTTAGTCTCTAAATTATGACTGATTCTATATATTTGGATTTTAAAAAATAAACACCACTTTATGAGTAAGCAACTTATTAAGCTCCAAATGCATACTTTTAAAATTTTTAAATGGATTCAAAAAAGGGCATTTTGTAAATGGTGGACATTGTAAAACAATGGCTATTAGGAAACATACAGGATTGTCCTGTGATCTTGGGTAAATCCCACTGAGTTGCATGAACTATAAAATGTAAAACCTGATGGACTTCACTGCAATGATCTGTGGTGACAGTTATCAACTGTAGGTGAAAAGACCTTGAAATTTATGAAGTATTATGCAAAGGTATGCCTTTGCCACGTTCACAGGACAGGGACCACCATTTCTGGAGTGCCTGCGTGTAGCTCATGAACTCCTCCCTGTGGACAGAGTCCATGACTGTCCCCACAGGGGTGATATACTCCAACTTCAGGAGTGAGGAAAAATGGTTTCTTTGACAAAAATAGAATCAATTCATCCTCTGAAGAGGCATACAAAGTCTATAAAATGTGAATGATAACATGGCAGCAATTTTTACAATAATTTAACTTCCCAGAGTTTACACGCATTTAAACCAAAAAAAAAAACAGACTGCTGTGTTTCATTAACATTTCACTTGACTACAGAAAAAGGTCTATCCTCAAGGGACATTTAACTTTGTTATAACTTTAACACCAACATATATAAGCTGTGAACACCCAGGCAACTGAAAAGGGCTTCAAAATGATCATTTGAACATACAGTGTTTGAAAATAAGACCAATTATTTCCAGAAACACTAAAATGTTTCAAGCAAAAGTATAGCAAAGCTCATGTGAAATAAAAGAAGCTATGTAACTCTAGTAGTCCACACAGTCTTGGAAATATTAATTCAACAGAAGGAGTTCTAGACTTGGCTGCAACTTGAGTTTTATGTAAACTCCCTACCTGGTATCTCAGAATAGTTACAGAAAGCAATATTTCAACTTTCCTTTAAATGCTAGCATAAGAGGACAAGTAATCTGGGTACCATATTTACTAGTACTTAATCACCCATATTTACTAATACTTAATTATCCTCTGCATCTGTGGGAAATAAAATATATTGCCTTCATAAATTACTAATTATGGACTGGACTTGGTGACTCACGCCTAATCCCAGCACTTTGGAAGGTCAAGGCCGGTGGATCACTCGAAGCCAGGAGTTCAAGAGCAGCCTGGCCAACATGTGCAAAATCCCGTCTCTACTAAAAATACATATACAAAAATTAGCCGGTTGCGGTGATGCATGTCTTAATCCCAGCTACCTGGGTGGCTGAGGCAGGAAAATTGTTTGAACTCGGGAGACAGAGGTTACAGTGAGCTGAGATCATGCCACTGCACTCCAGCCTGGGCAACAGAGCGAGACTCTGTCTAAAAAAAAAAAAAAAATTACTAATTATGTTTGTTTCAGGATATGCTTCTCTTTCTCACTAACACAAAAAAAGAATTGTCATCAAATACAGATATATGAAATTATATCCATTTCACAATAACAGAATAAAATCTATATTTTAAAGAATAGGAACAACATATTTCTCCTAAATATAATCAATATATTTCTTCAAAGCCTTATGAAAACTATTAACTGACATATTAATTTAACATTATAAAAGTTTCAAACAGGCTGGGCACGGTGGCTTACGCCTATAATCCCAGCACTTTGGGAGGTTGAGGAGGGCAGATCACGAGGTCAAGAGATCGAGACCATCCTGGCCAATATGGCGAAACCCCATCTCTACTAAAAATACAAAAATTAGCTGGTCATGGTAGAGTGTGCCTGTAATCCCAGCTACTTGGGAGGCTGAGGCAGGAGAATCACTTGAACCCGGGAGGTGGAGGTTGCAGTGAGCCAAGATCGTGCCACTGCACTCCAGCCTGGTGACAGAGCAAGACTCCATCTCAAAAAAAAAAAAAAAAAAAAAAAAAAAAAATGTTACAAAGAGAAGTTGTAATGATCTGAATAATCAAATCAGGGTCACTTTAAAGATATATTTATAGATTTTGAAGATCAATACAACTGTCAAGTTTTGACTATTTTTTCATCATAGAAGAAAATCACTTTTCAATTTCTTTCTAAGGATGAGACCAAAAACAGTTAAGCCCT
This sequence comes from Homo sapiens, assembly GCF_000001405.40. Lineage (NCBI taxonomy): Eukaryota > Metazoa > Chordata > Mammalia > Primates > Hominidae > Homo > Homo sapiens. The sequence goes on along the minus strand of NC_000008.11, from coordinate 101,545,697 downwards.
CAAGAAGTGGCCCAGTACACGAAGCAGCCTAATTTGATGAGTTCTGTGCTTCCCAACTATCCTCAATACATTTTGAAAATTTTCAATTTGAAACATTTAGAATTTATCCTTGCATTTCTCAGATGAGATCCTCAATCAGAAAGAATGAAAACTATAAAACAACCACAGCCAGAAAAGAAGAAGAAGAATAAAAAGCCTACCATGAAATCATTTTGGTTTTCAGACTTTTTTTTTTTTTTTTTTTTTTTTTTTTTCAGGAATTCCCCTTCACTGTAGAGAAAATAGCCTTAGTTACATGCAATGTAGTTTAGGCCTTAAAGCATCCTTTCATCTGGAGCCCAAGTCCCCCAAAGTTAAGGTCCTTCTTGCTATGTCAGGAGTCCTGCTGGGAGTTTTATGCCTTCATAAGAGGGTGGTCACAATCTGCCAATGCTGGCTCTCTTGATAAGTGGGAAAGTCAGCCTAGACTGGAGAAAGCCTAGACCAATAGAAAGCCCTTCATATATTTCTCTAGCACTTCTTAACTATAAAGGATGCATTTATTTGAGTTAGCAATATCCTTATTTAAAATACCCTGGATGGTCCTACCTGTCAGTCACTTGCACCTGCCACTCATACCTTGCTCTTCATCTTAGATAAAGCCTCGCTTTGTTTTCAATCATCTCCCCAAGAAGGAATCCCTCCTGAGTGTTTTAATGGGAAAGAAGGTGGGAAAGGAATGTGTAATTTTAGAAAACTCTGGCAGAAGAATAGGTGTGGTGGCAATGCCAGAGGTGGTGGTGGGAGATTTTTTGAAAGCATGAGAACTGTTCTAGGGGAGAGACAGGAGACAATAGCTTGCAAAGTGGAGGCTGCTGGAAGTTAACAGGAAGTAGGAAGCAGAAAAGAAACAGGAAGCAAGACCAAAGGTTACTAAAAGGGAAATTATCTTTCCTGCATGATTTTGCTGAACTCTGTGGTTTTTCCATGATGGAGGGAGAAGGGAAGGTGGGATTCAGTTCTTATTCTAAAATAAGAGTTAATAAGAGTTCATTGTGCCCAACCAGCAAAATAAACACAGCCATCCTCACATTTGTGCCAATTCCCAGCATCAGCCAAAGGTGTTTACAATCAAGGCAGGCAATAAATCTCATTCAGTAAATACTGGTCAACTTTTTATACTTTAATAATTCAAAAGGAGCAGGTCATACCAGGCATAGTTCTTTATGCTTGAGAAAAATCATTGTTTTTGTTTGATTTCCTGAAATACTCCTATTTTATAGGTAGTATATGGCAATTATATTTTTGAAATATAAGTGCATTACATTTATTTTGCCTTAAGACTTTTTCAAAATAAAAATTTACTACTCATCAAAACAAATGGAGAAAGTTAGGGTTGTAACAAAATTAGGTGTTGAAATTCCTGCAAAAGTCTTCCACGAAAGTGTTCACTGGAATGTTCCTTATAAAACTGAAAAATCTAGAAACCCTGAATGTTTCTAATAAATAGAAAAATCTAGAGGCAACCTAAATGTTCAACCACTGAGCAATAACTAAATTATGGTACAGCCACTGATATGGTTTGGCTCTGTGTCCTCACCCAAATCTCATCTTGAATTGTACTCCCATAATTCCCATGTGTTGTGGGAGGGACACTGTGGCAGATAATTTGAATTGTGGGAGCAGTTTCCCCCATACTGTTCTCGTGATAGCGAATAAGTCTCACAAGATCTGATGGTTTTATCAGGGGTTTCCACTTTTGCATCTTCTTCATTTTCTGTTTCCACTGCCGTGTAAGGAGTGCCTTTTGCTTCCTGCCATGATTCTGAGGCCTCCCCAGCCATGTGGAACTGTAAGTCCAATTAAACCGCTTTTTCTTCTCAGTCTCCAGTATGTCTTTATCAGCAGTGTGAAAATGGACTAATAAAGCCACTCAATGTAATATACTTCATTCAGCAAAAATAATAATCCTAAAGTAAACATAGCAACAAGGAAGTATTTGTAATATGGTAAGAATAATATGCAAATAATATTTATGCATGTGAACAAGGAACACAAAAAATATTATCCCAAAATGAGTACTTCCTCTGGATGGGTGATAAAGTTGAGCTTTGTAGATGGGGAAGCAGGGAGCAAGGAGAACAGGAAGAGGCTGAATTCTATATTGACTTTGGAAATGCTATTAGTTCCCTGGCCTGGGACAAACAATCTGTTCCTTCTTCCCACCAGCAAAGGGTTGTCCTGGAGCAGGAAGAAGAGAAAAGTGGAGGCTGGGGACCTACCTTGTAGTAGTCATAGAGCAGGCCGAGGGCAGCAGCACTGTCCTCATCACCATTAATGCTCATCATGGCCTTGGTGGCTGCTGTCAGGGGATTCTCCAAGTATGACTTCCAGGCTTCATCCTCACTGGTGTAGGCTCTTCGGGTATTGAATGGAGGGTCACTGGGCATGGGCACTAAGGCCACTAGTCTTTTATTACTGTAAAAACAAGAGAAATGTGAGGTTCATTTTCAGAGAGAGCAAATTTTTTACCCCTAATAATATACATATTACATGACTACAAACATTAATTTTTATTTCCCCAGAATGGGGGAGAAGGAAGGGAAGAAGTTTAAAGTTAAAGTGACAACTACTGATTTATTTTTTTACTGTCTATGAGAAGTAATAAGTCTTTAAAAAGTAGTACCAGTAGTATAAGTTGGTATTATGGTTTGAATGTTCATCACCTCCAAAACCTAAGTTAAAATTTAGTCAACATTGTGATGGTATTGGAAGGTAGGGCTCCCACATGGTGTTGAGCCCACTCATCTTTAAGAGGTGTTTAGGTCATGAATGGATCAATGCCATTATCAAAGGAGTGGGTTCATTGTGACTGAAATAGCTTCACCCCCTCTTGCTCTCTTTCCATCTTACTCTCTCTTTACCCTTCCATCTTTCCCCATAAGATGATGCAGCAAGAAGTCCTTGGTCAGATGCTGCCCCTTGATCCTGGACTTCTGGGCCTCCAGAATTGTGAGCCAATAAATTTCTACCCAGGGTCAGGTATTCTGTTATAGCAGCACAAAATTGACTAAAACAATTGGTCCTCTTCAAACTCAGAGCTCTGTATCCAGTCATTCTAGGGGCCAAGTAATTTTATTTATTTATTCTTTTTTTTTTTTTTCTGAGACGGAGTTTCACTCTTGTTGTCCAGGCTGGAGTGCAATGGTGCAATCTCGGCTCACTGAAACCTCCGCTTCCCAGGTTCAAGGATTCTCTGCCTCAGCCTCCCAAGTAAGTGGGATTACAGGCACCTGCCACCTTGCTTGGCTAATTTTTGTATTTTTAGTAGAGACGGCTGTTCTCAAACTCCTGACCTCAGGTGATCCATGTGCCTGGGCCTCCCAGAGTGCAAGGATTACAGGCATGTGCCACCACGCCTGGCCTAATTATTCTTTATTAATGAATGCAAGAATGGAACCCTAAGAGAGAGCAGGTTTCATTTAATTCTCTGAGTTCTCATTATAAATATGTGTAAGACATTGAATGTAATCAATATGCTAATGATTATTGAAAACTGTTTTATCTAGTTTAATCTATACTTGAAATTACTAGCAAATTATAGACCAACCCATGTCTCAATGTAAAAGGCAATGTAAGCTACTTTGCAAACACAGTGTATTCAGGTAATGCTGTGTAAAATGATATGGAACAGCAGTAATGAGACGGACTCTATTGTAGATCCTGTGCTACAACAGAATTCTACAATATTTAGGTGATATAAAAACTACAAGCTACAAAGACCATCATGGAAAGTGAGGGAGTCTATACGGGGAATTTACAGTAGAAACAGAAATGGGTGGGAGTCAATCAATCCTAACCAAGCCAGCCTTGCATAAAGCAGCAATTGACAAACAAGGCAATGTCTTCAGGTGAGTATGATGACTCAAGTACCCAAAGACCATGACAGTCCTCAGCATTTCCCCTGCTGGGTGCTCGGCTATCAAATAACAGAGCCTGCAGAGGTTTGGTCACTTCTCTCCTAGCCCTCATATGCTTGTTCATTGAAATGGAACCAACATGGAACAATGAGACATTGTATTTCAGTTAACACCTATGTCAGCACATCGTAACATGGCAGGGACATGTGACAAGGCTGGCAAAGGCAACACCAACATCAATCAATAGAAATTCAACTGCCAAGGACTTCTGATGATCATGCAGTCATAAAAGAGGTCCCTTTTTGCCAAGAACCAACATATGTTGGTGCAGATGTGGGAAAGGGAACAGTTATTTACTGTTGATAGGAATGTATATTAGTACAATCTCTATGGAAAACAGTATGGAGATTTTTCAAAGAACCAAAAGTAGATCTACCACTACTTCCAGCAATCCCATCGCTAGGTATTTACCCAAAGGAAAATAAGTCATTATATTAAAAAGACACCTCCACTTGTATGTTTATTACAGCACAATTCACAATGGCAAAGATATGGAAAAAAACATATGTACCCATCAATCTATGAGTGGTTAAAGAAAACATGGTGTACACACACACACACACACACACACACACACACACACACACACACCATGAAATAGTACTCAGCCATTAAAAAAGAATGAAAGGAGGTCTTTTGCAGCAACAGTGACGGAACTGGAGGCCACTATCCTAAGTGAAGTAGCTCAGGAACAACAACAACAAAAAACAAATACTACATGTTCTCACTTATAAGTGGGAGCTAAGCAGCTATGGGTATGCAAAGGCAAACAGAGTGATATAATAAACATTGGTACAATGTACACTATTCAGGTGACAGGTGCATTAAAAGCCTAGACTTCATCACTATACAATGCATCCACGTAACCAAAAACCACCTGTACCCCTAAAGCTATTGAAATGAAAAATATAGAAATAAAATAAAATAAAATGGAAAATAAAAAAAGACTAAAAAAAAGAGGTCTATTTTTGCTGACATTCCTATGGGATCTCCTAATGGTAGATGGTTCCTCAGCTCACTTTGTGATGGAGAACTGGCGTGAACTCACAATGAAAAGTGTGTCAAGGGCCCTTTGTGTGCTGTCATGATGCATGCTTTTGTGTCAGGTCAGAAAAAAAGACACTGACATTGGTAAGATATGTTTGGGGTGGGGCAGATGGGAAATGCACGTTTAGCAGAGTGGAATTCCGGTCGCTAGGCCTCTGAGTCAGGCTCTTTGAGCCAGTGGTTTGGTGAAACTGATTGGAAGGAAAGAGAGAACATTGACTCAATTGCAAATGAGTTAGATTACAAGGGTATAATCAGGCTTCTTGGAATACATGAGAAAACACCCTGGTTGGCAGGCTTACTACCATACTGTTAGGCACTGTGGTGACATGAAGTAGTATAGGCCTTAGAAGTAAGTATTTGTTCACCATTTACAGTGGTGAGAAGCTGGGTAATGTCTAACGTTCACTTTCTTAAATAATTCAGTGCCTACTTACCTTACAATGTGCTTATGAAGATCAAATAAAATAATTGATAAAATAGGATTCTGCAAACTGCATAGTACTTTGCAAATAACAGGTATGACTATCACTGCACAGTTTTATGTTCCCATAAAATTTGTGGATATATCAATTTTTGGTAAAGTTGAGTATAATTTAAAAGTCTTAAAGATAATCATTAATTGAAGGGAAATTGAAGTTGTTCATTCAACAATATTCTTTAAATATTTATTGAGAGCCCAATAGTTGCCAGACATTGTGCTGGTTGTTAAGGATGGAGTGGCACGTGACATAATGTTCTTTACCCCACGTACCTGCCAGAGAGAGAGAATATCACTATCACAGGGCCATGCGTGTGAGAAAGGACATGGGTGGTGCTGTGAGGGCACACGACAGAGGGGACTAACCTAATGACAGGACAAATAAGGGGCCAACATTTCTAAACAAAGCTGAAGCATAGGTAGGAATGTGCTGGTCAATGCTGAGATGGTGAGATGTGGGAAATGCTTTTTAAAGTGAAGGATACTTTGGTAGTGCAGAATAATGGGATTTTCTTACAAAAGGAGCATATTTGTATTTATTTTGGAGAGTCCATTAGAAAAATTTACATATTTAATCTAATGATAAAATAGCATTTCCATGTAGAAAACTTCTAAATATGCAGGGTTGGATTTGGAGACAGGATATGCTGGTGGACTCCTGAGGTTCTATAATGAGGCCTCCAGAAAGAACTAAGAAGGTAGCAGAGGTGGTGGGCCCTGGCTGTGACAATGTCACCGGCCCCCCACGATTGATTAGTTGGGGCCACCCTCGGTGCCTGGTCTGCAGCCTCCACTTGGAGAGTAAAACAGAGGATTTGGAACCTCAGTCGTTGCCCATGAAGGCACAGGCATGCACACTTCCAAAAATGCCCAGTCCTGCAGGAAGGACTTCATGTTATTGGGAGTGATCACACCATTGAAAAGGATGAGGATTTTACTCTGTCATGCCTCAGAGACGCACACATTGCTGTGGAGGAGTGCAGGTGGGGTGAGGTGTTAATTATAACACTGGCTAAATTCCAAAAGTTTAGCAGGAAGCACCAAGCTGAAGGATCAGAGCCAAGTCTCGATTTACACTAAGATGTGTCCTGATTCACTGGAGGGATTTTTCCCTAAATCTTCCTTCTTGAAATCCCTACTCCCTCCTGCTGAGTCTCTTAGCTTGCTGATTTCATCTTTCCTAGCACAAAGCTTTGCTCATAAATTTAAGAGCGCCATCAGCCTTTCCCCTAAAATGAAATTGTTGATGAATCCTTACGTGATCAGTGGAAAAAGTATTTTGGGAAATCACAACATTATTAGCTGTTTCTTTTCACATTCTTGGCAGCCACAGGGGCCTTTTATGCTCTTCCCTTTAACTATGCAATGAATTTGGTTTTCTCTTCACAAATTATAATCTCTCTGGTACACAGCACTGTTGAATGAAGTTTAATTTAATAAAAACAGAATAATCTCTCTGGTACACTGAGCAAAAATGTAGACTTGTAAAGAAAGGAAAGTTTCACAGAACAACTTTCACCACAGTTAGGAACACTCTGAAGCTGTTTTATCATTGCTCTTTTGGAAGGGCAATTCTAATTCTGCTCTGGTCCGCTTCTTAAATATCCTTTGTGAAGCTTTAGGTGGGCTATGTCCTGGGTAGCCTCAAACACAGAACGGTAAACAGCAACTGTAAACTCGATCCCAAGGTCCTGCTTTGGAGGAAAATTTTGGGGATCGCCAGAGCAATCACAGCAAGGCTAAGGCCATGTCACACAGACAACTTTTTTTTTTTCTTGTTCGTTTTCTTTAATCCATGACTTCTCTGTGTGGATGCTGGGAGATGGCTGAGAGATGAGTCATCAGCTGAAGTGATGAAAGGGACCATGCAGCTGTGCCACTGAGACCAAGACCAGCCAGTCTCCAAGGCTCCAGATCATTCTGCCTGGACAGCCCCCTCCATGCTCCCCTGAGTATAATAGCAGTCAAATGCAGGAATGCTTTGCTGGGGAGAAGCAGAGGAAGCTTAACACATAACATTTTCCCCGTCTAAAGATATGTGCAGTTATGGTCAACAGATCCAGACACAAATCCACTTATAAAGACACTTGGGATCCAAAACAAAAACTAGGACAGTGCCCGTCACGCAATGCATGTTCATGGGAAACCCCGTTCTAAACCATTAGTGGATGATCTGCTTCCGGGTCAGGGCTTCTTATGTAACAGGGCAGCTCCCTCACTGTGATCTGTTGAAAATCAGCCCTAGACACAAGGGTTTGTAGAGAACAAAAACAAAGGAAAGAAAAGAAATTTTTTTAAAAAAGAAAATAACAAAGGAAAAAATTAGGATGGTGAAGTATGCACACAAATTATTACTTTTAATCAACTTCTCATATCCATTTCTACAAGGACATTGGTTTGTTTGTGTTTTATGGAATTTTTGTCTTGATATAGGGGGAGGATGCTTTTGGAGTTGGGTAACTTCGGTTTAAATCTCAGCTCTATCAATGAGTGAATTTAGATGAGTTGCTCATCTCCTTGATGAGCAGGTGTCTCTTTGAGCTTCCATTTCTTCCTCTGTATCATGATATTTTATAATATTATTCTAAAGGAATCACTCAGATATTTACATTTGAAGTGCTTGGTGCATTATAGATCTTCCACAGATAATAGTTAGATAGTAGTAGTACGCTCCATAGAACTAATTCTACTAATAACCAGCTCAAAGTCCAATGGACTGTTTTCAGGTCTTAACTCCTTGAATTTTCTTGGCCATTTTTTTGCTTTTGTAAAATCCTGCTTTACTTGTGAGACACTATGCTAAGGTGGTTCTTCTCTTTAGCCAACCATTCTTTCCTAATTTCTGTTCTACCTGTTCTCCTCTTCTTTCTTTAACTCTGACCATTCCTTGGTATTTTTCTTATTTCTCTACATCATTGTTCTTACAGCTTTCATTGCTCTACTTTAATGACTAACAGATATATAGTACCTGAGAACCATTTCTGTATTTCTACATAGAATCCTTTTGTCATGGAATCAACCTAAATGCCCATCAATAGAAGAATGGATAAAGAAAATGTGGTACATATACATCATGGAATACTATGCAGCCATAAAAAAGAACAAGATCATGTCCTTTGCAGGAACATGGATGGAGCCAGAGGTTATTATCCTTAAACTAACACAGGAATAGAAAACCAAATACTGCATGTTCTCACTTATAAGTGGGAGCCAAATGATGAGAACAAATGGACTCAAAGAGACAAACAACAGACACTGGTGCCTACCAGAGGGCGGGGGGTGAGGGGAGGGGAGGAAGAGGAGCATAAAAAATGACTATTGGGTACTAGGCTTAGTACCTGGGTGATGAAATAAGCTGTACATCAAACTCTTGTGACATGAGTTTACCTATATAACAGACCTGCACATGTACCCCTGAATGTAAAATGAAAGTTAAAAAGAAAAAAAGAATCTTGCTGTCAATTTAAAATCAATGTCTTCAACACTAAGCTAATCATCAGTTCTCAACCAGGCACTCCTCATCATTATCTGTCCCCAGTCACTCAAGGCTGAACCTTATGTACCGTTTTAATATTCAGACTCTGAAGCCAGACTGCCTGGGTGCAAATCTTGGCTGCACCACTTATTGGCTGTGTTACCCTGGATTACTTAGTTAACCTTTCTGTGTATCAGTTTCTTCACCTATAAAATGGAGAAGTATCCCAATGTAGACAGAATAATGATATTCACTTCCTACTATTTTTGTCAGAATTAAATATACTGACACACTATAAAAGCTGCATACATGCTAGCTATTATTCTTTCTCTTTATCCCTTACATGAAGTCAATCACCGTATTTATTATTACAGCTCCAGTCTTATCTCTTCATGCCTTCAACTTTCCCCTCTTTGATCCATATTGAAGGCTAGTGAAATAATCTTCATAGAACATAACTTTTTCAGAGTATACTATGACTCTTTACTGCCTATAACATCAAGTCCAAAATCCTCTGTCTGACATTTAAGGTCTTCCATTATCTGGTTCCAACCTACTTTTCAAAATTTACTTCCTTGTACTTATTTAATTTAAGGAATTAAGCCATTTTCTCTGCAGCTTCCTAAAGATGCCCATTCTTACTTCTATACCTTTGCTCAGACTGTTCCCCTGCCTGAAATTCCCTTCCTGCTTCTCTGTCTAAATTGTGCTCTTATCAAAGTCCAGCTGCAACATCCCATCCTCCAGAAAATTTTCCAGGATTTTCCCTATTTTAATCTTTCAGGGCCTCCCTTTGCTAAAAATTTTCACAGCCTATGTGTTATTTATTACATAATCTACCATTTAATTTGTATCATGCAAAGATGACTGACTATGCAAAGAAAACTGTCACTGAAGGCCAGGTGCACTGGCTCATGCCTGTAATCCCAGCACTTTGGGAGGCCAAGGCGGGTGGATCACCTGAGGTCAGGAGTTCGAGACCAGCCTGGCCAACTTGGTGAAACCCTGTCTCTACTAAAAATACAAAAAATTAGCCAGGTGTGGTGGTGCGCGCCTGTAATCCCAGCTACTTGGGAGGCTGAGGCAGGAAAATTGCTTGAACCTGGGAGGCGGAGGCTGTAGTGAGCCAAGATCAAGCCACTGCACTCCAGCCTGGGCAACAGAGTGAACTCTGTCTCAAAAAAAAGAAAAAAGAAGAAAGAGAAAAAGGAAAACTGTCACTGAGCTGTCAGATCCAAGAATGACACCAAAACAGTGGCATTCCATCAAATAAAAAGCCCGGCAGCTCCCATGCACAGTCACTGGCCTTTGTCCTGCCTTGGATTCACAACAGCCTGGCTTCACCCTGGGATCTGGAAAACCTTCTTCTCTAGCTTAGTCTTTGGCTTTCTTCTAGAAGCACGAAACTCTACTTCATCCCCAAGTGCATTCACACACACACACACATCTCCCTGAGTAAATTAACACACCTACACACTCAGACTGGCCTTAGGCTCTTACATCTAAAGTGTGTCAGATTGTTTGTAGAAAATGTTAACACACACAAAGGTTAACTAAGTTGTCCAGGGTAACACAGCTACAAAATACATCCAGAATGTGACCACAGGAGATGGTCGTTGAGTCAAATCCCTATCATATAGAACTTTACCAGCCCTATCACATAGAACAAGTGATTCAACCTGTCTGGATCTTAGCTTTCGCATTTGTGAAAGAGCTGATAAATTAAATGAGAGAAATGCATGTGATGTACCTGGCAGAGCACTAGACACAGAGTAGTGCCCTCTAATTGGGCCGTGATGAGGATTAGAGAAGAGCAAGATAAATAATATAGGGAAGCCAAACATCTGCTCTTCAATCACCACCACACAACACTTTAAATCCTTATCTGCCCTCAGCCTTTCCTGTCTCTGTTGGTGAAAACTCTACCCTTCTAGTTGCAATACTTGAAGTCATACTTGATTCCTCATTTTCTTACATCCACTTCATTAGAAAATCCCATTGGTTCTATTTTCAAAATATATCCAGACTCTGACCACTTCTCACTACCTCCACTGCTAGCACCCTGGTCCAAGCCACCATCATCTTGCACTTGGATTATTGCACTGTCTCTGTGGTAGCCAGCCTCCCATATGGCCCTCATTGATCCTTGACTCCTAGAATTCACACCCTCGTGAGTCCTCTCCCACACTGGACCAGGGTTGGTCTATATGACCAATAGGACATAGCAGAAGTGATATTATATTACCACAGAGTTAGATAATAAAACTCTGCAGCTTCCATCTTTGTAAGTCTCTCCCCTACTCCCACCCCATCCCCTTGTGCTAGCAAACTACCATATCATGGCATATTTTGGCAAGGAACTGAAGCCTTGACAAACAGCCGGTGAGGAACTGAGGGCTGCCCACAACCAGGTGAGTGAGCCTAGTAGACTCTCCTGTCTGAGTCAAGTCTTGAATCAATTATGAACCCAGATGACAACTTGACTGCCACTTTATGAAACCCTGAGCCGGAACCTCACAGCTAAGCTGCTCCCAGATTCCTCAGAAAGTGCATGAGATCATGAATGTATGCTAGTTTAGCTGCTAAGTTTTGAGATAGTATGTTACACAGGAATAGAAAATGAATACAGTTTCCTAATAGGTTTCCCTGCTTTTATGATTACCCGCTCCCTCCTTTCCAGTCTATTCTCAACAAAACAGCATCTAGAGAAATCCCATTGAAACAAAATCACATCATGCCCTCTCGTGCTCAATTCTGTAATGACTCCCCTTTTCCTTTAGAATAGAAGTGATGGTTGTTACAATGACCTACCAGGTCCCCCAGGATCATGGGTCCCTTACTTCTACAGTCTATTCTCCCCATACTCTCCTTCTCACTCATTCTCATCTTGCTGCACTGGTCCCACCTTAAGGCCTTGACTTCAGCTGTTTCATCTTCCCAGAATGTTCTTCCCCCAAATACCTAAGGCTAGCTCTCTCATCTCCTTTAAGCTTTTGTCCAAATCTCACCTTAATGAGACTTAACCTGACTACCCTATTTAATGCAGCAACCTGCTTCCACCCATGCTGGAATTTCCAATTCCTTTAAAACTTTCTATCTCCCTTACCCAGCTCTCGACTCTTTCTTTTTTCCATAACAGCCATCACCTCCTTAAACACAATGTAACTTACTTTTTTATTATGGTCAATGTTCCTTGTGTGTCTACCTCCGCTAGAACCTAAGTTCCACAGGGCTGGGGTTGTTTTGTTCATGAATATATCACAAGCACCTTGAACAGTGCCTGCGACATACTTGGTAGTCAATTAACATCTGTTAAATGAATGAATAAAAGCTCCATTGCCATTGAGGAATTGAAGTAAAAGTTATGGCTTAAAATATTAATAAGAGAATGGGAGGAGCTGCATTCTTCAGGTTTTCATAAAATCAATTCACAGCATATTTGTAAAGTTGGTTTTGAGCTATAAAGTGCTATGCAAATGTAAGTTGCCTTGATTTTAGGAAGCATAATTATAAATTTAATTTAATAAGCATCAATCCAATTTGAACTATCTTTCTCCTCCCTCTTAACTCTCCCCTTCAAATTTAAAAAAAAAAGTGGAGATTCATTCTTCTATTCTCCTTAAATGTGACCTAGGAAACCAAGGATATTTACATTTGGACCTGAGGTAACTGGAGGGGAAGGCTAAACTTCAATCAGCAAAGGCCTGATATTAAGAATTCCTTTCGTCTACCTGTTGTCCATCATTCCCAAAACTGACTTGACTTGGGGCAAAAAGAAATTTCTACCCACTACCCTTTCCTTAAGAAGAAGTAATGAAACATTTATATAATTTCCAGGATTTCATGCTATGTACTCTGTCTCAACTGTCCTCTCCCCCACCTCTTTCTCTTTCTCTCTCTATCTCTCTCTCACACACACACACAAGCATAGCCTTTATCTTGAGAGCACATGAATTCTACTCTCTCTTTTTTTTTTTTTTGTGAGATGGAGTCTCGCTCTGTCCCCCAGGCTGGAGTGCAGTGGCATGATCTCGGCTCACTGCAACCTTCACCTCCCAGGTTCAAGCAATTCTCCTGCCTCAGCCCCCCCGCCGAGTAGCTGGGATTGCAGGTGCATGCCACCACGCCCAGCTAATTTTTGTATTTTTAGTAGAGACAGGGTTTCACCATGTTGGTCAGGCTAGTCTTGAACTCCTGACCTCGTGATCCGCCCACCTTGGCCTCCTAAAGTGCTGGGATAACAGGCATGAGCCACCGCGGCCAGCTGAATTCTACTCTCTAAATAGTTTATATTCTGAGTCTTGAGCACTTGAGATTGGTCTCATTTTCTTGTAGCTGATTCACTACGGCTGATTACTGACTTAAGTAATCACTTCATCTCCCTAGCAGAAAAATGACCATATTCAGACCAAAAATGAAAGAGCAAAGGTTCAAAATGTGATAACTACTTTTTTCTTTTGGAATATTGGCCTTTTTCCCATTAACAGAATAAGACTTTCAAATGGAAATTAATGAACCAATTTTCCTACCCAGGGTTAATGTCACAATTTAAATGCCACAAATGATTGTTTGACTGCTAGTTGCTTTCAGCAATATCCCTCCTTTTAGTGCTTGCTAGAGGCAAATCACAAGAGATAACAGATACTTTCCATGTTAGAAGTGAAATGAATCCATAAGCCCAGGACGATATTGATAGCTTCACGTTAAAGATGGCTATGCTCGGGAAAGAGAAGATTCAATTAATTCAGTGAAAATATTATAATGCCCTCCACCACATAAAGTGCATAGTTTTTAAAAACAATAAACTGTAAAACAAAATTTATGTCCATTGAAATTAAGATGGTTTCGTTTTAGATACTGATTGCAAAATATACTGATCTACTACTTGAAGCATGGTCTCTCTCTCTCTCTCCCCCACCCCCTCTCGGGAGCCCCAGCTTTGTAGTGCCCTAAGCATGCTCTTACTTCACCTATTAAGTAAAAGGATTGGAAATAAAACTAAAGAGCTACAGGAAAGGTAACCCACTGAGCTCTAGAAACAATGAGAAGGATATAACAATAGAAAGTGAAAGGAAGAGGACAAGAAAAGAATTTAAAAATGGAGAGAATTTGTAGAGATGGCAACTTATGAAATGACTAAAATTGGTTAGTGTGTGTGTGTGGTGTGTGTGTGTGTGTAAATCAAAATCTAAAATGTTGACAATGATTATAGGTGAATTTTTATTTTCTCCTTTCTACTTTTTGACTTGTCAAGTAATCTTCAACAATACCATCATACTACTTATTGAGCATCCACTATATGCCAGCTAATGTTCTAAGCCCCTCACATGGGTTAACTCATGTATTCGTTATGTTAATAATAAACTTAGAGTCAGATATGGATATCATGCCCTTCATACAGATGAGTAAATTGAGAATAGAGTGTTAAGTAACTTGCCCAGGTTCAGGTAGCAGTCAGCATTAGATCAGCATTGCATCCAAGTGCCTGAGTTCTCTTTTTTTTTTTTTTTTTTGAGATAAGGTCTTGCTCTGTCCTCCAGGCTAGAAGGCTAGAGGAGTGCAGTGGCACAATCATGGCTCACTGCAACCTGAACCTCCCAGGCTCAAGTGATCCTCCCACCTCAGCCTCCAGAGTGGTCCATCATGCCTGACTAATTTTTTTATTTTTGTAGAGACAAGGTCTCCCTACATTGCCCAGGCTGGTCTTGGACTTCTGAGCTCAAGTGATCCACCTGCTTCAGCATCCCAAAGTGCTGGGATTACAGGTGTGAGCCACCACGCACAACCTCGGAGCCTGAGTTCTTATGCATCCTTCTCTATTTCCTACTCTTGACCATGCTCTATTTTCACAATTAGAAAAAAGTTAGTTGAAAAGGGAAAACTCATAAACAGACAGGATACAAAAGACCAATATAACAGAGGATGATATCCAAATTCAGAGTAATAGAGAAATTATGCAAAAGCGGAGTTTGTAAGCTCCCTGAAGAAAGACAACAAGTTTACATTATTTGTAGAATTCCAAGGTCCTGGAACAATCTAGAGAGTACATATCAGGCAGGAAAGCAGGCAACACATATTTATTGAATGAATTGAATGGGGTGATGGGTAGCAAGTCCTAATTTATCTTTAGTATAATACAACTAGAGGTCATCTATTTTTAAATGTCCTGCAGAAAAATGATAGCAAATGATTCATGTAACAGAAATATAGATTAAAGAATTGGGAAATAAGGGAACTATTATATTTAAGAGCAAACAAAAATATGATTTTTAAAGGAAAGAATTATGTTATAACCAAATTAGCTTTGAGAATTAAAGAGAGAGTCAGTTTTTCTGAGGAAATTACAGCAGTTGAATCTCTAGCAGTAAGAGAGAAAGCACAAAAGCACTTTACAAGCCTGCAGGACCGATTTCCATTTAAACACCATTTCATGGGTTTACCTCTAATGTTTACAGCCAATATGGAAAAGAAATGTTAATGCAATTCTAGGGGATAGAAAGCAGAAGAGACTGGAATAAAGGAAAAGCCAGAGTTGAGAAGGCTGCACCCCACCTTTGGTGCAGGAGGGGTTAATGTGTGCTTGAGGACTGTTTTTCTCTCTGAGCTTGGAAAACTCAAGTCTTCAGTGCCTATGGCTAAGCCAGTTCCTGTACAGTGTGCCCAATGGAACTAACTACAACATTAGTTGGCTTCTTAAATACAGAGGAGTCCGCCTTTGGGGTTCCTAGGGCCAGAGAGAGAAATAACATGGTAAAACACCTAGAGTAACTTCAAACTGCCACAAAGGCAACAGACAAAAAACATGAGCTTAAAGCAACAGGAAAGTCCTTTCGTGTGTCTAACCCCCAGCTTACCCTGCTGGGCCTCACTTGTATATATACAAAGGACCCTCCAGGCATCCTCAGAGCCTGTGGCCAGAGCTTCCATCAAGAGAGCGGCCCCCTGCCAGGGCTGAAAGGTCTTCAGTCTAACTCTTCACTTTTAATATGAGAACTGAGAATGTAAGGAAATTTAAGGAAACCTTACATGAGTAAAAGAGAAGCCCCAAGATGAGCAAAAAAGGTTATTTATGAGGAAAATAATTAATGCTAAATACAGAAAATAATGTTAAAAGGAAGATACTTGAGAGGCAGTGGGTGGGGGCCTACTGGAGTGAGGGGTAACAAGATGGCGACCAAGACGGTGGTGCACCATAAGTGGAAGATTGCTGAACTAAAGCAAGAATGTCTTCCTTGTGGTTTGGAGACCAAGGAAATGAAACAAGATGCCATCAAAAGGCTCCAGGCACTTTTTTTTTTTTTTTGAGAGGGAGTCTTACTCTGTTGCCCAGGCTGGAGTGCAGTGGTTCAATCTTGGCTCACCACAACCTCCGCCTCCCGGGTTCAAGCGATTATCCTGCCTCAGTCTCCCGAGTAGCTGGGACTACAAGCACATGCCACCATGCCAGGCTAATTTTTGCATTTTTAGTAGAGATGGGGTTTCACTATGTTGGCCAGGCTGGTCTCGAACTCCTGACCTCATGATCCGCCCACCTTGGCCTCCCAAAGTGCTGGCTCCAGGCATATTTTTCAGGGCATGCTGAAGAGGCAAATGAAGATGTACTGGGAGATGAAACAGAGGAAGAAGAAACAAAGCCCCATAGAAATCCCTGTCAAAGAGGAAGAACTCCCTGAAAAAACTGTTGACGTGGAAGCAGAGAAGAAAGTGGTAAAAATTACATCTGAAATACCACAGGGAGAGAGAATGCAGAAGAGGGCTGAACAAGTCCATGTACCCGTGAGCTTGTAAAGTAAGAAAACTGCCCGGGCAGCTAGGTTTGGGACTTCTTCAGTTTCAACAAAAGGTCTGTCATCTAACAACAAACCTATCATGAACCTGGATAAGCTAAAGGAAAGAGCTCAAAGATTTGGTTTGAATGGCTCTTCAATCTCCAGAAAGTCTGAAGATGATGAGAAACTGAAAAGGAGGAAGGACTGATTTGGGATTATCACTGGTTCAGCTGGAACCAGAAGGAACACAGAGGATACAGAGGCAAAGAATAGGAAAAGAGCCTCGCGCTATGGGATTGCCTGCTGAAAAGTTCATGCTGCTTTCTGTTCTCCAGTGGTTTCCATTTCTGTGATTCTTCTCGGTCACAAATATACCTAAATGCACAGTCACGTACCTACCTCCTGCCTTGCAATGAGGGCACATGTTCCCCAGCTACATGTGGGAACTCCAGCAGCAATTTGACTTATTGATGTTCCAACTTAAAGCTGTTGTGTTTTTGTTTTTGATTTTTTGCTTGTTAGTTAAAAAAAAAAAAAATCTGAAAAGAGACGGGGGTAAAAAGAAGCTACTGCACCTACAACACAAGCACAGGCTACTAGAAACCAAGAACCACAAAACAAGTTACATGATTTTTAGAATAAAAATAAAAGTTTGTACGAGGACTGAATAGGAAAGACAGCACAAAATGAATTAATAAACTGAGCAATCAAAGCATTGTCCAGTTTTTAAACAAACAAAAAATCATAAGACAAAGTTAAAAGGTATGCAGGATGATTACAGGTATAAAGTTCAATTTAACAAGAGTTACAGAAGAAAGCAGTGAAGAGGATGAAAGGGAAGAAACAAATACACAAAAGAAGACTAGAATAGAGTAGAATAATAATGTCTTACAGCTGAAAAAAAACTTGAGTATTGGCAAGGCACCGAAGTGTTGGAAAGAATAATGAAAAAGTGGCACTTCTATTCATATCCTGGTGACATTTTTGGGTTGAAGATTAAATTTAAAAATGCTACAAATACTGGGAAAAAACTTAAGTAACATTCAACAGAACAGAACTAGAAACTGCCAGCCAATAAACTTCTCATCCATATCACTAAATGCTGCTAGACAAGAGGAAAGGGATTTGAACATGAAAGTCTAAACAGAGCAAAAGATCAATAAAGTGTGATGGCAAAATAAAATACCTGTTTAGTCGTGAAAAGATTCAAAAACGATTCCACTCATATATCCCTTTTGAAAACTTTATCCCTTCAGCCAAAGTAAAGAAAGAGATGCATGGATAAAGAAGAAAATTGATACAGCCATCAGAGAATATCAAATAAGTCAGTAAAATATTAATTGTAGCTGATTTCTGATCACAGAAATGAAATGTATGCCACTAAGAAAGAATTCTTAAATATAATACCAAACTAAAATAAAACACCTGAGAGGTGACAGGAGAAGAGTTGTTTAAAAGGTGTAGTGGGCCCAGCACAGTGGCTCATAGCTATAATTCCAGTGCTTTGGGAGGCCAAGGTGGGAGGATTGCTTGAGGCCAGGAGTTTGAGACCAGCCTGGGCAACAAAGCAAGACTCTGTCTCTACAAAAAAATTTTTTATGTAATAATGAGGTAAAATAAAAAGCATGTTGATTTTGCTTTGTACGTAAGGAGAGTAATACATAATGGTTAACTCCTGATATTGATAGAAAAGATAAGTTTATGCTTATTAAAAGTTCAAGGGTAACAATTACTAGGATAAAGATAGGATATAGAAATTAAAGAGCAACAATTTCCATAGTATGGTGTGCAGACACCTAGAGAAATCACTTAGATACTTTCAAGGGTTTATGAGTTTAAAACTATTTCCCTAATAATACTGAGATATATGTGCCTTATTCCCTCTGTTGACATTTGTAGTAATGGTATAAAACTAATGTTGGGCAAAAGTTCAAGCTTCTGACATGAATAAAGACAGCGGCATTAAACTATACTTGAGGTATTATATTTTTATCATCACATACAATAAAAACAAAACAAGCAAACAAACAAGCAAATACGTGCTAGTTTCACTTGAGAATGTCCTTCATGAAGCAGTATAGAATATTAATTTTATTAACCTCACACTTTGGGTACCAATCTTTTTAATATTCTGTGTGACAAAGCAGGAAGTACGTGTAAAGCACTTTGACTGCATACCGAAATACAGCAATTGCCTCAAGGAAAAGCACTCGTGCAGTGCTTTGAGTAGGAGTTGAAACTAGCTGCTTTTTTTAAGGGATTCCATTTTTACCTGAAAGAATGACATATTGACAAACTACGTGTTCAGACTTGAGTGTTTGGCTGATGTCTTCTCAAAAATAAACCAAGCGAGAGTCTATCACTTCACAGAAAACAACAGACAGTATTTGTTGCCAATGGTAAAATTTGAGCTTTCAAGCAAAAAAAAAAAAAAAAAAAAAGGAAAAAAAGAAAATTTTTGGAAACTTGCATCCACCACTACTGATAACTTTCTAGTACTTTATTTTCTGATGAGGTTAATGGATATAATTTTTTGCTAATGTATCATGAAGCACATTAACATTTGGAAAATCCAAATAACTCAGTCAACCAATAATTCCAAATGCCAATGCATGATGTTATAGAATAACACACAATATAAGTTCTATTCAAAGTGCAAGACAAGCCTATAGATTTTAATGTAACAGAGAAAGTTCAGTGTATGATTTCAGTTTCCACATTGCAATTAACCTTTAAAAACTACCAGTTTTGAATTTTGGTGAGGTATCAAAGAATATATAGTTATATGAAAATATATTTTCCTTTTCCAACTATCAGTGTGAAGCAGGATTCTCTAACCAAAATAACATTTTGTAATAGATTGAATGAAGAGGCAGATGTGAGAATCTAGCAGTCATCTGCTAAGCCAGGCATTAAAGAAAGTTGCAAAAATGTGAAATAACACTACTCTTCTCATTAAATTCGTATGTTTTGAAAATTTTAGTTTGGGTTTTACTTTTCTGAAACAGAGTCTTGCTCTCTTGCCCAGCTGGAGTGCAGGGGCATGATCTCAGCTCACTGTAACCTCCACCTCCTGGGTTCAAGCCATTCTGCCTCAGCCTCCCGAGTAGCTGGGATTACAGACATGTGCCACCACACCCAGCTAATTTTTGGTAATTTTTGTAGAGGTGGGGTTTTACCATGTTGGCCAGGCTGGTCTCAAACTCCTGACCTCAAGTGATCCACCCACCTCGGCCTCCCAAACTGCTGGGATTACAGGCATGAGCCACCACACCCAACCAGTTATGTTTCATTTCAAAAATGTTATTTCAAGCCGGGTGTGGTGGTACACACCTGGAATCCCAGCTACTTGGGAGGCTGAGGCATGAAGATGGCTTGAATCCAGGAATTCAAGACCAGCCTGGGCAATATATCAAGATATCATCTCAAAAAGAAAAAAAAAAGGTTAAAAAGCATAATAATGAAATAAAACAATATGTTAATATGCTTTATAACTATCACATGGTTTACAATTATTATTTTAATTGAGCCATAAATAAGTATTTTTTAAAATTTACTGTCTTTAATTTTTCATATGATATATATCAATAGATATAACCCACATAAATACAAACTCTTCTGGGACTTCAATAATTTAAGAGTATTAAAGAAATTCTGAGAACAAAAATTTGAGAAGCACTGCTCTAGAAAATAACCAGAGAAAAATAATGAAAAAAGATATATTAGCCAGGCACAGTGGCTCACACCTGTAATTCCAGCACTTTGGGAGGCCAAGGCAGGCAGATCACCTGAGGTCAGGAGTTCGAGACCAGCCTGACCAACATGATGAAACCCTGTCTCTACTAAAAATACAAAAATTAGCTGGGCCTGGTGGCCAGTGCCTGTAATCCCAGCTACGCAGGAAGCTGAGGCAGGAGAATCGCTTGAACCTGGGAGGCGGAGGTTGTGGTGAGCCGAGATCGCGCCATTGCACTCCAGCCTGGGCAACAAGAGCAAAACTCCATCTCAAAAAAAAAGATATGTTGATCAATGCAACAAAAATAAACAAAAATAAAAATAATGGTATGGCATAGAAAAAACAAGACTCTATATATCAGCAATTATAATATATGAAAATGGGTTAACCCTACCTTCAAAAGATAAATACTTTCAAACTGGATTTTTTTTTTAAAGCCAGTATTATTTTTTAAGTACCCATGATACATAAGAAAACTGACCTAATATCAGGCCATTAAGCAAGACTCTACCCATTTCAAAGAACTCTTATAATACAAACCAAATTCTCTGACCACAACATAGTTAAATTTTAAACCAACAGCAAAGAAGATGAAATTTAAAGACTATATGTTTTGAAATTATAACATAGTTTTCTAAATATTCACAGGTCAAAGAACAGCTCTTAAAGGAAGCTTTTTTTTTAAT
The DNA here is from genome assembly GCF_000001405.40 of Homo sapiens. Classification (NCBI taxonomy): domain Eukaryota; kingdom Metazoa; phylum Chordata; class Mammalia; order Primates; family Hominidae; genus Homo; species Homo sapiens. Next base: position 101,524,544 of record NC_000008.11, on the reverse strand, counting down.
TAGAACTCCATGATAAAATACTATATGTTGTGGGATATAGATAAATCAGCACTTAGAGGCAAATTTCATACTTTAACTGCTTATGTTAGATGGGAACAAAGGCTAAAAAGTTAAAGAGCTAAGCATGTAACGTGTTAGAAAAAAATAAAAGAATTAACCTGAAGAACTTAGAAAGATGGATGTAATAAAGATAAAACAAATTAACGAAGTAAAGACTTGACAGAAAGGACAATTTAAGATGAAAATTGGTTCTTTGAAATGGCAAAGAAAACTAACAAACTGGCAAAGATAATCAAATATTAGAAAAGGAAGACAATTTTAGATGTGACAATTCTCTTCTGAAAAAAGACAATTTTGTGAATCACTTTATGCTAATATTTGAAAACAGACAAAATGGGAACATTTCTGGAAAAATATAAACAATCCAAAGTGATTCAATTATTTGGAAAGAGAAAAACAGTGATTTTTCAGTGCAGAAACCTGGCAGCTACTACCTTAACCAAGTTATACCCTGAGAGAGGCACATCTTGAAGAGAAAACATAAGACAAATCCAAATGGTGGGGCATTCTATTACGCACCTGATGATTGGTGATTATGGTAGCAACTGCGTTAAACCAATAAGTATGTGAGTCAAAACAAATAAGGTTATGAACCAGAAGAAAGCAAAACAAGTAACTTTTGGAGGTGGGATGGTGCGTGATTTGTCTTTATTTAGTGGTTTTAAATATATATATAGCTTATGCAACTGAATATAAATGGAAAAGAAGGCTGGGCCAGTGGCTCACACTTGTAATTCTAACATTTTGAGAGGCTGAGGTGGGAGGATCGTTTGAGCCCAGGAATTCAAGACCAAGCAGACAACATGGCAAAAACCCATCTTTACAAATAATAATTTAAAAAATTAGCCACACATGGTGGTGCATGCTTGTAGTCCCAGCTACTTGGGAGGCTGAGGTGGAAGGATCACTTGAGGCCTGGAGATTGAGGTTGCAGTGAGCCGTGATGTGCCACCACACTCCAGCCTGGGTGACACAGTGAGACCCCACCCCCCTTAAAAAAAAAAAAACTTTCAGTGGATATAAAAGTACTGGACTGAAGAAACAAGCTGGGACGGGTGGTAGTGGGGAACTAATAATTTTGGGTGTTTTCTCTCCATAGCATCCAACATTCTTGATTTCCTTTCCTCTGCTTCATACATAAAAGCATGGTCACAGTCATCTTTATGCAGTTCCCCTCTCCAAGGAAAGAGGTTTTTATTGTACACCTTTCTCTCTTCACCTGTATGGAAAAAAAAAAAATCCCCTTTCATTCCTTGTAAGAATAATAGATGTTGGCTGGGCGCAGTGGCTTAAGTCTGTAATCCCAGCACTTTGGGAGGCCGAGGTGGGTGGATCACTTGAGGCCAGGAGTTTGAGACCAGCCTGGGCAATGTGGTGAAACCCATCTTTACGAAAAATAAAAAAAAAATTAGCGGGGCATGGTGGCGGGTGCCTGTAATCCCAGCTACTCAGGAGGCTGAGACACGAGAATCACTTGAACCAGGGAGGCGGAGGTTGCAGTGAGCAGAAATCGCACCACTGCACTCCAGCCTGGGTGACAGAGCGAGATTCCATCTAAAAAAAAAAAGAAACAAAGAATAATAGATTTCTACTTTGTGGTCCCAATCAGTATATGAACAGAAGGCCTATTTAGAAATTAAAGTTAAAAAAAAAAGCAAGTTATATTTCATGCAACTTCAATTCCAAAACAACTCAGATATAGATGTTTATATATATATATGTATATGTGTGTGTATATATATATATGTATATGTATATGTATAAACATACTTGTATTTGTAAGGCTTGGCAATGGCCTGAGGTACTCATTTTTGTGTTTATGAATAGACCTGTAGCACACAAGTGCTGCAAAGAAATCTTCATGATCATCCACTCCAAACTTCTCATTTTACAAATAGGAAAACTGAAGTCCAGAGAGGTTATACCATTTCCCTGGGATTACACAGTTATTTTGTTAACACTGAAATAATTCAAGGACAAATTGCTGGAGGACACATATCCACAGGGGATTGGTTCCAGGCCCACAGATGCTCAAGTGTCGTATATAAAATGGCCTGGTATTTTAGGTATATAACCCATGCACATCCTACTATATACTTTAGATCACCTCTAGATTACTTATAATACCTAATACAATGTAAATGCTAGGAAAATAGTTGTTATATTGTTTTCATTTGTATTATTTTTATTGTTATTATTGTTATTATTTTTTTTCTGACTATCTTTGAAATACAGCTGGTTAGACCCACAGTTTTGGAACCTTGGATATGAAGAACCAACTGCATACTGTTGGTTAATCATTAGTCCTTTGCCAGGAAGGGGAACATCACACACTTGGGCCATGTACCCTAGAACTTAAAGTATAATAAAAATATATATTTAAAAAAAATCTTTAGTGCTTTGCAAACATATAAGCACTCTTCCATGAGGACAAAACCAAAATTACAAACAGCTTCCTACCAAAGTTTTCTTCCTCCATTCACACCCCTGCCCTAAATTTCCCACTCAGTTCATTGAACAAACCTTTATTGAGCTCCTGCTGTACTACAGGCTCTGAGCTAGGTGCAGGGGGCAGTGTTGACCAAGCCAGACACAGTCTCTCCTATTAAGGAGCATTTCATCTACGAACTGATTAGTTCAAGTCAGCTTATTACCACAGCGTTCTCTAAAAGCTAACAAAAAATTACATTTTTAAAACTTTTTTTTATAATCGGCCCTAATCCCTAGGTATATAAGTCCAAGTATAAAGATGTAATAAAAAATCTTATCATGGAAGTTATGTCTTGTTAAATAACGGAAACACTGCTACTTAAAAACCATGAAAGTTAAGATCACATTCATTCGACAGGTCTTAACTGAGCACCTACTGTGAGCTGGTACTGCTTTGAGTACTGGGATACAGCGATGAAAAAGACAGACCCAGTCTCTGCCCTGGTGAAGCTCTGACAGAAGAATATACAACTGCAGATGTGACGAGTGTTAATGAAGAAAAGTACAGGGTGCTACAAGAGAAAATATCATGGGGACCATGTGGTAGCCAGGAGCACCTCACAACACCTCCAACCACAGAAAGCATCATGGGCCAAAGATCCTGTTGCCCGTCACTGAAATTTATCACCACATTTGTGTGGAGACCACACTTCGCCATGGGCTGCTTCCAGCCAGCGATCATGTGTGGTAGGACTACCAAAGCGGCACATTCTTGGGGAACAGGGACTCCTCTGATGGCTGGCTCTGACTCAAAGACCCTCACCCCCACCCCATGGCCCTGCTGCATCTTCTTTAGACTGCACAGCAGCCCTGGAAGCTTCTGCTCAACATTTCCTCCCTCTCTTCTTCACTCCAAGTCAGACTCACATTGTTGTCTGACAGTTCCCCCACTTTGCCAGCTCCCTCTGTATTTTTTTCTCACAGGTGGTTCCCCTAATACAAGTATTGCATGAGTAATCCTATCTTAGATTATTCATCACGAAGAACTCAGACTGATGGAGGATCTAATTTAGATTGAGATGGGGCTGCTTAGGATGGGGTTACTGTGAAAGTATTCAAACACAAATTGAGACTTGCAGAAGGAGGAGGAATTTCTCAAGGAAAAGAGGAAGGAATGTCATTACAGGAACAGCATGTGCAAGGTCCCTGAGGCAGGTTGGAACTTCTCCCAATCGAAGGACTAAATGAAGGGCAGTATAGCTGGACCATAATGTTTCAAGAAGGAAGAGGGCAGTGTCTGATGAAACTTAAGAGATAAGCAGAGGCCAGATTATGCCAGGATTAGTAATTCACTTTTAGGATTTTACATTTTGTATGCTAAGTGCACAGGGTACTCATGTGAGGTCTTTAGGAAGGGAACATCTTGATCAAACTCTTTTCTGTTCAATCCATACAGAGGGTGATCTTTTAAAAACACAAGATGTTCTCTTGTGACCTTTAAAAGATCACCCTGTCTGCTGCGTGGGATTGAACAGAAAAGAGGTTGTAGGAGACCAACAAGGCAGTTACTGAAATGGCCCAGGAAGGATAAACTAAGGATTACTTTCTGCATAATGAGAAAAATCATCTTTATAAGGTCTTCCTTAAGATTCTGTAGCCCTTTTCTTTATTTCAAGGCAGTCATTATTTTCTGCCATTTTCTTTATTCAGATAACTGTCTTAAATTTTACATCTTTGTGCAAGTGGGTATTATGTCTCACTCAATTTGTAACCTCACATACTACGTGAATCAGTCTATAATCTCCTCCAAAGTTGTGTAACAGAGATACTCTATGGTAGAAATGTTGGACTCCACCTCTGTCTTTAAAGCTAAGAGAATAGATTAGAAACTTACAAGTGTTCCACAAGAAAGTAATGGGAAAGTCTGTATAAAATCCATACAAAATATGTTGCTTACACAAGATGTCCCTTCTAGAAAAGGAGATAGGGCAAACAAATTGACTTTATGATAAGTTTGATCTAAAATTAAAATGCTGGAAATAATAAAAGCCAATTAAACTTGAGTTTGCCTGATTAAAATTTAGATGGGCTTCTAATGGAACTATTAGGAAAATAAGAACTAATTATTTGTTTTTCAATAATTAGACAATAATTATAAGCACTCAAGTCCTCTAGTCCTGGATCTGTGCATGGATTTTAAAATATTCTCATTTTTAAATTGATTATTAGCAGTGAGTAGATGGGGGAGAAAGCCTTTTATCTGTATATGCATATGTTATGTGAATATACATGCACATATACATATATCTTCATATATACGTACATATGTGTGTTTGCAATACACTTAGGGTTAGGGTGGGGTGTGTGTGATGTGGATGAAGGTCATTTGTATGTTAGCTTATTTAAATTAAACCTTTACTTGAGATGATTTAAATAAATTCCAGACAATTGTTTTTTGTTGTTTCATATGCAACCATACAAAAAAAAAAAAAAAAAGCTGGTCATGGTGGCACACCTGTAATCCCAGCTTCTCTGCGGTGAGGCAGGAGGATTGCTTAAACCCAGGAGTCTGAGGCTGCAGTGAGCTATGATCACACCACTGGACTCCAGCCTGGGTAACAGAGCAAGACCCTTTAAAAAAAAATTCAAGTAATAAGTGATGAATATTTAATCTGACCTTGGATTTGGGAATAGCTATGTAAACATAAAAACAGTAGAAGAATCAATGAAGGGCCAAGTACAGTGGCTCACAGCTGTAATTCCAGCACTTTTGGGAAGCCAAGGCGGGAGGATTACTTGAGGCCAGGAGTTCAAGATCAGCCTGGGCAACATAGCAAGACCCTATCTCTTAAAATTAAAAAAAAAAAAATCAATGAAGAAAAAGTGATAACTTTGACTACAAAACTTGAAACACCTAAAAATGAGTAGAGATTTCAGGTGAAAGGCATTAGAGTAGGGCTGCATTACAAACCCACTCTCCCATAAAACCTAACAAAAATGGACAGAAATTGTGTATGTGTGTATGTGAGTGTGCAGACATCTCAAAAATTTGTCAACTGCACAGCCCCATGTCATACATTCCAACAGACGAGGCCAGTGGGGGAAATGGAAGATTTTCATACCAATGTGCCTCACAAACAGCAGCACAGGAGACAGAAGTTAAATCAACAAATTACGTAGAGTGCTTGCTAATATCCTCCCAACATGGACAGAAGCCCAAAGGAGTAGACAACACCTTAGAAAACTCTTTGAGATGTCATTACCTCCACTTTCAGACTTTAGCAGAGATGGAAAGAACTTGGGGGTCTTTCTAGTATGGGAGAAAAGAGAAGCAGCACAGAACGATCTCATACTTGCAGAGCTAACTCATTGACTTGGAGTGAATCGTTCTGTTGAAGGGACATTGATCAGTGCATAGAAAGAAAACATGTGGCATGGGTGATGAGCAGGGAGGCAATGGCAAAAATAGCTGAAGACCAGGCACTGCAGAATGGTTGTATTATATTCTTGTAACCAAACACACCAGAAGTCAAGTGGAGTTCCTACAAGTGAGGAGGTGATCCTGTATGGGTACTACTCCTGGTACCCTGGAAATGGCTGCCCATCCCTATACTAGGGATTTTATTTATTTTTTCCTTTCTTTGAGACACGGTCTCACTCTGCTGCCCAGGCCAGAGTGCAGTGGCACAATCACAGCTCACTGCAGCCTCGATCTCCAGGCCTCAAGTGATTCTCCTACCTCAGCCTCCCAAGTAGCTGGGATTACAGGTGCATGCACCATCACGCCCGGCTAATTTTTTGCATTTTTTGTAGAAACGGGTTTTTGCCACGTTGACCAGGCTGGATTAATGATTTTCTAATAGGGAAAGTCACAAGGAGGTGGAGGATATGATTATTAGAGGCAGGGAAGTATGTGATATGGGGGAAGATTCACAGAAGAGTTTAGGAAAAGGCTGCTATACTGTGGACGAAGTCTCAGATCAGAAGGGTGAGCTGTGTTACAGGAGGGAAGAGTGTGTGGAGCCTGAAAGCTCTAGAACTTCTAGAACCCTGCAGTTACATGGGCTCTCCTGCTGGCCATGTGATGTAGTGGGAATAAGCGAGGTGCTGGTGAGCCCGAGTTGCCTGTCTCTTCTATCTGGTGTCACTGCTGCACAAAAATGTGGAGTTCTCTCTCCCAGGTTCACTCATATCAAGCAGGTGCTAGCCAAGCAATCCTGTTAGAAAGTCAGGTAGGGTTGCAAGAAGCATAAAGCCTTAAAGCTTTCTAGGAACTATAGCTGCTTAATTACATTTGTGATGCTTGCATCAAATGACTGCAAACGGACATGAAAGTCTGAAGAAAAAACAAAGGTCAGTGTTGTACTTTTTATATTGTCTGATGCTCTATGAAAGCCTCATCTTGTCTACATTGTCTCTGAGGAAAGTGAGAATTTTTTTAACTACACAGACTCCCCAACAACTGTTGGAATATTGCCCAAGGAAAGTGTCTTGCAGAGCTGAATCAAATACAAAATGCAGCCTGATTTTGTTAGCAGAAAGAGTCCACTAGACTGACAGCACAGCCCTTTGCGCTGGTGGCCATTAGTGGCTTGCTTAATGTTATTGTGGCAGCTGCCTGGACACTTTCCCTGCACTCTTTGTTGTCCTGGGGGTACTGGTCCATCCAGAGGGGTTAGGCTGAGTGGAAGGAGGCGTCCATGAATCATCCTCAGCAGAGAATAGGAACTTAGCAAAACTGAAAACAAAATGGGAGATAAATGCAGTAAGACCCTTTGAAGGAAGGAAAACTGGGAAGGGGGCAGGGAGAAGACTGCTGAAAGCCCCGGATGAAGTTCCATAAGAGTTTTCCACTGTGAGTTATTGACATGGCTCCAGTATCCCCAGCTTCCCTTTACTTTTAGCCCTAGTGACTAGGAGATGTGAAGGTGGAAAGGGGAGATGTGAAGAGCCAAAGCGACGGTCCTCAATCGAAGCAGAGGCCCCAGGACTCCATGATCAAGCAGAGGACTGACCTAAAACCCAAAGGCATCCCACCACAGGAACAGGATGATGCTGTCCTGCAGATATGGAGTGAACTTGATCCAGAACATTTAACCAAGGTATGTGAGTTTTCCACCCTGCCACACCTTCAAATGCCCAGGCTTTTCACTGGCCTTAAAAGTCCATGCAAGCAGGTTTCAGATGGTGGCAATAAGTGAAGAAACAATTGATTCATGCAAGTGGGTTGTGGCAGAGCCAAACCTTTATCTTCATGGTTGGAAGTGAATAGATAATACGTAAAATGATAGATCAAGAAATAGCAGTATTTATTTCTGAGACATATGGAGGTAAACAAGAAGTAATAGGTCCGGGTGCGGTGGCTCATGCCTGTAATCCCAGCACTTTGGGAGGCCAAGACAGGAGGATTGCCTGAGCTCATGAGTTTGAGACCAGCCAGAGCAACATAGTAAGACTCAGTCTTTACAAATTAGCTGGGCATGGTGGCATGTGCCTGTAGTCCCAGCTACTTGGGAAGCTGAGGTGGGAGTGTCCCTTGAGCCTGGGAGATCGAGGTTGCAGTAAGCCATAATCACACCATTGCACTCCCTCCAGCCTGGCCACAGAGGGAGACCCTGTCTCAAAAAAAAAAAAAAAAAAAAAAGGAAAAGAGGTAAAAAGAAATCCAGTACAGTTGCTGGAGATCAGAATCAGAGAGAAGAGTAGGGGAAACTACTATTTTTTACAGATTGTTTTAAGTATGATTTGATATTTTGAACTAAATATACTTCTTTGATAAAAATTAAAATTATATTTTAAGAAAATATTATGTGGGTCATTTGCAACATGTCTGCAGCCCAGAGGCAGTCTGTGGTTGTCAGTTGTCAACCACTAAACCACCAGGTTTCTGGAGGGAGGCAGTAGGCAAATGGGCACCGGACCTCCTGAGAAGCAGGAGATCAAAACCCCATTTGGTCCCTTTTCAGGAAACAGGCAGTGAAGCATGAGGTTACATTCATAGACCACAGAGTCAGACCACAGGGTTCAAGTTCCATCTCTGCTGCCTGTCAGCCCTGTGACCTCTGACAAGCTACTGAGCCAACCTGCGCTCCCATTTTCTCATGAACCCTCACAGATGTCATTCGAGAATTGAGTTATCCATGGACAGTGCTTAGAGGGGTGCCTGTGACACACTACGTACAGTAACTATGAAAGAGCTTGATATTAACATTATTGTAAAGTGCAATATTCTTAAGCTGTCTTTGGTAGACTACAGTGGCCCCAACACCAGTCAGCTGGCAAAAGACAGGAGGAGTTTGTAATGGGAAACTCGCCAGAGAGGAAGGGAAGAGGAAGGTCAAGCTGACCTCTTAGGTGCAATCCCCAGGCTTTCCTGGACACCCTATCTCCTTGATCCTGGAAATCACCCCCCATCCAACCTCTGCACTGCGGGCATGCCTCACGGGAGAAAGGCTTCCATGTGAAAACACTTAAGCTGCCTCTCACTGAAACATGAAAATGCAGTGCCCAGCATGCAACACGTCTTGGTTTTCAACAGACTCTGAAGGGTGGAAAGAGCAGAAATGGCAGGAGAGACATAGGCTTCCTGGTCCCATTTTACATTTTCTTTTTCCTCACTATATTGTAACAAGGACAGAATCCGTGACTTAAGTAAACCTGTAGTTCCTGAACTTGTCAACAATGAGACAGGACTCTGGGAAGAAAGACATTCTCAGGCTGGGAGAGGGGAAGAGGATGTTGAACTGTGGAATGTAAGCATCATAAGACATTTTTTAAATTTGTAAGAAAAGCTGATGAAGTAGGAAAAGTGATGGCCACACCCCAACCTCATATATAATATTAATGTGTGTGTGTGTGTGTGTGTGTGTGTGTGTGTGCAGAGAGACAGAGAGAGAGAAAGAGAGAGGGAGTTGAGTCTATTCTCTCTTTCCTACTTCAAGACCTCATTGCAGTGATCCCTATAAGGAGGGAGGGAGGGAGGTAGGAACAAGGGAAGGAAGGAAGGAAGGATGGAAGGAAGGAAGGAAGGAAAATGAAGGGGGGAAGGAAGGGAGGAAGCAGGAAAGGAAGGAAAGAAGAAAAGGAAGGGAAAGAAAGGAAAGGAAAGGAAGAAGAAAAAAGGAGAAGAAGAAAGAACAAGGAGGAAGAGAAGAAAGGGGGAAGGACAGAGAGTAGAGGAGGAAGGAGAAGAGGAGGAGAGAGAAAAGTGAGCATGGAAGTGGAACTTAAAGGTTGAGACTTTCTCCCTCAAACAGAGAGCCCCATCCTAACATTCGTCTGCCTAAACATCTCTGGAAATAAGTCACTACCTGAAAAAGCTCTTCATTCCACTGGCAGAAAGCTCGAGTTGTTAGGAAACTTTCACTTTGTGGCAGCCACTAGCAGGCACCTTGCAGCACTCCAGCTGCCGGGAGAGCAGCTGCCCATGGGCCCAGCTGCAGCCAGGCCTCCCACGGGCTGCTCCCAGCCAGAGGTTGTACTGACCCAGATTCCATGGCAGATGCAGGACTCCTCTGATGGCACAAAATAAAGGACTCCTAGGGCTTTGAGGAAGCTTTCTTAGACTGCTGGGTACCTCTCCAGCCCTTGGGCTGGGCTTGCCTCAGAGTCTGGGGGCTCTCCTTCCCTTGCGTAGCTCCCCTACTCCATTCCCTCACAGGTGCATTCCCTTAGTAAGATCCTCGCATGTTTAACCTCATCATGGTGTCTGCTTCTTGGAGCATCTGGACTAACACATACATAAACTGAGACAAAGTCTCTTTGTTTTCACTTATTGGTCCCAGTTCTATCCACAGGAATCACTGTGTAAGTCTAATGTACTGTGGCTCCAGTTTTTCTAGCCAAGTATTCATAAAAGCACTGAACTGTCCTGTGTGTGTGCACATATGGGTATGAGCATGTAAATGTATGTGTATGTGTGTAAGAGTGGGGCTGGGGTGAAGAGAATAGCAGGAGAGGTAAAATCTGATGAAGAAAGGGTGAGAAGACAGACCCAGTGAGATAAGGGAGACCTGAAGCTGATGACTTCCTGTAAAACATAAATGCTGAAACTTCGCCTTAGTGTGAAAGCCTCGGCAGATACACAAAGGGAGCATAGAAGACATTGAAAGGTTAGTCAAGGACTTTCATGGGCCCAGCAACCTTCAAGGAATAGATAATTTCAACATTGTTTGAATTGTTGCAGCGCATAATAAAGCACGGAAAGTTTCCCAGCTCATTAAAATCAGCTGGTATAACACAGATATCAAAATGCACAATGGCCAGGCGCGATAGCTCACGTGTGTAATCCCAGAACTTTGGGAGGCCAAGGTGGGAAGATCACCTGAGGTCAGGAGTTTGAGACCAGCCTGGCCAACATGGTGAAACCCCTGTCTTTACTAAAAATACAAAAATTAGCCGGGTGTGTTGGCGGGCACCTGTAATCCCAGCTACTAGGGAGGCTGAGACAGGAGAATCATTTGAACCCAGGAGGTGGAGGTTGCAGTGAGCTGAGATCGAGCCAATGCACTCCAGCCTAGGTGACAAGAGCAAAACTCCATCTCCAAAAAAAAAAGCACAACGATAGCCTGCACCCACATACACAGAGACACATACACACACCCAGGAAAGAGGAGACCCGTGTCAGTTACAATAACAACAATGAGAACATTTACTGAGTGTTTACCATGTCTCACAGACTGTTCTAAGGGTTATATACCTCACCATAATGCTGGGAGGCAAGATCTCTCACTATTATTCCCTTCTTATAGATGAGAAACTAAGAGAAATTAAGTAATTTACCCAAGGCCACAACCCCAGTAAGTAGTGGGATCGTGATGAATACAGACATAAAATCCTCAGAAAAATATTGATGAACTGAACCTATTATTTAAACAACTACTACAACAACAACATGACCCTGTAAGGCTTATCCCAGGAATGCAAAACTACTCAAAAAAAATTAGGAAATTTATTGATTGATATCACTATATTAAGAAAACAAGGGGAAAAAAATATAAAAATTATTAACAGCTGCAATAAACTGAATGTTTGTACACCCCTAAAATTCATATGTTGAAATACTATCCCTAATGTGATGGCATTTAGAGGTGGAGAGGCCAGGAAACTAGCCAGCTAAGAAGAAGGACTTCACCAGAGCCCCTCTGTGCTGGCACCCGGATCTCAGACCTTTAGCCTACGAAACGGTGAGACATCAGTTTCTGTTGTTTATAAGCCACCCAGTACTTTGCTATAGCAGTCTGATTGCACTAAGACAATAGCCAAGAAACCAACGGCACCATTATGCTCAACAGTGAAATACTGAAAGCATCCTCTGCCAATCCCGACCAGCGTAATAAAAGAGAAAGATTTAAGAAATCAAAACACAGCCTGGCCAACATGGTGAAACCCCGTCTCTACTAAAAATACAAAAATTAGTCAGGCATCGTGGTGCACACCTGTAATCCCAGCTACTCGGGTGGCTGAGGCCGGAGAATTGCTTGAACCCGGGAGGCGGAGGTTGCAGTGAGCTGAGATCATGCCACCGCACTCGGGCCTGGGTGACAGAGTGACACTGTGTCTCAAAATGTAAATAAAATAAAACATATTTAATAAGCAAAGATACTTCTTAAAATAGTACCAAAAAGATAACATATTTTTGGATAAACTTTTAAAAGTAAATATAATAAAAGTGCAAGTTCTAATGAAGAAAATGTTTAATGATACTGAGGAACATCAAAGATGATTTAAATAAATAGAGCAAAACGTATTTGTTTTTATAGGAATGCATGATGTGAATAAGATATCAACTCTATACTAAAGTTATTCATAAAGTTTAATGAATCCCTTCCCTTCTCCTCACTCTCAAATCAGGTTTTCTTAAGAACTACAGAAGCTGATTCCAGTTTGCATTAAAAAAAAAAGGCAAAATAACCAGAGAGATTTTTTTAAAGTAGACTAATTAGATGGCACAACATTTCCAGATATTAAAACATTGTATAAACTTAAATAAATAGTTGCTTCATAGGCATAAATAGATCAATGTAACACACTGAAGAGTTAAAAAATAGTCTTAAATACACAAAGGAATTTAATCTATAATAAAGGCTGGATTTCAGACAAGTGAGGGAAATATTATGTATTGCTTAATAAATGGCATTGGCAGAATAGTTTGGCCATCTAGAAAAACAATTATGTAAAGACCTCACCTCATTTCTTCATTGAATAAATTTCAGGTGGATCAAAGCTTTTAGTGGAAATGTGAAACCACAAAAGAATAAAATAAATAGAATGATAGAATAAAATTTAGGAGAAATTTGCTTGGGGGAAAAGTTGTCTGTATTTAATTTTAGAGCAGAGAAAGCCTTCTTAAGCAAGGCATAAAACCTAGAAGATATTTAAAAAAAAAAAAACTAAAAACAAGATGAGGCCGGGCACAGTGGCTCATGCCTATAATCCCAGTACTTTGGAAGGCCAAGGCAACGGGCAGATCCCCAGGTCAGGAGTTCAAGACCAGCTTGGCCAACATGGCAAAACCCCATCTCTATTAAAAATACAAAAATTAGCCAGGTGTGGTGGCACACGCCTGTAGTCCCAGCTACTCGAGAGCCTGAGGCGTCGCTTGAGGAATCACTTGAACCCAGGAGATGGAGGTTGAAAAAGACTGATAAGATGCACTGCTGGGATGGTAGGCAGCAATAAGCATATTTGACCATTATTGATTGGATTATAAATTCAAGTAGCATTTTTGGAGAGCAATCTATCAAAGGCTTCAATATGCTTAGCCTTTGCCCCAAAGGTTCCGCTTCTATGAATTTGTCCTTTAGTCACTTGTATATTCTTCATGTGAAATATCATGCAACCCAAAAAATGAAGTGACTGTATTATTGATATGGAACTATCAAAATCATAAAACAACATGTATAAAATTATTTTTGTAAATAATAAGGCAAGTGAAAAAAAATTTTTTTTTTTTGAGACGGAGTCTTGTTCTGTTGCCCAGGCCGGAGTGCAGTGGCACGATCTCCACTCACTGCAACCTCCACCTCCCAGGTTCAAGCGATTCTCTTGCCTCAGCCTCCTGAGTGGCTGGGATTACAGGCATGCACCACCATGCCTGGCTAATTTTTTTGTATTTTTAGTAGAGACGGGGTTTCGCCATGTTGGCCAGGCAGGCTGGCCTCAAACTCCTGGCCTCAAGTAATCCACCTGCCTCAGCCTCCCAAAGTACTGGGATTACAGGTATGAGCCACCACGCCCGGCCGACAAGTGAAAAATTTTAAAACTCTCAAATGCATGCGCACTTATATGTGGTACAATGCCTAGAAAAACATCTGGAAGAATATCCACAAAAATTGTTAAAGTTCTATTGAAAGTGGTAGGAGAGAAATATAAAAGGGAAGTTTATCTTTTTTCTCACTAAATTGATAGTTATTGTGTAATAACATATATTTTTTAATATTTGTAAATTTTAAGCTAGGAAATTCTACTTGTAGAAATTCATTCTAGGAAATGATCAAAAAATCTTTTTTGTTCGCTCACTGGCCCTTAATTCAGGAATATAAAAATCTTGAAAGATTTTATGCCTAAGGATTTGTATAGAATTATGACTTTATAATAGTGAAAACTCTAGCAACAACCTACATGTAACCTAAATGTAAGTCAATGATGATAAATCCACTGTATATAATGCTCTGCTGACATTAAAATATTTACTGAAAAAGTCATAAAACTCATGGACAAATACTTATAGAGTTAGTTTGCAAAAAATTAAAAATATGGCTAGTTGCAGTGGCTCATGCCTGTAATCCCACCACTTTGGGTGGCAGAGGTGGGCTGATCACTCGAGCCCAGGAGTTCGAGACCAGCCTGGGCAACATGGTGAAACACCATCTCTACAAAAAATACAAAATTCAGCTGGGCATGGTGGTGTGAGCCTGTAGTTCCAGCTACAGCTACTCAAGAGGTTGAGGTGGGAAGATCATCTGGGCCTGGGAGGTCAAGGCTGCAGTGAGCCGAAATCACACCACTGCACTCTGCTCTAGGCAACAGAGTAAGACCCTGTCTCAAAATAAATAAATAAATAAATAAAAATATGCAATACAACCAATTACTTAAAGATTACCCTTCATTTACTTAAGTGCTTTATAGGTTTTATGGAGGAGAACCATTATTTGTTGCTTGCAAGTGGTTGACTTCCTAATCAAGCAATTCTTATATTTACAGCTTCAAGAACATTTTGTAAAAAAAAGTAGGAGAAGATATAGCTTGGATCACATGAAATCCTAGATAATCTAAGAATGTATTTAAAATAGTAAGTTTAACCTTCTACTAGAATTAAGTATGTTTTCCCCTTAATCAGTAGCCAAACTAATTAAGCTGAATTTTTCTGTTCATGCCCTCTCTGCAAGATTTGTAGAGGAAAAAATATATATATATCTAAAAGGCTAACCATAAGAGGAAAATTGAAGAAAATAGCCTCAATAATTCACAAACCAGATAATGAGCTCCTGATTAAAGCAGCTGGCTCTAATGCCATCAACACTTTTAAGACAAATTCTTAATTGCCCTACATGTTTTAATGTTGTATCTCAGTTTAGAAAAGTACCAAATTACTTCCATAAATTGCCATTTTCCACAGATGTTATGTTTAACATTATAAGCAACATGCATGTGACAGATGTTTTAACCCGCAGCTCTAGGAAAGGTTTTTAATATGAAGTTTAATTGCAGGGCCCTGGAGCCTTATCTTTGAAAAGTGACTTCATTTTAAATAGCCCTACTATTTAGATAAACAACCAAAGTGTTTCTTAACCACTAATAGGCCAAAACACACACACACACACACACACACACACACACACACAAGAAGAAAGAAAGAAAGAGAGAAAAGAAAGAAAGAAAAAGAAAGAAAGAAAGGAAGGAAGGAAGGAAGGAAGGAAGGAAGGAAGGAAGGAAGGAAGGAAGGAGAGAAAGAAAGAAAGAAAGGAAAACAAACAAACAGGGAAGGGATGAAAGCCTGACCAAGCCTGAGAAATGAAAAATAGTGGCAGACCTTTGAAATCGAAATAAAAGTACAAAATTTGAAGACTCACACTGTCTTGCCTCATTCTGGACCTGCCTCCACATTTCCCACAACTAATTATCTGAAGAATGGAAGGTAAATGTGCAATTGCTTTTTTTTCCTAAATTATGTTTTTTCTAATTACAATCTTAAACCTTGACCTAACTGTCTCATCTTTGGGGTCTCTGCATTTAGCTTGGTGCCCAGCTTTGTGTCTGGCTATAGGCACTCTATAAATCATATAGTCAAATAGGCTTATGTGGTGGCCACTCATTTGTTGTCGTTTGGATGTATTCATCCTGAACTCATCCCGAACTCACCCTTGACTAGGTACCTTGAATTTGTGGTCATTGATCAGGGGACTTTAAATGCTGATCTGAGTCACTGCTTTCATTGGCAAAGGAATGAGGGCTGTGAATTGGGGATTGTTCTCAGACCCAATGACGTACTGAGAGAAGAGATCATGGCTCCACACTCTGCTAACAAACTCTTTTTTACTGACTATAAATGCTCTACAGCTGAACTCTGTACAAAACCCTAAGCACTTTCAAGATCTCAAAATACTCTCTATATATTTAAAGCAAACAAAGATAAAGCTCTCCCGTGATGAAAAAAAAAAAAAAACCTGAGTAAATGGAAAGAAATGCAATTCAGAACAAGTACCATTTTTAATCTACCAAATTGGCAAAGACTAAAGAGAGGATTATAATATGCATTGTTAGAGACGGAATGTGGAATTCTACTCTCAGATACACCATTGGTGGGAGTGTTAATTAGGAGAAAATATATGGATGGCAATTTGGAAATATGAACCAAATGTCTTCAAAAAGTGCGTACCTTTTGATTAGGAATTTCTATTCATTGGAATGTATTTCAAAGAAATAACTAAGAAGTGTGCAAAATTTAGTGATAAGGATAATCATTCAAGGCCAAGCACGGTGGCTCACGCCTGTAATCCAAGCACTTTGGGAGTTCAAGGCGGGTGGATCTCTTGAGACCAGGAGTTCGAGACCAGCCTGGCCAACATAGCAAAACCCCAATATTCCTGCTGAAAATACAAAAATTAGCTGGGCATGGTGGCACACATCTGTAATCTCAGCTAAGAGATTCAAGAGGCTAAGGCACGAAAATTGCTTGAACCCGGGAGACGGAGGTTGCAGTGAGCTGAGACTGCACCACTGCACTCCAGCCTGAGTGACAGAGTAAGACTCTTGTCTAAAAAAAAAAAAAAAAAAAAAAAAAGGGATAATCATTCAAGTATTGACCTTAGTAGTAAAAAACAGGGAAAAATCTAAATATACAACAAAGGAGAAATGGTTAATTTGGATATTTTTACCCAGTGTAAAACTATTGGGCCATTAAAAATATTTATTGTCATGGAAAGCTATCTGTAATAAGTATCAATTTAAAAAATGTTACTAAACAGTATATAAATCACTATCTTATCTTTTCATACATAGTGTAATTGTATATACATGCACAGAAAAGGGAGTAAAAATATAGATTTCAAATTGTTAACAGTATTAACATCTCTGAGTGGTAGAAAAGTGTTATTTTCTGATACTTTTACATTTAAGTATAAATTAACTACCTCTTATAGAATATTTTAAATAACACTAAAAAAAGGGTAAAATGAAAGAAAAAAATTTAATGAGTAAAATCCATAGATTAATCTCAAGCTTTCCATATGTGAAAGGAATGAAAGTACTCACACATACATAAGACCAAAATATTTGACATTTAAAAATTTAAACCTCTGAACATTTTTAAATCTTGAAATTAAAGTAACAAGTTGAAATGATAGCCAGGATTTTAACAAAAGGGTTAATAGTTTTAGGTGCAAAAAGAGCTCTCACAAGTCAATGATAAAAATATGAGTATCTCAATTTATTTTTGAATAAATGAAAAATAAGAACAGGCCTCTGTTAGCCCATAGGGTGCAACTGTACAAATGTTGGAAGGTACAACTTTGGGTAGACGCCAGAGGGGAGCACAGCTGGATCTCAGCCCCAAAGTCCCCCTCAGCCAAGTTCCCTCTCCTCCAGAACATAACACAATCATAGGTAGTAGCCAGGGTAAAAGCAAGAGCTTCACTAAAAAGAAATACAAATTACAAAATAAAAATCTGAGAAAATGTTTAATCTCTTTAACTATCAAATTGCAATTTTTTTTTTTTTGCCTTGCAAATAAACAAATTACAATTGTCATTTACTGGTGAGACAATGAGAAAAAGACACCCTCAAACACTGTTGGTAGAACACAAATTGTTAAAATCTTTCTAGGAGTCATTTTCAAATTATGTATCAATGACCTAAAAATATTTATGTCTCCTGTTCTTATACTTCCAGAAATCTATTCTACAGTAATAACCGGAGATAAAAACCTTTACATATAAACATGATTTATTATACTGAAAAGTCAAAACAACATAAATATTAAAAATAGGAGGTGGTAGATTTCACCTTTAAATGCTATGTACGAGAATACTTAAGGGATTGGTAAAGTACCAATAGTATAGTATTAAGTGGAAAATGCAGAATGGCATGAATGATGTAAAAAAGAGAATCATAATTTGCACACTCTTTGTAAAACCACATTGATATACTATGCATGCACATATTAGAAACTGTAAGAAAAGACAAAGTATTAACAGGGTGCTGGAATTATGAGTGATTTTTCTTCTAGATACTTGTTTCTATTTTCCAATTTTTCCCCATAAGCATATATTATTTTCATAACCAGAAAAAGAAACCTCCCAGGAAATGCTTCTTTAAAAAGTAAACACATACAATGCAAAACTGTATCATAAAACAGTTGCAATAAAAGTCAGCCTGGGCAATAGCATTGAAAGCTAGGAGGCAGGTCATTCACAAATGCTTCACAACAGCAATTTATAAAATAATTCATTAAATATGCAGTACAATAAAAATCTCTGTATCATAAAAACATTTTCAACTTCTTCCACACTCTAGAACTATTTGCTACAATGACAACATCAAAATCTAGTTAGCCCTGAAAGCTCTAAATAGCATGTTTAATTTTGTTCTTCTTTCCAAGCACACTTGGATACGCTGCAGCGGAAAAACTTGGAGCTTGTAATTCAACGTGTCCTGGGATTCGACCACATGGGTATTTTATTGCTTAGGAAGGATTATGAAGGCTAACAAGCATAACGATACTACTGCTGCACCAGTTCAACTTCAGGATGTTAAAAGTGATAAACGACTTGTGTCCCAAATTTTGTGAACAAAATCGAAA
Organism: Homo sapiens; assembly: GCF_000001405.40. Taxonomy (NCBI): domain Eukaryota; kingdom Metazoa; phylum Chordata; class Mammalia; order Primates; family Hominidae; genus Homo; species Homo sapiens. Next base: position 101,505,754 of record NC_000008.11, on the reverse strand, counting down.
TGCAAATTTGTGTTTTTCATGTGGCTGAATATGATACAAAACATACCTTATAGAATGTTTGCTAAAACTAAAGATAAACACAAGATAAAAGGAGACTGTAGTCCTTCCCTCAACCCTCCCACAAGCCCCGTAAGGATAGGTGCCTTTATTTACACTGTTTTTTTTTTTTTTTTTTTTGAGACAGAGTTTCACCCTTGTTGCCCAGGCTGGAGTACAGTGGTGCAATCTCGGCTCACTGCAACCTCCGCGTCCCAGGTTCAAGAGATTCTCCTGACTCAGCCTCCCGAGTAGCTGGGATTACAGGCATGGACCACCACATCCGGCTAATTTTGTATTTTTAATAGAGATGGGGTTTCTTCATGTTGGTCAGGCTGGTCTCAAACTCCCGACCTAAGGTGATCCACCCGCCTCGGCCTCCCTAAGTGCTGGGATTATAGGCATGAGCCACCACGCCCGGCCCATTTAGACTTTTAACATCCGAAGAACATCATGATTTTTTAAAAATATTAGATATAGTATTTGAGGTTTGAAGAATTTCTATACAATATGAAGAAAAGGATGGGGGAGGGGAGGGCCAGTTGGGAGTGGGAGAGAAGGGGCAATTGCAAATTCACTTTTGAGCACACGGCCAAAATGTATACCTACTAGTTCCTGTTTCACCACCTCTGTGTTTATTCCGCAGCCGAAGATTGCTTTGGTTTTGCTCACATTTTACAAAAGTTCATTTCCACCTTTTTTTTGTTGTTGTATTTTTAGCCTCCTCTTTTTTTTTTTTTTTTCCTAATGCAATGTTGGCAACTTCAGTGACTCTGGGAGGCCAGTTTCCCCAGCAAGTTCCCATCAGGTACTTTTTGTTCCCTGCTGTGGATGCTTCTTGGATAGGTTGATAAGCAAAGAAGTTCACGTTGGCGACAACACTTCCATTAAAGACGCGTGCAGTAAATCCTATGATGCAATCTCCTGCAGCTTAACTAGCAGACCCAAGCTGGTCTGGCATGATCTATGCACCAGCTTGCAGAAGCAGTCAGATGAGTCACTGTGTGGCCCTCCAGGGAGAAGCAAGTCTATACTCTAAAAAAAATATAAATTTTTATTCTAGAAAATACAAAAAAAAAACCCGACCTTGCCTACAACTACCTTTTGTTTTTAAAGGAAGTCATATTCCAGGCTCTCCCTGTCCCTTCAAAAAAGCTCAAAACTGGACCCAACACCAAGTCTCTCCCATGAACATTCAGGCGGGGTCTGAGGTGGTGAGGCCAGCAGGTTTGCCTCGAGAGAGTTTGCTTCAAGTGAAACTCCATAGGCACATGCAGCCCACTGAGTGGAACAAACTGAGTTTCTTTCATTCTTAGTCATTCCTCAGCTTCAAATTATACACATGTTGGAAACTTATACACCTACTTTTGCTATTTTGAAAAATCACTGGATTTAATGATTGGACTTAACACATATGCAAATCTAAAAGGACAAGGTTGTGGAGACACAGATAATGAATCTACAGGTCACTAAGGAATAGCACAGAACCGACAGGCAGCATGCCAGCGTGAAGGGCAGCGTGGCATTCCTGGGACAGAGAGGAGAGGGCAGGGATTTCTGCAGGGGATCGGGTCAATTCTACCTGCAACAAGCAAGCAGCAAGTAGGCTTTTCCGTTTTATTTAGAGAAGTGTGTATTATTCTTAAGTGTCTCCACTTAATAACTATTTTTATATACAACCTTTAATTTTTTTAAATACATACATACATAAATACATAAATGCATAAATAAAATTTATCCTTAATTACAAAAGCAGTGCAAGCTCACATCAGCACAATAGGAAAACACAGAGAAACACTAACAGACAAAAAAGTACCTTTATTTTATACTTAAGAGAGAAAACCACTGTTAACTTTTTGTGTTTTTTCTGAATTCTTTATTCTTCATCTTTTTATGCCTATAAACATTCTGATATAATACATCATGAACACTTTCTCTTATCATTAAGGATTTTTTCATTAATGTGATGTGTAATGCTTGCATAGTGTCCCATCATCTCACTAAACCATGATTTACTAAACCAACCCTTGATAGCCAGGCTTTTAGGGTTATACTGATTTTTCACTTTTAAAAATCATGTGGCACTTTATATCTTTAGTTATGTCTTTAAGACAAATCCCTGAAACTGGAATTTAGTTATCAATGGGTAGACCCATTTCAACCAGTTTTGCCAAACTGCCTTCCAGAAAGTTTATGATAAATTATAATACTCCAAAAATATATTTTACCCGAACCCGGTTTTGTTAATTTTAGCCACTTTGACAGAGAAACTTAGAATATCTCTGTTATATCATCTGTATTTTCTTATCACTAATACAGCTTACAGCTAATATTATTTTCTGTCTTTATTAGCCACTTATACAGCTTTTACTAATTGTCTACTCATGCTCTTTGACCACCTTTCTATTGAGGTATTTGTTCTTTTTAAAATTATTTTCCAAAATATGTAAGATACACATATTCTTAAAAGTATACACCAGGACTCCAGAGCAACTTAAAAATCCTAGTTTGCAGAGGAAACATAAATGTCCTGTGACCTAATCAAAATTCCCTCCAACATGAGAACCTTTCAGGGGCAATTGACTTCAGAAAAAGTCGACTTCAGAGACTTTTAAATTCTATAACACAGTAGGATACCAGAGGAGATTTTATTCCCGACCTAAATAAATGATCATTGTGTGCCCTGAAGTGAAATAATATATTACCTTATCCTTGAAGTGAAACTGCGGCTGCTATTCTTATCCTTATATTATTTGAAATCTCTTCTGAACATTTACTAAACTATTCACTTGGCAATATTTTTTGACAGTGGGTGTCTGTGAATTACATTTTATTAAAAGGAGTAATAGGGAAAGGGAGAAGGGGGAGAAAGAAAAAAAAGAAGGAGAAGGGGACAGAGAAGAAGAGAAGGAGAAGAAAGAGGATGAGGAAAAGGAAGAGGAGGAAGAGGAGAAAGAATAGGAGGAAGAGGAGGAGGAGGAGGAGGAGGAGGTCATCCCTTTCACCTACTTAAGGTTTTCAGCTTACTAAATTTTAGTCAATGTTCCATTCATTCTTATATTGCCTCACTCTCACTCCATGAGCCTGCCAGAATGAACACTTCCTGGGCTGTCTCTGGGAAGAAGTTCTCAGCGTCCCTGCCAGCCCATTTTATCTGATTTTCTTGTACCACTTTTCTACCATCCCAGCAAGGCTGTGCGGGAGTCCGCTAGTTAAACCATTGATTTCACTGCCTTGCTGCCCTTCTGAATTCCATGTGATCCTCTGAATTCCTCCTGCCTTCCAAAAGTCTGCCATCTGAATCAGACCACCGTTGATTTTGGTGAAGGAGGTGAGGGGGCTTGGGAGCAGAAGCAGGTCCCACTGTGCCTGTAACCTCCTGTCTTGCTAATGTTCATGGCCCCTGCTGTGAGCCACCACCAGCCCAGACCCCTCTGGAGGGAGAAAATGAGACACAGAATATAGGAGCAGGTAATTATTCACGGAGATCATTTAGTTCAATTCCATTTTACAGATGAAAAATAATGAAAGAAGAATCTTCTGATCTTATGTTAATTATCTTATTGGCAATGCAGGAAAGAGGCAAAAGCTACCTTTGTTCCTTGTTTCTTTGAAAAGTTAGATCCAAGAAGTACAGAAGGCAGTTATTTTATGGGACTCACTGAACTGAGAACCAAAAAACAATGATTTGGGGTGAGTGTGGGAAGAAAAGTCAATTTTAACTCCCCAGTAATGGTATCAGAATCTTAACCAGGTATTTCACAGACTCACGTTCATGGTTTAAGAAGTAAACATGCAGTGCTAATCTTGCTCTCAATCTTTCTTAAAAAAAAAAAGCATGTTTTTTCAAACTAATCAAAACTCCAAATTTTCAATTTATACTTAGAATCCCAAAATGAAACACAGAAGAAAAAATGTAAGATTTCTTCTTACATTTCTTCTCAATCCAGGCTTTTAGATCAAAATCCTATACTTGCTCACTCACATGCCCTACGATGCATTTGGATGATCCCTAAGGCTCTTTCTAGCTCTAGGATTCTAGATTGCAAATTAAAACCAAAACCAATTATCTAGGAGGCCAAACAGCCACATGCTGTCGCACCCTAGGCCCCGGCAGCAGCCCCTGCTGGCCGCTCACACTCCACTGAGAAAACACTGGCAACTTAACAGTAGTTAAGCAGTTTCTTCCTGCTCCCTTCTGTCCTCTCCTTTCTCCACTCCTCTCTCCTTCACTTCAGCCTTTCCTTGTCTCCTAAAACCCTGATCTAAATTCATGGGCCTTAAAAAAGAAGGGACTCTGGCTCTCAGGGTTAGTTATATTTGTATATTCAGAGTTCAGATGAAAGGCTGGCGCCAAAATAAAGAGAAGCCACAAGCAATTCTTGCTTTCCGTTTCTGTTCCGGAGGGTATCTGCATTCACACTTGTAAAGGAAGCATTTCCTTGGGAGTGAAAGTGAAGTGCTCCCCACAAAGTTCATTGCCATGTTCATTACAAAGTAAAATAAGGTACTTCATCTACCACAGGCATTGATTGCTTTCCACTGAATGCCCATTCAAATGCATGAACAACCTCCAGAACCCTGACTTATTTTCAAAATATACATTGAAATCTCCTGAAATGCACCAGCTTTTCTAGCACTTCCTATAAGAATTCTTAAAATGTGTTATTTGATTAGTATTGTATGTGGCAAATCAAAAGGTGCTCTTTTTACAAATAATATTACTACTGCTCACCAAAACTCATGAAGCTGAAACACTTCTCTCTTCCCAGTATAATTGGGGATGGGAGGTAGAGATCCCCAAAGGAATGCTTTCTTATTTCTATCCCACTTAACCCATTATAATCCAGTACTTTTTTTTTTTTTTACCATTTCCAGTAAGAAACTTACAGCATAAAACACACTTTCGGTCGGGCGTGGTGGTTCATGCCTGTAATCCTAGCACTTTGGGAGGCCAAGGTGAATGGATCACCTGAGGTCAGGAGTTCGAGACAAGACTGGCCAAAATGGCGAAACTCCGTCTCTACTAAAAATACCAAAAAATTAGCCGGGCATAGTGGCGCACACCTATAGTCCCAGCTACTCAGGAGGCTGAGGTAGGAGAACTGCTTGAACCTAGGAGGCGGAGGTTGCAGTGAGCCGAGATCGTGCCATTGTACTCCAGCCTGGGCAACAAGAGCAAAACTCCAACTCAAAAAAATATATATATACACTTTTGTTATTACCTATTATAATACAGTTTACCATTTACCATTATAAGAAACTTACAACATAAAATGTGCTCTCCTGGTAATGGAAAAATAAACAAAACTGATCTGAAGAGCCTGAATTAATCCAAAGGAAGAAACTATGCAGGCAGGTAGATGGTAGGGTGAATCTGAAATTTGGAGGCCTAAATTTGAAGACCAGTGAAGCTATCTGAGGGACTCCCAGGTACATGTTGTTGTTACTAAGCAACCCACCAGTCCTCCTGGGCCAAAGCAAAAATTCCTATCCAGCCTGTTGCTGCTCATTAAGGAATTTTCCCTGGACAAGTTTGCCAAACCAATCACTACCCTTTATCAGGTTAGGCCTAGTTTTTTTTGTTGTTGTTTTTTGTTTGTTTGTTTTTATTTCTTGTTTGGTTGGTTGGTTGTTTTTTTCTGAGACAGAGTCTCACTCTGGAGTGAGGCTGGAGTGCAGTGGTGCGATCTTGGTTCACTGCAACCTCCACCTCCTGTGTTCAAGCGATTCTCCTGCCTCAGCCTCCTGAGTAGCTGGGAGTACAGGCACGTGCCACCATGCCTGGCTAATTTTTGTGTTATTACTAAAGACGGGGTTTCACCATATTGGCCAGACTGATATCGAACTCCTTACCTCATGATCTGCCTGCCTCGGCTTCCCAAAGTGCTGGGATTACAGGCATGAGCCACCGCGCCTGGCCAGGCCTAGTTTTTATAATTGAACAAGAGTCATTGAAAACCTCTTTAAAAGGAAGAGAGTATCAGTACCCTAGTGAATGCCAGGGATCATGAGTGAGAACTCTAACTTAGGGTAAGGCTTTTCTTATACTAAAAATGACTTCAAATTTTTCCAAGGTTAAACCTAGTTGACATCATCTGCTGCAATGATCTTACCTCTTGGCCCAGGTAACAAGGATGGGCTGCTGATGCTGTAAATACTGAAAGAATGCAGCAAAGTTCACTAACTATAGCAGCACCTAAAATCAGACTCACCGTTATCTCTATGCGCAGAAGCTGTGCAGTTCTCACCAAGTTAATATGGGAGGAAAAAAAAACCAGGAAAGTGACATTAGGGAGACAAACCAAGGAAGGAAAGAAGGGAAGGAGGGAACAAGAAGAAAATGTTAGTTTAAATAAGGGAGGAAGTAAGGAAGGGGAAAAATACTATGTAACCATAGTTAATTTTTTAACCAGAAACGTATGTCTATAGTTAGACCATAAGCCATAAAGAGGAACTGAGGCAGTTGCCTGAATTATCTAAAACTTTTTAAAAAGTAAATTTAACAACCTAACATCCAAAAAATCTGATTTGAATCTTCTGTACATTTGAAACAAACACTTCTTCAGGTGATTGGGTACTGTTAATGTTGTTTAAATGCTTCTGTGTATGTTTGATTTATCCAAGTACTTTTTTTTTTTTTTTTGAGACGGAGTCTTGCTGTCTCCCAGGCTGGAGCGCAGTGGCACAATCTCAGCTCACTGCAAGCTCTGCCTCCCGGGTTCACGCCATTCTCCCACCTCAGCCTCCCAAGTAGCTGGGACTACAGGTGCCCGCCACCATGCCTGGCTAATTTTTTGTATTGTTAGTAGAGACGGGGTTTCACTGTGTTAGCCAGGATGGTCTCGATCTCCTGACCTCGTGATCCGCCCACCTCGGCCTCCCAAAGTGCTAGGATTACAGGCATGAGCCACCACGCCCGGCTTTATCCAACTACTTTTCTAAATTCTCCTTTTACTTTCCTGAGCCTAGTAGAAATTGCTAGACATAGCTTTTCATTGATTGCTCTAATACTTACTCCTAATCTCCCTTAAGTCAGGTGGCACTGGGATCATTTGAATGGCCCAGACCCTGCAGTCAGTTTAAAACAGACCCTCGCTGTAGGCCAACAGAAGATCTAGTACCATCTTATCAGAGTAATACTTCAAGCTACCATGAGCCTTAGAAATGAAACTGCAATCATCATCCTATCAAATCATTTCACCAGAGACCAGCATCAAACTAGAGCTCTTTACCTTTGACTTTGCGCTACAAAATAGAATCTGAATTCAGTGAAACAACAGTCCTCAAAAAAGTGAACACCAAGCATGGCGGCTCATGCCTGCAATCTCAGCACTTTGGGAGGCTAAGGTGGGTGGATCACTTGAGGTCAGGAGTTTGAGACCAGCCTGGCCAACATGATGAAACCCCATCTCTATTAAAAATACAAAAAATCAGCCGAGCGTGGCAGCACACACCTGTAATCCCAGCTACTGGGGAGGCTGAGGCAGGAGAATCTCTTGAACTTGGGAGGCGGAGGTTGCAGTGAGCCAAGATTGTGCCAGTGCACTCCGGCCTGGGCAACAGAGCAATACTCTGTCTCAAAAATAAATAAATAAATAAAAATGTAAATAAATAAAAATTGAACACCAGCTCGCACATGAGTGGGATTCAGCCAGAAACCCTAGCTAGACCTTTGGCAGGCCTGATGGAGGCCCATGTGGGTGACATCACTTCAAATCAGTTCTTTTGCAGCTCTGGAAACATATTCCCCTTCAAAAAGACCCCTTTCTTCCAGAAGCAGCAGTTCAGCAAAACAATGAAAGCAAACAACATCTAGGGCAGGCCTAAGAAGTCTTATATCCATGTTAAAATCATATCTGAAGCTGTTCATCCAAGGTAGCATAAAGTAAAAGTCCACAGATTTCTTTCACTTACACATTGGATATACACCTGAAAAGTTGCATATAAATTGCATCTATTATGTAAACTAACATTAAGTTTAATTTGAAGCAGTGTTGCCCTATTTAAGGCAATTATAATGCCTGGAACATTGTTTAGATGGAAATTCCCTGTGCTCTCGCCTGGAGAATCTGATTCAACACTGCTGGGTTGGGACCCAGGGTGCCTCAGATGATATTTTATATGTTTTAAACTCAGGTGAGTTTGAGATGCAATGATTTTAGAAATTCCTGTGGAGATTCCTATTTTTAAGCATGTGCATCATCTACAACTTGTTTTTCAGTTAGGTTAACTTTGCCTGTATGTCAGTTTACTTCATTGAAAATGGGAAACTCACTAAAGCACATGCTATGCAGTGTTCCTCCAGACACAGTGGACAAATCCATGTTTTCTGATGGATATAGTTTATAGAAACTGAACAAGAGCAAGAGGAAGGCAGCAAGGGCAAATTTTACCTTGCACAAGCCTAATGTTAAGGAGTGGAGATGGTAGCTGAAGGTAGTAGGTTACACTACAAGTTTTAGGGAGGTGGGCGTGTCTGAGGAAACACTATCTGTACTTTGTCTCTCTTTAGTTTCAATCCCCAGGGATCCTCCAGAGTGTGTGCACTTATTCATCTCTGAATCAAGGAGTGTACAAGATTTAATCCATTGTAGGGAACAGAACTCTGGACCCCTCAACATTAAACTGGTGATACTCAGGGAAAGAAACAAGACTGAAGGTTCATCATTTACTCCTTAGGTATTACTATCTCTTGATTACCAAGACCACTTACAAGAATAATTTTGACTGTTTTGAGTGTGCAACTGTCCAGATTATTAAGTAGAGAACTGATCATGTTAATTTATTTGATGGTGCCGTTATCTCTGACTCTGATTCACCCACACAGAGCTCCTTTCTGGTCCTAGACCATGCTAACCACACTCTCACCTCAGGGCCCTGGCACTTGCTCTTCCACCTGCCTGTAACATTCTTACCCCAGGTATCTTAGGGCTTGATCCCTCACTTCACTCAGGCCTCCACTCAAAGCTCACCTCATTGGAGAAGCTGTCCATGATCACCCTATACAAAAGACCTCCCCATTATTCTCAATCCCTCCAGCTGGTTTTGCTTTCCTTCATAGCACTTATCATCATCTAATTAAATATATGTTTACTTTTTTGTTGATTTAGTGTCAACAAGCCTGCCCCTTTTCCCCCACCCCCAACACACACACAGTAAGCACCATGCAGGCAGGGACTAAGTTCTATTCACCAGTGAATCTCAATGCCAAGTATATAGTGGCATTCAAGGCATATTCTTTCAAAAAGTGAATGGGTATATGTATTGGTTTGAAAAAGATATGATAAATTCTTGACGTTTCTAACCTTAAAAGAAATTTTGCATAGCCAAATGTAAACAAGCATATGCATTTATAAAACTAAAGACTAGAGAGTTTAATTAAAATGTAGAGTCATCCCATTACTTGAAATGTTATCCACATGAGAGACCTATAACTTCAGCCATTTTCTGAATAATAGCAGGACTCCTTAACAAAAAACACACAAAATGACTGAAATTATCATAAGCAAAAATGCGATGAGTAGGGAGAGGCAGTTTATCATGACCTGTATTTTTTTTTTTTTTTTTTGAGATGGAGTCTCGCACTGTCACCCAGGCTGGAGTGCAGTGGTGTGATCTCAGCTCACTGCAACCCCCGCCTCCCAGGTTCAAGGGATTCTCCTGCCTCAGCCTCCCAAGTAGCTGAGATTACAGGCACCTGCCACCACACCTGGCTAATTTTTTGTATATTTAGTAGAGACAGGGTTTCACTATGTTGATCAGGCTGGTCATGAACTCCTGACCTCGTGATCCACCTGCCTCGGCCTGCCAAAGTGCTGGGATTACAGGTGTGAGCCGCCGCGCCTGGCCCCTGTATTGTATTTTTAAAAACATTTTTGTAACTGTTGTATTTTTTGTGACTATTAAGCATTGTGTTTATTAGAAGTATGTCTGTCCATGAGTTGCTTTCCACTACAGTGTAAGCCCCCTGAGAACAGGGCTCATCTTATCCATCTTCGCATGCCTCTATTACGCCTATCTGAATGTGTTACAAATAGTAGGTAACCAGAAAATACACTTACCTAATGAAAAACACCTGTGAGTATCAAATCACATAGTACCTACACGTTCTCTAAATATATTTTATACATTTTGGCAGTAAAATAAGAGTTTCTTAATCTAGCATTGCTTCACTTGTACACATGCTTGCTGACAAAGATCTTAAATCTTCATAAAATTTAAGATGGAGTAGAGAATTTTAAAATATGTACAAAGACAAAATGTCCTAAAAATACTTTGTTTTAATTGGCGATAGCATCAACACTGCAGAACATCAAAAGCAGAACGTTTCAATCTGAAAAGTCCACACCATAAAAAAGACGATGCTACTTCAGTCCAGACTTGTTAACCAGAAATATCTTCCTGTGCAATCCCAAAGATTGCCTAAATCTCAATGGGATTATGAAAGAACATCCAGTGTGTGTTCGTTCATGTTATTTCCAGAAACTACAGGCAGGCCTCGTAAGGTGGATTTTCCATGAGGCTGATGAAGCCTCTCACTTGCTCAGGAAGGAAGCCCCACGCTGTACCCAGGGGCCCGTTTACTTACAGTCCCCACCCCATGTCACACACATAGTTGCATAAGCTTCAGACCCACCCCTGCCGGGGCTCCCTTAGAATATTAAGAAAACGAGGCTAGAATTCGCAAAAATGATCCAGAAGTCATGTATTGACTTAAAGCATTTTCAACAGCCCAATGAGAGAGAAACAAACCAGTTGAATTATCTCCTTGCACCATTGTAACGATTACTTTTCCCAGGATACAAAATTTCGTCTTGGAAACCACGACTAGATAAAAGCAACGTTCATTAAATGCAAGCATATGTAATCCCAGATACTTATCACCTGTAAAAACCAGGTGATGCGTGTGGTGAAACCAGATTGCGGGCGCTCAGTACTTATTTCTGATGGTAAACACATTGTTCTTATTGCTGCTAAGTATAACTGGTGAAAATAAAGACCGACCCGTTTTCATTCAGAATTCGAGTTCTGTTGTATCACAAAACTAAGCAAACTAAATGTTAATTGCGCGATTAATTAAATTAGATTTGCAATCATCTTTGACGCAGGCAAAGATCAAAACAAACCCCAAAAACTTGCTGTCGCCTCCGGATTTGGCTACTGAAAATTTCAAACTCGAGTCGTGTTTCCTTGAAGACTAGAGAGATATGGGGAGGAGCTGGGGGTGTTCTCAGACAACCACACACTCTCCTCTTCCTACCCTGCCTCTGACCCGCTCCCGTGTTGGTAACGCTAGTTCTTCCCCTCCGGTATGCTGTACTCGGTTAATTCCTCATCGGTGGCTAACGGGGTACAACTATCTGGCAGTTTTTTGCTTTTTAAGTATGACAGCGCATTTTCTTAGGTTCGCCTAACCTGCCAGCGGCTTTATGTTGAGGCTAGTCCTTCCCCTCCACCCCTGAACAGGTCCGCAGGGCCTTCCCACTCCTCCCTCGTGGTCCCTCAACTTGGGACGGGTCCCCGCCACTTCTCCATGACAGGCCCAGCGGCCCGCGGCCTTGGGGCACCGGCCCTCTCCGGCGAGACACCTTCAGGAAGGTCCCCTCGGGGTGGCCGCAACGCCACGGCAAAGTTACCGGGGAAAGCAAAAGGGCGGCCCCGCGCACTTCCAATAGGACGCAGCCAGTTCCCAGGCCCGGACGCGCCCGAGAGGAGGGGGAAGGGAGTGTCCCCGCCGAATCCCGAGAAAGGCCGCGGGACCCACCTCCGGCTCCCTCCCGCGCCCGCCCAGGCCCCACCTCCCCCGGCTCGCACAAAGCCTTCCGAGGGCGGGGGCCGGCCAGGGGGGAGGCCGTCAGGACGCGGCCGGACCGGGCCCAGTGACCCGCGGGCGGCTCCGGCCGCGCAGGCTGTGGCTCCCCGACGCGTCTGGAGTGCCTGTCCGGGACGGGAAGGACGCGAGCCCAGCGTTCCCGCCGCCCCGAGCCCTCGGCCTTGACGGCGAGAGCACCCCGAGAAGGCTCGGCGCGCCCCACGCAGTCCCGCCTGCCGCGTCCGAGGTGGCGGCCAACTGCGTGGAGGGCCGCGAGCTCGAGGGGCGTGCAGACGCCGTCGGGGGCGCGGGTGAATCGCTCAGTGGCAGGCGCCCCTTCGCGCCCCGCCGAGGCCCTAACTCGAGGCCTCACATGAGTTCCCCCAGTTCGCGAACCGTCCTTTCCCCCCGGGCACCTGAGGAAGGTGGCCAAACAATGCGGGGGCGGACCCGGGGGAGGGAGGCGGGGGAGGGGGGAGGAAGGCGGGATGTCGAGGGAGTGGGGGACGGCGCCGGCCGCCCCCGCGCCCCCCGGCCTCCCAGCGCCTCGCCTCCCATCGGGGCCACACGCGGGCGCGCACTCACGCCCACCCTCCTGCCCGGTGCGAGAAGATGGCCGTTTCTGCCTCATATAAAAGCTCTTTGTTGCGGTCACACAAAAGCGGCCAAGCCCCACTTTTCCAGTAGGCCCTTTGGACAAATCGAAGGAACTCAGCTGAACTTCCAAATGGCCCTAAACGCCAGATCGGTGGGAGCAGCTAAAACAGAGAGGGAAGAGCAGGCCTCCCGCGCCCATCTACCAAAACCTCTGGCAATATCCAAGTATTCATCCAGGAGCGGGAGCTGAGACCATTCCTAAGGGAAGAAGGAAAAGGAAAACCCACTTTTACTATCAAGGCCCAAAGGGGATATTAAATATTCACATTGTTGTAGGGTTTCTCCCCTTAATCAGGGTAGAAACATAATGCGGAAAAGTCTGGATCCACCAAAAAGAAAAAGAAAAAAGAAAGAAAAATACCAACAATAGCAACTTAAAAACAAAAACATAACAAACCAGTTGCCATCAGCCCAAAGTGGTAGTAGTAGCAGCAGCCGGCGCGTGTGATCCACTTACTTGTCCGACTCTTGTGACATGTTTGATCCAATGAACTTGCTCCGCTTTTCCTGGAGCCTCAGCCTCTGGTGAAACTGGACTTTCAAGTCTGTGCAGGTGAAGGTGTGTGAGAGCGCCCGAGATGGCAGAACAAGAGCTACAGGTAATTCTGCTTTTCCGTCCCCCCTCACCACTCTCGCTCGCTCGCCCGCTCGCGCCCTCACCTAGCCGGAAAGGTGGGATAAGGGGGGGCCCCTCACATGGGGCCCGAGCTCGGAGGCGGCCGGGCGGCGCGGAGTCCTCCTGGATCGTGGCAATGGGCAGACACAGAGCAGAAAGTGGCGGACTTGGGCGGCCACAGGTAACTTTCTCGCAAGGAGCTGAATTCTTTCACTAAAGGGTACAAGCCCGAGGGACGAGCTGCGCGATGATTGGCTGGGGAGCTCCCTCAGGTGAGCTGCCATTGGCAGAGGCGCGCTCAGGTAAGGCCCTTCTCCGAGTGCAGGTAACTCACTCCGAAGTTTACCCGAGTGGAGCGGCGGCATGCTTGCAGCTCGGCGGCAGCCTGTGAGAGCTGAGGGTCAGTTCTTCGAGTAGATCTCAAGCTGCGTTTTCCTCCTTCTCCAAAGCAGGGATGGGAAGGTGGAGGCTACTGGTTGAAGAGAAGAAAGGGGTTGGGGGAATGCAACACCTGCAAACACTAGGGATTGTGGGTCGAGCGGAAGAGCTAATGAGAGCCGAGCTCAGGTATCCCAAGTCAACCAGAATCAAATGCGCAGTACGCCACAAGGCATTTAATGCCCACAGTAACAGGGCTGTTTGACAGTGGCAGAAGAGGACGGGACTAAAGTTACTTTGTGCTGAGAGGGGGAAAGAAGCACAAAGTTTGGTCTGTTGCGTAATTGAATTTTTAACACTCTTATCCACAACAAACACTTTTTCGTGTCCTGCTGTGTAAAAGACATCAGATATATTACAGATTTTCAAACAGGTGAGCATCCTTTTACGAGCTGGGCAGGTGGGGAGTGGCGTGGTTTTGATGGAGTGAGGAGATTTGGTTGAATGAACGCTAAGATGGCCAGACGCACCTCTTCGATCTCAACTCTGCAGCCTGGGATTCCAGAGCTGCAAACAACCACTGAATTCGTTCTGTAAACCTGTTGTCATTTGACGTTTCCAGGCAGGCATCAACATTTACATTGTAATTCAATAGACGCTACTACTACAAAGGAGCTTTATTCTTCCAGCTTAATATGGTTGCTGCGGGAACACTGCAGGATGAAACTGACTTTTTTTGTGGTAATGTTTCTCCTGGTTGGGAACAACGCAAATTAGCAAAGGCGTAATTTATAACCGCTGCTACCAAAGAGTGAAGTATTTGTGGAAGTTCTGACTGGAATCTAGCTCGTACATATGGATTGTGGAAATAAAGGAGGACGTGGAAAGCTTGCCATATTTTATTTCAAGTTAATACTAAAGCTGCCAGACTTAATACAACTTTCTTTTAATCTTTATGGATCACATATTTTCTGAAAATTACATGATAAAACAAGGTTTGGTTTGTTCCATGTGTCCATTTTCAACAATAAATTTCAAAATTGTATTTTTAAAAAACAATATAAACACACACTTTAAAGAAATAATATATTTTAAGACAATGCAGGTACTATTTTAATATAATATTTTAAGATAATGCAATACCTATCATGTTCCTCTCCTTTTTAGAGGCAGCCATATTCTGCTTTTATCTGTCTCTTCTGTCATTTACCTCCCTATTTCTAAATAATTTGTACTGCCATCTCTTGATTTGCCAATAGATGTTGTGCTCTGACTACCTGTTGCTTCAGATTAGGATTTAGCTCTTTCATGCCAAGCAACTTCTCCTTCCAACACAGCACTTTCACAGTTTAGGAGCTAAGTAAGTGACTATGCCAATAGCAATGACAACACAGCCAATAGTGTACTATTCTTGTTTTCTTCCTTATAAAACCTTGTATCTATTTACTTAGTTTGTTATGCCCCATCCTGATATTTTTCTACAACTGATCTATCAAATGACTATCATGTTTATTTTCCAAATGATCAAACAATCAATTCCAATTTTGCCCTGAAAACAATTCCTCCAGAAATTCATTGTTCTACTGTTTCAGTGGAGATGAGTTGCTCTATGGATCCGCTTCTCAAGTGTCATCCTGGGACACTCTTTTTTTTTTTTTTTTTTTTTTTTTGACAGAGTCTCTCTCTGTTGCCCAGGCTAGTGTGCAACGGTGTGATCTCAGCTCACTACAACCTCTGCCTCCCGGGTTCAAGTGATTCTCCTGCCTCAGCCTCCCAAGTAGCTGGGATTACAGGCATGCACCACCAAGTCCAGCTAATTTTGTATTTTTAGTAGAGACGGGGTTTCTCCATGTTGGTCAGGCTGGTCTAGAACTCCCAACCTCAGGTGATCCACCTGCCTCAGCCTCCCAAAGTGCTGGGATTACAGGTGTGAGCCACCGTGCCCGGCCTGGGACACTCCTTAATCTGTAGTGTGAGAACCCCCATTTCTGTGTTTTGTGCCTTCTTTCTTGGTTTACTGCTTCATTTTCCATGGCACATGTTTTAGTAACAGCCCAAGAAAGGGTACAGAAGGTAAAAATTTGAGTTATTACATACTTGAATATGTCTTTATTCAACTTTTACTTTTACTAGAGTTTGACCAAGTGTAGAATTCTTACCAGAATTTCTTCATTCATAATTTTATAGAAATTGCTTTTCACTTATTTATTTTAATTTTTTAATTAAAAAAAATTTTTAGGCCATGCACAGTGGCTTGCACCTGTAATCCCAGCACTTTGGGAGGCCAAGGCAGGAGGATCACTTGAGTCCAGGAGTTCAAGATCAGCATGGGCAATGTAGCTAGACCCCATCTCTACAAAAAATACAAAAATTAACCAGGCATACTGGTGTGCACCTGTAGTCCCGGCTACTCAGGGGGCTGAGGAGAGGAGATTGCCTGACCCCAGGGAGGTCAAGGCTGCAGTGAGTCAAGATCATGACACTGCACTCCAGCCTGGGCTACAGAGCAAAACCTTGTCTCTAAAAAAATTAATTAATTAAATTTTTAAAAACAAGTTCTTACTCTGTCACACCACCTGGAGTGCAGTGACATGGTCATAGCTCTCTGCAGCCTCAAAATCCTGGACTCAAGTGATCCTCCTGACTCAACTTCCCAGGTAGCTGGGATTACAGGCAAAAATTGCTCTTTTATCTTCTAGCTTCCAGTGTTACTATTGAGAATGTCACTTAATTTTGCTGTGCTTCAGTTTCCTCATCTATAAAATGGAGATTATAATAGTAATTATCTCACTAATATGTCTGAACCACTTAGAACATTACCAGGCACTTATTAAATTCTCAATTATTATTCAATCTTATTATTTATTTTTTAAACTGGATTAATCTCAGAATGTTCTTTTTTTTTTTTTTTTTCCTGTTGCACATGTCTTCACCTTTTGTCCTATTTTGGAAGATATTTTCTTGCTTTACTTTCTACTGCAGTTGTTACCTCAACTATTTAAAGAGCTCATTTCATGCTGTCTGTTATAAAGAGAATTTAGTGATTATGTCACAGTCGCACTAGTTTTTTCTATCTTTTGAGAGTATTTACTTACTGTAGGGCTTTCTTTGCCTCCTGCCTTGTCTTGGCTTTCTCTAGCTTCCCTTCTCATGTATTTGTTTTCGTCCCATCACGTTAGAGGCTTTCATCAACTGTCTGCAAACCTTTTCCTCTCCTTTCATAAGTAGGAATGAGGTAATAGAAACCTCACCAGAAACTCTATATGTGGGTGAGAAAAATGTGCTTGCTCACTGGTGGGTTTGCTGTATGGTGATCAGATGAAAGCTCATTTTTTCATGGGAAGATACCTCAAATGTCAGAAGCTAGATGTCTTTTCTTTGGGGCTTGTCAGTTTCTCATGAGAAATATCTTATAATCTCTTGCCTGAGGAGGCATTCACTTGGCTGCCAGTGTTCTGGAAGTAGTTCAGGGGAAGAGGTCTGGATGAGTAACTGCTTAGGGTGCAATCTTTCACACTCTTTCCTTTCCGGCAGTTGCCTTATTCCTGCCCTTCTTTGTGCCTGCTGGACAAGCCTCTCTCCTCTTTCTCATGCTGACTGCGAGGAGTGGGACAGGGCACCTGAGACTCCAGCAACTCCAAGTGCCAACATTGACCTGGCCTCTTGCTTTTAGCTGCTCACCTCTCCCTCACCCTTCCGGGATCCTGGGGCCCCTCATCAGCATTTTCTTCTAGTGATCTCTGTCATCTCCAAGGCCCAGACCACTCTAGGGTTTTGTAGGGAATTGGGCTCTTTCTGTACTGACCACTATGGCCATATTAGAGTGTAGCTTTCACTGTTCTGTTAAACTAGTTTTCACTCCTCCATCGACCCTCTCTATTCTTCAGAATTGTGTTGAAATATAGCTTTTGCTGATGACTCCTCCTCTATCTTCTTTGCCCCTTTGGATTTATCCCTTCATGTTCTTTTACTATCCTTTTCAGGGGAGAATGAAGATAAATATGTGTGTTTAATCGTTTAATCTGAAGTCCGTTTCCAAAATTATACAAAAGATTTTACCAAACTGTCCCAAATTGTCTGTGCAAAGAAACCCAGTGTTTATGGTTAAACCATTCCTTTTGTTGGTTTATGATAGTCAAGAATCTTTTCTTCTTCTTTGGTATCTAATAACTCAACTTTGTTCAGATAGCTTGTTGTCCCCCTACTGGCTAACTACTGCTGTATTCATTGGTTAGATTAGCAAAGGAAAATGTTCGAAAGGACCATTTTAAATTGTCAACCATGAAATTACCTGTTACCCAAATATTTTGATTCCTTTGGCAGAAGAGTAGTATATAAATATGAAAGTTTCTGCCACGCTCACCATGAGACTCTACTACTCTGTCTCCAAATATCTTTATTCATAAACACTTAAGTACAGCAGTGGTTCCCAAAGTGTGGTCCCTGGATGGACTGTCAACATCAGATCCCCTGGGAAATTGTTAGGAATGCAGATTCACCAACTCACTCCAGACCCATGGAATCAGAAATTCAAAGAACCTGTGTTTCTAACAAGCCTATAGGTGGTTCTGATGCGTCTTAAAATTTGAGAAACACAGTACAGTATTCTGACAGCATAAAGTTGCACACCCTTAGCCATTGAAGACCATCATCCTAAATTATGCTGAACATGCAGTTTTGCAATAGACAGCCATAGAGTAAATAATGGATTTTACCTGTGTGGATTCTTCCAGTCTCAACCTAGTGATTATTTATTTAATGGTTGGCCACTGTCCTTAGTTGGAGTAGTTAGCTCCTCAAAATAATGATCCTGGAATCTGCTGCAGTATGCATCATGAACTTGGAAGTTTCAGCACAGTTTAGAGTTTGATGGTTATTTTAGGAGGCAGCAACAAAGCAAATGTTCATATAAAAACTGGTAACAAGATAGTGCTGTTTCTAATGAAATTATTTATTTATGAGGTAAAAATTCTAATTAAATTCCTGGGGAAAAATAGTGTTATTTTGATTATCATTTAAGTAATGGTCTTTAGCATCTATTAAGATGGCTAATCTCGTTTTCTTATTGTAAAAAGTATTTAGAATTTGATGCTAAATTGTCATTTCATTATGATGAATCTCTTATTATAGTGAGACTTGGGGAAAACGATGCCATTCTATGGCATCTGGGCAGAAGAATTCAGTTGTGTTTTTTTGTTTGTTTTTGTTTTTGTTTTTTTGAGACAGAGTCTTGCTCTGTTGCCCAGGCTGGAGTGCAGTGGTGTGATCTCTGCTCACTGCAACCTCCACTTCCCAGGTTCAAGTGATTCTTCTGCCTCAGTCTCCTGAGTAGCTGTGCCCACCACCAGGTGCCTGCCACCACGCCCGGCTAATTTTTGTATTTTTAGTAGAGACGGGGTTTCACCATGTTGGCCAGGCTGATCTGGAACTCCTGGCCTCAAATGATCCATCCACCTTGGCCTTCCAAAGTGCTGGGATTACAGGCATGAGCCACCGCGCCCAGCCAGAATCCAGTTTTAAAGGGCTGCAGATCTAGTTGAACAAGTCTGCCTGCTGACCGTCTTCCACCATATGTCATCATATGCGGGGCCAGTATAGCAGATCTGCCATTGAATCTGTTGTGAAGCCATGACAGGTACTATCTCCTCCTAGGTTGTTTTGCACTATAAAAACACTAATTTATTAAATTGACTATTATCCCCAAGAAGGAACCTGGAGAAGAATAAAATATACCTGGATGCCTGAATTTGAAATCCACCTAAGGATGTATAACTTAACCAACTGAACATTCAATGGCAGTTGCCTTGCAGTTTGGAGCCTCTTTTTCAGCCAGCAGCCAGCTGAGGTTTGTATATTTATTAAGGATAGCAAGTGTTTCTGTTGCTGGAACTGGCCATAGGTAACCCTTTCACAGAAAGCACTACCCTGTTAAAACAGCATTGAGCATGTATCTTTATCTCTATTCCTTCATCTTTTTTTTTTTTTTTAAATTTTAAGACAAGGAGTCACTCTATAACCTAGGCTAGAGTGCAGTGGTACAATCCTAGCTCACTGCAGGCTGCCTCAATCTCCTGGGCTCAAGCAATGCTTGGCCTCTCAAAGTGTTGGGATTATAGGCGTGAGCCACCACATCCTGGCCCTCTAGTCCTTCCTGAATCCTCAGTGATAGAAGAGTAAGGAAGGAGATGAAAGTATTAAAGATGACAACAAAATTGGGAAATTGGAAAGTGACTGAAGGAGTAAAAACTGATTTAGCAGAATTGAGACAGATGAGCTTAATCATATGCAGACACTGAGGATCATGACCATTTAGCCTGTAGAACATCAGAAAGGCATAGAACAGGGGTGTCCAATCTTTTGGCTGCTCTGGGCCAAATTAGAAGAAAAATTGTCTTGGGCCACACATAAAATACACTAACACTAACAATAGCTGATGAGCTTTAAAAAAAATCTCATAACGTTTTAAGAAAGTTTACAAATTTGTGTTGGGCTGCATTCAAAGCCATCCTGGGCCACATGTGGCCCACAGGCCAAGGGCTGGACAAGCTTGGCCTAGAAAATCAAGTGTCTGATTATCATTGAAGGTGGGAGTAAGTGATAGGGCTGATGCCAGAGGGATTGATTCAAAAGCCAGATACAAAGCTGTTAGGCCCCTAGGCCCCTAGGCCACCACCTCCACCCAGTGCAAGTAAGCTCCCATCCATATTAGTTTTCCAGGCTGCCATAACAAAATACCACAGATAGTGTGGTTTAAACAACAAAAGTTTATTTTCTCACAGTTCTGGAGGATAGAGGTCCAAGATCAAGGTGCCAGCAGAGATACTTTTTTTGAAGTCCTCTCTCCTTGGCTTGCAGACAGCCATCTTACCGGGTCCTCACATGGTCATTTCACTGTGAGCCCACATGTCTGTGTTCTAATCTCCTTTTCTTATAAACATATGGGATTAGGGCCCACCCATTTGACTCCATCTTACCTTATTTACCTCTTTAAAGGCCCTATCTCCAAATACACTCACGTTCTGGGGTATGAGGGGGTTAGGACTTCAACACTTGAATTTAGGGAGATACAGTTCAGCCCAAAACTCCATCCCTCCTCCATGCTAGCAGGAGACAAAGTGTACTGTAGTGAAATTGAACCAGGAGGACTTCCCACTTGGGTACATCAGGGGAACTATCAGGAGAGAGCCACTGGACCTACAAGAAGGAGAGCAAGTGAAAGATCGTATGCTAATCAGTGAGATATCATCTCATAGTTTCCTCCACCCAGCTTAGTAAGCCAGGAGCCAAGTTTATACCACCACCACCCATGCCTCTCCCCCAAGGCAAGAGATCAGAAGATGTTTCTTTAAATAAATTACAAGGTCCTAGAAAAAGATCTACAGATGTGAATGTGTAGGTGTTCCCCAATCTGGAAGAAGGAAGGGAGGAAGGGAGGAAGGGAAGGAGGGAGGGAGGGAGGGAGAAAGAAAAGAAAGGAAGGAACCGGGTGCGGTGGCTCATGCCTGTAATCCCAGCACTTTGGGAGGCCGAGGCAGCCGGGTCACCTGAGGTCAGGAGTTGGAGACCAGACTGACCAACATGGAGAAACCCCGTCTCTACTAAAAATAGAAAATTAGCCAGGCGCGGTGGTACATGCCTATAATCCCGGCTACTCGGTGGGCTGAGGCAGGAGAATCGCTTGAATCAGGCATGCGGAGGTTGTGGTGAGCTGAGATCACACCACTGCACTCCAGCCTGGGCAACAAGAGTGAAACTCCATCTCAAAAAAAAAAAAAAAAAGGAAAGGAATGAGAAAAAAAGGAAGAAAGATGCTTGCTGTCTACCATATCTCCCTTCAAAAAAGTCGTTCAGTTCCACCCTCACACAGAGCCTCTAATGAGCTTCTTATACCACACTTAAATATAAACATGAGGTCAGAGATCATCAGTGTTTGAGAAAAGCCTCCAAAAGGAAGTAAAAACACCAGAACAAAAGTCTAACTAAAAGAATAACTTTGAGAAAAACTGATAGTACAGGGATGGAATAAAGAGTATATAATTAATACGTAAACAAATAACACACCGATGAAACAAGAACAATGTACTATTTAAGAGCAACAAAGGGCCAGGCGCAGTGGCTCACCCCTGTAATCCCAGCACTTTGGGAGGCCGACGTGGGCAGATCACTTGAGGCCAGGAGTTCGAGGCCAGCGTGGCCAACATGGCAAAACCCCATCTGTACAAAATATACAAAATGTAGCTGGGCGTGGTAGCAGGCCCCTGCAATCCAGCTACTTGGGAGGCTGAGGCAGAAGAATTGTTTGAATCCAGGAGGCGGAGGTTGCAGTGAGCCCAGATCGTACCACTGCACTCCAGCCTGGGTGACAGAGTGAGACTCTGTCTCAAAAAACTAAAAATGAAGGCCGGGCGTGGTGGCTCACACCAGTAATCCCAGCACTTTGGGAGGCCGAGGCGGGCAGATCACCTGAAGTCAGGAGTTCTAGACCAGCCTGACCAACATGGAGAAACCCCGTCTTTACTAAAAACACAAAAAATTAGCCAGGCGTGGTGGCGCATGCCTGTAATCCCAGCTACTTGGGAGGCTGAAGCAGGAGAATCGCTTGAACCCGGGAGGCGGAGATTGTGGTGAGCCGAAATCACGCCATCATACTCCAGCCTAGGCAACAAGAGCAAAACACGGTCTCAAAATAAATAAATAAATAAATAAATAAATAAATAAATGCAACAAAAACAAATATCAGAGAGTCAAAAGAGCTTCTGAACATTAAAAATAGGAAAGCTGAAATAGAGTCTTTAATGGAATGTTTAAAGACAGGATCTAGGAAATCTCCCAGAAAGTAGAACAAAAAGACAGCAAAATGGACAATAAAAAGAAAAGAAAAGTGTACAGTCAATTAAGAAACAATAATATGTGGCTAACAGATGTTTCAGAAAGAGTAGAAAAAAATAATGGGAGAAAATTATTAAAGAAAAGATAAAATATGATTTTTAAGAACTAAATAAAGCATTATGTTTCTTATTGATAGGACCCCCTTAATGCTCAGCCCAGTGAATTCTGAAAGGCATAAATTGAAGTGATTATTAAACTTCTTGACTGAACTTTCCAGAGAGTGAAAATAAAATGAAGTAAGCAAAGAAAAACTGCTTGCACATGAAGGGTCAAGAATCAGAATATATTAGACTTTTTAGCAATACTGCCAGCTTGAAGAGATTAGAAAAATGCCTTTAAATACTGGATTCTATGCCTAAACAAGTTATCAGTGAAGTATAAAAGTAGAATAAAATTTAATTTCAGAAGCACAAGGTGTCAAAAATTGCCTGTCATGCACTCTTTCTCAGAAAGGTGTTGGATGATATCCTTCATTAAAACATGGGAAAACACCAAAAAAAGGAATAGTCTTAAGACTCAGAAAACAGGGTAGCCAACGGAAAAAGAGGAAGGGCCGGGCATAGTGGCTCATGCCTGTAATCCCAGCACTTTGGGATGCCAAAGTGGGTGGATCACTTGAGGCCAAGAGTTTGAGGCTGCATCTTGAAACTGGTGAAACCCCATCTCTGTTAACCAGGTGTGGTGGTGCACCCCTATAATCCCAGCTACTTGGGAGGCTGAGGCATGAGAATCACTTGAACACAGGAGGCAGAGGCTGCAGTGAGCTGAGATTGTGCCACTGCACTCCAGCCTGCACAACAGAGTGAGACCCTGTCTCAAAAAAAAAAAAAAAAAAAAAGGAAAGTCAGAGAACGACGGCTTTGTAGCCAGCTTAGAGAGTAACTAAACTTCTCCTTTAACAGAGGTCTCTGGATGAAATAGAGGGGGAGAATCCAACTACTAAATTTAAGATTGTAGGAAATTATATTGATAGTCTTTGTGAGTACAGAAAATATTATCAATAGGTACAGGGAAAATGAAGGAGATATTTAGCATTCAGTAGCTCCAGGAAAAAAAAAAAGTACAAGAATGGAAATATAATCATATTAATCTTAATACATACTTGGCTCAACTGAATAATATTCATATGGTCATAGTAATAGAATTACTGAATGATAATTTGCTAAAATTGGTGATAAAACTCAATTGGAAAGGTAAAGGGAGAAAGGTACTGAAGTTGTATGGATAAAAAGGAAGTGGAGGGTTGTGGAAGAGTTAAACCAGCTGCCATAGTAGTAAGTCCATAGTTGCTGCCTGCAATTTAAAAATCATGAAGTAGCAGCATTAGTGTTAGTTAGGAATGTGTTGGGCTGCTAGTAAATCAAGGCTAAGAGTTTTTTAGGAAAAATATAATTTAGTTTTTCTCACTTGAATAAATGATGGTCTCAAAGTTAGCAACACTGGCTTCAGAACTGATGTTCAGTGATGTCAATTCTGGTATCTCCAAGATTCTCTTGGCCTTTTCCCTATGGGCAAAAGATAATCCCTTCAACTGTAACCATTACATCTGTGTTTAAGGCAGCAAGAAGGAGGGAGGAGTGATGCTAGCCTCAGCTATGGTATTCATTAAAAAAAAGCAATACCAGCATTGATATTAGAAGCTTCCAACATATCTTCATCTGATGTCCCATTGGCCAGGACTGGATCACACAGTCACCCCTATCTGCAAGAGTGGCTGGAAGAGTGGATATCAAGCTTTTCCAAGCCCTAAGGCAGGCAAGAAAGAAGGAATTGGAAATGTGTTCTGGGTTAGCAAATCAGCATATTATTTGGAAATGCAGGAGTAAATGTTAGAATTTTTAAGAGAAAGTTCAAATGATGAAAAAGAATTGCTGCCAAGCACAGTGGCTCACGCCTGTCATCCCAGCACTTTGGGAGGCCAAGGTGGAAGGATTGCTTGAGCCCAGAAGTTCAAGACCAGCCTGGGCAACATGGGGAAACCCTGTCTCTACAAAAAAAATACAAACCTTTAGCCAGGCATGGTGACGTGCATCTGTAGTCCCAGGCAAAGGTGGGAGGATTGAAGAAGAAAGAAAGAAAGACAGACAGACAGAAAGAAAGAAAGAAAGAAAGAAAGAAAGAAAGAAAGAAAGAGAGAAAAAGAAAGAAAGAAAGGGAGAAAAAGAAAGAAAGAATTGCCTCTAAGAAGCAGGACTGGCAAATGGATAGGAGTGAGGCATGCATTATAAACAATATTATTTTCAGTATTATTAATCAATGTAATCACTTGACTTTTAAACTACATATATAGTTTTATATACATGTATAGTTTATACACACATATATACATATACACACACTTTTAATCAAGATAAAGT
The DNA here is from genome assembly GCF_000001405.40 of Homo sapiens. NCBI lineage: Eukaryota > Metazoa > Chordata > Mammalia > Primates > Hominidae > Homo > Homo sapiens. The sequence goes on along the minus strand of NC_000008.11, from coordinate 101,481,006 downwards.
TAATTTAAGAAATTAAAGTACAAATTGCAAACATACCATCCACTCTTTTGCCCATTTACAGATCTGTTTCCTCAAAACTCTTACTTTCTTCCCTCCTTCATCCAACTAGCTCCCAACCTTCCTTCACGTCAGTGTTCAATCATCTCTTCCTCAGGGAAACTTCTTTGACTCTCCCGATGAGAGATAGGTATTTTGGAAAGATACATCTCTCCATAATTTATGTATGGAGCAACATCTTTCTTCTTGAATTACAGTTGTAATTTAACATTTACTTGTGTGGTCTTTGATCACCAACCATCTCCCACCATTAGACTCTAAGCTCCATGAAGGCAACTAACATGCCTATTATTGGTTCACCATCATCTCCCCAGTGCATAGCTGGCAGGTAGTAAATATCTGATGAATGAATAAGTGACAAACACTCTCAATTACAAGTACCCTTCCCATTCTACAACTAGTCCATGGTTGGGGAACTTCAACTGAGTGAGGCATCACATTGAGCACCTTCATCAACATTGTCGAGCAGATAAATTCCAGAAACGTTTATGGAGCCTCTGCTATACTCCAGGTGAACTGGTTTCCTCATTTAAATCTCAACAGTACTCTATTAGATGGTAATTATAAGGGTTAAGGATGCTTTCTACAGCAAACCAAAGAGCAGCCAGCTAGCAGGGCTAGTAGGACCTTTGCCAAGACTGTTTAACTTCTCTTGCACGGTAAGAGATCTGGAGCCTGGGACAGAGGGAGGCAATTGCTGACATTAGATCAACAACTCCATAATTCACAGCTCTGAATCAGTGTTTTTGCACTAGTCTACTGTTCATGGTAGAAAATATCATGTCCTTGCATAGTCAAATTTAAAGGCATAAAGAAGGTAGACAGTGCAGGATGAACATTTTACCCGGAAGCGCTCATCAGACTTCCGCTTGTATCTCATTGGCCAGAATTGGGTCACATGACAAGAATGGTTCAGGAGCTGGAAGCACTGTCCATGAGATAAAAAAAATCTCCACCCAATAGTTGAACAAATCAGGGTTATCTTAGCAAGAAAGAAGTGAGAGACAGGTGTTTAACAGGGCCAGGCATGGTGGCTCACGCCTGTAATCCCAGCACCCTGGGAGGTCGAGGTGGGTGGATCACTTGAGGTCAGTAGTTCGAGACGAGCCTGGTCAATGTGGTGAAACCCCATTTCTACTAAAAATACAAAAAATTAGTCAGGTGCTCATGCCTGTAGTCCCAGCTACTTAGGAGGTTGAGGCAGGGAGAATCACTTGAACCCTGGAGGCAGAGGTTGCAGTGAGCTGAGATCACACCACTGCACTCCAGCCTGGGTGACAGAGTGAGACTCCATCTCAAAAAACAAAACAAAAACAAAAGCAAACCAACAGCAGCTGAGCACAGTCTGTAATCCCAGCACTTTGGGAGGCCAAGGTGGGAGGATCACCTGAGGCCAGGAGTTTGAAACCATCATGAGCAACACAGCGAGACCTCTGTTTCTACTAAAAATAAATTTAAAAAAAATTAGCCGGGCATGGTGATGCATGCCTATAATCCCAGCTACCCAGGAGGCTGAGGAGGGAGGATTGCTTGAGCTCTGCAGTGAGCTGTGATCACACCATTGCACTCTAGTCTGGGCAACATAGCAAGACCCCACCTCAAAAAATTATGTATAATAAAATGAAATAATGTTTACAAACCCAACAGTGATACCACAATATTAATAGTTTCATAGTACAGATAATAAATGTGACTTTCACTTTGGATAATGTAAGTAGCAGAGCTACAATTCAAATCTAGATCTGCCCTTTTTCTTTTTTTTTTTTTTTTTTTCTGAGACGGAGTCTCGCTCTGTTGCCCAGGCTGGAGTGCAGTGGTGCGATCTCGGCTCACTGCAAGCTCTGCCTCCCAGGTTCACGCCATTCTGCTGCCTCAGCTTCCCGAGTAGCTGGGACTACAGGCACCCGCCACCACACCCAGCTAATTTTTTTGTATTTTTAGTAGGGGTTTCACCGTGTTAGCCAGGATGGTCTAGATCTCCTGACCTCGTGATCCACCCACCTCGGCCTCCCAAAGTGCTGGGATCACAGGCGTGAGCCGCCGCGCCCAGCCTAGATCTGCCCTTTTTCAAAGCCTATACCACACCACCTCCTAGACTTGAATATGAAGTTGTTCCTGTTCCTGTATACAGATGTGGTAGATTGAGTCAGGAATGGCTTCAGAGAGGAAAAATACTTGAGGAAAGGTCTTGAAGGAAATAACACAAACTGGGTAGATGCAGAGAATGAGAGGGTGGTTGTGGGAGGTTGTATTAATAATAGCACCCTCTTGACTTTCACTCTGCGCAAAAATGTTTTTTATGTAACCTATTGATCATCAGAGCATCTCTCTCTATTTTGGGGATTATTATTATTGCTTTGATGGGCTAAATGAGCTATAAATAAACTGAGATAACATTTATCCAAGGGAAAATGCCAAAATGAGAACCCAGAGACCATGGCTGGGGCCACAGCAGAACAGAATGCTCCCTCTGAGATTTTTAATGAAATATGCTTATTGTTGATGCCTCAACATCTTGGAAATGTCTCAAACTGGAAAAACATATTCAAATAACCTATTATCATGAAACTTCCTCCACCCTATTTGAAAACCTTCAGCAATTCCTCAGTACACATGTGGCAACCTAACATACCAGTTGCAACCTTCCTCTAACCCCAATTGCCTGAACCCATCCCCAGCGGTCTTCCACATAAGAAGAATCGAGGTGGGTGTAGCCTTATATGAGGTCTGCAGAGCTACAGACTGAAGAGAATCATTCTTGTCCAAGCCTTGGGACCCCTTCCCAACCCTTGCCCCAGTCACAAATTTGACCACCTAAGCCATGTCTAAACATTTGGAGAGCAGGTCAAAAATACCAGAAAGGACATTTGGAGGGAAAACTTAAGGAGGCTGAAAAGAGACATCAAAACAGAACCAGGCCAGCCTGGGCTGCAGTGAGCTGTGATCACACCACGGCACTCCAGCCTGGGTAATGGAGGGAGATACGGTCAAAAAAAAAAAAAAAAAAAGAAAAGAAAAGAAAGAAGAAGAAGAGGAAGAAGAAGAGGAAGAAGAGGAGGAGGAGGAGGAAGAAGAAGAAGCAGAAGGAAGAGGAGGAGGAGGAGGAGGAAGAGGAAGAGAAGGAGAAAAGAAAAGAAAAAAGAAAACTGGACCAGGAATCTAGGATCTCAAGCCAAGAGATGTGAATGAGTGAAAACCAAATGGGAGCATAAGATTCAGACAGTGAAAAACCTAGGACAATCATCTGCAGCATTTGCTGATGGGATAATTTGCTTTTATTGTCTGACCTGGTCTTAGCACGGCCCCTCCCTCCCCTGCATAAGGTGGTGTCAGCTCTTCCTACATGGTCCTGGCAAAAAGCCCTGACATTTCTCAGGGTACTACAGAGATATTAGACAGGCCTCTGTGACAGTTTCTGGTTCATGCCCTTCTCAGTATACTAGGTTTTGGAGACAACCAGAGCACGGTACATTCCCACTGTACTTTGTCTATCTCTAGTTGCAGAGATCTGGGCAGAGATATTTGTGGGGTGGGGAGTAGGACATGGCTAGATCTAGGTGTTCCAGCCCAGTTGGTGGGGGGGGTCTTGTCATGTGTTCGGGCATTAGCAGCAGAAGACAAGTGAAGGAGGCATCTGAGGCCATGACTGGTCCCACGTAGTAGATTTCCAGGTTGGGAGACAGCAAATTTGCCAGGAAGAGAGCCCTACAGTGTTACCTAATTCAGGTGTCCTCTCTAATTCTTAGGCAGTTGGCCTTTCAGTCATGAGGGAGGATCTCTCAGAGTGACCTACAGCTCCTTCTGTCTCCTGCCTGGATGTCAGATGTTAGAGACGCACTAAAGGCTTGCTACTTAGAGTGCAGCAGCAGACCAGTTTGCTGTTGGAATAACCTGGTAGCTGGCTAGAAGTACAGAATCTCAGGCTGCACCTCAGACCTCCTGAATCAAACTTGCAGTTTCACAAGATTTGTATGGACATTAGAGTTTGAGAAACACTTGTCTAAGGCTTGGAGATACAGCCATGAGTGGAAGCTGTAGCTTCTGGGGATTCAGGGCAAAGAATGACATGAATTTTTGTAGGTAAATTGTGACCAATGGACCAAGTGTATCGTTGTATCAGAGATTACTCTTCAAAAATCAGCCGTGATTATCAATGAATGAAATTAATATGGCGAAGTGTTGATGGGAAACTTTAGAATGAGCTATGAGTTGGTCACCACCTAAACCCGTTGATCAATCTTAACATCACCAGACCTGATGGGCCTCCTGAAGGACCAACATGGCCAAGCCCATGGCATTACCTTTGAGGTGTTCTTGTCTGAAAAGTAAGATGAATTGAATCAAGCCTCTAGAGCTAATGCCTACAGGAAATAAGGGAGATAAGAAAACAAGTTGAATGGCACTCCAAAGAGCCAAGGGAAAACAATCTCCAATGTTGGGAAGCCTACAGGCAGCAGAGTTAGTTACTGCAACAAGTCAGTGGCATGGGGGAAAATATGTGAAGGTTGGAGAGGGGAAGAACCTACATTAAAATGGATTTAAAAGGCAAAGAACTAAATGTAATCTGTGGACCTGGTTTGGATCTTGATTTAGACAATTAACAACCACCTGGTGCTTGGCTCACTGGTTGCTCGTCCCAGCACTAAGGGCCAAGAATAAAAGGACATCAATTTACCTTTCTCAATCTTACTCCCCAATATTCCCCTTCACTGATTCTGTGCACCAGTTGAACTGCTCTGCTCTGCACATTAAATATTGCATTTTTCAGCTGTTTTTGTTTGTTTGTTTGTTTGTTTTGAGACAGAGTCTTTCTTTGTCACCCAGGCTGGAGTGCAGTGGAACCATCTCAGCTCCCTGTAACCTCCACCTTTCAGGTTCAAGAAGTTCTTGTGCCTCAGCCTCCTGAGTAGCTGAGATTACAAACGTGCACCACCACACCCAGTATTTTTAGTAGAGATGGGTTTCACCATGTTGGCCAAGCTGGTCTCAAACTCCTGGCCTCATGTAATTTGCCCACCTCGGCCTCCAAAAGTGCCGGGATTACAGGCGTGAGCCTCCACGCCCCACCAAAAGTAACAATTTTAAGAGTTCTGTATGTATTTGTAACTAAGTAAGCATTTTATTTCTTTTTAACTGTATTTATTTATTTATTTATTTTGAAACAGAGTCCACTCTTGTTGCCCAGGCTGCAGTGCAATGGCGTGATCTCGGCTCACTGCAACCTCCACCTTCTGGTTTCAAGCAATTCTCCTGCCTTAGCCTCCCGAGTAACTGGGATTACAGGCGTCCATCACCACGCACCACTCATTTTTTTTTTGTATTTTTAGTAGAGACGGGGTTTCACCATATTGGCCAGGCTGGTCTCAAACTCCTGACCTCATGATCCACGTGCCTCGGCCTCCCAAAGTGCTGGGATTATAGGCGTGAGCCACTGTGCTCCGCCTAAGTAAGCATTTTTAAAATGAAACAATGGTATGTTTGTTGTCTGTTGCTGTGTAACAAACTATCCCAAAATTTAGCAGCTTAAAACACAAACACTGAACATACCACATAGTTTCTAAGAGTCAGCAATCCAGGAGCAGCTCAGCCAGGGTTCAAGGTCTCTCATGAACTTATGGTCAAGCTACCAGCAGGGGCTGTGGTCATCTGAAGGTCAGAGGATCGCATGGTTGTTCCACAGACTGTTGGGCACGCTTTAATTATAGGCCTTGTGAAGCTCTCCACATCGATGTCTGAATATCCTCACGACATACAAAAGCTGGTTTCCCCTAAAGCAAGTGACAGAGAGAAAGAGAGAGACAGAAACAGAAGTCACAGCATCTTTCATAACCTGATTTTGGAAGTGAAAAACTATTCTTTCTGCTGTTTCCTATTGTTCATATAGACCAATCTTGGTGCAGTGTAAGAAAAAAATGTACGAGAGACACAGAATCTTCAGGGGCTGTCTTAAAGACTGCCTACCCAATATGGGTAGTTTCCAAAGCTTAAAAAAAAAACTTGTTTTAAATACACCTTATTCAAACAAGATGCTTATAAAAATAAAATAGGTGTGAGGATATTGTGTAATATGTAGCTAAGTATGCATCCTGTTAGAACGTCAAATCAGTCTTAACAGGAGAGCTTAAAGTGTTTCATAGGTCTTTTATTTTGGATTTTTTTTCCTTTTTTTAATCTTTTCCTTTTATTTTTATTAGTGCATGCTACTTCGAACAAGATATTTGGTATGCTTTAATGATTATATGTTTCCATAATAAATGCAATCCTTTCTTGTTTTTCCTGGCTGCTCTATTTTCATCCAAGGCATTTTGCCTTTTTGGTTAAATCGATTGTGTCCTTGTCTCAGCTGTCTAGCTGTGTCCTTCAGCTGGTAGGAATTTACCAATTTACCAATCTACAGAATCTCAACTGAGTCTGAAATTCTCTGGTTTAAAAAATAGAATCAGCGAGAACAGGCAGATTAGGAGGGAGAGAAAGAACAGCCTGAGAGTAAAATTCTCCAGTGAGTCACCAGCTGCCTGAGTTGCCCCAGGCAAAATGCAAAATGGGTCCTTAGCCAGGATCTGCCCACTGTCCCCACCCGCTCCGTTCCCTGCTGCAGGCATCTCAGCTCTTTGAAAGGAAGACAGCCTGTCCCTAAGAGGGGCCCCAACCCTCCCTGCCACAGATTTTATGATATAGGCAGCCACCTATGCCAAACAACCTTAGAGGCCCTCTGTTGTCTCTGATAATAGACAAACTAGGCTGGGCGCAGTGGCTCACGCCTGTAATCCCAGCACTTTGAGAGGCCAAGGAGGGCAGATCACCTGAGGTCAGGAGTTCGAGACCAGCCTGACCAACGTGGTGAAACCTTATCTCTACTAAAAATACAAAAATTAGCCAGGCGTGGTGGTGCGTGCCTGTAATCCCAGCTACTCAGGAGGCTGAGGCAGGAGAATCGCTTGAACCCAGGAGGCGGAGGTTGCAGTGAGCCGAGATCATGCCATTGCACTCCAGCCTGGGCGACAGAGCGAGACGCAAGACTCCGTCTCAAAAAAAAAAAAAAAAAAAAAAGACAAACTGGCAGCCTGGGGGTAGGGGAGGGAATAGGGAATTCTGCCCTAAAATGTACTTTGTTGATATCTTTAGTGATTTCTTTTTTTAAAATTGAGACAGTATTTTTAAAATAAAATGTCACTTAAAAGTCTGATTTTATCTTCTTTAAAAAAAAAAACCACATGATCTGACAACACTGGGCCCACATGGCAATAATGGCCTTAAGCAAAGATAGACACCTCCTATTTGCTCCGTCTCTACCACGCTCTGCATCTCCACAATCTTCAGGCTGGGTGTCAGCTGCCATTTAAAATCACTCTTCTACTATTTTTCTAACATTTTTTTCTGAGCTATGTCTTTATCATTAATGGGGAAAAAGGCCACACTAAAAGGATCACCTATTTTAAGAAATTACAAGAGATCCTCTTTCTCTATGAAAATAAAGAAAATTGCTATGTGTTTATTATGTAAAGAATCACTGTATTTAAAGAACACAAATGAACAATTGCCATTTTTAAAACTACATTAAGAGGTAGGATAAATGAAACAACACAGAATGAAAATGTTACCAAACTGAAAGAGGATAGCCACTTCAAGAGTTTGTTTTTACAAGCAAAGTTGCTGCAACAATGTAGTTATAAATTTGATGTCAGGACATTTAAGCCTGTTACAGATGGTGAATTTATAAAAAAAGTATCTATTGACCATAGAAAACAAAATATATCCTCCCCAACCAGCATTGAGAAACAATGTAACTCAGCATGTTGAAGACAGGGCTGGAAAAATTAGAGAAATAGTTTGTTGGAGTCTCCAAGGGGACCCCCAATAAATTGCACTCTTTTTTTCCTACCTATGTTCTAACATGGTGAGAAACAAAATAAAGATTAAAGGTGGAGGCCAAAATGTCAACTACAAAAGACAATTACAAATGTCAAATACAATTGAGAGAGGTACAGTTGAGGTTGTGACTTCATAAGAGAGCAGAATTGAGCCTGCATGTTGAAGTCCAGAATTCCAGTCCCCAACCTGCAAACTGACACTATGTGAGACCAAACCCATAGGCAGATTTTGTTCAAAAGAAGGAAGGAAAGCTGGAAGCCAACATAAGTATGTCCCGTTTCCCTTCCTAAATTTTCAAATCAGACAAGTCCTCTAAAATCACCAGTGATGGGCTGGGTGCGGTGGCTCACGCCTGTAATCTCAGCAATTTTGGAAGCCGAAGTGGGTGCATCATTTGAGGTCAGGAGTTTGAGATCAGCGGGGCCAACATGGTGAAACACCGTCTCTACTAAAAATAAAAAATAAAAATAAAAATAAAAAGCCAGGTGTGGTGGTGGGTGCCTGTAGTCCCAGCTACTCAGGAGGCTGAGGCAGGAGAATCACTTGAACCCAGGAGATGGAGGTTGCAGTGAGCCAAGATCATGCCACTGCACTCCAGCCTGGGTGACAGAGCAAGACTCTGTCTCGAGAAAATAAATAAATAAAATAAAATAAAATTACCAATGATGTGTTATTCTTTGATGAGAGTTCAGATATAAACAATATCCTCTAGTTAGCTTTATGAATGAATGGTGTTAATGAGAATTTAGAGGGAACCTCGGAATTCTTAGACATGGCAACCATGACAGGAAAAGATTTGGCTTTATGACTGTGTATGTCGTGTAAGCCTGCACTGGTAAAACTCTTTAAGTGTGACCGCTGGGGATGTTCCTATGAAGAACACTGTGAATGTCAGACTTGCTTCACATCCTAATCCAAGATGGTAATATGTTCTACATTCATGGAACGTAGAAGTGGAAGCTACTGAATGCAGTATCACATAAAAGCAAAACATGCCCATACTGGAATACCTAATTCTGTAAGTATCTTGGGAGAAGTTACCCTACCTATAAAAACAGAGGTACGTACATTTGCACATATTTGTTTTCTATTATGAAATAGAATTAAAAGAATCTCACCTAGAGAATTCCATGCTAAACTTGGAGTAGCGCAGCATGAAGAATAAGACCTGAGATAGCAACAGGAAAGGTAAAGGAACATTCTGTGGTCCTGCATGAAAGAGGAATGAAATGTCACCTCCTACGGGCAGCCTTACAAGGCCTCTTCTCATCCCTAGAGAATTAGTCATTCTCTAGGTTGGATTCCCATGGCACTTGGGATTTATGCTTTGAAAAAAGCATAAAGTTAAAACTCTGGATTGCAAACACAGAAACCCACTTGGGCTGATCACAATGGCAATACATCATAAGGTATTGTATTGATTCCATGGGACAGGTTGTCCCTGCCCCACAACCCCCCCACCTCACTGCCACCACCACCACCAAGATCACTAATTTAGAAGGGCTGGGCTGATAATTCACTAGGTGCTCACTAAAACAGTGTAATAAATGTATCTGATTTTTCTCCTGGCCGAACGTGGGCAGGGGGTGCTTTGAAGCAAGGTAATTGCATCTTATGCCTTTTTGTATAATTGCATCTTATTCCTTTTTGTATTTTCTGTACCTAGTTTAGTAGCCTACATGTTAGTGAAAGGAATGTATGCAGTAAACTGAATTGATGTTTTTATTGAGTTATTGACTGTAAAAATGCACAGACCCAGGCTGTGCTTTGAGGGCAAAACACAAACTGTGCGTATATGCACATATGCATAGACACACACAAACATATATACACATACTGCTGTGAGCTGTGTCCTTTAGGATTTTTTAATTACAATCAGAGAAAAAAAAATAGCTCTGGCTACTTTAATCAGAAATGGATTTCTTTTCTTTTCTTTTCTTTTCTTTTCTTTCTTTTTTTTTTTTTTTGAGAAGGAGTCTCGCTCTGTCGCCTAGGCTAAAGTGCAGTGGTGCAATCTTGGTTCACTGCAGCCTCTGCCTCCCAAGTAGCTGGGACTACAGATGCCTGTCACCATGCCTGGCTGACTTTTGTATTTTTAGTAGAGACGAGGGTCTCATCATGTTGGTCAGGATGGTCTCGAACTCCTGACTTCAAATGATCCACCCACCTGGGCTTCCCAAATTGCTGGGATTACAGGTGTGAGACACTGCGCCTGGCCAGAAATGGATTTCTATAGAAGTATATGGGCAGCTGACAGAATCAAAGGGGAACCTTTATATCAGGGCTCAGGAGGAACAGGAGCTGGGGCTGTTCCTCTGGCTCTCCATGGGGATGAGTTGATGGTTGGCACAGGGCACTGTCACGCCACTTTCTGCTCCTAGTTCAATACTCAGAGCCCAGGGAGAAGGCATCCAATGGAATAAGGGTAGGGCCCCCACATCAAGACTGGGAAGAGGGAAATTGTCTGGATAGGCAAAGGTAGTGGAGTCTACTGCAGGAGCCACTTCAGACCACTGGGGCAGTTACCGCGATGGAAAGTGAGCTGGCTGCTACCTGTCCCCTTCATTCTGCCTGCTGGAAAGTAGCTCGGAAGCTTCTGATACAGGCACCCAGGAGAGACGGAGATGTCCCTCAGCCTTGGCACCCCACTGCAGCCCCATCTGTGAATGCTGTCTCAATGTTCCCTTCCATCCCACACTTGGAAGTATTTCTGCCTCGGGGTCCTGGACCAACACAGCTTTGGTGGATGGTTTTTCTCTCATTCCTAAACTGCCTCCAGCACTTTTCAAATCAGGAAAACCAAAAGGAAAAGCCAATGGTGGGGTAGGGGAGAGAGGTGGGGCACTTTCCCGGGGGTGGCAGGGGAAGACAAGCTGGTGTTTAGTTAAAGCATTAATCAATGTCATCCACAGATTCCTCAATTAAAAGATCCGGGGTAGACTCAAAAGTGTATGGAACTAGCAGACACCCTTAGGAGTCTCTTCAGTCCTCTAGATTTGGAGATTCTCCAGATGAGTGAGTGATCTTATCTCAAATGGTGGGGAGCTGAAGTCCACACAGTGTTCATTTCCAGATCCTGATTTACTGGGCTGAAGAGAGCATCTGTGATGGCCCATGTGTCTGCCTCAGCCACCTGCCCCAATCCTGCCCACTACCGTCCTGGAACACTGGCCTGTAGTGCCTGGGAAGGGTGTCATTTGATCTGGAATCAGGCAATTGCAATGCCCACTGAGTGCAGAACACTTTTGATTCGAAAAATCTTACCTTGATGGAGTCTTTCTAAAGCATTCAATTTAGTTTGCATAGAAGGAACAATTCTGGCTGGGCATGGTGGTTCAAGCCTGTAATCCCAGCACTCCGGGAGGCCGAGGTGGGTGAATCATTTGAGGTCAGGAGTTCAAGACCAGCCTGGCCAACTTGGTGAAACCCCGTCTCTACTAAAAATACAAAAATTAGACTGGTGTGGTCGTGGGCGCCTATAATCCCATCTACTTAGAAGGCTGAGGCAGGAGAATCGCTTGAACCTGGAAGGCAGAGGTTGCAGTGAGTCAAGATCGTGCCACTGCACTCCAGCCTGGGTGACAGAGTGAGATTCCATCTCTAAATAAATAAATAAACAAGCAAAAGAACAATTCTGTTTGTCTTCACACTCATATTCCTTTAGTTTATGTAATATTCAAGTAAATCACTTACATTATAAGGAGCATAATAGGTCTGGTGGCAAACTCAGCTGAGCTTTGTCATGCATTCCCCTCAACCTGGGAAGCCAAGGTTTCTCCCAGCCATCCTGGCTCCCTGTCTGGGGACAAATTGCCTATTACACAGAAATATTGACAATGGCTGACTCCAGTTTGTAGGTTTATGGGTGATACTTTGGGGTGGTACTATTTTATAGTCTCTAAAATTTCTGTAGGCTTGTATTACTTTTTATAATCAAAGAAAAATGTGTTTTTAAAGACATATTTGCACATTCAAATGTATTTTTGGCATTTATAAGAAATATATCAAAGACAATTTTCAAGGATTTTGCTGATAAGAGACAGAAAAGGAAAAAACAATCAGTTTTTGATGATGGTAGATGGAAGTGGTTTTATAGATTTTTTTGAGTGCCTTTATGTGTTTACCCTTTATTAACCAGACCTCTATTTACAAATGGAAATTGGAGTAAGAATTAACCATTGTAAAAAAAAAACCTCCTTGAGTGGGGCAATCAAGATAGGATTTTTGTTTGTTTGTTTGTTTGTTTGTTTGAGATGGAGTCTTGCTCTGTCACCCAGGCTGGAGTGCAGTGGCGCACTCTCGGCTCACTGCAAGCTCCACCTCCTGGGTTCATGCCATTCTCCTGCCTCAGCTTCCCGAGTAGCTGGGACTACAGGCGCCTGCCACTACTCCCGGCTAATTTTTTGTATTTTTAGTAGAGATGGGGTTTCACCGTGTTAGCCAGGATGGTCTCGATCTCCTGACCTCGTGATCCGCCCACCTTGGCCTCCCAAAGTGCTGGGATTACAGGTATGAGCCACTACGCCCGGCCAAGATAGGATTTTTAAAAGTTACTTTATGGACCAGGCGGAGTGGCTCATGCCTGTAATCCCAGCACTTTGGGAGACAAGGCGGGTGGATCACCTGAGGTCAGGAGTTCGAGACCAGCCTGGCCAACGTGGCGAAACCCCGTCTCTACTAAAACTACAATAATTAGCCGGGCATGGTGGCAGGCACCTGTAGTCCCAGCTACTTGGAAGGCTGAGACAGGAGAATCACTTGAACCTGGGAGGCAGAGGTTGCAGTGAGCAAGATTGTGCCACTGCACTTCAGCCTGGGTGACAGAGAGAGACTCTGACTCAAAAAAATAAATAGATAAAAATAAAAAATAAAGTTACCTTATGTAGCATCATATGTTTTTCCATTTACTAATTTTTTCTACTATAAATGTAATAGAATTCATTTCAATAATCAACATTGAGAGAAAGGATACAACAGTCACTCAATCTAACCACTGAACTGTGACATTTTTGTTTCAAATTATTTTCTCCCCTAAACTTTCAAACCATTGAATGAGTCTTGCCCCATTTTAGCCTCAAAACAATGTTCAAAATAGGCCAGGCAGATGTGATGTTTCCAGTAGGTTCTATGTAAAGACAGCCAGCCTGTCAAAGGGAACGCCCACTGCCTGATTGCTTTGTGCCAGGCGGTTCTTCCAGAGTCAAGCTGGCTGTGTCCAGTGAGGGACACCAGTACCTTGGGAACGCTTAGCACATTCCCCAGAGATAAGGCAATTTTCACTAACCAGACCACTCCATGGATCGCTAGGACAACAAAGAAATATTAAGATCACTTATGTAGATGATTTTTGTTTCTTTATGTGCATGTATTTTTAAATTTCTGATATTTGTTTCATCTCATCTTTCTTTCAGAAATTTTGTATTGATTGTTTTAAGTCCCTGTGTCAGAAATTGATATAACCGTATGAAATAGTTAATCTGGATAGGAACCCTTTGTTAATGACCTGAATACCTGTTTAGCTAAAATTTAACATGATTTTAAAATTGTTTACCTTTCTGTGGTAATACAAAGCAATTGAAAATATGCCAAACATTTCCCCTCTCATCTCTTTAACTATTAAAAAAACCTCTGGATTTGTGGGGATTTTCTTGCTTGTTTTCGTAACATTCTCTGAAATTATTTTCATACCTCAGGGACAATTTTTTTTTCTTTGGGATAACTTTCTGCCACTTTGCTGGGTTTTAGTCCAGAGAAACTTAAGGTTGGAATCCAAACAAAACCTTGTTTACTTTTTCCACACTTCAGGAACTAGAGTAAATTCAGTCCACAGAACCCTAGGGGATGGAAAAGAAAAAAGGGCTTTTCATTGTGCACAGCTGAAATTAGCAAAGAAGGCTTTGTTTACACTGGACATTAACATCCTAATTAAAAGGGTAAGGCAATACATTGATAATGATAGATAATTGCCCTTGAGAGCAGCTATTGATGAGCTCTGGTAATCAAATGTTTGGAGGTATTGAGATGCTAATAGAGTTAAATTCTAGAAGCTGCCCAATTTTTGTGGAAGGAACTTACATTTGGACAGAGTACGTTTTTCTGGCAATCCCCCTTGACGGTGCTTCATCTGGGTTCAGACAGGCAGTATATTCTCTTGGGTGCCTGTCACTTTATTGTTGGCTTCAGGGAAAGAGACAGGGCCCCACAGGTCTCCCTGACCCGGGTTGAGGCTGGTGGCTGTGTCAGGCTGTCCAGTCAGGCAGCGCGCCAGTCAGCCTTCCTCCGTTTGCTGTTTCACCTTTCCAATCCCTCATTTTCACCCATTGGCTCCTAATGTGGGACACTGCTGTGGGCTTTGGTTTTCTACCTCAGTGAGCGTTCAACAGTCTGTTTTGACGCCTTGCTTTTAGAGCCAGGTTTAACAAAGCAAGGCATGGAATCATTTTCCTAGGAAGTCAAGAAAAACAAATCTAATCAAGCTTCCACTGGTAGGTTATTGTTACTATTTCTGCTTTATTTTTATTCACTTATTTTTTGAGACAGAGTCTCGCTCTGTCACCCAGGCTAGAGTGCAGTGGCACAATCACAGCTCACTTTCAGCCTCATCCTCCTGAGCTCAAGCAAGCCTCCCACCTCAGCCTCCCTAGTAGCTGAGACTACAGGTGCAACCACCGTGCCTGGCTAATCTTTGTATTTTTCGTAGAGAAGGGGTTTTGCCATGTTGCCCAGACTAGTCTTGAGCTTCTGGCCTCAAGTGATTCATTCACATCGACCTCCCAAAGTGTTGGAATAACTGGCATGAGCCGCCACATCCGGCTATTTCTGCATTATATTAAAGAAAGCCTTCTTCCTTCCATATTATGTTAGGACATATACAATAGCTGCTATTTAACCACTTTTAAATGTATTTTTTTTAAATTGTGGTAAAAACCACATAACATTTACCATCTTAACCATTTTTAAGCATATGATTTAATGGTATTAAAAACATTCATAATGTTGTGCAACCATCACCACCACCCATCATTATAACGCTTCTCATCTTGTAAAACTGAAACTCTGTACAAATTAAACCATAGCTTCTCATTGTCCTTTCCCCTCAACCCTGACAACCACTACACTAGCTTCTGTCTTCATGATTTTGACTACTCCTCTTCATACAAGTGGAATCATACAGTATTTATCCTTTTGTGACTGGCTGATTTCACTTAGCATAGTGTCCTGAAGTTTCATCCAAGTTATAGCACATGTCAGACTTTTTTTTTCTTAAGGCTGAATACTATTCCATTATATGAAAACACCACATTTTGTTTATTCATTCCTCTGTTGGTAGACACTTGGGTTGCTTCCATGTTTTTGCCAATGTGAATAATGCTGCTGTGAACGTGGGTATATACAGATACATCTTTGAGACTCTGCTTTCAATTCTTTTGAGTATATACCCAGAAGTAGAATGGCTATGGTTATTCTATTTTTAATTTTTTGAGGAACTGTTTTCCACAGTGACTGCACCATTTTACATTCCCACCAACAGTACACAAGAGTTTCTGTTTTTCCGTATCCTTGCCAACATTTGTTATTTTCTGTTTTCTTGATACTAGCCATCCTGATGGGTGTGAGGTGGTATCTCACTATAGTTTTAACTTGCATTTTTCTAATGATTAGTGATGTTGAGCATCTTTTCATTTGCTTATTGGCCATTGGTGTGTCTTCTTTAAAGAAATGTCTGTTCAAGTCCTTTCTCCATTTTTGAATCTGGTTGTTTTTTGTTGTTGTTATTAATTTTTAAGATTTCTGGGTATCAATTCCTTATCAGATATATGATTTGCAAATATTTTCTCCCATTCTGTGGGTTTCTGTTTTACTCTGTTGATAGTGCCTTTTGATGCCCAAAATTTTAAAATTTTTGCGAAGTTCATCTATTTTTTTCTTTTTTTGTCTGTGCCTTTGATGTTGTATCCAAAAAATCTCTGCCCAGTCCAATGTCATGAAGCTATTTTTTTTTTTTTTTTTTTTTTTTTGAGACAGAGTCTCACTCTGTGCCCAGGCTGGAGTGCAGTGGCGTGATCTTAGCTCACTGCAACCTCCACCTCCCAGGTTCAAGTGATTCTCCTGCCTCAGCCTCCCAAGTAGCTGAGACTACAGGTTCCCAGCACCACTCCTGGCTAATTTTTGTTTTGAGATGGAGTCTCACTCTGTCACCCAGGCTGGAGTGCAATAGCGCAATCTCAGCTCACTGCAACTTCTGCCTCCCAGGTTCAAGCGATTCTCCTGCCTCAGCCTCCTGAGTAGCTGGGATTACAGGCGCCCCCCACCATGCCCAGCTAATTTTTGTATTTTTAGTAGAGACGGGATTTCACCATTTTGGTCAGGCTGGTCTCGAACTCCTGACCTCAGGTGATCCACCCACCTCAGCCTCCCAAAGTGCTGGGATTACAGGCGTGAGCCACCGCGCTGGCCTATTTTTGTATTTTTAGTAGAGACGGGGTTTCACCATGTTGGCCACGCTGGCCTCAAACTCTTGATCTCAGGTGATCCACCCACCTTGGCCTCCCAAAGTGCTGGGATTACAAGTGTGAGCCCACTGCACATGGCCTATGAAGCTTTTGCCCTATGTTTTCTTCTAAGAGTTTCATAGTTTTAAGTTCTACATTTAGGTCTCTGAACCATTTTGAAATGACTTTTTTATATGGTGTTAGATGAGTCCAACTTCACTCTTTTGCATGTGGATATGCCACTTTTCCCTGCACCGTCTGTTGAAAAACTGTCCTTTTCCCATTGAATGGGTTTGACACTCTTCTCAAAAATTGTTTGACCATATATACATATAAAGGTTTACTTCTGGGCTCTTTATTTTGTTCCATTGGCCTATATGTTTGTGTTTATGCCAGTACCATACTGTTTTGATTACTGTAACTTTGTACTAAGTTTTGAAATCAGGAAGTGTGAGTCCTTCAGCTTTGTTTTTCTTTTTCAAGATTTTTGACTATTTTAGGTCCCTAGGGATTCCATATGAATTTTAGTATGGGCTTTACTATTTCTGCAATAATTTTACCATTTTTGATTTTTTAAATGTCAGTTTTATGTCATTCAACTTAATAGTTGAACTCTATGGCCTACAATAAAGTGACGTAGGCTAAAGGAGTAGGGAACTGATATTTATTGAAGACAATATATACTAGGCTTGATAACCCACTTACACCTCAAATTACCTCTGGAATATAAACAATGTGAGGGTGAGTATATGGCTCAGCTATTTGCTAAGCAAGTAAATGCTAAGCAGTGGCATAAAATAGACTGGGATATGACAACATCTTCCAGAATGTTTATGAATGTAAGCCCTGCTATATACAAAAACTATATATGAAAAGTGTACCTGATATAGTTAATAATAACTCAATTGTACATTTTTTAGTAACTTAAAGAGTGCAATTGGATTGTTTGTAACTCAAAGGATAAATTATTGAGGGGATGGATACCCCATTCTCCATGATGTGCTTATTTCACACCACATGCCCTGTATCAAAACATCTTATGTACTTCATAAATATATATGCCTACTATGTACCCACAAAAATAAAAAAACTTTAAAAAGTGAGTAAGAAGGTGCCTGGCATGTGTTAGCAGCTCAGTGAATGTTGGGATGGAGAAGTGAAATCACAGGTCTGAAGATAAAGTTGATACATAGTGGAGACAAACACCAGCATTTTTGGTTGAATTCAAAACCCACATTCTTTCCATTTCACTCCCATGGTTGGATTTTATACAAGCTCCAGTCTTGGTAGCCCCAACAGCTCTCTTCCCACAATCCCCAATGTCTACCGCCCGTTCTTAGTCACATGATCAGTGAAGTCTGTGAGGTGGTCATCCCGGGCCTATACCACTGGAGCTGGAGGAAAGGGCAAAGACTAGAGGACTTGCCTCACATGCATAGCCACTGACCTGCTCAGTTTCCTCACCATCCCGACAGCCTGCTGATGGCTGAACTGGAGGCCAGACTGTCAAAACTGTGTGAACCAGAGCAATTCCATCTTGAGTAGAAGCTGGGTAAAATGAGGCTGAGACCTACCGGGCTGCATTCCCAGACCGTTAAGGCATTCTAAGTCACAGGATGACATACAAAGTTGACACAAGATACAGGTCGTAAAGACCTTGCTGATAAAACAGGTTGCAGTAAAGAAGCCGGCTAAAATCCCCCAAATCGAGATGGTGACGAGAGTGGCCTCTGGTCTTCCTCATGGATACACTCTCACCAGTGCCATGACAGTTTACAAATGCCATGGCAACATCAGGAAGTTACCCTATATGGTCTAAATAGGGGAAGCATGAATAATCAGCCCCTTGTTTAGCATATCATCAAGGAATAACCATAAAAATGGGCAACCAGCAGCCCTCGGGGCTGCTCTGTCTATGGAGTAGTAGCCATTCTTTATTCCTTTACTTTTTTTTTTTTTTGACACAGAGTTTTGCTCTTGTTGCCCAGGCTGGAGTGCAATGGCGCAATCTCGGCTCACCACAACCTCCACCTCCCAGATTCAAGTGATTCTCCTGCCTCAGCCTCTCAAGTAGCTGGGATTACAGGCATGCACCACCACGCCCTGCTAATTTTGTATTTTTAGTAGAGACGAGTTTTTCCGTGTTGGTCAGGCTGGTCTCAAACTTCTGACCTCAGGTGATCTGCCTACCTCGGCATCCCAAAGTGCTGGGATTACAGGCATGAGCCACCATGCCCAGCTTTTATTCCTTTATTTCTTCTTTCTTTTTTTTTCTTTTTTTCTTTTTTTTTTTTTTTTTGAGATGGAGTCTCGCTGTGTTGCCCAGGCCGGAGTGCAGTGGCACAATCTCGGCTCACTGCAAACTCGGCCTCCTGGGTTCATGCCATTCTGCCTCAGCCTCCCAAGTAGCTGGGACTACAGGTGCCCGCCACCAAGCCCAGCCAATTTTTTTCTTTTTTTTGTATTTTTAGTAGATACGGGGTTTCACCATGTTAGCCAGGATGGTCTTGATCTCCTGACCTCGTGATCTGCCTGCCTCGGCCTCCCAAAGTGCTGGGATTACAGGCGTGAGCCACCACACCCAGCCTATTCCTTTACTTTCTTAAACTTTCTTTCACTTTACTCTATGGACTCACCCTGAATTCTTTCTTGCTCAAGATCCAAGAACCCTCTTTTGAGGTCTGGATCGGGACCCCTTTCCTGTAACACGACTGTATCCCCTTGGCAGACATATGATTCTGCACCCCCGCTTGGTCTCCAATTTCCAGGGATGAAGAAGGAGGGAAACGAGGGAAAATGCTTACTGAGGCATCTTCTATGAGCAGTCACCATACTAAGCTCTTTACTTACATTGCTTCTTGCACTGTTCACAACAATCCATGATTATCCTCAATTTAGAAATGTGAAAACTGAAGTCACCGATGAAAAGCCACACACTGCATTTTGACTTGGCTGTCTTTCATTCCAGAGCCTTTATGACCGAAGATGGAACTGAAATGCCATCCTGTTATCAAGAAGGAGCATAAGAACAGCTAGAGGAGAGATGCAAGATTGAAATATCATGGAATGGACTATGGTTTATCCTCTCTTCTGGTCGTAAAACACCATCAGGTTGTAATTGTTCAGATCAGAAATTCCCAAGCTTTTAATAAAGCCTTCAGGGAGCCTCATCCAGGGGCAACTGCCCTGTCATTGGGAATAAGTAGAGTGTGTGGGAAATATGTTGTCCTTGGTAAAACCTCCCCTTAGGAAAGAAGGCAAGAGAATTGAGTAAGAGAATGATGGGCCAAAAGGAGAAAATAGAGAAAGAGGCTGCATGCTACAGAGAACAAGAGCAAAATTCAAAAGCCTGGCACAGTTGGGCTTGAAACCATCTGTGTAAAGGGGACTAATAATGCTGACCTCACTGCATCACAAATGACAGAGTTTAAAATGATGGTGTTTTTAAGGGACCTAGCACGTATTAAGAATTTAATACACATTGGTTTTCCTCCCTTCTCCTAGGGATTAGGGAAAGCACATCACTTTGCTTAAATGCGTATAAAAAGGCTTCAGACTGCTTCTTAACAATGAGAATCTTTGACAGTGAATATGCAAGCCAAAAATAAAGAGTGGTTGAGAAACTTTGGCCAGTGGTATCCCTATCTCTGCTTACGATCTGGCTCATCAGGAGGGTTTTCCAACTTGGAAAACAGCAGAGGCTCCTGTTTGCAATGCTCCGTCTCTGACAGGGGTGAGCCTGCCCCTTCCCTGACTCCAGCCCATGCTGGGAACAAAAGGATCTTGGGGAGAAAAGCCCTCCCTCTTGGTGCCCCCTTTGTCATTAGCAGAAGGACCAAACCTTAGAAAGGAAGACTAGAGGTGGAGAGGGTGGGGGGAATAGAAGGTTGTTACAGCTGAGTTTTCCTGTGTGCTATGAAATATGCAAAAAAGAGAGAACCAGGGCCTGTAGAGTAACAATTCATATAGACTCACAGATTTCAGAATCTAAGGTAAGATCGTAATGTGATGTTGTGATCATTTTATTGACATTTTCTCATCAATATCAAGCTGATCCTAGGTACAACTCATTGAGACATTCAATATTCTTAGCACGCACTTTGTTTCTCCTTTAGAAGTATAAGAAGCATTTCAACTATGTTTTCCATGTATAATTGTTTCCCTTGGATCCTGATGCTTTAGTTCCTGTCCATTGTTGTTTGTCAAAGAGCTTTCATTAACTCACAAGGCTTCAGGGAGTTCTGCCTTAGAGTGGGTGTTGAATCCCAACATGTTCTCTGTGTCCTTCAGAGTTGGTGTTAGCCCGTGCCCCTCCTTGCCTGTCCTGCCCATTTGTTCTGCTTTCCCTCTCATGTTACTGAAGGCAAACATCTCAAATGAACCATTTAACCCCCACCCCTACTTTCTTCCAGCTCTGTTGGATCTCGAGGCTTTTAAAAAATTTGACTCATTCAAATGGACTTATTCAAACTGACAAAATGCAGTTTTATACAACTCTAGCCATGAAAACACTATATAAACAGGCTTTAGGTCTTTATCATTCTGCAGAATAATAAAAAAGGAGAACCAAAGTGATTCAAATGGCTGTTTGTTTATTGAGTGCACAGGGTGTTAGGGACCAGGCTTGGGAGACAGCCTTCTGTTTCCTCCCCACTTCATTCCTCTGCTCTGATACATTAGCACTTGCCCTCTGGGCAAGCAGGCTGATTATTTCTGTTGGGAGACTGCCCACATTTTATTTTTTTATAACAACTAAATATATTTCCATTTTAGCTTGGTTTTAACTTAGGGGCCACATGGTGGGCCTGGGAGAGGAATGGCTTTGCATGTTGAGAGAGGGAAGGCCAAGGCCAAGATCAGTGTGGATATCAGGTAGGTCTGCAAGGCTTTACTGGATTAGACAGACACATGCCAATTACTTCCAAAAGCTTGTGTTGCCTCTACCACCCTCACCTTCTGAAACTTAGTGTCTTGTTTATGGAATACCAGGAAGTGGCTGCATGCCATGAAGTGGTTTTTTATTCACAAAAGAGTTCAAGACACCAACAGTCACACTAATTTTTCTTTTATAATTACTTTTATTTTTCAGTAGGTTGAGAAAACACTTAACTAACTTTGTTTTTCTGAGATGCCCAAACCCTACTTAGGAAGGACTACCTATGGAATGAAAAACTGTTCCACAATCACCAACGGACTCCTTGACAAAATAAAGTGTTAGTTTGGCCAAGCAGCAAAAGTATATCACTTTTTTGTTTTTGTTTTTGTTTTTGAGACAAGAGTCTCACTCTGTCACCCAGGCTGGAGTGCAGTGGTGTGATCTCGGCTCACTGCAACCTCCGCCTCCCAGGTTCAAGCGATTCTCCTGCCTTCAGCCTCCTAAGTAGCTGGGATTACAGGCATGCGCCAACACGCCCGGCTAATTTTTGTATTTTTAGTAGAGTTGGTGTTTCGCCATCTTGGTCAGGCTGGTCTCGAACTCCTAACCTCGTGATCCACCTGCCTTGGCCTCCCAAAGTGCTGGGATTACAGGCTTGAGCCACCGCACCCGACCTGAGTATATCACATATGGGCTAAGCAAGTAGTTTTCCGCCTTTGCTGTATATGGGATTTACCTGGGGTGGTCAAAAAACATGCAGTTCAGATTCTGTCCCCCCAGAGATTCTGGTTCTATGAGCCTAGGCCTAAGTGTCTTCTGTTTTTTTTTGTTTTTGTTTTTGTTTTTGAGACAGAGTCTAGCTCTGTTGCCCAGTCTGGAGTCCAGTGGCGCGATCTCTGCTCACTGCAACCTCTGCCTCCTTGGTTCAAGTGATTCTCCTGCCTCAGCCTCCCAAGTAGCTGGGATTATAGGCATGTGCCACTGTGCCTGGCTAATTTTTTTTTTTTTTTTTTTTTTTTTTGTATTTTTAGTAGAGGCAGGGTTTCACCATGTTGGCTAGGCTGGCCTTGAACTCCTGACCTCAAGTGATCTGCCCACCTCGGCCTCCCAAAGTGCTGGGATTACAGGTGTGAGCCACCATGCCTGGCACTGAGTATCTTTTATAAGCTCTTCAGGTGATTCTGATAGACAGCCGGGGTTCAGAACACTTGGGCTAGGCTCTTTCCTTTACAGAAAGATCCAGAATTTATTTTAGAAAGATCTAGAAAATAAATTTGTTGTTTGGAGGTCTGTCACTACAAAACCAGAGCTATTGGATTGATTGTACCATATGTAAATCGTTCTTCTATCATTAACAACCACCCAACAACTATGTAAATACACTAGACCCTAGTCTCCTCATCTGTAAAATAGAGGCTTAGCTTATATGGTTTCCAAGGTCCCTCACAGCTCTAACATTTTATCATATTATGATTCCTAATTGCTCTAATTCCTGAAGAGGATTTCAGCTGGAGGAAATAAGTAGGAATTTAAAAGAAAGAGGCTAAAATCATCATCATCACCATAAACAATAGTTGATAGAGCCAGATCTTAAATCTGGGTTTCTCAAGGGGCTGTTTATGTGGCATAGTTAAGAACACAGACTTAATGATGCTCAGCTCAGCTGCTTATGACCTTGGACATATTACCTAACTTCTCCATCTCAGTTTTTTCGTCTGTAAAGTGGAGTCAGTAATAGCAACTATGTCATAGAATTTTTTAGAAGATTAATTGAGTTTATATAAAATACTTCTATGTTGGCCAGGCTGGTCTTGAACTACCTGAATTTGCAGGAGAATAGTTGTTTATAGGCACATTATTCAAATTCTCTTTTGCCACATCTATTGCGGTCCTCGGTTGTTCTTAAACAACCAGAGAAAATAGGTCGTTTGGAAGAGTAATGTACTTCAAGCTTGCTTGGAAGAGTAATCTACTTCAAGCAAATAAAAATAAATACTTTTTGATTTATGTTGGAGACAAAATAGTAGACAATGATTTGACTTATTTGAATATTTATTATCTTACATAATGGTAAAATTCTCTCCAATGGTTTTCCTGTTGCATTTCAAATATAAGTGGACATACAAGCATTTGATTTGCTATTAGGTGTTAAATGAGGAGGGAGAGTGTCAGAAGCCTCAGGTGGAGATCAGGACATTTGGTTTCCAATCTTACCTCTGCCTTGGCCACACCACCAGCTCTCGAAGCCTCAACCTCCTTGGCCATGGTAAAGCATGAGTAAGTTGTCTGAGGGCCCTATCCACAGTGAATTCTGTTTAGGAATGACTTTGGGTCAATATATTTTATTTATTTTATTTTTATTTTTTGAGGTGGAGTCTCGCTGTCACCCAGGCTAGACTGTGGTGATGCGATCTTGGCTCACTGCAGCCTGGACATCCTGGGCTCAAAGGATCCTCCTGCCCCAACCTCCCAGGTAGATGGGACTACTGGTGTGTACCACCAGACCTGGATAATTTTTGTATTTTTTTTTTTGTAGAGACAGGGTCTCCCTTTGTTGCCTAGGCTGGTCTTGAACTCCTGGGTTCAAGCAATCCTCCCTCCACAGCCTCACAAAGTCTTGGGATTACAGGTGCGAGCTACAGCACCTGGCAGACTTTTGGTCAGTTTGTTGATCTTTTCAAAGAACCAGCTTTCAGTTTCATGGATATTTTTCTCTATTGTTTTTCTAGTCTCTATTTTATTAATTTCTGCTCTCGTCTCTGTAATTTTCTTCTTTCTTTTTGCCTTAGATTTAGTTTGCTGTCTTCCTGTTTCTTAAGGTGGAAGGTTAGGTTACTGATCTGAAATTTTTGTCCTTTCTTAATGTCAACATTCAGAGCTATAAATTTCCTTTTAGTCACTGCCCTAGATATTTCCCGTAAGTTCTCATATGTTGCATCTTCATTTTCATTCATGTCAGGCTATTTCTTTCTGTGAGTTTTCCAACTTTTTTCCTACTATTGATTTTATTCCACTGTGTTCATAGAACACACTTGGTAGTATTTCCTTTTTTTTTTTTTTTTTTTTTGAGACGGAGTTTTGCTCTTGTTGCCCAGGCTGGAGTGCAATGGTGCGAACTTGGCTCACTGCAAACTCTACCTCCTGGGTTCAAGCGATTCTCCTGCCTCAGCCTGCTGAGTAGCTGGGATTACAGGCATGCACCACCACACCCAGCTAATTTTGTGTTTCTAGTAGAGTTGGGGTTTCTCCATGTTGGTCAGGCTAGGCTTGAACTCCCAACCTCAGTTGAACTGCCTGTGTCGGCCTCCCAAAGTGCTGGGATTACAGGCGTGAGCCACCGCGCCTGGCCCGTATTTCTATCTTTTAAAATGTATTGAGGTTTGTTTTGTTGCCTAGCCCATGGTTTATCCTGGAGAATGTTCCATTTGCACTTGAGAAGAATGTGCATTCTTCTGTTGTTGGGTGGAGGGTTCCACAAATGGCAGCTAGGCCTAGTTGTTTTACATGTTATTCAGGTCTTTTATTTCCTTGTTGATCTGTCCAGTTGGTCTATCCACCATTGAAAGTGGTATATTGAAGGATGGACTTGGCCTTTGAAAAATACTTGGACTATGTGAGGCATACCGTATTTCAACTTCTAAGGAGTATTTATATCTATGAAGCACGATTATAGTCACAGCATAGTGTAAAGCAGATAAATAATGATATTTATAGTTCTTTTCTTTTTTCCCCAGGAGGAATGTGTCTCAGGAGTATTCTCTTTTTTATTTTATTTATTTCATTATTTATTTTTTGAGACAGAGTCTCACTGTGTCACCTAGGCTGGAGTGCAGTGACATGATCTCAGTTCACTGCAACCTCCGCCTACCTGGCTCAAGCGATTCTCCCACCTCAGACTCCCGAGTAGCTAGGATTACAGAGGTGAGCACCACCATGTTGGCTAATTGTGTGTGTGTGTGTGTGTGTGTGTGTGTGTGTGTGTGTGTGTGTGTGTATTTTTTTCAGTAGAGATGGAGTTTCACCATGTTGGTCAGGCTGGTCTTGAACTCCTGACCTCAAGTGATCCAGTGATCCTCCTGCCTTGGCCTCTCAAAGTGCTGGGATTACAGGTGTGAGCCACCACGACTGGCTGGTAGTATTCCCTTTTTTAAAATGGACAAGTAGAAGCCTGGAGCAGCTAACCGATGTGCCCAGGACACAATGAAAGAGTGGCTGAGGAGGGACAGTGGGCGTCTTTGAGGGCTCCCAGTATCACCTTCTCATCAGAAGAACTGCCTTCCTTGTGGGCCAGTTACAAGCTGATAGACACGCACCAACATACTGTGTGTGTGTCAGTGTGACATAGAGAGAGAAAGAGAAAGTGTGCGTGTAAGTGCACAGGGCAATTGGAACGCTAAATTTCATTTATCCTGGAGCCACAGTCAGGTTTAATCATTCCTGGAATTTTGTGCATGAACAGGGTGTAGTTGTGGACTCATTATTTACATAACATTTTTCTTTCCTCTCCCTCTCACCTGAGGGGGAAAGGGGCTTTCTCTGGAGCCAGAAGAGACACCATCTCCCCTTATCTTTAGTGCTGAAAGCCCACAGGCATGCCTGCTATGTCCTCTGGACTGTGTTAGGGACATGACTTGCGGTGTCAGACCAACCATTTGTAAGGCAGATATGCACAAGGCTTCTCTCTTCTCTTGTTTCCTGTCTTCCCTCATTCTCACCTGGTTGTCCACATAGGGGGCACTCAATCAATATTTATTGATTTGGTTTTGTAATGAGGCCAGCCCAAGTTATATCCTGGTTAATGAACTACTGACTTCAATGAGAGGTGGGGCTGACAGAGACCCAAGTGGACTCCGCTGTTTCTCAGGCATTTTCTGGAGTCTCTCTCTGAGAATGACAGATGAAGACTGAGAGAGGGAACACGCAGCAGCCCAGGGTCACAGCAAGAATGGGACATCTGGACTCTGGTCCTGCCACTGAGATCTTCCACCGCTTAGGGGAGTCCTGGCCTCTGTGTCCGTGACTGTATTATATGGGTGCTTAATCTAAAGACTGGCAGGGTTGACTTCTGCTTTACTATTTTCTCATTCTGTGAAATGCGCCCTTCCTTTGCTCACTTACTTTCATACTCATGCCCTGATTCAACAAATATTTATACAGCACCTGCTCAGTGCCAGGCACAAAGGAGACCTGGAGTTGGAGGTGGGGATGGGGATGCATAGATAGACAATGGGCGGCTCCAACCCTTGAATCCAACTTGTTGGGTGGAGGGTGAGAATGCGAGACAGACATCTACATGGATAATACTACTGGGTGGGATCTGATTGATAGCTCCTGGGGTAACTCCCCACACAGGCCTGTACAGAGGGTGCTTGCCTCAGAAATCTGGGAAACTGAGGTAATGCCAAGGGGAAGATAGAAGGTAGCAGTGTTCTTGAGTGGGTAGGAAGGCTCAGTGGGACTGTCCTGAGCACTTCACTACATTTAAAGAGATCACAGATCACCTCTCACCCACCTGATGGAGACATCAGGAATGTATGCATGTGATGACTGTGTGTCTAGATATTTCGGGTTGAGTAAAAAACCCACATGGAGGTGTTTATGCTATAGGCTGGGTCTGTTGAAGAGGCTACCATGTTCTCTGAGATTAGTTGCCCTTAAGATCTGTTGTTCCTCAAAGATCAACAGAACTCAAGGAGGCCTTAGAAGGAGGCCCACAGGTCTTCCAGGACTATGCCCCAGGGAGCCACACCTGACCTGCAGTTGAACACAAGCCATCACCTTGGCTCAGCTCAGCCCTATTCCTAGTGATCACAGAGCCTGCAAGCCAATCCAGCCCATGCAAATGCCCAGCAGAGCTTGCAAACAAAACCAAAACTGAAAAACAGAAAATTAAAGGAAATCCCATCACGTACTCTCTCATGCAGCCTAAACAACCCTGCTGCCATACACAAAGTCAGGCCACACATCTGCTCTTGGCTACTGGATGATGGGGCTCTAGTACCGTATTCATTTCACCTCTCTTCCCAGCGGACCAGAAGAGAGGGGGAATTTCCACCTGGATCTCTGCATACCACCAAAAAGAGATGCAACGTGGATATCATTCAAATCCTACCATGGCAGTGAAAATAACAACCACCTAGCTAAATTGACTGCTCACTGTATTCCAGGCACTGTGTTAAGCACTTTATATACATTATCTTATTCCATTCTTCAGTCATACAGGGTAGGGCTATCATTGTCTTTGTTTTATTGATGAGTAAACTTAGGCTTAGAGAAAACAAACAGTACAATAATTAAAAGCCAGAGTGTGTAACTCCTAAAGGCATATTTTCCTCTCTCTTTTTTTTTTTGGAGAGGTAGGATTTCGCCACATTGGCCAGGCTGGTCTCGAACCCCTAACCTCAGTGATCCACCCACCTTAGCCTCCCAAAGTGCTGGGATTACAGGCATGAGCCACCTTGCTCAGACAAGGCATATTCTTAACCATTACCCAATGTTGCACCTCTCATGGCTTTATTTTACCATAAGGGAAGCAACAGAACACACACAATGGAACCTCTTTCTCTTCTTTAGAATTGAGTTTTGATCTGAGTTTTTGAAGTATTTCTGCTGGATGTGTATTTTTAATATTGTAAGCCACCGCAAATCCTTGATGAAGATAGGCACATCACAAAGCTCAGTTTTTTAAAAAAGCAGCAGAACACACACAGAGATCATGGAAATCTGCTCCAACCTCTGTCTGGTTATAACTGCTTTGGGGTGGGGGCTGGGGGAGCTGTCTTCGTGGCTGCCAGACAGAAGGTTGTTTGAACTTGGCTGGTTATGAGAGCCAACAGAGTGAACTTGAAGAGAAAGATAAACATACAACAACTGTTCAAAGCTTTAGGCGTTATGATTGCTAATTGAGAAAGGCTCTAAATGATAGCTGCTGGGGTGCAGGGATTTCATTCCTGGGGGATTAGAGACTCGGGGTAACTCTGGGACTGTGTTTCTTCGGACTCCCCCTAAAAAACATTATAAGCGGTTGTAGCATCCTAGTCAACAGGGAACAGATATACTTCAGAGTGACCCAGGGCAGCAAATCACCTTAACTCTGAACCTCTTCAGGTGGACTCTTCACATGCACACATGTAGGCACTCTCAGACACGTACCCGCACATACACATGCATGCTCTCTTACACATTCACCCCCAGACATATCCATGTGCAAAAACACAAGCTCACGTTACACTCACACATTTACACATTCACAGGCACGCATTTTCTCTCCCTCACACACATACACACACTCCTACTCTCTCTTGTCTGCACATGCATGCTCCTGGCAAGCCTGTGGCTATTATACCTGCCCAGTTCTCTTTCTGGGCCCAGCCCCAGCCTGTGCATCCTCAGGCCTGGCTCACCGGGCTGCCATGCTGTCTTCACCTTTCCCTCAGAGCCTGGTCACACTGTCCTGCACTTCAAATGATGACTGTGTGAGAGACCCGAAGCCACTGCAAGTAAGTGTGACTGTTCTGACTGTGTGGTCACCGGGGTAAAATGCAGGCCCCATAGCTGGCCTCTCACAGGGGCTACTGGCATCTCGCACCCCTCTGGCTCTTTCTTCTTCCGGAGACAGTTTGATGAGGTGGACAGGGCTTTGGGAAAAATAAGGCCTGGGGCAAGCCACGGTTCTGGGACCTTGGATAAGCTGCTGAAAACTTCTGAGTCTTGATTTCCTCAGCTGTAGAATGGAGCTAATATATGTTATGGAGTTGGAGAGAGTATCAAATCCCATGGCTGACAGGAACTTGCTATGGCAACAAAGGTCATTATCAGTGATTCTTCTGGCTGATAAGTTGTAAAATGTCTCTCTGACTCACTCTTAACTCATATTGGCAAACTTTCCTGCCAAATGAGTCAGTTTTGTGTCAACCTTGCTCCAAAATTTTTTTTAAAAAAAGAGGCACCAATATACTATACCGATTACCCTCACAAGAAAAGCACCTTTATGTTCACTTCTTCCTGCAAGTATTTAATGGTGTTAAAAAAAACCCACAAATTTTAATAAGACAAAAATGAAATTTCATACTGCCTCAGAAGAGAAAAACAGCAGAGAAAGAGAATCTGCAGAGACAAGATAAAGATAAAGTATCTCTTTTCACAATTCTGCTGAACATGGTCCCATTAAACATCCTCCCAATGGTAAGGATGATTGTAAATTCCATTTTCTGAGCACCTACCATGTCCCAAGCACTATTTGGCATCTAATATACTTTGTCTTTCTTCTTCCGTATAGCACTAATCACAAATGTCATGACATCATTACTATTGTCACAATCTATTTCATGTTTACCTTGCTCACTAGATGACAAACTCCAGGAGGGTGTGGGCCTGGTCTCTGCTGTTTGCCGTTATATAGTCTGTGTCTAGTGTAGTGTCTGGCATGTGGCATTGCTTAGTAAACGCTCATTGAACAAATGAATGAGCTACAGTCCTTGCAGCAGAGTAGCAAGTTAGGCATGATCATCTCCATTTTACAGATAAGGAAATGGATGCTCAAAATGAGATGGCTTCCTAGGAGATACTGCCTTGTGGTGCTGGGAACTACATCCCAGTTGGTTGATTCCAAACACATTTGCTCTCCTGGCTACTAAAGTGACTATTCTAGTAAGGGCCTCCACTGGGTTGCCTTGTTTTGGTTGTGTAAACCTTCATGGGTACTTGCTTAATAAACAGTCTTCTGGGTTTAGCTCCTTTAGCTAGTCCTTAGTCTCCCCTGATGGGCTGTTTCCTTTCCTTTTAACTTATCACTCGTTTACTTTCTTGTATCTTACTTTGCATTGCCTCTGCTTAGTCAGTCCCTTTCTTTTTACTCTGAGCAGAGTGCCCATCCTAAACAATCCCATCAAGTCCTCTGGGGTCCTTCTCAGCTCTAGTCCCTTCCTCTGCACCAGAGGCCCCAGCCAAAAGGCTCAGGATAAATATCACCAAGGCTGCACCATGAAATTACAACAGTCACCCCAACTGCCCTGGCTAGAGCCAACAATAACCTCCTTGTTGCCAAATCCCACAGACACTCCAGCATTCTCACCCTACTTGATCTCTTCTCTGCACTTGCTACTATTGACTGCCCCCCCTGGAAGCCACATCTGTTCCTCACTCTCACCCCATCTCCTTTGCAACTTCTATCTTCTTCCCAAATGGTGGTGTCTCTGGGGTTCTCTTTTCATCCTATGTAGTTTCCCTTGGATGCCTTATCTACTCCCCCTTGGCTTTTATGTCATCTTCATCCAGAGTTTCTCAATGTTAGTGGGCATGAGGATGATTGGGCAATAATCCTGACTACTGATTTGTTGGGTCAGGCAGGGAGGCTGCATTAGGATGATCAGATGCAGGCTGCTCTCAGTTCTCAGACCACAGGATGAAACACATCGAGCTATACAAACTGGTATTTCCCAGTACCATGCCCTTCCAAACTCCAGGCCTGAATAGCTACTTTCCTGCTACGTAGTTGACTTGCTGTCTCCTTGGCCATAGCAGTCACAGTGATGTGCCACTCAACTCCCCCTTCAGGAAGGGACTTTTTGCCCCCAGATGCAGGAAGTGCTGTCATCATCCAGGATTGCCTCCACTGGAAACAACCTCCTTGTCCAAGGTCATGTCACTTCTTAGGGAAGCTCATATTCAATCACTGATCAGTGCAGGAATATAGAAGCTCAGCCGTCTTGGCTCAACCTGGAACAGCTCTGAAAGGCTCTCCTAGCTCCAGAGCTCCCTGAGGGTGAGCTGATGTGCTGGTTATGTAAAGCTGTGTAACAAACCACCTCCAAATGTAACTGCTTAAAACAATGACATTTACTTTGCTCATGAATCTGCATTCTGGACAGGGGTTGGGGTGAGGGAAGAAAACGAAGAGCTAGTCTGTCTCTGCTCCACTTGGTGTCTGCTGGGATGGCTTGGAGGCTGGGGCTGGATGCATCTAAAACCCAACTACTCACAGGTCTGGTGCCTGGACTGGGCACACAAACTGTTGGGGCTGGAGCCACTGGGCTCCTTGGGCATCTTTGTGTGTGTGTGCGCGCGCGTGTGTGTGTGTGTGTGTGGTTTCTCCATGTGCCCTCTCCAGCATGGAGGCTTCAGGACAGCCAGGCTTCTTACTTGTGGACTAAAGGCACCTGAGAGAGAGCTGGGTGAAAGCTATTATTCCTTTCTATGATATGACCTCAGAAGTCATGCCACATCACACTGGTCACACAGTCACAAAACTGCACCCAGTTTCAAAGGTATGGAACTTGAACCCCACCCCTCCATGGAGGAGAGCCAGCATTACACTGTGAGAACACACATTGATGTGGCTGTTTTTGAGGAGTACTCTCTGCCAGAGCCAAGTCTGTCATTAGGCCTGCCCTGCAGCTCAACATCTCCCTCTTTGCACTTCTGTGTCCTCCTCCCATTTTCTGTGATGCCCTCGAGAGAGCACTTTAAGAAATAACCCTACTCTCTAAACTCTGTCTCAGAACCTACTTCTCAGGAGCTCAGCCTGTGAGACCAGCCCCTCAAAAGCAACATGTCCAAAACAAAGTCACCATCTTCCCCACCCCGACCTCCCACCCAGGACTTCCTCTCTTCTCTGTGCCTTTTTTCAACAAATGCCCAACTGACTCTGTCTAGTGCCAGCTCTCTCCCCCAGCCCCAGATCCAGGCACTCTCCAGTCCTGTTTCTCCCAAACACCTTTCACATGTGTCCACCTCTTTCCCTCCCCAAACCTCTGCTCTCATCCAAGCCACCACCCTCTCCTACCCAGATCTGCACAATAGTCCCATAACTAGCCCCCGCATCCACTCTCAGCTCCCTGCCGCCCAACTCCACTTGTTTCCAGAATGTTCTTTCAAGCCTCATCTATGATTATTTCCTTTTTTATCGCCCATGAGATAAAGTCCACACTTCTTAACTTGGCCCACTAGACCCTGTGTCAGCAGGCCCTGTCTTCCTTTGAAGTCCCATTTTGCATGCAGCTGCTTTGCTGTGTTAGGAGCACAGTAACCTCTCCCTGTCTTGTCAGGGATGCTTCCTCTGGGTGTACAACACTGTTCTTCTCCCCCAGCTCCAGTACTCATTTGTCATGTTTTGGTTCAAATTTCAATTTCTCCAGCAAGCCCTCCCTGCCCCCTCCAGACTGTGTGAGGAGCCCTAACATGAGCTCCTGCAGTACCCCTCCCTCCACAGCACAGTCACACTTCCCAAGAGTCACATGTGTGACTGCCTTCCCTAGAAGCTGGAAGGTCCATTGGGCAGGGACTGTATCATCTTGTTCACTAGTATAGTCAAGACACTGAGTTCAATGCATGACACACAGTGGACCCTC
Organism: Homo sapiens; assembly: GCF_000001405.40. NCBI lineage: Eukaryota > Metazoa > Chordata > Mammalia > Primates > Hominidae > Homo > Homo sapiens. Next base: position 101,448,361 of record NC_000008.11, on the reverse strand, counting down.
AGACCGGCTGCTACATACTATGGGGCAGGTTGTGCACTGAGTAACTCCAGGGGGCTCCATTTGCGTAGACTACACTGTGGAAGCACCTCATAGAATTATGCAGTGCCCAGCCTAAACACACAGTGGCCCAGCAAAAAGTTTTGGATGTATGATCAAATGAATAAATTAATTTTGCTATTTTGGGTGCTCTCTGTTAATAATGAAATTAATGTTTGGCTAAAGGAAAATAACTTGATTTCAGTAGTCTCTTTTCAAATGCCAAAGAATGCAACATTTGCCACTAGGAAAAAAATGCAGAAATTTAATCAATGGTTCTCAGTCCTGGGTGCAGCACGTTAGAATCACCTGGAGGCTCTGAAACATGCTGATGCCCAGGCACAATAGAATCTCTGAGGGTGGGGCCCGGCAGTGGCATTTTTTACTATGTCCCCACACGTCTCTAATGTGCTGCCATGACTGGGAACCTCTGGCCTAAAGAGCATCCAAGCACATCCAAAGTGCTTAGGAAACCCACCTGGTAACCATTAACTGCCCTCTCAAACATTTCGTTCAGGAGCCACAGGGCTGAGCACCCAAGATGAAAATCTTTTTGAGTTGCATGCATTTCTTCTCTGCTTTTTGGACCTCAGGTGCAGAGAGTTGAGTCTGCCTTTTTCATCAGTTCAAGCACAGTGGCTTCATTGGCCCATGCAAGACTCTTTTCTGGTTTTATACATTGCCTCTTTATTCTTGTTTCTCCTCCAGAGGCAACCAACCATTCTAATGTCTTTGATGAATTATGGTACATACATGTGTTTATATGCATTCTTACACAAACATGTTTTGCTGCTTTTTCTTTTTTTGAGACAGACTCTTGATCTGTCACCCAGGCTGGAGTGCAGTGGTGCGATCTCGGCTCACTGCAACCTCTGCCTGCCAGACTCAGGGGATTCTCCTGCCTCAGCCTCCTGAAGAGCTGACATTACAGGCACCTGCCACCATGCCTGGCTAATTTTTTGTATTTTTAGTAGAGATGGGGTTTCACCATGTTGGCCAGGCTGGTCTCGAACTTCTGACCTCACGTGATCTGTCCACCTTGGCCTCCCAAAGTGCTGGGATTATAGGTATGAGCCACCACGCCCGGCCTGTTTTGCCACTTTTTATACCTGCAGTTTTAATTTATGTAGATATATTGTCTTCAAGACTCATTCTGATTGTTAATGTTTTACTCCATCCATGTTGCTGTGAGTACGTCCAGTCAGTTGCACCTAACTGCTGCAAAGTATTCCAGTCTGTGCTCTCCCACATTTTCCATGCATGCCCCCAGTGACATCCACCCACATTGCTTCCAGCTCCCCAACACTACAGCTCTGCAGTAATCATCCTTGCTTATGTCTCCTTATGGACCAGAATGAGAATTTATCTGCGATAAAAATCGTCTCTCTGGCCTATAAGATATATATTTTATGTCTCATTATTTATGTGTTTCTGTATAATAGATACACGTACTCCAACATATGTATGCAACATACGCAAAAAAGTCCAAGTGTTTTGTATTTGTTTGACTATAATAATAAGCCCAAACAATATGTGCGAATGGCAGCAAGAAAACAATCAGATTCCTAATGCTACAAAAAAAGCTGGGAATCTTGGGATCTTAGTTTCATTTAATCCTGATACCCTTTCAGGCTGAATTTTAACAGAAGGGCAGTCACTAGCAGGGACCACTGGGTCACCTCAAGCAAAAACTCTGTGAAATGTAGCCATGTCTTGGCTTGTTTTAAATGCCATTAGGTAAAAGACTACTAACTTCGGTGGCTCTTAACAGATCTTCTTCCAGGCTAAATATGGCCAAAGATGAAATCCAGTTGCATGCATTAAACCTAACCTCTACTAACAAAGCTAGGCAGAATCAGACATTCCAATTTAGGAAAGAATGACATTTTGCCAAAACTCTGCTTGTTACAATCAGCATCATAAGCTGAATGGAATGCTGAGAAGACCTCAACATTTCATTGGCAAACATCCTGAGTGGTAGTAATTCATTGAAAATCCTTTGTACAATAGCTGCGTTATATAATGCACTGATATCTACGAGATTTCCAAACCAGATTTCTGTGTTTTAAAGTAGTTGTTACTATAGCAGAAATATGTAGGTTAACACTGAGACTTGTGATAGTTTTTCCATTTGACCAGAAGCCTCTGCAGTTACTGAGCATTTACTCTCTGGCTAGTATAGCAGTTAATATTGCAGGCTGCTTGTGATATTGTCACTTAAGGAAAGATGAGCACCTTCTCTGTGCCTCACTTCTTCATCTGAAAAACAGGGATGGTAGTAGGGACCCCCTTTGGTGTTGGTGTAAGAGTTAGATGGAATAACACACCTAAGGCACTTTGCAGATGGTAAGCCCTAAAGTGTAACAAGCTCTGGAGATATTCATCAAGTACCCTTGTGATGATTATTTATTTGGGCATCCTGGCCAGAACTGGACATTATAACCCCAGGTAATTTCTTTAGATTCACTTACTTTGTGAATCCTTCTCTGTCTAGTCCCATAGCACATGTTGTCCCCCGGCATCTGAGCCACACAACCCTCCTTCCCCCTCACCCATTGCTTTGGACTGTTTATCTTTTTTTTTTTTTTGAGACGGAGTCTCGCTCTGTCGCCCAGGCTGGAGGGCAGTGGAGCTAACTAGGCTCACTGCAAGCTCCGCCTCCTGGGTTCATGCCATTCTCCTGCCTCAGCCTCCCGGGACTATAGGCATGCACCACCAAGCCCGGTTAATTTTTTTTTTTTTTTTTGTATTTTTAGTAGAGACGGGGTTTCTGTGTTAGCCAGGGTGGTCTCGATATCCTGACCTCGTGATCCGCCCGCCTCGGCCTCCCAAAGTGCTGGGATTACAGGCGTGAGCCATCACGCCCGGCCTGAACTGTTCATCTTTTAAGGTACATTTGTTTTGTCTACCCGCTAGATTTTTTTTTTTTTTTTGAAATGGAGTTTGTTCTTATTGCCTAGGCTGGAGTGCAGTGGCACGGTCTCAGCTCACTGCAACCTCTGCATCCTGGGTTCAAGCAATTCTCCTGCCTCAGCCTCCCAAGTAGCTGGGATTACAGGTGCCTGCCATCACACCTGGCTAATTTTTGTATTTTTAGTAGAGACGGGATTTCACCATATTGGCCAGGCTGGTCTCGAACTCCCGACCTCAGGTGATCCGCCCACCTCGGCCTCCCAAAGTGCTGGGATTACAGGCATGAGCCACCGCACCCGGCCCCAACTAGATTTAAATTGGAGGGACTTGACGATGTCTTATTTCCTTTGTATCTCACAAAGCCCTCGGCAAGTTCTAGAACACACAATAGACTGGTAAAAAATGTTTCCTTTGGTATTAATTTACAAAGTTTCTTTGAAATTTTGCTAGCATAGGAATTATACTCTCTGAATTTATTCTGTATATTTACATATAGTAATGGAATCTGAACAGCGTAACTTTTCATTCCCTCTTTTGAAGAGAAGTTGAGCTGCTATTTTTTCTTGGCTATTTTTCGTCAATTTTATCCCATGGTATACCTGTGCTTTGAACACAGGTGGATCTTCAATGACTTTTTCCATGGAAGGACTTTCAGTTGAAGTAACTGAGCAGCACAAAGCCTCTGTGTTGTGTGTGTGTGTGTGTGTGTGTGTGTGTGTGTGTGTGTGTGTGTGTGTACGAGTGTGTGTCCATTCCCTCATAAGACTTTCTAATGGCTAGCATCTAAACTAAAATAAAAAATGTGCATCTGCATCTGAACTTCTTTTTTAATCATTGTAAAAATATTTTTCAGAACACAGCGTTCAAAATGTCTTTTGAGTACTTATGGCTAAGTACTTTTTACTTTTGAGTAAAAAAGGCTAATCTAGTGTGGTCCAAACAGCAATCGCTCAAGGAGCCCCCACCTCCTAAGAAGGTGGTCAGACGTTTGCTTGAATTTGAATTTCAGGAGAGTCAGTTTCAAAAAGTCACTTCCATTTTACACGATTTTTTCAGCCTTGCTGTGTTCTCATGCCATCAAAGGTTATTATCATACATAATTGTGAAACATTATTACCTTTTACAGGTAGGAAGTTGGATGCATTTCAATTGCTTCACCCAGTCACTGTTGATTCATGTAGTTTTCTGACATTCAAGTTTAAACACATTGCTTCCACAAACAGGAGCAATGATTTCCACGTGGGATACGGCCTTTGCATTCTTATATAATGCTCACTCTTAAAGGCCAAACTGATTTCTGAAGATCATCATTTGTTCTTTCTGTAATGAATGTTTCCCCTTCTGACATGCTATTTTTTTTATTATTATTTTACTTTAAGTTTTAGGGTACATGTGCACAATGTGCAGGTTAGTTACATATGTATACATGTGCCATGCTGGTGTGCTGCACCCATTAACTCATCATTTAACATTAGGTATATCTCCTAATGCTATCCCTCCCCTCTCCCCCCACCCCACAACAGTCCCCAGAGTGTGACGTTCCCCTTCCTGTGTCCATGTGTTCTCCTTGTTCAATTCCCATCTATGAGTGAGAACAGGCGGTGTTTGGTTTTTTGTCCTTGCGATAGTTTACTGAGAATGATGATTTCCAATTTCATCCACGTCCCTACAAAGGACATGAACTCATCATTTTTTATGGCTGCATGGTATTCCATGGTGTATATGCTGACACGCTTTTTTCTTTAGCTGACCCAATGGGTGCTACTGATGACTCAGTAGGTTTAAGTTCTATATTTCTATATTCAAAGAATTTTTATAAACAGCATCATCACCCTTCCCTTTTTAATTTCAATATTAATTTTTATTTTATTTCATTATTTTCTACCTACCTTGCTTTGTCTAGAAAGGACTTACGATGACTAGTTTAAGGAAGACGTTCCTTTTTCATATCATTTGTTCAATAAACCTGCTACCTTCTGTAAGTTTCTAATCTTATTTATTTGCCCAGGGCCTTGAATCTCATCTTCAGCAGAAACCAAAGATCCAGGAGGCAATGGTTGTGGGGCAAAGAGAAGGCAGGAGAGGGAGGACCCAAAACAACACAAGTGATTACTGTTATGCTTAAGAGTCTTTTTTTTTTTTTTCCTTTTGAAACAGAGTCTTGCTCTGTCACCCAGACTGGAGTGCAGTGGCACAATCTTGGCTCATTGCAACCTCCACCTCCCGGGTTCAAGTGATTCTCGAGCTTCAGCCTCCCAAGTAGCTGAGATTACAGGTGTGCACCACCATGCCCAGCTACTTTTTGTATTTTTAATAGAGACAGCATTTTACCATGCTGGTCAGGCTGGTCTCAAACTCCTGGTCTCAAGTGATCCGCCCACCTCGGCCTCACAGAGTGCTGGGATTACAGGCGTGAGCCACTGCGCCCGGCCATGCTTAGTGTTAATTGTCTGTTTCTATTCATACTTTTTTCTTTTTGATTTTAAAAATGTTAATACAGTTCAAATCAATGTGTCTGGTTCATTTCAGCACCTTACTACCAAACCCCCAGAGGCAGAGACTCCTTCATTTTCTCTGCTTCATCTTTGTAATAAGCAAGGTATCTGCTGTGTTAAACTTTAAATTTCACATTATTCTTCTTTCCCTTGATTTTGACAGATTTGGTGTCCTTTTGCCCCGCCGAGAGCAGAAAGTTTTTGATTTCCTCAATTTTTTGAGATATGGCGAGAGGCCTGCAGGAAGAGGGTGCAGATGGGCACAGCTAGTTTGAGAAAAGGGGAGGTGGGAAGACTTCTTCATGCTCACTCCCCACCAAAGCCCTTGGCCAAATGAGGTAGACTCTCATTCTCTTCTGGGGCAGGACAGGATCATCTGATGTCCTCATGTCCTTCTCTGCTCTAACTCAAACATTTAATCTGAATTCCTCTCAGGAACACGTGAGTGAAACACTAGACAGTATTTGGTTTGTACTCATTCCATGTCCTTTCCAGCACCCCAAATTTAAGCCCCCTCTGCTATGTCATTAACCATCACTGGGCCCAGGACAGTCCTTGTTTGGCATCAAGTTTACCTTCTCTCCTCTGAGCTCCAAGGTCTGGGGTCCCAGGGGAGGTGGGGTATTACATTCTCTTGTTCCCTTAACATACACCTGGGCTGCTTCTCTTGGTTGCCTCCCCTGAGCTCTACCTCCTCGTCTCAGGATGGCATTCTCTCTAAGCTACTCCCTGCATTCTTGCATCTGGAGGACTGTGTCCCCTAGACCCTATTCTCTCATGAAACCTTCTAAATGCTAGCATCGAAACTAAAAGCAAAAATACTGACAGGGTAGTCAGACGGTTGCTTGAATCTGAATTTCAGGGGAGCCAGACCTTTTGATCTCTTTCATTAGTGACTCAGGCCCTCATTAACTAACTGTCTGACCTCCATTTAATTATGAAGTGAATTGAATATTCTTGGGGCAGCATCTTGTAGAAGTTAAAAGCACAGGGTTCAGCAGCCCAGAGACCCAGATTAAAATGTGGGCTCTATCCTATACTAGCTGGATGACCTTGGGGGAGTTACTTCATGTCTCTAAACTTGTTTCTTCATTTGTCAAGTGGGCATGGCCATGCTGATATTCTAGGATGGTTACACTGATTAAGTGAGAAAACACATGTTGAGCAGCTATGATGGATCAAGCACTATGCTAGGCATGGTGTGCCACGGTGACCAGGTGGAAGCCATGCCTGGCATCCTGCTGCTTAGACACTGGGTTGGAGGGAACAAGGTCATATCCCAGTTTTGGTACTGTGTAGACATTCTGTAGAAAGTGATGTCAGCCAGGTGTGGTGGCTCACACCTGTAACCCCAACAATTTAGGAGGCCAAGGCAGGCGGATCGCTTGAGCCAAGGAGTTCGGGACCAGCCTAGGCAACATGGTGAAACCTCATCTCTACTAAAAAAAAATTAGCCAGGTGTGTTGGTGAGTGCCTGTAGTCCCAGCTACTTGGGAGGCTGAGATGAAAATATTGCTAAAAAATATATATATATTGCTTCAGCCCAGCAGGTGGATGTTGCAGTGAACCAAGATCGTGTCACTGTACTCCAGCCTGGGCTACAAAGCAAGACCTTGTCTCAAAAGAAAAGAAAAGGAAAGAAAGAAAGAAAGAAAGAGAGAGAGAAGGAAAGAAAGAAAGAAAGAAAGAAAGAAAGAAAGAAAGAAAGAAAGAAAGAAAGAAGGAGAAAGAAAGAAAGAGAGGGACAGAAGGAGGGAGGGAGGGAAGGAAGAGAGAGAGAGAAAGAAAGAGAGAGAGGAATGAAGGAATGAAGGAGAGAGAGAGAGAGAGAGAGATGGCTAAGGAGAGACCTGATGGATGAGTAGGGGTTAGGGGAGGAAAGTCTTCCAAGCAGAGGGAACAGCATTTACAGCATTCCTAGATCAGGGATGGGGAGAGTCTAGAGGGGAGACTGGCAAGATAAACCTCAGCAGAGACTACCAAAAACCACGTAAACCACTGCTAGAAGACCAAGTAGGAGGCTGTTGTCTTCATTCAAATGCAATATATTGCTGCCGTAAATGGGGATCAAAGCAATGAGGATGTAGAGCAGTCAGTGGATTTGAGAGGGAGTTAGGAGGTAGAGATGATGGGATTTGTGATTTATTAGGTGTGGTGAGTTCAGTCAGCATGGATTCAGCAAATATTTGTTGGTTATATTAGGTTGGTGCAAAACCACAATTACTTTTGCATCAACCTAATATCATTGTACCTCTCAGGACCTTAACTGATTTACTTCCTTACTAACCCCTGGGTCAGATGTCCAGGATTTCTCACTTGACTAGTGCATCCCTACCCATCCCTAGTGGCCAGGATGTAGGCTGTGGGTGGCCTTGGGCCATTCCTATTCTAGAAAAGCCATGACATTGAAAAGAACTGTCACCATTTGAGGATTTGAGAGTTGGTCACTTAGTTAGTGGATTCTGTCCGTCTTTGGATTCTTTGCCTGTCTCTGAAAGCCTGCTTTGTCATCAGCATGGTGGGCTAAGAAAAAGGTCAGAGAGGAGCAGTTACTGACACAGCCACTGCTATGAAGGCAGTTGAACTCACTGAGCCAAGGGTAGAAAAGACTTCAAACCATAATCCAAAAGTATTCTCTCCTTCGGAGAGCATTTTCGCTTTTTGTTTTGTTTTTGTTTTTTTGAGACGGAGGAGTCTCTCTCTGTTGCCCAAGGCTGGAGTGCAGTGGCGCGATCTCAGCTCACCGCAACATCCATCTTCTGGGTTCAAGCGAGTCTCCTGTCTCAGTCTTCTGAGTAGCTGGGATTACAGGTGCATGCCACCATGTCCAGCTAATTTTTGTATTTTTAGTAGAGACAGGATTTCACCATGTTGGCCATGCTGGTTTTGAGCTCCTGACCTCAGGTGATCTGCCCGCTTCGGCCTCCCAAAGTGCTGGGATTACAGGCGTGAGCTACCACGCCCGGCTTCAGAGAGCCTTTTCTAATCACGCTTTGTATTCTTTTATGCTAAAGTCTATTTAAAATCCCTGATTCCATGCCAACAAATGGCAAGTAGAGGCAGTAAGTACTGTGAGGAATGGCAGGGAAAACAGCCTAGAATTGAAGGTGTTGCATGGACAGGGAACTGCTATGGCCTCTGAGGAAATCAGAACCTTCCCTTCACGGTGTTGGAGAATGACAAGTAAAGCACTTTGATTTATTTAACTTTGATTTATTTATTTTAATTTTATTTTTGAGACAGAGTCCTCACTATGCTGCCCAGGTTGGTCTCGAATTCCTGGCCTAAAGGGATCCTCACACCTCAGCCTCCCAAGTAGCTGGGACTACAGGCATGAGCCACCACGCCCAGCCAACTTTGAGTTATTTTGAAGTTACTTTTTGATTGTCAGACATACCATTCTGAAACTGGGACAGGTGGGTCAATATTTTAATAAGTTTTATATCAACAAGAGCAAAAATAGCTAACATTTATTAAAGACTTTTTATGTGCGAGGCCCCATACCAGTCAGGGAACTTTATCTCATTTATTCTACACAATGATGCTATTAGGGAAATAGGACAATTGTTCCCCTTTTGCAGATAAGGAAGCTTAGACTTAGAGAGTTGATGTAACTTGCTCTGTGTTTCACAGCTAGTCCATGGTGCAGTAAGCCAGAAAAAAGCATTAAAATGAGGAGCTTTGGGGTTGAATCAAAGTTGACGGCAAAACAGTTTAGTATTTGTGGAAAATTTTGTGTTCAGAAGCAGGAAAATCATGCTAATTAGTTATGTTGTATAAACAGTAGTAACCACCGTGGTGGTGTGCGCCTGTAATCCCAGCTACTCAGGAGGCTGAGGGAGGAGAATCGTTTGAACCCGGGAGGCGGAGCTTGCAGTGAGCCGAGATCGCACCACTGTACTCCAGCCTGGGCGACAGAACAAGACTTCATCTCAAAAAAAAAAAAAAAAAAAAAAAGTAGTAACCACATTGTGGCCTCTTGTGCTTGGACAACTTCACAAAGAGAAGTGTCCGTTTGTCCTGACGTCTGAGGGCCCCTTAAGTACCTACAGCCCCTCCGTGGGAATCGTGGTGCCCGCAGCGCAGCGCAGCCCTCATGAATGAGTGGCACCCAGAGCACAGCCAGGCAGGCCTCTGCTGGGGCTTCGCCGCCCGGAGTGCACGCACTCTGCTCGCTCTCCCTGATGACAGCAGTTGTTGAGAAGGGCGCTAAGCAGGCCTGCAGCCTACAGCCTCCCCACCCCAGCGCCTCGAGGAAGTTTCGCTCCCGGGAGCCAGTCCAGCCGGCCAGTTTGGCTCTGGCGGACAAGTCTCAGCTGGACAAACAGCGTAGGAAGTGCCAGTTCCTGCTCTGCACAGAGCGATCCTGAACTCTTGGTAGAATAACCTGTCCGGCCCAAGAGAAGAAAGATCCCCAGCAAACTGGCCTGACAGCCCCACACTGTCAGAAACCTGCTTGAGAGGCTTGGGTTCTTTGCCTGGATTTTTGAAATTCCCTAAACGGAGCAGTCGTGGAAGCACCTTCCAATGGCACTTCTCTGACAATGATTTTGCTAGCCTGCAATTTTCACCACCTCCCACGGTCGGCTAAGCGAGGAGACTGACCAGCTGAGAGACATCTGGCCACTCATACCTCCTCTCTAGGCCTCAGTTTTTGTGCTCGTAAAATGAAGTGTTTCGATTCAGTGAGCCTGTAGTTTTGATTCTGAATTTGTTATGGGTAGAATAAACATGGTAGACAGCACTGCTGGAACAGTTGAAAAAAATGGCCTCTCAATTAAAAAGTATGAACTCATGAGGTGAAATCCAGAAGGGAAGCTGTGGTTAAGCGGGCCTGTATTCTACCAACATGTCCCTAGGAAGGGGAAGGAAGCCCAGGTATTTTCCACACTTGAGGGCAGTCCCTAGACACATGCCCTCAGCTGGTTGAAGGTCCCCTGGCAAAGGACCCCTATAACACTGGTGAAAGGCACGAGCATTTCTGGGACATGATCCCCCTACTTTGGGTGGCATGAATAGGAGAAAAGAACATTGAACTGGTGCTGGGAGACTTTACACAGGGGACCTCCCTCCTTCTCCCTCCTCGAAAGGGGAAACCAAGGCCCAGACAACCCATGTGACTTGCCCACAGGCTTACCTGTAGCAAGTTTTGGACTGAGCTCACAGCACAGTCGCCATGCCCAGCCCAGGGCCAGAAAGGGGAGGAAGAGAGTTTTCACTGTGAGTCACTTCTGTTTCTATCCACCCTAGGGGATTTGTTCTCCATGCGATCAGGGTGGACAGCTCACGGCTTCCCTGAGTGGATTTCATTTTAGGGGCCCTCACTCCCCCAACCTCTGCCTTCACGCCATCTTGAATTGCCACAGTGTGCTAGTCCAGAAACCCCACACAGCGCACGATCAGCCTTACCATCCAGGGTGAGGGAGGAAAAAGAAGCTGTTAAAAAGTCATCTTTCGGATTTAAATCAGCCCTGGCTGAAATAATCGAGGGAACTCGGAACTATGGAAAGGTCAAAGGTTTGCAGGTTTAGGGTTTCGTGGGAACATGCGCATGTTTGGACCAGACCCAAGTGCCTGGGTGACCTGTTTGACAGGTAACAATTAGAGAGTAAGAGCTTGCCTGGCTGGAATGTGGCTGCAGAGGCCGGCAGGAGGGTCTGGTTTACCTGCTCTGCAGGTGGGGCCTGCTGGGTCCGACAGGCATGTGCACGCACAGCATTCCAAAGAATCGGTTTTCTTTTAAAGACGCACCGATGACTTCAGGGCACAAAAGGGTTGGGTTGAGCCCTGGCTGGAAGCCGTTAGCTATTTGCAAGGTAAAGAAGCAAAATAAATAGTTCCCTGAAGACAGCTCAAGGAAGAAACTGCAAAGGCATTCAGAACTTTTTTTTTAATGTCTAAAATGAATGTGTGCTTTTTGTCTCAAGACTTGAGAAACCCCAGACTGGTACAAAATGCCAAAGATAATAGATGTGAAAAGTCATCCCTCTCCTCCTCGGACAGCTTTTTTTCTTTTCTTTTCTTTTCCTTTTTAAAGAGGCCATAATATTGTCGAGAGCAGAAGACAGGCTTCTTGAAGGGTGATGCCTTGCTTGAGATTGTCCAGAAATATTGGCTGTTTCTCTCAGCATTGCCGCAGAAGACACCGAAAAAGGCAAAATACTGGTTTTTTTTCCTCAATAAATTGTAGATGATGTGTACATTTTGAAAGTTAAAAGTACTATTGGCCGGGTGCGGTGGCTCAAGCCTGTAATCCCAGCACTTTGGGAGGCTGAGGAGGGCGGATCACGGGGTCAGGAGTTTGAGACCAGCCTGACCAACATGGTGAAAACCTGTCTTTACTAAAAATACAAATACTGGCTGGGCATGGTGGCATGCACCTGTAATCCCAGCTACTCAGGAGGCTGAGGCAGGAGAATCGTTTGAACCCGGGAGGCGGAGGTTGCAGTGAGCAGAGATCGCACCATTGCACTCCAGCCTGGGTGACAGGGCAAGACTCCATCAAAAAAAAAAAAAAAAATTAAAAGTACTATTTTGGTAAAACATAATTTTAAAAAGTAAGTGATTGTAAATAAGCAGATTCTTTTTTCATGTATAAAAGAATAGATTAGGGGCCTGGCTTGGTGGCTCACATCTGTAATCCCAGCACTTTGGGAGGCCAAGGCCAGCAAATCACCTGAGGCCAGGAGTTTGAGACCAGCCTGGCCAACATGTGAAACCCCATCTCTACTAAAAATATAAAAATTAGCCAGGTGTGGCGGTGCATGCCTGTAATCCCAGCTACTTGGGAAGCTGAGGCTGCACTCTAGCCTGGACAAGAGAGTGAGACTCTGTCTCAAAAAAAAAAACAAAAACAAAAAAAAATAGATTAGGATAATATTATATATATATATATATATAAAATGTGTGTGTGTGTGTGTGTGTATATATATATACACACACACACACATAGACACAGACCCACCTCTGTTAACGTGACTTCCTTTTAAATTCAAAGGGCTTTTTGATAGTATCAGCTGAATTACCCTATATCATACTCATGGTTGGTGAGAAGACAAAAGTCAAACTCAGGGAGACTGGGACTTGAAAATTATAACGTAATATGAAACACTGCTAAAACATCCTCAAAACTCTGAAAATTTCCAAGTAATTAATCTTTTCTTCTTTAATTTACCAAGTTAGTTTTCTAAAAAATAAAACCCCCTCTTCTTTTACATTGTTTCTTTTCATAGCCGAAATTGTCAGCTCCAATTAAATGGTAGGTACTTTCCATTCTTCTGTGTCCTCTCAAGGCTCTGAGGCCCTAAGACGCAGTCCAGGGTGCACATCACTGAAGTCCCAGCAGTGAGATGGGAGAGGCAAAGAAGAATTAGCAGCTGGTGATTCCACTGAAAGCACCTCGCCAGTCCGAAGAGTTAATTACAGCAAAGAAGAGGATCTTAAAATTTGACTGGCAAAAAGCAAACAAGCAAACAAAAACTTAGCAGTCTCATTGTTGATTACTGCTAGTGGTAAAACAGGTGTTGCTGTGGCAACTTAACTCTTTATTTGTGTAATACGAAGGTTATTATTTTACAGACTACTTACCAGAATTTATTTAAAAATCAGTAATACTAGAGCTGGGCACAGTGGCAAGTGCTTGTAGTCTCAGCTACGTGGGAGGCTGAGGATCGCTTGAGCCCAGGAGGTTGAGGCTGCAGTGACCTGTGTGCATGCCGTTGCACTCTGGCCCAGAAAACAGAGCAAGACCTTGTCACTCTTAAAAAAAAAAATCAATAGTAATAATAATAATGTAAAGTCAGAACAAGAACAACTTGAGGTTACAGGCTTCTTACTATGTGCTATGCTGAACTGTCTGCATTTTCTCTTTGAGTCTCACAACGATTCTGAGGCAGGTGTTTTCATGATCCCATTTTACAAACCAGGACACTGAGGCAGAGAGAAGTTCCAGGACCTGCCTACAGTCATACTGTTATAAGTGGCAGAGCTAGGATCTGAAACTAGACAGTTCATTCCATCAATGATAGTTCTTGAACTCCTGCTCTGACTCAGGCACAACGCCAGGGGTTTACGATACCATGATGGACAAGGTATAGTTGGTCCTTCATGGACAGATTAGACTTCATGAAGTCTAATTATTATATTTGATTCCAAAATCTGTTCTTTTAACTATCTCCTTGATGACCTCTCAGTGGTTCACACACTTTAAATCATGTCTTTGTCTTTTATTTCACTGATTATCATTCCAGAGACAATGACCTTAACCTCTACCACTCCCCAGCCATGCTGAGACACCTTCAGTAGCAATGTTGTAGTGAGGCAAAGGACAGTGGGCATTTTCTAGGGCATATGCTACATTTACTCCAGGCCTGCTTTGTTTTATTTGTCTAATTAGTGTCGGAGCAGGGAATTCAAGTTCGAAAGCCCTGCCAGCAGAGCTTACTATGGGTGTGAGAAGCCACTCTGATTATGAAGTATCTTATCAATGACAAATATTTGCTTGGCGATTTTCACCCCTTGATAATTGGAACTCAATCTTCATGGATTCTGACATAATGACTACTTCCTGCAAATCCCAAAAAAACACCAAAGCAAAATTAGCTTGCACTTTACCTCCCAGAGGAAAGAACCCCAAAGCCTTTTCCTTTCCCTGTGGCGTTCCACATCTTCCCACGAAGTCCTGCTGTCATTTCCCTGATAATATTTCCTTCTAGTAGTGTAGATAAATCCTGAATGCTGTGTTCTTTGACTGATCCATCCCTTGTGTGCCTTTGTGCAAACTCTAAAGGACAGACATGACTCCTCTGGCTGATCCTCTTTCAGTGGTTATGGACAGGCTGGATAGCCACTTACTTGGGGTGGATTTTATAAAGGAATAATAATAAATGGTAATTGTAATAAGTATATTGAGGCCCGGTGCAGTGGCTCACACCTGTAATCTCAGCACTTTGGGAGGCCAAGGCAGATAGGTCAAGATTTCAAGAGCAGCCTAGCCAACATGGTGAAACCCCGTCTCTACTAAAAATACAAAAATTAGCTGGGCGTGGTAGTGGGCGCCTGTAATCCCAGCTACTGGGGAGGCTGAGGCTAGAGAATCGCTTGAACCCAGGAGCTGGAGGTTGCAGTGAGCGGAGATCACGCCATTGCACTCCAGCCTGGGTGACAAGAGCGAAACTCCATCACAAAAATAATAAAATAAAATAAAAGTATATTGAGGGCCTTCAGTGGGCTACACACTGTGCCCAACACTCTGCATGGCATTGTCTCATTTAATAAGCACAGTGACCATAAATATGTACTATGATTACAGGTAACAGGTAAAGAAACCTGCTTGCAGAGGTCAAATAACTTACCTGAGTCACGCAGCTAACAAATGGCAATGCCAAGATACAGAACTGGAGCCATCAGCACTAGCACCTGTGTCAGACAGGATGTGGAAACAAATGACAGTTTGATCTTTAGGGTTTTAAGATTCTGAGATGCTCTGCTCTACTCTACTTGGGACAAAACATACCTGAAGTGTTGCCCCTGGGTTCCTCTGGTCACCACATTTGAAGTGGGAAAATTCAAAATCTGAAGCTGGTTTTTAAAAGAACAACCAGAGTGGAGAAGCTAACTCACACCACATTCCATGAGGAAGAGTTTAAGGAACCAGAATGTTTAAAGCTAGGAGTTGAGACCAGGGCCGGGGGATCAAGGAGAGAGAGTATGCTAACTGCCTTCATGTAACTGAAGGACAGTCAGAGGGCAGAAAGAATAGGCTGGTGCTGTGGGACTCCAAGCTGGAAAACCAGGACCAATAAGGCAAAGTTGGAGGGAGACGGATTTTGTTTCTGTATAAAGACACGTTTGTTACTACTCCGATTGGCAAGTGGTAGAAAGACTGTTTGAATCTCAGTTCCACCACCGTGGTGAGCATTTGTTGTTTTACTTGCTAGAGTCCATTTCCCTTTATTCTGAAAGCAATGGTTCGATTTCCTTTAGGGAAATTACATTTTTCCATTGAGGGCAGTCTTTCTTGCTGAGAAAGCCAATCAAGTTGTGCTACCCGATCTCCCCCCAGGAGTTGAGCATGAGACCCAACTTGGCCCAGTCAGGTTCCTTTTGCCAGGACCTATTTTAAGTGGAGTAACCTGAGGGTAGACAAATGGCTGGAACTGATTCTTTCCTAAGTAGTCCCCTTACCAACCTCAGTAGTGGATCCTATCCCTGGAAGTTGGAACTTCCCACAGCAGAATCCAGGAACTGGTCATGTAACATTAGACATATCTAGTAAGAGGGCTGCATCCCCTGGGCTGATGTCCAAGCCAATACTGAGAAGTGGTCACTAACCAATCTGCCCTTAGAGAGAGCTCTGATGGGCACCCTGCTTAGTGCCCATAAAGACTACCTTCCTCAGAGGATCTACTGTGGCTTTAATCAGGAACACAGACTCACTCAAATTGTTACAGAAAAAGTAAGGTTTATTGAAAGGACATGTATGCCTGGGAGCCCTGGAAAAGCTAAGAAACCCAGCCTCAGGAAAAGCAGGAATCAAGGCAGCTCCATGCTACACTCTTTCACATTTCCAACTCCTCTGCTTACAGCAAAGTAGCTGTCTGTACATTGCCTCTTTTATCCTCTTTCTTCCCAGTTCAGTATTTCTTGTTATTTGTCTACACATGGCCCAAAATGGCTGTTCAGCACCCAAATCTGTGTGATCTCCCGGGTCCAGCCATTGGAACTAACTTCCCTCTGGATGTCTTTGCTAAATCCCCAAGAAAAGGATTTGACTGGCTTAGCCATTGAACCAGACTGCATCACAGTTCCCTGGCCTGCAGATGGGCTATCTCTGCCACATGTCCTTACCAGGGACAGTGAGCTAAGCTGGGGAGATGAATTCACCTGATCTGTTGACTACTTAGCAGAAGCTTGGAACTGGTCAGGAAACATACAAGCCTCTCTTAAGAGGCTTCTTACTTCTTAATGATGATACCAAAAACGTAGCACAAGATACATTCTTATATATTAAACATGTATTTTCACACCATTTTCTTACTTTTTTTTATTACTATACTTTAAGTTTTAGGGTACATGTGCACAACGTGCAGGTTAGTTACACATATATACATGTGCCATGTTGGTGTGCTGCACCCATTAACTCGTCATTTAACATTAGGTATATCTCCTAATGCTATCCCTCCCCCCTCCCCCCGCCCCACAACAGGCCCTGTTGTGTGATGTTCCCCTTCCTGTGTCCATGTGTTCTCATTGTTCAATTCCCACCTATGAGTGAGAACATGCGGTGTTTGGTTTTTTGTCCTTGCGATAGTTTGCTGAGAATGATGGTTTCCAGCTTCATCCATGTCCCTACAAAGGACATGAACTCATCATTTTTTATGGCTGCATAGTATTCCATGGTGTATATGTGCCACATTTTCTTAATCCAGTCTATCATTGTTGGACATTTGGGTTGGTTCCAAGTCTTTGCTATTGTCAATAGTGCCACAATAAACATACGTGTGCGTGTGTCTTTATAGCAGTATGATTTATAATGCTTTGGGTATACACCCAGTAATGGGATGGCTGGGTCAAATGGTATTTCTAGTTCTAGATCCCTGAGGAATCGCCACACTGACTTCCACAATGGTTGAACTAGTTTACAGTCTCACCAACAGTGTAAAAGTGTTCCTATTTCTTCACATCCTCTCCAGCACCTGTTGTTTCCTGACTTTTGAATGATCGCCATTCTAACTGGTGTGAGATGGTATCTCATTGTGGTTTTGATTTGCATTTCTCTGATGGCCAGTGATGAGCATTTTTTCATGTGTCTTTTGGCTGCATAAATGTCTTCTTTTGAGAATTGTCTATTCATATCTTTTGCCCACTTTTTGATGGGGTTGTTTGTTTTTTTCTTGTAAATTTGTTTGAGTTCGTTATAGATTCTGGATATTGGCCCTTTGTCAGGTGAGTAGATTGCAAAAATTTTCTCCCATTCTGTAGGTTGCCTGTTCACTCTGATGGTAGTTTCTTTTGCTGTGCAGAAGTTCTTTAGTTTAATTAGATCCCATTTGTCAATTTTGGCTTTTGTTGCCATTGCTTTTGGTGTTTTAGACATGAAGTCCTTGCCCATGCCTATGTCCTGAATGGTATTGCCTAGGTTTTCTTCTAGGGTTTTTATGGTTTTAGGCCTAACTTTTAAGTCTTTAATCCATCTTGAATTAATTTTTGTATAAGGTGTAAGGAAAGGATCCAGTTTCAGCTTTCTACATATGGCTAGCCAGTTTTCCCAGCACCATTTATTAAATAGGGAATCCTTTCTCCATTTCTTGTTTTTGTCAGGGTTGTCAAAGATCAGATAGTTGTAGATATGTGGCATTATTCTGAGGTCTCTGTTCTGTTCCATTGGTCTATATCTCTGTTTTGGTACCAGTACCATGCTGTTTTGGTTACTGTAGCCTTGTAGTATAGTTTGAAGTCAGGTAGCATGATGCCTCCAGCTTTGTTCTTTTGGCTTAGGATTGACTTCACAATGCAGGCTCTTTTTTGGTTCCATATGAACTTTAAAGTAGTTTTTTCCAATTCTGTGAAGAAAGTCATTGGTAGCTTGATGGGGATGGCATTGAATCTATAAATTACCTTGGGCAGTATGGCCATTTTCATGATATTGATTCTTCCTACCCATGAGCATGGAATGTTCTTCCATTTGTTTGTATCCTCTTTAATTTCATTGAGCAGTGGTTTGTAGTTCTCCTTGAAGAGGTCCTTCACATCCCTTGTAAGTTGGATTCCTAGGAATTTTATTCTCTTTGAAGCAATTGTGAATGAGGGTTCACTCATGATTTGGCTCTGTGTTTGTCTGTTATTGGTGTATAAGAATGCTTGTGATTTTTGCACATTGATTTTGTATCCTGAGACTTTGCTGAAGTTGCCTATCAGCTTAAGGAGATTTTGGGCTGAGACAATGTGGTTTTCTAGGTATACAATCATGTCATCTGCAAAGAGGGACAATTTGACTTCCTCTTTTCCTAATTGAATACCCTTTATTTCCTTCTCCTGCCTAATTGCCCTGGCCAGAACTTCCAACACTATGTTGAATAGGAGTGGTGAGAGAGGGCATCCCTGTCTTGTGCCAGTTTTCAGAGGGAATGCTTCCAGTTTTTGCCCATTCAGTATGATATTGGCTGTGGGTTTGTCATAGATAGCTCTTATTATTTTGAGATACATCTCATCAATACCTAATTTATTGAGAGTTTTTAGCATGAAGGTTGTTGAATTTTGTCAAAGGCCTTTTCTGCATCTATTGAGATAATCATGTGGTTTTTGTCTTTGGTTCTGTTTATATGCTGGATTATATTTATTGATTTGCATATGTTGAACCAGCCTTGCATCCCAGGGATGAAGCCCACTTGATCATGGTGGATAAGCCTTTTGATGTGCTGCTGGATTCGGTTTGCCAGTATTTTATTGAGGATTTTTGCATCAATGTTCATCAGGGATATTGGTCTAAAATTCTCTTTTTTGGTTGTGTCTCTGCCAGGCTTTGGTTTCAGGATGATGCTGGCCTCATAAAATGAGTTAGGGAGTATTCCCTCTTTTTCTATTGATTGGAATAGTTTCAAAAGGAATGGTACCAGCTTCTCCGTGTACCTCTGGTAGAATTCGGCTGTGAATCCATCTGGTCCTGGACTTTTTTTGGTTGGTAAGCTATTAATTATTGCCTCAATTTCAGAGCCTGTTATTGGTCTATTCAGAGATTCAACTTCTTCCTGGTTTAGTCTTGGGAGGGTGTATGTGTCAAGGAATTTGTCCATTTCTTCTAGATCTTCTAGTTTATTTACATAGAGGTGTTTATAGTATTCTCTGATGGTAGTTTGTATTTCTGTGAGATCGGTGGTGATATCCCCTTTATCATTTTTTATCGCATCTATTTGATTCTTCTCTCTTTTCTTCTTTATTAGTCTTGCTAGCGGTCTATCAATTTTGTTGATCTTTTAAAAAAACCAGCTCCTGGA
Source organism: Homo sapiens (assembly GCF_000001405.40). Classification (NCBI taxonomy): domain Eukaryota; kingdom Metazoa; phylum Chordata; class Mammalia; order Primates; family Hominidae; genus Homo; species Homo sapiens. The sequence continues at coordinate 101,428,923 of NC_000008.11, read as the reverse complement.
TTCATTTTTTTGAAGGGTTTTTTGTGTCTCTATTTCCTTCAGTTCTGCTCTGATCTTAGTTATTTCTTGCCTTCTGCTAGCTTTTGAATGTGTTTGCTCTTGCTTCTCTAGTTCTTTTAATTGTGATGTTAGGGCATCAATTTTAGATCTTTCCTGCTTTCTCTTGTGGGCATTTAGTGCTCTAAATTGCTTTGAATGTGTCCCAGAGATTCTGGTATGTTGTGCCTTTATTCTCATTGGTTTCAAAGAACATCTTTATTTCTGCCTTCATTTTGTTATGTACCCAGTAGTCATTCAGGAGCAGGTTGTTCAGTTTCCATGTAGTTGAGCGGTTTTGAGTGAGTTTCTTAATCCTGAGTTCTAGTTTGATTGCACTGTGGTCTGAGAGACAGTTTGTTATAATTTCTGTTCTTTTCATTTGCTGAGGAGTGCCTTATTTCCAACTAGGTGGTCAATTTTGGAGGAGGTGTGGTGTGGTGCTGAAAAGAATGTATATTCTGTTGATTTGGAGTGGAGAGTTCTGTAGATGTCTATTAGGTCCGCTTGGTGCAGAGCTGAGTTCAATTCCTGGATATCCTTGTTAACTTTCTGTCTCATTGATCTGTCTAATGTTGACAGTGGCGTGTTAAAGTTGTGTGGGAGTCTAAGTCTCTTTGTAGGTCTCTAAGGACTTGCTTTATGAATCTGGGTGCTCCTGTATTGGGTGCCTATATATTTAGGATAGTTAGCTCTTCTTGTTGAATTGATCCCTTTACCATTATATAATGGCCTTCTTTGTCTCTTTTGATCTTTGTTGGTTTAAAGTCTGTTTTATCAGAGACTAGGATTGCAACCCCTGCCTTTTTTTGTTTTCCATTTGCTTGGTAGATCTTCCTCCATCCCTTTATTCTGAGCCTATGTGTGTCTCTGCACATGAGATGGGTTTCCTGAATACAGCACACTGATGGGTCTTGACTCTTATCCAATTTTGCCAGTCTGTGTCTTTTAATTGGAGCATTTAGCCCATTTACATTTAAGGTTAATATTGTTATGTGTGAATTTGATCCTGTCATTATGATGTTAGCTGGTTATTTTGCTCATTAGTTGGTGCAGTTTCTTACTAGCCTCGATGGTCTTTACAATCTGGCATGTTTTTGCAGTGGCTGGTACCGGTTGTTCCTTTCCATGTTTAGTGCTTCCTTCAGGAGCTCTTTTAGTGCAGGACTGGTGGTGACAAAATCTCTCAGCATTTGCTTGTCTGAAAAGTATTTTATTTCTCCTTCAGTTATGAAGCTTAGTTTGGCTGGATATGAAATTCTGGGTTGAAAATTCTTTTCTTTAAGAATGTTGAATATTGGCCCCCACTCTCTTCTGGCTTGTAGAGTTTCTGCCAAGAGATCAGCTGTTAGTCTGATGGGCTTCCCTTTGTGGGTAACCCGACCTTTCTCTCTGGCTGCCCTTAACATTTTTTTCCTTCATTTCGACTTTGGTGAATCTGACAATTAAATGTGTCTTGGAGTTGCTCTTCTTGAGGAGTATCTTTGTGGCATTCTCTGTATTTCCTGAATTTGAATGTTGCCCTGCCTTACCAGATTGGGGAAGTTCTCCTGGATAATATCCTGCAGAGTGTTTTCCAACTTGGTTCCATTCTCCCCGTCACTTTCAGGTACATCAATCAGACGTAGATTTGGTCTTTTTACATAGTCCCATATTTCTTGGAGGCTTTGTTCATTTCTTTTTATTCTTTTTTCTCTAAACTTCTCTTCTTGCTTCATTTCATTCATTTGATCTTCCATCACTGATACCCTTTCTTCCAGTTGATCGAATCAGCTACTGAGGCTTTTTCATTCATCACGTAGTTCTCATGCCTTGGTTTTCAGCTCCATCAGGTCCTTTAAGGACTTCTCTGCGCTGGTTATTCTAGTTAGCCATTCATCTAATTTTCTTTCAAGGTTTTTAACTTCTTTGCCATGGGTTCGAACTTCCTCTTTTAGCTTGGAGTAGTTTGATCATCTGAATCCTTCTTCTGTCAACTCGTCAAAGTAATTCTCCATCCAGCTTTGTTCCGTTGCTGGTGAGGAGCTACGTTCCTTTGGAGGAGGAGGGGCACTCTGATTTTTAGAGTTTCCAGTTTTTCTGCTCTGTTTTTTCCCAGTCTTTGTGGTTTTATCTACCTTTGGTCTTTGATGATGGTGATGCACAGATGGGGTTTTGGTGTGGGTGTCCTTTCTGTTTGTTAGTTTTCCTTCTAACAGTCAGGACTCTCAGCTGCAGGTCTGTTGGAGTTTGCTGGAGGTCCACTCCAGACCTTGTTTGCCTAGGTATCAGCAGTGGAGGCTGCAGAACAGTGGATATTGGTGAACAGCAAATGTTGCTGCCTGGTTGTTCCTCTGGAAGTTTTGTCTCAGAGGAATACCCGGCTGTGTGAGGTGTCAGTCTGCCCCTACTGGGGGGTGCCTCCCAGTTAGGCTACTCGGGGGTCAGGGACCCACTTGAGGAGGCAGTCTGTCTGTTCTCAGATCTCCAGCTGCGTGCTGGGAGAACCACTACTCTCTTCAAAGCTGTCAGACAGGGACATTTAAGTCTGCAGAGGTTTCTGCTGCCTTTTGTTTGGCTATGCCCTGCCCCCAGAGGTGGAGTCTACAGAGGCAGGCAGGCCTCCTTGAGCTGTGGTGGGCTCCACCCAGTTCGAGCTTCCCGGCCGCTTTGTTTACCTACTCAAGCCTCGGCAATGGCGGGCACCCCTCCCCCAGCCTTGCTGCCGCCTTGCAGTTTGATCTCAGACTGCTGTGCTAGCAATGAGCAAGGCTCCGTGGGTGTAGGATCCTCCAAGCCAGGCATGGGATATAATCTCCTGGGGTGCCGTTTGCTAAGACCATTGGAAAAGTGCAGTGTTAGGGTGGGAGTGACCCGATTTTCCAGGTGCCATCTGTCACCCCTTTCTTTGACTAGGAAAGGGAATTCCCTGACCCCTTGCGCTTACCGGGTGATGCCTTGCCATGCTTTGGCTCATGCTCGGTGCACTGCACCCACTTTCCGACACTCCCCAGTGAGATGAACATGGTACCTCAGTTGGAAATGCAGAAATCACCCATCTTCTGCGTTGCTCACACTGGGAGCTGTAGACTGGAGCTGTTCCTATTCGGCCATCTTGGCTCCACCCCTTTTTTTTTTTTTTTTTGAGACAGAGTTTTGCTCTTGTTGCCCAGGCTGGAGTGCAATGGCACAATCGCCATTCACCGCAAACTCCGCCTACTGAGTTCAAGCGATTCTCCTGCCCCAGCCTCCTAGTAGCTGGGATTACAGGCATGAGCCAGCACACTCGGCTAATTTTGTATTTTTGGTAGAGATGGGGTTTCTCCATTTTGGTCAGTCTGGTCTCGAACCCCTGACCTCAGGTGATCTGCCCACCTCAGTCTCCCAACGTTCTGGGATTACAGGTGTGAGCCACCGCACCCGGCTTTCTTACAGTTTTTAAAGATACTCTCCAAGGGCTATATCCCCAACCACAATTCATTAGGAAATGGCTTGCCCTGGGCCAGGCGCAGTGGCTCACACCTCTAATCGCAGCACTTTGGGCATTCGAGGTGAGCAGATCATTTGAAGTCAGGAGTTTGAGACCAGCCTGCCCAATATGGTGAAACCCCATCTCTACTAAAAATACAAAAATTAGCTGGGCATGGTGGCAGGTGCCTGTAATCCTAACTACTTGGGAGGCTGAGGCAGGGGAATTGCTTGAATCCGGGAGGCAGAGGTTGCAGTGAGCCGAGATTGTGCCACTGCACTCCAGCCTGGGCAACACAGTGAGACTCTGTCTCAAAAAAAAAAAAAAAAATGGAAATGGCTTGCCCTAAGATCCCCTACAAGTATATGGAAGTTTTCCTTCTGTGGTAAACACAGAATGTCAACTTGTCAACTTTAAGCAACTGGATCTTCAAGTGTGTTGTGTAGAATTCCTGAGCTAGCACTGAAGTGTTTTAACTGAAAAGCCCTGTGTCCAGTTAAAGAAGAGGTGAAAGGGGCACTTTGGGCCATGGGGATGGGAAGAAGGTGACAGTAGAAGTGAAGAGAGTTGAACAAAAGAGGTGAGGAGGAACAAAGGCCTGTTGGGAACTACAGATCAGAGCAGGAGGAGAGTCATCCAGGAGCAGAAAACAGACAAAAACTGCAACTTCCACTTTGGGAACCAGAATATCTCATGTGAAACTAGAGAGTATGGGGAGCCAGGGCATAATGAGAGCGCTGGGCTAGGTGAGGATGAGACACCAAGGATTGTGATGAGTGCCTGCTACGTAGCAGGCACATAAGATCTGTCTCAAGCTTGGAGCTGTATTTACCTGGGTGCCCCTAACTGCAGCCTGCATTCAGTTTGAACACTTGTAAATTCTTTGTTACTATGGTCTCATGGCCTCTGACCAAGGCTGATTCAGGAGTTAAGAAGGAGGATATATTTCTAAGACCAGGAAGATGTCTTAACTGCATTTAACACAAGAGAGGGTAGACTGCCTTAAAAGGACCTTGGGACATGCTGTTCCCTGGGAAGATTTGAAAGCCGGTCCAGGGATTGCTTGTAATTCACTGTAGTCTTGCTTACCACTCACATGGCTGAGAGCTCTGGCCCCAGGGCTGGGCTCACATCTTTCCAACTTGTTTTGGAATTCTCCTTTGACAGAGTGTCTCAGAGAAAACATTACTACATGCTATAAGAGTGGGAGGTTTCATGGATTACCCGTGGACCTCTGGCAACTGGACTAAGGATTCCGGGCCCAGAGTTTGGGACCCACACACTTGAAATCTGAAGATTAATGCTTGATCCTCCTCTGAAGGGGGATTAAGCCTCTGCTAGTTGATTACAAATGTTCCAGATACAAATCTTTAAGGTGAGAACTCTGTGAACAACAACAACAGCCACAGAAAATCTCCATGAAAAGCCTTACCTTCATTCATTACTCAACTTTGTGAATTTTGAGGACTTAATGAGACATTTAAAATAAAGAAAGGAATTAAAGGCTGAGGATATGTTGGACTGGCTTAAATTGGGCAATGAGAAGCCTAAGGTGCCATTTCAGGATATTATTCACCCTATAAAAACAAAATGTATTTGTTCGCAGTAAACATGTCAGAACAGCAGCTCTAGAGAACAAGTGTAGACTGGTTGCTGTCCAATCTGCCAATTTTCAGATAAAAGACCAGGATCTGGCCGGGCACGGTGGCTCACGCCTGTAATTCCAGCACTTTGGGAGGCTGAGGTGGGCAGATCATGAAATCAGGAGATCGAGACCATCCTGGCCAACATGGTGAAACCCCATCTCTACTGAAATACAAAAAAATTAGCTGGATGTGGTGGCATGAGCCTGTAGTCCCAGCTACTTGGGAGGCTGGGGCAGGGGAATCGCTTGAACCTGGGAGGCAGAGGTTGCAGTGAGCCGAGATCACACTGCTGTACTCCAGCCTGGTGACAGAGCAAGACTCTGTCTCAAAAAAAAAAAAAAAAAAAAAAAGACCAGGATCTGATAAGTGACAGATTACCATGAGAACATTTGCAGTGGGATTTTTTTCTGATTTTCTGATTTATCATTTCAGCACTAAACATGTAAGTACGTCAATAAAATGTTAAGACAACTGCTGTTCTCACAATGTATTTACAATATTTATTGAAAGGAGGAGAAAGCTCTGTTTGATGGCAACCCCAAAATCATCAAAACTCCATGACCAGTCAAACAGCAAGCAGGCCTAGTGTTTGTGGAATAGGGTTGCTACAGTGTAAGGCCAAATCCCTGAACTATATGTAAAAATATTTTCATCCTCTTCATGAGCAAATCCCATGTCCTCTCCATGCACCACCCATTCATGAATCTATAAAAAGGAGAGAATTATCCCTGTTCAGTGTGTCCCACACCTTAATATTTTGCATTCTACCGCTTCATGTTTTTTGCAATATTATCATAGCATTGTGTCTATAATATTATTTATTGAGTGTATTTTAAAAAATCAACTCACTGTTTTTTTAACCTAGAGTATTTTTGTATAAAATTTGTTATTAAGACTCTCTTTCTTTTTCCTTCTTTCTTTCTTTCTTTCTTTCTTTCTTTCTTTCTTTCTTTCTTTGAGACTGGGTCTGGATCTGTCGCCCAGGTGGAGTGCAGTGGTGCAATCTCAGCTCACTGCAGCCTTGACCTCCTAGGCTCAAGCAATCCTCCCACCTTAGCCTCTTAGCCTCCCAAGTAGCTGGACTACAGGTGCTTGACACCACGCCCAGCTAATTTTTATATTTTTTGCAGAGATGAGGTTTCGCCATGTTTCCCAGGCTGGTCTCAAATTCCTGGACTCAAGCAATCTGCCTGCCTCAGCCTCTCAAAGTGCTGGAATTACAGGCATGAGCCACCGCACCTGACTGGCCTTCCTTCTTTCCTACCTTCCTTCCCTTTCTTTTTTCTTTCTTTCTTTTTCCTTTCTCTCTCTTTTTCTTTGTCTTTCTTTCTTTCCTTCCATCCTTCTTTCCCTTTCACTCACCCTTTCTCTCTTTCTTTCTTTTTTTCCTTCTTTCTTTCTTTCTTTCTTTCTTTCTTTCTTTCTTTCTTTCTTTCTTTCTCTCTCTCTCTCTCTTTCTTTCCTTCCTTCCTTCCTTTCTTCCTTCTTTCCTTCCTTCCTTCCTTCTTCAGGGGTTTTGCTTTGTCACAGGCAGGAGTGCAGTGGCATGATCACAGCTCACTACAGCCTTGATCTCCCAGTCTCAAGCAATCCTCCCATCTTAGCCTCCTGAGTAGCTGGAGCTACAGGCATGCACCACCATACCTGGCTAACTTTTTAACTTTTTTTTTTTTTTAATGGAGTCTTGCTCTGTCGCAAGGTTGGAGTGCAGTAGCACGATCTCGGCTCACTGCAACCTCTGCCTCATGGGTTCAAGCAATTCTTCTGCCTCAGCCTCCCAAGTATCTGGGACTACAGGCACAAGCCACCATGCCTGGCTAATTTTGTATTTTTAGTAGAGTAGCGGTTTCACCATGTTAGTCAGGATGGTTTCTATCTCTTGACCTCGTGACCCACCCGCTTTGGCCTCCCAAAGTGCTGGGATTACAGGCGTGAGCCATCGCGCCCGGCCAACTTTTTAACTTTTTGTAGAGACAGGGTCTCTCCATGTTGCCCGGGCTGGTCTTGAACTCCTGGGCTCAAGTAATCCTCCTGCCTCAGCCTCCCAAAGTGCTGGGATTACAGGCATGAGCCACCACACCTGGCCAATACATAACTATTAAAAGAAAAAAATGTTGGCTTGCTTTTTAAAAAGAGCTAAAGAGGTCTTGTGTAACCATTAGTGGTATGCAGAGTACATTTTGGAAAACACTGCCTGACTTTATGGAAGTTGCTGGGTGTGAGTGAAACTTTACAAAACCTGCCCAATTTATCTGTGGAAGAGGCCCATTGTTTCCAATATTCTCACTAATTGGCTGATTGATCCTGAGTTAGTCACTTTACCTACTGCAACTTCATTTTCTCATCTGAGGAAGTTGGGCTAAACAATTTCTTTTTGTCTCTATTTGTGATTTTCCAAGATTCTGCTTGCAGGGCCCAGCATCCCAGCAGATGATGCCAAAAGCTGTGTAGCTATGAACACAGGTCAGTTCCCTGTCACCATCCCGTGACATACTTAATCTTCCTGGGAATTTTGCAGAATTTTGCTTTTCCTTAACCATGGTTAAGGAATACTCCTCTCAGCCAGTTTATGAAATAAAATACTCCTTTCTCTACTTTGGGTGAGTTGCAGTGGGGAAAAATGACAAATAGGAAAATGGAACTTGGTGGGTTGCTTTGAAGGACTGCTGATTTAATATCTTCTCTTGTCTCCTCATTTGTCTAACACCCCAACTACTCTACAATGATCTTGGGGCAAAGAAAAACCTAATTTGATTACTCCACACCTAGGAGCACAGTGAGGATAAATAATGAGAATAATAATGCATAGTTAATAATGTTTCACCAGTCTAATACAGTAATGGCAAGCCAGCTACTATCACTGTGCCTTTATTTCCTCATTTGTAGAAAAAGGAGTTTGAACCAGATGATTTTTTCTTTATTTAAAATTTTAATTTATTATACCTTTTTAAAAAATTATTAGAAATGAGGTCTCACTATGTTGCCCAGGCTGGAGAACAGCGGCTATTCACAGGCATGATCATAGCGCACTATAGCCATGAACTCCTGGGCTCAAGCGATCCTTCCGCCCCAGCCTCCTGAGTAGCTGGGACTACAGGTGTGCACAACTGTGCCTGGCCTGAAACAAATGATTTGTGAAACTTCTACCAGCTTTAATGTTCTTTGATTGTATAATCGCATTTTATTTTTTTTAAACAAAAAGTGCTAAATTTTAAATTTGATAGAATCCCTTCTAACCTGCCTGTATTAGAAGACAAGAATAGGGCTGGGCACAGTGGCTCACGCCTGTAATCCAAGCACTTTGGGAAGCCAAGGTGAGTGAATCACTTGAGATCAGGAGTTCGAGACCAGCCTGGCCAACATGGTGAAACCCTGTCTCTATTAAAAATACAAAAAATTAGCCAGGTGTGGTGGCGTGCGCCTGTAATCCTAGCTACTCAGGAGGCTGAGGCAGCAGAATCGCTTGAACCCGGGAGGTGGAGGTTGCAGTAAGCCGAGATTGCACCACTGCTCTCCAGCCTGGGTGACAGAGTGAGACTCCATCCCAAAAGAAAAAAAAAAAAAGAAGACAAGAATAAACTTATCTTTCAGGATAGGATAATCATCTATCAAACTTTTACATGTATATCTTTTGTAGGTTTTCAGAACTATGCAACAGTCTGTGGTGCAACTGAATCTAAATGTTACGTGGCTGTGGTATTCATTATTTCATTCATTTCCTTGCTCATTCTTTCTTCAAACATGCTCTATGTACCTATTATGTCCCAGGTAGTAGAGTAGAGTGATTTAGAGGGTAGCTCTGGAAGCAAAATAGCTTGGGATTGAATCCCATTTTCACTACACATCAGCTCTTTGACCTTAGATAAGTGACTTCACCTCTGTAAGCCTTCCTTTTTTTCCTTCTTTATCTATAAACCAAAAATGACAATAGTATTGATTGTAACCTAGGGTTATCGAAGACTAAAAGAGATAGCAGGTAGAAAGTCAAATGCTCAGAGTATAGCTAGCACTCAATAAATCGTAGATGCTATCATCATCTTCATCACCACTGTGATGGGCTGAATTGTGCCCCCTCCCCTCCAAATTACTTCCATATGTGGAAGTCCTCATCCTCACTACCTCAGAATGTGCCTGTATTTGGAGATTTGGAAATAGGGCCTTTAAAGAGGTAATCAAGGTGAAATGCAGTCAAGTGGGTGGATCCTAATCCAATCTGACCAATGTCACGTAAGAAGAGGAGATGAGGACACAGATGCACACAGACGGAAGACCATGTGAAGAACATGTGGGAAAGACTGCCATCTACAAGCAAAGGGGAGGGGCCTCAGAATGAAATCAGTCCTGCCAATGTGCCGCTCTTGAACTTTTAGCGTCCAGAACTGTGAAAAAATAAATTTGTTGTTTAAGCCACCCAGTCTGTTGTGTTTGTTCCAGCAGCGCTAGCAAACCTGTACATTCATCATCATCATCATCATCAGGATGTGCTGGGATTCAAAGACGATTATGACTTAACTCTTCTTCAGTGAACTCACATCTAAGAGGAGGAGACAAGCGCATAGGCCCATGTTCTTTACAACACAGGGTGATACTGACGGAAATAGAAATCTGTACCATGAGAGCACAGGAAGGAAGATGCTCTACGATGTAGGGAAGGGGAGTACTCAAAGAAAAGTAAAGGAGAAAAAGGTAAATGGTTATAAAAGATGCTAGGTCTAGGCCGGGCGCGGTAGCTCAAGCCTGTAATCCCAGCACTTTGGGACGCTGAGGCGGGTGGATCACAAGGTCAGGAGATCGAGACCATCCTGGCTAACACGGTGAAACCCCGTCTCTACTAAAAATACAAAAAAATTAGCCGGGCATAGTGGCAGATGCCTGTAGTCCCAGCTACTCGGGAGGCTGAGGCAGGAGAATGGCATGAACCCAGGAGGCGGAACTTGCAGTGAGCCGACGTCGTGCCACTGCACTCCATCCTGGGCGACAGAGCGAGACTCCGCCTAAAAAAATAAAAAATAAAAATAAAAAATACTAGGTCTAAAAAGATCAAGAAAGGTCACTTGTCAGATAAGGTAGGACAGGGAATTGTAGTCAAGGGGACAGCACAAGTGGAATGCATGTGTGACAAGGGCTTTCTTCAGAATTTGTTATTTAGAAATCATTTGTTCCATAACATGGGACTTCACCTGTTTGTGAGGGAGAGAAAGTAGAACCTAACCAATGCCAAGTGAAATGCCATTGATCAGCTAGATAAGCTGCTGCCCAAACATTCGTTTCTACTGTCCAGATAACTTAAGGATACCTCAAAAAGAGAAATTCCCATTTCAGCCCAACAGAGGCACTTAGCAAGCTTGGTGTTTGTTTTTTTGTTGTTTGGAGGCTAAGGTAACATGACCCCTCAGCTTTAGTTCGGAAGGGCTAAGAAAACAATAGGAGAGGGGGAGAAATAACCTAGTTCAGAGGAGGTAGTTAAAGTGTAATCCATTTCTTTTGGTGTGTGTGTATATATATATGACAATGTATATACATAAAATAGGATTATAACTCCTTCATATAAAATCCTCATAATAAATTCAAAAACAACATGCCTTTAAATGAGCTGGAATAAGCAAGGTGGGGATCTGATATTATTCTCTGTCTGCTTCAAGAATTGTTGGGGATTAATGAGCTAATGTCTGTAAAGCTCTCTAGCAATGTAGAAGAAAAGAACTCAAAAACAAGGACCTGCAATTATCTCCTTCTCCACTTCCTGCAAGCTAGAAGACAGAACACACAAAAAAAATCTGCCTCAGTATATCTTTTTTAATATAATAAAATGATTAAATAATATTTTGTTAAAAGACCAAAAAATTTCTCCATTTTACTGATATGGCAACTTTTATGGCTCCATTGTTCTTTCATTTTTATTCTTCTTCTTTTTTCTTTTTTTTTTTTTTAAGAGACAAGTTCTTGCTCTATTGCCCAGGCCGGAATGCAGTGCAGTGGCTCAATCATGATTCACTGCAGCCTCAAACTCCAGGGCTCAAGCAATCCTCCCTCTCGCCTCAGCCTCCCAAAGTGCTGGGATTACAGGTATGAACCACCGTGACTGCCTAAATTTAAAAAAATTTTTTTATAGAGACAGTGTCTCACTTTGTTGCCCAGGCTGGTCTTAAACTCCTGGCTTCAAGCGATCCTCCTACCTCAGCCTCCCGAGGTACTGGGATTACAGGCATGAGCCCTTGCACCCAGCCCTCATCTTTATTCTGATTCATTCATGGTTGTAATCATTTATGTACTTTGTATTTTAAATACTTACGGGTTTTGCTGTATTTTGTCTTAACTTTTTGCTTTTACTTAACATATCACACAATTTCTTTGAGTTGCCATATAATCTTTGTAACAATTTTTAAAGTGTTATGTGGAAGTATAATTTATATGCTGTAAAAGTTGCCTATCTTAGTGTTTAATTCAGTGACTTTTAGTAAATTTAAAGAGTTGTGCATCCATAACTAAAATCCAGTTTTAGAACATTTCCATCAGCCTCAAAACTGCCTCGTGTCCACTTAGAATTTCCAGTCTCACCCACCTGCCACAGGCAAACACTGATCTGCTTTCTGTTTTATAGATTTGTATTTCCCAGAAATGCTACGTAAATGAATTTCTGGCTTATTTCACTTGGCAAAATCTTTTTGAGGTCCATGCATGCGGTAGTATGTATCAGTAGTTTGCTCTTTTTAATTGCTGAGTAATATTTCATTATATGAATTACCACACTTTGTTTATCCAGTCACTGAGTGATGGACATTTGGATTGTTTGCAATTTGTGGCTATTATGAATAATGCTGTCATGAACATATGTCTTTGTGTGGACATATCCTTTCATTTCTTTTGGCCAGATAACTAGGAGTGGAAATGCTGCTGGCAATTCTGCTTAACCTTTTAAAGAAACTTCCCAATTGCTTTCCTAGGTGGCTATACCATTTTACATTCCCACCAACAATGTAGGGAGGTTCCAGTTTCTCCACATCCTCTCCAGCTCTCGTTATTGTCTATTTTTAAAATTATAGACTTTAAAGTGAGCAGAAAGTGGTATTTAATGTGGTTTCAGTTTCCATTTTTCTAATAACCAATAATGTTAAACATCTGTTGTGCACCTATTAGAGTTTCATGTAGCTTCGGTGAAATGTCCATTCCAGTCTTTCTTTTTTTTTTTTTTTTTTTTTTTTTGACACTGAGTCTTACTCTGTCTCCCAGACTGGAGTGCAGTGGTGCAATCTTGGCTCACTGCAGCCTCAACCTCCCAGGCTCAAAGCATCCTTCCACCTCAGCATCCTGAGTAGCTGGGACTACAGCCACTTGCCACCACGCCCAGCCAATTTTTGCATTTTTTTTGTACAGTTGGGGTTTCACCATGTTGCCCAGACTGTTTTGTCATTTTAAAATTAGATTCCTTGTCTTCTTGTTATTGAGTTATAAGTTGTGCCAGGCACTGTGCTAAGTGCTTTACAGCCATTATATCACTGAATCTTCACAACTACTCTTAAGGCATATGTGATTGTCTTCATTGGACATATGAGGAAACTGAGTTAGATAGGTCAACCTATAATGATCATCAGATAGATAGCAGAGCCAAGACTGCAGCCTGGGAAATCTTCTTGTCTTGCTGCTGAAATACCTATTCACTCTCGTGAGCAGTATTCACTCACTGGAAGGAGTAACTGGGATGGAGGAGTTCACCAACCTATTTCTCTAGATTTGTATTTCACCAGATGTATTCATCTTCTCTGAACACCTTTATCAACGCTTTCATTATATTTCACAATAAGTGCACGGGGACTTGCAGACTGAGGTAATTGATTTCATAGACATAAAAACTGTTATGAACTTAGAAACTGCCAAAAAGTGAAAGATTAACCACTGAAGGAACCCAGAAAATGATTCTCACTCTTTAATGAATGTCTCCTAGCCTTCATCAGTCTCTCACAGGTGACTATGGAACTGGAGAAAAGCTGTCTATTTTTGTTTTATTTTTTATGTTGAATGTGCAGATTTATTTGAAGTCTTTCCAGGACGCTCAGTGCTGGGCTTCTGCACTCTCCTTAGGCATCCTTACTATGTATTTTTCATACACTCCCTCCTACTGAAGAGCTCTCAAGTCTTGTAAACCAAGGACACAGCAGCTCCTGCTCCCTTGACCTGGCAGTGTGGACTGAGCGGAAGACATCCGATAGGTGACAGAGCGCACAGCCAGTCGTTGGGGGTACTGTCCTTCAGAACAAAATGAGAACCTTTGCAGCAGTGGAGACACTGGCATCACTGTCGTTCTTGGCTCAGAGGAGCAGCCAGGGACAAAGCAGCGGGGGCCCTGCCTGGGGGCCTGCAGCTTAACGTAATGGAGACAGTCTGAGCTGAGAGCAATGGAGACACAGTTTCCGAGCTCTGCCCAGCAGGCCCCATGCAGGTGGCCCGGGCCAGGAGAGTTTGGGTGTCTGCTTTGTCCAGGTGGGAATTTGGGCTGCCTGGCCCAGGACTCAGCCCACTCTCAGTCAAAAGCTGGCATTGATATGGGAAGCAGGTCCAGTTTCATTCCAGGGCTGCACCCTGAAACAGCACAAGCCTAAAAGTAGTTCTTCCTTCCCTGGGGAGAGGCTGAGAGTGCAAGGACTAAAGCCTCACACTCCCACTTCCAACTACTGGCGGCCACAACTAACCCCACACTCCAAGCTATTGTTCAAATGTTTTCTTCTGCCCAGAATGACCTTCCCACCTTCCTATCTGCCATTCTTCCAAGTGCAGCTCAAATCCCCTCTAAGTCATTCACGCCATATGAATGTATGCTAGGCATGCTTGCAGACCTGGGAAACGGCCCTACGTCTCCCTGGTGTGAATCATCTCTCCCTCCCCAGTGCTCTCTTAGCATCTTATTTCTCTCTGTCGTGGTTTTTATACTGTGGGCTGCTGTTCTGCTCTAATGCTCTGAGGCTGCATCCCAGAGTTTCTTCTTCTGCTCTTGATTATGAGCTTCTATCTTCCAGCCCTTGGCTCAGCCAGCTGCTTCTGACTTCCTGGTTCTCACTTAACCACAAGACTCTTGTTTTGTTTTGTTTTTCTCAGCATATTTATTAACAATCCCTATAATCAGTGCTTCTTGGCATACACTTGGTTAACACTGGTGTAACCAAGAGGTTACACCAGCATGGAAGCAAGAGTGCCTTCCATGCCTTACATATATTTATATATTTTAGTTGTAATTTCTTTTGCTATATACAAAATTACCTTATAATGGAGGAGGTGTGGTTGTGACAGTTGAATGTGGCTGTGTGGGGGGAATAGATATCTCTGGCCTTCTGGGAAATGTGCTCCTTCCGGGTGCTGAGCATGAGGAGCAGTGTCTGGGTGCAGCTGGTGTCTTTTAGCTCTCGAAGCCGGTCAGGAGGGCAGGGCAGGGAAGAGCAGGTGGACCCATTGCCCTCATCACAGCCTCTGATGCTGTTGCTCATGATGCCTTCTGAAGCCCTCTCCTGCCTCAGTTCTCTTCCAATTTTTCCATTCCTTCTCAGCCTCCTTTGCATCATCCTCTTTTTCTACTCACTTTTTTTTTTTTTTCCGAGATGGAGTCTTGCTCTGTTGCCAGGCTGGAGTGCAGTGGCACGATCTCGGTTTACTGCAACCTCTGCCTCCCGGGTTCAAGTGATTCTCCTGCCTCAGCCTCCTGAGTAGCTGGGGCTACAGGTGTGCTCCACCACACCCAGCTAATTTTTGTATTTTTAGTAGAGACGGGGTTTTACCATGTTGGTCAGGCTGGTCTCGAACTCCTGATCTCAAGTGATCCACCTCCCTCAGCCTCCGAAAGTTCTGGGATTACAGGCGTGAGCCACCTCACCCAGCCTCTACTCACTTCTAGAGGCGTTCCCTAGCCTTCCCTTCCTCCATTGGCCCACTCTGTGATCTCAGTCTGCCCCAGAAATTAACTTGCACATATAGTCAAGGATTCCCAAATCGATCTCCAGCTCAGACCTCTCCTGGAGCTCCAGACCCATAGATAATCGGCTGTGTCCTGTTCCTCCTTGGGAACCAATGTGACCAAATAATCCAATTCTCATTTGTTAGAGACGGGCTGTGGGACGTTGAAGACGGAATGATGCATTGACTCATCCGTTCACTCACCCGTCCACCCAGCCATGTCTGCTGGATGCTGAGCACAGGGTTAGGCACCAGGAACCCAAAGAGGAGTGAGACACGGTATCACTGTCATGGAGCCCAGGTCCACGTGACACATGAGAGATGACATATAACACAATGTGCTAAACATAATGCTTGACAGATATAAACAAAGTAGGAAAGTACCCCGGGGTGAGAATTTCTCACTCTGCCTATAGAAAACTTCACGGACAGGGTGCTTGGAGAAATTCCTGGAGATCTCTGGATTTTTGTGTATGTGGGCATTCAAGCACATATAGATAAGTGTTCAGTAAATATATAGCAAGCATGGTGGCCGGGCACAGTGGCTCACGCCTGTAATCCCAGCACTTTGGGAGGCCAAGGTGGGCAGATCACGTGAGGTCAGGAGTTTAAGACAAGCCTGGCCAACATGGTGAAACCCCAACTCTACTAAAAATACAAAAATTAGCCGGGCCTGGTGGCTCATGCCTTTAGTCCCAGCTACTCGGGAAGCTGAGGCAAAAGAATCACTTGAACCCAGGAGGCAGAGGCTGCAGTGAGCTGAGATAATACCACTGTATTCCAGCCTGGACAATACAGCGAGGCCCTGTCTCAAAAATATGTATGTATATATAGCAAGTGTGAGAATGGAAGCCAGTAGCCAATGCTAAGCCAGGGCTAAAGATGGTGGATTAAGAAGGAAGAGGGAGGCCAGGGTCATTGCTGATATTATGGGGCAGCCAGCCTGACCCTGAACTCCATATTTCTTTTATATGAGAGAAAAGCAGACCATTCTCTTTTAAAGGCTTCTTTTAACACTTTCCTTGCTGCCTAACAAAATTCTTAAGGAATATTAAAAAAGAGCCTTAGAGATCCACTGGTCCTGTTTTGCAGTAGAGCTCTCAATCTTAAACCTGTTACTGTAAAATCTTAGGTGCCCTGTCAGTTGAAGTTAGGAATGAGTCTCTCATGAACCTTCCTACCTGTGGCTGCCCATCAAACACTTCTGCAGATTCCTAAGGCTCCTGGAAACAACTGCAAACCATCATAGCCTCTTTTTTTTTTAATAGCTGAGAAAATAAAAGCTATGAGAGATCAAATAATTGGCCCAAGGTCACAGAGGTAGATTGCGCTGAGGCCAAAACCAGATTAAGGTCTTGTGGTGCTGCCCACTGCTTGCTTTTCTTCTTTCCCTCTAGGACCCTGATATGGGGAGACTGGAAGGGACAGAGTGAAGTGCTAATGAAGAATGGAGGTTTGTACTCTGAACTGTAGAAAGTAAAAGGGCAGGAAAACAGGAGGGATGAAGACAGAAAAACACTGGAGCTGCAGTATTGAGACCATCCATCGATTAGCCTGCTCTGTGTCCAGGGCTACCTGAGGATGCTGAGAAATCGTGGTCCTCAAATACTGCCTTGTAACTGATTTTATTATCCTTGCTCTGGTAGGTTTTCTTTCCTGATGTGAAGATGCTTCTGCAATCGATCAACCAGTCTGCAGCTTCTAAGAATCACACAGAGGTGCTCAGCACTATATGAAATGTGCAGATACAAAGGAGTAACAGAGACAGCCCTTTCCAGAAGAGATTGCTCTGGGGAGTTTGCCCAGTTTGCGACACCCTCTTAACTTCCCACCCTACATTCATTCACAAGAAGTGGGCTCCTGGCAGTCATGCTCATCAACCGCATGGCAGAGGCAGTCATGACCCTGCACCCTGGGCCTGGTCGACTGGACTACAGATGTCCATTTGACCCACAGAGAATCAATCAGAGCCTATTCCCAGGGAGGGTGTGGGGTGGGGTTGAGGGGAGGAAAGGAGAGAGAATGACAGAAGAGGAACAGGAAGGAGAAGGAGGAGGAGGAGGAAGGGGAGGAGGAGAAGGAGAAGAAGAAGAGGAAGAAGAAGAAGACGTAGAAGAAGAAGAGGAGGAAGAAGAAGAAGAAGAAAAAGAAGAGGAGGAGAAGGGAGGAGAAAAAGAGGAAGAGAATGAGGAAAAGGAGAAGCAGAGAGAGGGGAGAAGAGGAAAGGAGACAAGCAATGGCCAGATGGTGAGACCAAGGTAAAAACACAGAGATTTAGCTGGCAATCTTCTGCCTTCTGCATGTAATGCACACCAGAGAATGCAGATATCGTGGGAGAGAGTGGAATGGACACTTGCAGAGAACCAGAGAGAGAAACAGGGAAATGATCCTCAGCATTCCGGGTAGCAGATTCCCAGTCCTGCTCTTAACATCTTACAGGGAGTTCAGGGACAGAGCCTGAGAGAAGGCCAACCTCCCCAGGACACACCTTCCTGCCATGACCTGGCCTCTACCCACTCCTCCCATCTCTCCCACAGCCCTGCTGACTCTCAACCCTGCAGTGCTCCTGGCTATTCCTCCCACAGTCCTTGCTATTCCTCACCCGTGTAGCTCTGTTTCTCTCTTCCATTTGCCTGGATGCTTCTGCCCCTTTTCTCTGTTGGGCTACTCTGGCTCATCCTTCAAGGCCCAACCTAGGCACAGTCTCATCCAGGGAGCCCTCGCAGTTGTTGAAGGACCCCCTTTGTGCTCTCTGCACTTATTGGATCCCACTGAAATGGTCTGCATCTGTGTTCCTCTCTCCCACTTTGCTGTGACTGATGTGCCGGGCACATGCCAGATGCTTCACAGATCCTAGTTTACAGCTCAAATTGCCTCCTCTGCCCCAAGTTGTCTCTAGAGTAACCTCAGTCAACTAGACTTCAGAAGTGCTTCTGCTTCAGCAGGTGACTCCGCCCTCTCAGCTCTGGCCTGACTCCTGGTCCTCCCCACACACCTTATCACCATCGTAGCCTGGCAAGTTGAGCCCCCCTCTACAAGGTTTCTGTGACCACATGTGGGCTGCAGGTCTCATTTCTGCATTCATCTTCCCTGCTGCTTCCTGGGTGCTCAAAGCAGCTCTTCCCAATCCTTCCCTCAAGAAACACCAGCATGTCAGACATTTACTAAAGATTCGGGGAGAAAAAATTCAATTGCAGTCAATTATAATACAGGAAGTAATTTAAAAGCATGTGTGAAATAATAGTGTCCTAAAAATTCTATCAACCTTTGCCTGCCTTCAGCTCTATCCCTCCAGAGAACCCCTTAAATTTCTGTGCTGTCTCAGAGCTTGTCTCACCTGGAAGCCCGTCAATACATGCCTGTCTTCTTTCCACTTGCCAACTCCAATTCCTGCTAAGTACTCGTGTAGAGCAGCTTCAGTCTTCATTCCCTCCACTAACTAAGATCTGGGTCTATCTTTGAATAACCACAACTCGCTAACAAATAATAAAGTGCCGTCTCCTGCAGATCTGCACCATTTGGCAGCACACATCAACAACAGGAGCTTAGAAATCCGTTTCCCTCACACAGGCGTAGGCAAGCTCCCTCTCACACCAGGCTCTGTAAGTGGTAAGGGAGCAGTCCAAAGAATCCAAAAGAAACTAGCCCCCAGGGTTGGTGGGGTTTGATTTGTTCCTTTGTTTGCTTGGGTTAGTGACGATTTTCTTTGATATCTATCAGCACAACTTCTCTACTAGGCTGGAGCTTCTGGGGACAGGGACTTGCTTATCTTTTTATCCCCAGGATAAAGCACTCAGCAAATGTTTGCTGAATGAGTTAAAGAGCTCATGAGAGGAGATAGCTTAGCTGAACAAATAGCAAGCATGTAAAAATGATCATTAATGAATTGATGAGTACATTCGAAATTGCTGTATTCTTTGTCCACTGTCTTCTTAGCAGACCTGATATTTCTGACTCTGAATCGGGCAGTTAACCCAACCCCTACTGCTCATGACAGTTACATTCATTGACCTTGGACTGTGTAGAGGTTAGTGGTTAAGGACTTGGGCTCTGCAATCAGATAGACTATGTTTCAAATATCAGTCACTTAGGAGTCCTAAATGACCTTGGGCAAGACACATAGTTTAACTCTGAGTTTCCTCATCTTAAACTTCAGAATAACAATAGTACTGACCTCACAGGTTTGAGGAAGAATACATGGAGATAATCCAGTAATGTGCTAAGCATAATACCTTAATGCCTAGCACAGAGCAAGCACTCAATGCACGATAGGTGTTGGCATCAATTGTTGCCATTGTCTTCTTATTTTTATTATTGTCCCAGGTGTGGACTCAGTGGGGAAGCTCTAAGCCCATTCCCCATGACCAAGACTTAGCTTCTTTGTGGAGATAACAGTTTACTCTTCTTGCCAACGTACAGCTATACTAGATAGAGGTGTTCTGATTGCTCCAGGAGAGGGTTCTGTATTCTAACAGTGTAATCTGTCTACTTTTTTTTTTTTTTGGTAAAATATACAAAAAATGTCAACATACAATGAGATCAAAGCAGAGTTCTTTATAGTATGGTGTTTATTATGTGAGTGTCTGATGGTAGAGGAGAGGATGAACCAAATCCCAACCATCATTCAGGCATCTCCACTGGAACCACATTTTAAAACTCTGCATTTTACTAGTCACACTGTTCTGATTTTATATCTGCCTAGACTGCTGCCACCACATCAGGAACATTCCAGAAACTACTTGGTGTTCATCATGGACTCCAATATGATAGAAATTTGCTTTAGAGAAGCCTCAATTTCACCTAAAGCTCAGGCTTATGTCCTTATCCCTGACTTTAAAAACTGTATTTACGGATGGGAAGAAGATAGCATCGAAATCCTGTGGGGCCTGCCTGGGTCACATGTGCTATGATTGGATTTCCTCTGAGAAGGAAGCATTTTCCTCTTATTAGCCAATCCAGAAAAATCAAAGCAATTTATATGGTCCAGGATGTACCCAGAACTCTTTTTAAAGTCACTGATAATTTCAATCCATTTGAAATAAATTGGATCACTTTGATCTAAAATATTTTGTAATTTTTACAAATATGTCATTTTTACAGACATATTCCCAGTTATATAAAGACCACAGATGATAAGGATGTCATTTGTGAATCCAAAAGGAACTAGATTATGGAATGATATATACTTGAATTCAAAACAATATTTATAAAAACCACTGTGGAATTTCCTCTATTAAAAAGGGAAGGTAATGTTTTTAAAATCAGGAAAAATAAATACAATAAATAGCTGGGCACAGTGGCTCACATCTGTAATCCCAGCACTTTGGGAGGCCCCAGGTGGAATGAATGTTTGAGACCAGGATTTCAGGACCAGCCTGGGCAACATAGCAAGACTTCGTTGCTACAAAAAATGTTTTAAAAATTAGCCAGGCATGGTGGGTCATACCTGTAATTCCAACTACTTGGGAGGCTGAAGTGGAAGGATTTGAGGCTGAACTGATTTGAGCCCAGGGGTTCGAGGTTCTAGTGAGCTATGATCTTACCACCACACACCAGCCTGGGTAGCAGAGCAAGACCCTGTCTCAAAAAAAAAAAAAAAAAAAAGTAAAGACTCTAAATATAAACACTATTTCCTAGTTTTTCTAGCTAAATAGTCAAAGCAATAAGACACAGCTTTAATATGGACAGTGAATTTTTGACTAGCTGGAATTCTTTAGTAGGGGCATGCTTTGGTTGATGAGATTTTCTCTACCCTGTAAAATGTTTTTCTAGAACATAGTTTCTTAATCTTTCCCTTCCTCCTTTTTTCCTCTCTCCTGCCTATTTTTACTCCCTTCTTTCTCAAAAATGAGGATAGGGAATATAATGTAATATTTCAGCTTCTCTAGACAATCATCCCGAACACTGGATTTTACTATTCAGCCTTGAGATCTGGAAATTAGCTGGAATAAGTTCAATGTCATTCTATGACAATGAACAGTGAATAAGTCTATGGTTATTTGACAAATCCAAAGTCAGTCTTTATGACGTAGTCTTCATTTACTTTCTTTACAGAATACAATAGTATTTGAAAATAAATAATTCATGTATTCATATAGTGTCTTCTATCTTCTTGGCCCTCTGAAATGTAAGCTTCGTGGAACAATGACTCCCATCCTTGTTCTCAGTGGAATCTCCAGCACCCACAGGTACCTGGCACAAGAGAGTCTCTCATAAATGTTTGTTGGAAAATGAATATCTAGTTCTTTTATTCTTCACCGATTACCAAAAAGTCAAATGTAAGCATTTCTCCTTGATCCTTGTTAATGATGCCTTGCCAAAAAAAGTCCCTGCTTTTTACTACATTGTGTTCCAGAAAACTACATCATAAAGTTGACTGTTACAAAATAAATTCTATTTCCTCAGAAGGAGGGTGAACTTCTTTTGAGATAAAGGTATTTAATTAGAGAACGTCGTAAAAGAACACATATAATGTGTCTAAAATCATAGCCAAAGGACAAACAGTCTCTAAACCACTATAAACTCACAATATTATCTCCTAGATCACTGGTCTTCAAATTGTGCTCCTCAGACCCTACAGGTTCAGCCAAGGTATGTTGGGGACTTCCTTGCAAAATGAAAGGGGAAACCAATGAATGGGCTTCCAGATTCCCCAACTGTCCTCTGCCCCTTCAACTCTTTGGTTTCACTTAAATGAAGGATTCCATGGATAAGGAAGGCTTGAAAATGAGAATTTTAGATCTAGATGACCACTGCACCTCACGATTCCTTACAGTGCCCCAATTAACTTCTATCCACTGAGCCATTCAAAAACATCCCCTGAGTGCCTGCTGTCCGTGGCCCTGGAGGTGCAGCTGTAAATCAAGGGGACATGGCCTCTGACTTCATCGAGCTAGCATTCTAGTGGATGAGACCAAAACCAAGCCAATAAGTGCATATTTTAGACAACAATAGGTGGTAAGGAGAGCAATAAAGCAGGAGACATTTTGGGAGGTGGGCTCAGCTGGTTGTTTGGTCTCATCAGGTGATGAAGGCAGACCTTCCTGCTAAGGCAACGCTGGAGTAAAAGCATGAAGGAATGGAAAGAGGAGCTGAGTAAATTTCTGATGGAAGCGTGTCCTATCCCAAGAGAAGAGCAAGGGCAAAGGCTGTGAGGCAGGAGTATGCTTGGTGAGGCCATGAGGAGGCAGCAGCAGGAAGTAAGGCAGTGAGGTTGGGTTGGGCTGATCATGACCTGAAGGCCACCGCAGCAAGTGAGACAGGAAACCATGGGAGCATTTGTAGTAAAATGAGAGGACCTGACTCAGGTCATAGCAGGATCCCTCTGACTGCTGTGTTGAGAATAGACTGCAGAAGGGCAAGTATGGGTGCCATAGAGCAGTCAGGGGGCATCTGCAAACATCCAAGTGAGAGATGCAGGTGACTTGGGCAAGGTGGAGGTGGTAAATCTAAGGAAAGAAGTGGTCAGATTCAGCATGTATCTTGGAGGTAGAATCGACATGATTTCTGATGGATTGAAAGTGGATGTGAGAGAAGGATTGGAGACAGGGATGACCCCAAGGTTCTCTCCTGAGCTTGGAAGGAGGGAGTTGCCATTTTACTGAGCTGAAACCTGGAGGAGGAGCACATTGGAGGTATGGGGAGGTAAACGGGAAAGTTGAGAATGAAGAATTTGTTTTGAGATATGTTATGTGGTGATGTCAAGCCATCCATTGTACATACAAGACTGGAGCTTAGGGAACAGGTTCAGGCTGGAAATGCAAATTTGGGAGGTGTTAGTATAAGGTGATACGTAAAGCCTTCAGACCAGATAATAGCACCAGGAAGTGAGTATAATAGAGAGGGCAGGGGAGGACAAGAACGCTAGAACTTGGGTGGGCACTCTGGCTCCACACAGATGAGGAAGAACAACTGAGGGGCTACTATCCCAGACCAAGAACACTTGGATACACCTATGAGTTTGCCTTTTTGTCTCCTGCTGTTGGAGTTTTATGCTGATCACAGTGCTCAGCAGAGACTTTCAATAAATCTGGGAAGGCAGGAAGAAAGGAAAGAAAGGAGGGAGAGAGGGAGATGAGAGGGAAGAGGGAAGGAGTGAAGGAGGGAAGAGGGATGGAAGTTCTCCAGTGTGTCCTGAAGGCAGGCTACTAAAACTGTACGGGAAAGACTGCTGGGACTGAGGACGTCGGAAACCTGGATGCTAGGATGCTGAATGGGTTGTCTACAAAGCTATTTAGACATGTGATGTGGCAGTTCCCTGTGATGATGGTAGAATTTAGGGGGAAAGGAAAAGTGTGAGCCAGAAGACAAAGTCCTCAATGACTGGAAGGAAATGAGTGGATAATCTACAGATGACCTCAATGAGTCCCAGAGAGCCAGATCAAATGCCACAAGTCTGAAAGGAGGAGGGGTTTGCTTGAGAGTGTTGAGGCAGCAAATGGGGGAGGCAGAGGAGCCATCTTCCCCTAAATGGACAGCAAAAAGTAGTCCCTGGGAGAGAGCCAGGTTTTAGCTAAGAAAGGAGAGGAAGTTTTGTGCAAATCAAGTAGCGGATGCAGAAGAGTTTGATCCCCATAAATAAATGTTTCCAAAGGCACATGAAAGGAAGGTCAGTAGTGATAGTGAAAGGAAGAATCAAGAAGAAAGCATGGAGTATTTGTAGGATAACAGTTCAAGGAACTGCAGGATCTTGCATTTTGTCCAGAGGCCAATGTAGACAAAGGAGGGAGGCATGATGGATTTATCCATCTTCCAAATTCTGGCCACCATAGACCAAGCATTTGGCTGGTGCTGACAGCCTGGTAATGTTACCCAAACACAGTTGTTGCTCAGCCTTTGTATAGAACATTCTGATAAAATGCCCTGGTGTCTCCCTAAAGAATTCTAGTTCAAGTGTCGAGGAGAGGGTCAATTGGCCTTCAACAGAATCACAGCAGGCCTTAGGGCCAGGAAGCCTAAGGATTATGTACTGAAAAGGCAGGGGGGACTTGTGGGAAGGGAAGGTGACGTTCCCAAAAGAATGCTTCCCCAAGAAAGGTGAAGGGGACCAGCTGGGTTTCTGCCCTATTCCATCCTCCCACCTGGGTGGAGCTCTGGAGGCTCAGATGGGCAGGACTTATGACTTCTTGAGCCAGGCTCAGGATAACTTGGAGAAGAGGACCCTCCGATAGTCCTTTTCCATCTGGTTGTCTCCCTTTCTATTCTTCCCATGATTGTCCTATCTTGAGCTAGTCCTGCTGAACCATTCATAGAAAATGAACCTCTCTGTCTGCTTCCTGCTCGACCATGAGATCCTCAAGGACAGAGAAGAGTCTTAGCCATGATGGTATCTCCACCATGTCGAACCTTGCCTTTATTCAGGCATCTAAGCATCTGAAGATGAAAAGAAGATGGTTAAGGATTCAGAGAGTCTCACCCTCATGATTTGGCAGCCCAGAATGTCTCTGCAAGTGTCTAGGCTGCCCCCTTTCTTTGGGCCAACTAGGTACACAGAATAAACCAACAGCAGTCAGCCTGCAGTAACTAAGTCCCACTCTCCATCTCCCTGGGCCATGTTCAATTTAAATAAATAAACACTAAGGATCTTTTCAATTCTCCATTAATCATTCCTCTGATTCAAGCACTACCAAATGTTTGGGGTTCTCTATTCCCATAGTGAGAACGAGCTTATGGGACCAGCTTTCAGGCAAGTGGAATAGAGCCAAGCAGGGGCTCGAGCCCTGGTAAAGAAGGCATGGAGGAAGGTGAAGAAAGGAATGCTGAAGACAAATGTGTTCTCCCCTTGGTTTGCCCTATTTTTTAGCATCTGAACTGTACACAGTGATTTCTTCATGTTTCTAGTTAGTTTCTCCTATAGGTTCATATTTCGCTTGTGGGGCTTGATGTCCCAAAGCCTTTCATTGGGTTCACCTTTCCGATGTGCACTGACAATTGCCCACTGCTTGGCTGAGACAGAATTCTCATCTTCCTGCATCATTTATCCACACTAGGCCTCAAGAGAAAATGAAAAAAAAATGTCTATTCACTCTCCCCTTCCGGACTAGTTACCATGCCTAGTCTGGTTCTGATTAATGCGAGGTAGATGTTGGGATGTTGGCAAGAGTACCCTTGGGGGCCAAAGTGCTCAACAACCGTTTGGAGGGGAGGACAGGTCACACCATGAAGGGTGAACCTGATAGGAAAGGGGCAAATGAAAGGGGCTGTCAGGAGTAAGGAAGCCACTAAACTATGGGAAGAGAACTGACAGGGGAGAGGGGAGGACGTGAGGGAACCTGTCCCTCCTTCCAAGAAAGGAGATGAGCTGAATGTCACCAGTTCCTTAGGAGATGAGACCCACAACTTCATGGCTCAGTTTGTTTGGATGTTGCCTTCTGTTTTATAAGTAGTTCAAACCAGGACACTGGCTATCAACAAAATCTTATGGGTTATTATTACCCTATTTTTAGACTTGAAAGGACACAGTACATTTGTGATCACAAATGAGGGCCCGGCAGCCGCAAATTGGTTTTAAGTGTGTGGGGAAGTGGCTGATCTCCTCAGATCTAAGTCCCAGGATGAGGCAGGTGGGGACATATGAGCAGGGCCTCAGGAAATCAATAGCCAGGCAAGAGCTAGAATGAGATGGGCACTTTCAAGGAAAACAGGCCAAATTCAAAAAGTTCTGTTTTCTAAATCTCCAACTCATGCAAGGACAGTCAGAAAAAATATGCGTGACTACTGTCATCATTTATGTCTTGATTCACATGACAGCTCATATTTATGATTTTCTTTTTTGAGATGGAGTCTCACTCTGTTGCCCAGGCTGGAGTGCAGTGGCATGATCTTGGCTCACCACAACCTCTCCCTCTCTGGTTCAAGCAACTCTCTTGCCTCAGCTTCCCAAGTAGCTGGGACTACAGGTTCATGCCACCATGCCCGGCTAATTTTTTTATTTTTAGTAGAGATGGGGTTTCACTATGTTGGCCAGGTTGGTCTCATACTCCTGACCTCATGATCCACCCACCTCAGCCTCCCAAAGTGCTGGGATTACAGGCATGAGCCACTGTATCCCTGGCCCATACTTATGATTTTTAATGATACCTGGTACCTTCTTGTTTGAGCATCATTTCTTGTCTTTGAGTCCTTTTGAACAGAGACTTTTCTATGATGTAGGGTATGCTTTTCTCACCAGGGAACTGAAACAGACACAAAGCAATAGGCCAATATCAGGTCCTTGGAGGCATGGCTTAGAGGACAGTATGGGGATGGGGACACTGAGAAGCCAGGGCTCAGCCCAGACCAGGGATATGGACTGGTCGTAAAAGCCAGAGCAGGTAAAAGATTACCCTCTAGGGAGTCAAGTAATGACTGCAGGTAGGAGGGGCCTAAAGGACCCTTAGTCATGAGAGAACCCTCCACTAGCTGCCTACACTGAGGATTCTGGGAGCTGTGCAGATGACCAGCTGGGACCTTTGGCCCTGGATGAGGATGGACCTCATGGAGCAGAAGAATCTCTTTTCCAGAATAGGCAGGCCCAGTGGGCCTAGGTTGAGACCAGGCTAATAGCTTCCTTACCTCTGATCTTGGCCCTCTAGAGGTTATTACTTTTATGGTAAGAAAAATCAGGAAAGATTACTCAAAAGAAAACTCTGTCTACTGAAAAAGTGCTTCTCTTGAAGGTTCAGAGCAGAGCTGGCCTGAGCAACCTTCTTGGAGCTGGAGGCCAGTGGGGGCCCCAGACCTGTCTACTCTACTAGCCTCATGGGGTCTCCAGGAGGGAGAAAGGAGGCAGAGGGAAGATGACACAAAGTCAAGCCTAAAAGGCAGGACCACAAAGATGCCAGAGCTTTTAATAACCTATTGGCTTTTCACCAGATAATTTTCATCCTGATCACTGTGACCTGTCAATGTCATTGACCTGACCCACATAGATCCATCCTGTCCTCAGAGACAGAATGCAGAGGGGGGCTTAAAGTGCTGCAGCCAGAGAGGTGATCTGAGCAGCTGGACTTAATCTCAGATAGTGCATTTTTTATCTCCCTGAACCTTTCACACCTGCTGAGTGCCAGGCTTTTGCTAGCTGTTTTATAAAGATTCTAATATGGCATCTTCACAGCAATCTTTACAGGATATGTATCATTATTTTTATTTAATAGATGGAGAGACTAAGACTCAAAAGACTAAGGAATTTGCCCAAGGTCAGATGGGCTGGGATGTCAACTGCAAAGCCCATTCTCTCCCATCTGCATTGCATTTCTGAAGGTGTCCGAGCAGAAAAGAGCAGAAATTTTAAGCAGTATTTCCTGCTTAAGCCAAAAATAGCTTGAACCTTTCTTTGTCATCCAAGAACATCATTATGAATGCCCTCCATTGAGATATGTGTTACAATTCAGCCTCACTTCTTAAAGTGTATAGAATCGTTCTCCGCTATACCAAATGTCCCCCAAACAGCTGTGCACTTTTTGGTAGCCTCCTTTCGTAGTTTCCTTTCCTGCTTGCTGTAGTCCATGTTTCTCAGCAGTTTCCAGTTTTTCAGTATTTTCATGCACACCTGCTGCCAGCAGGCCTGAAGATAGTTCTGCCTTATATATGAGAAGTTTACAAAAGCTATTAACTGCTCAAAGACCTTTTCTCTGACTTCAGTGTTCACCATTAACCTCTGAAGGGCTGGAGTCACCAAACACCCAATTTCAACAACACTGAGGTACGTTCTCTCAACAGCTGACGAATCAAATTGAGCTTACCTATGAAACTGTATTATTTAAACTCTCAATTTTAGATTTGCAGAGAAGTCACAAAGATAATGCATGGAGGTCTCCTATACTCTTCATCCAGCTTCTCCTAATGTTAGCATCTTACCTATCCACGGTATGTTTGTCAAACTAAGAGACCAACATTGGTTGTATATGTACATTTAATATGCAACAGGATACAAAATGTACATTATGTAATTTCTGATTATCTAGGTAATCTCATTTGGATGCAATTGTCTAGGAATCCAGTTTCTTCTTGATGTCTCAGGTGATGAAGCTCTTTGTGAAAAAATGCTCTACTACCCCCTTCCGCAGTGAGAAGTTTACAGCTGTGGCAAATCCAAACATTTGGTCTTTTATTTCTTTATTTTTGAGTTGAATCAAGAGAAAGAATGAAATGTACTTACAACAAAATAGTAGCAAAGTACATACATAATTTCACAATTACTGGTTTGATTGGTGTATCAAGTCTTCAGACTTGCACCCATGGGTAAATTCTATTTACTTAATTATGGAAGAATAAATGAGTCAGTTGCTGCTGCATTAATTTCACTTGACCCAGTGGATAAAATCCATTCTGTAATTTCCTTCTCCCTTAGATTTCAGAAAACTTGAACACAGTCATTGGCAAGTGTAGTTGTTACTAAAAAAAACCATTAGGGAGTGGGACCACTATCTTATCAGCTCTCTATTTAGCACCTGTGTAACAGCCAGATAATACAAACAAAGAAAAGAAGGTGGAGAACAGAAGGAGTGAGGGGGAGAAAGAAAAATGTATTTTCATGAAAAGACATGAAGGAAATTTAAATGCATATTACTAAGGGAAAGAAGACAATGTGAAATTGTACAGCTATATACTGTACAATTTCAATAGTATAACAGTCTGGAGAAGGTCACAGTGGTTGCTAAAGGTTAGGGGAGGGAGGGATGAATAGGCAGAGTGCAGAGGATTTTTAGGGCAGTGAAAATACTTTTTATGATACTGTAATGGTGGATACATGCCATAGTACCTTTGCCCAAACCCAGAGATTGCCCATCAACAGTAAGCCTTAATGTAAACTAGGGACTCTGGGTGATAATGATGTGCCAATGCGGGTTCATTGATTGCAACAAATGTACCACTTGGTGAGGAATATTGACATTGGGAGATGCTGAGCATGTGTGGCTGCAGGGGTAGACGGGGTATCTCTGTACCTTCTGCTCAATTTTTCTATGAACCTAAGCTGGTCAAAATATAAAGTCAAATAAAAAATTTAAGAGGTATTTTAAAGTTGTTGAGACAGAAAAAATAATCAGTTAAATGAACTTATGAGACATTCAGGCAACAGAAAATGAGATTGTAAGAAAACCAGGAGACTTCGGTATATTAGGGCAGGTCCCTGGGAACAAAGTTTGAGAGACAGAGAGAGAGAGAGATTTGGGAAAGCCACAGGAACAGCACCTATAAGGAAGTAAGGGGAGCAGGATGGGACAGAGAGAGGCTTGAAATGTGATCCCATTACAGTGGAGCCTCAGCCCATCCAAAGGGCAGCTCTGGAACTGGCATGATCCTTTAGAATTGTCCCAAACTGAGATGGGGGAGCTGGAACTCATACCTCGGTATCAACCAGTCCTTAGGTGCAGGCTATTCTTGCAACAGGGGAGTAAGTTTAGTCAAGTCAGCTTCCTCCATCTGAGGGCAATTCCTGGAGATAGACTTAGCCCTGAGCTGTCAGTCACCAACAAAGCTGGCAGCCAGAGCAACAAGTTCCTTGGTCCTGCAGCAGGGATCTCGGTAGCACACCAGAGCATCTAGTATACACGGTATCCTCAAGTCCAAGAGAAGAGAATGTTTCAGGAAAGGAAGAGCCAGCCATATGGGATATTTCTGAAAGGCTGGGTTAGAGGAGGATACAGACGTGGCAGATGTAGGTCATCGTGATCTTAACCAGAGAAATTTTAGTGGAACTGGAAGGATGCAAATCCAACTAGAAAGACTGAGAAGAGAAGGAAGGATAGGGAAATGAAGACAGCAGTACAGACAATTCTCTTGAGATTTTTGAGGTCAGTCAAGAGGAGCAGAGAGATTGGATGTTAAATGGAGAGGGGCATGGGGCTAAGGGTAGTTTGTTATTTGCTTTAAGTTGGAAGATACTAGAACGTGTTTGCCGACAAGCAAAATGACATGAATGATGGAGGAAATTGAGATGCAAGAGAGGGAGGGGAGAGTTTCAGGAGTCATGTCCTTGAGAAGGTGAGAAGGAATAGGATGCAGGGCACAGTTGGAGGGGCTGGTCTTGGACAGGGGGAGGGATACATCATTCATAGTAGTAACAGGGTTGGCCTCCAGAAGATACTAGGTATATACATATAACTATATATATAGAGAGAGCATGAAGCAGATGTGTGTACAGAGGAGAAATGGGACAGGCTTCTGATGGCTTTGCAAGTCCAGGCCCTCCCTGAGGCCTGCCTGGAGACCCTCTTCTATGCCATCAAATACCTCTTTGTCTTTACTACAAACATCCCTTTCTTGGTAAATTTAACTCTACTGAGATACTGATTTTTGCAACCAGAATCTTATCTATGATATGGAGCATTGCCTGACTGACATGCAATTAGCTTCAGGCCCAAGAAGACACCCTTGATACGAGCCAGCTTCAGCAGAGAGAGCTACCCTGCCACGTGACTCAGGCCCTTTCCTAGAACTATACCATGGATCTCATACAACACTGATCTGTCCAGTGCCAGTCCACTAGTGAAAGACTGGATGCAAGAAAATGCAAAATCTAAGGAACAATTAAGATAAATCCAATCTATTTTTCAATAAATAATATCTAGACTTCAAATAGATTCTATGATGACTAGATAGAAACATAAAGTAAAACAGAACACTGATTTTAATGCCCATTATGATAGCACTGTAAAAAAAATGCATTTGTTTGGGAGGCCGAGGCAGGCAGATCATGAGGTCAGGGAATCGAGACCATCCTGGCCAACATGGTGAAACTCTGTCTCTACTAAAAATACCAAAATTAGCTGGACATGGTGGCACGTGCCTATGATCCCAGCTACTCAGGAGGCTGAGGCAGGAGAATCACTTGAACCAGTGAGTCAGAGGTTGCAGTGAGCCAAGATCGCGCCACTGCACTCCAGCCTGGTGACAGAGTGAGACTGTCTCAAAAAAAAAAAAAAAAAAAAAAGCATTTGGACTGAGTTTGGTGGTGTGCACCTGTAGTCCCAGCTACTCAGGAGGCTGAAGCAAGAGGGGCGCTTGAGCCTAGGTGCTCTGGACTGTCGTGAGCTATGTCTACCTGGTGTCTGCATTAATCATGGCATCAATATGGTGACCTCCCAGCATCAAGGGACCACCAGATTGTCTAAGGAGGGGTGAACCAGTCCAGGTTGGAAACGGAGCAGGTCAAAACTCCCGTGCTGAGCAGTCATGCAATCGCACCTGGAATAGCCACTGCACTCCAGCCTGGGCAACACAGTGGGAGCCCATATCTTAAAAAACAAAAAAACAACAACAAAAAAACCCAAAACACATTTGGGAATAAGATGGGAAAAATACACCAAAGTGGTAATAATAATAATGTGTTAGGTTAATGGGACCATGTATGTTTCCCCCTAATTTTCTCTATTTTAATTCTAAAATGTGGCTATATCATGTAGACAATTTAATGCAACTCTTCTTCCTGAAGCTCACACCCAAGCAGCTGGGGTGGTTTCCCGGATGTTCCCAAGTTATCACAGATTTTATGTCCAAAAGGAAGAAAATACTCACTCAAGAATTGGGGCCAAAGAAGGCCATCAGAGGAAGTAGTTGTTAAAATCAAAGAGGACACCTACCTTCTGGCCAGGGACACCAATTACAGTCCCACAATAAAGCCCAAGATGAGAACTGGGTGACTACTTGAGCATGATCAGATTTTTCAGCCTGTTCCCATTGCAGGAACACTGCCATGAAATCTCTGAAATGTAAGAAAAGGCTGGGCACATGTGGCCGGCTCCTGTGGCAGGCCCTGCCCCTTCCTGGTCCTCTTTTGTGCCTGTTCTCTCGGCACGTGGACCTCCCTCAGCATTGCTCTTTCTGAAAGTACCGAGGGTTTTATTAGGAACCACACTGAGCACTGACCCTGAACTTCATCTTTGCTAAATACTTT
The DNA here is from genome assembly GCF_000001405.40 of Homo sapiens. Classification (NCBI taxonomy): domain Eukaryota; kingdom Metazoa; phylum Chordata; class Mammalia; order Primates; family Hominidae; genus Homo; species Homo sapiens. The sequence goes on along the minus strand of NC_000008.11, from coordinate 101,396,978 downwards.
CAAATTACCTTAATGAGGATTCCCCTCCACCTCCCAGGGAGGCCAGTTTAAAGGTTGTCCTATGACTCTTCTTTCACAGTGAGGAACAACAGGTCATTAAATGGCTTACTCAGAGACCCACTGGGGCAACTGGAGCAAGAACTTTGTGTTCCTCTGGGCTCAATACTTTTCTTAGCTCACCGAGCCCAGCCAATGCTTCAGGCAAGTGAGAACTGAAAAGAATAAACAGTGATGGGGGAAGGAGGACTTGTCACCCAAGCTCTGCCCTGAGTAAGCAGCCATGCTTCTGTGCACCTGCTCACTCCCTGTCCTTTCTGCTGTTACAGACAAACTAATGGAGCCCTATTGTTCCTCCAGCTTCAACAGAGGCCAAGGAAGAGTGGACTGCTGTGGGGTTCAGGTTCACCAAATGAGTGAGACACCCACCCCAGAGCTAAAATACAATACAATGATTGGCCTTGTGTTTGTGGATAGTAATAACTAAGGCAGGTAGCAGCGTGCTGGCAGGAAGTTCTTCCTAGAGAGCAAAGGAATGTGGGAATAATTTGAGAAGAGGCCCCACCCATCAACAACTGGAGCCAGTTATCAAATAAACTGAAATTAATTACTTTATATTCAATATTACTATTTAGTGAGTGGTACTGTGTGCAGGGCCCACGCTAGGTGGTAAGCAAAGCCACGGCAGTCCCACATGTCAATACCCACTGTCAGGGGCCAGGGATGCTGGTCAGGTAGGCTCATGCATTGGTGTAGTCCTAGGGAGCATTTGGACTAGTCTGTGTGGTCTATTGGCAAGACCAGATAAAGGCAAAAGGCAGGTGCAGAATTCACATCCGTGGAGAGGTGCCCGGAGTCACACCTACTGGTGGGTACATGGCAGAGAAGCCAAGAGAGTTAGCAGGGCTCCATCACCTCTTACCTGACCTGCAGGTCTCTGCTTCAGTGCCACTTCCTCCCAGAAGTCACCCAATCACTCTCAGGCATATGTTAAGCTCCCCTGTTAGATACTCAGATTGTACCATTCATGAGTGTGATTGTTTGATTAAAGGTCTGTTTCCATGAAAATAGGGATGGGAGAAGGGGCTCTGTCTTGTTCCCTGTTTGTCCTCAGCCTGGCACTAATAGGCTTTCTATTTATATTTAGTGAGCCACTAGCCTTCACAGCACTCACCACTTCAGAAGGCTGTAAGTGCTTGGATAATTCTTTATTGACTGTCTTCCTCCTTGCTAGGCTGTAAATCATAAGAGCACAGGAACCTTCTTTGTTTTGTTCTCCATCACATACATCTTTGGCACAGCATTTACACATGACAGCACTCATATTGTTGGTAGAAATCAATAATAAGTGAATAAACAAACATGAATAAAGGTCCAAAGATTAGAAGTGGGTAGGAAAAGGAAGACAATACCGAGAGGTTAGGAATTCAGTACGTCCAAGAACAGAGTTAGGCGAGCAGAAAGTGAGAAAGCACAGGACTTCTGTATCAATAGATGTGGAACGCCTAGAATCTCCTTTTCAGGAATGGACTGCATGGTGGGTGTAGTTAAGGGAACAGGGAAGGCATGCCATTATATTAGAGATGACTGACCAAGTCCAAATCTTCTTTATCCTAGAAGGAAAGCTAAGCCATTTATTTCCTACTCTGCAAAGTGTAAAGCAGGGATCCTTTCCTTTTGCGTGATGAAGCCTTAAGCTCCTGCAAAGTTTGGGGAACGGGGGAAAATGGCTTAGCAACCTGCAGGATCAGGGTTCCACAAATAACAGTGGATCTTAGACTCTTGTCTGGGAGCCTTAGTGCCTCTTGCTGAATCCCCGAATCACAAGGGCCTGACTAGTTATGCTGCCGCCTTCCTGTCTGGTAGATAGAGGCCTTAACACGCATCATTTGCGGCTGTTTTTGCTGGAACTTCTAATCCCCTTTCTTCCCAGGTGTGAGTGCAAAAGGCTCAGGGAAGGGTTCAGGAAGGAGAGTGAGCCTGCATGATGACATGAGAAGATGTGGTCCATCTGAAAAGCTACACAAGGCATCTCTCATCTCTCTCTTTGCAATAAATCTCCCTGGATCCCTAGACAGTGCTTGCCAGAGTTGGCTGCTAATGCAGAGACTTTCCTGGAAGTTAAGAAACAGTGTGAATATTCAAGAAGTATAAACCAAGTTCCAGATGGGAATTCCTGGAACCGTCTTTTTCTGGGTGATCTCCTCCCTCCACTACCATCCTAAAACTTGTTTTGATGGGCTGTTTTTATGAAATTCCTTCTTGTCTCCAACTTCTGCTTCCCACCCTTCTGGTCACCAAAATGGAAGGAAAAGCACTGAATTTTTAAAGCAGCTGCCTGACCCCCACAGCAACACACACACACACACACAGCCCTCCAAAACACTTTCTCCATTTTTAGCAAGCAAAAGGGGAGTGGGGCAGAAAGCAGGCTTTTGCAGTGATCTATCTTGTTTCCTGGTCAATCCATTTGGATGATGACTGACAGATGTTAAAATGGAGCCTCATAGTTTAAGGTGCCTGCACTGTGATTGACTCCATCTTGTTGCAATAAACAATTATTTATCACTAATACCTTGTAGGGCTCCTGGGAGAACAGAGGTGGCATACACTACACCACGCTCACCTAGTGTTCAATTTATTCTTGCTAATTTTACCAGTCTTTGGAGGGGGATGAACCAAAATTTTCCCTTCTGTGTGTGTGTGTATGTGAGTGTGTATGTAAGTCTGTATGTGTGTATGTGAGTGTGTGTACGTGTGTGTATGTGTGTGTATGAATGTATGTGTGTACATGAGTGTATGTGTGTAGGTGTGTGTGTGTGTATTTCAGTGTATGTGTGTGTATGAGTGTGTGTGTATGTGTGTGTCTGTGATTACTCTTCCATCTAATATTTTAGTCCAATTCATCCCCCCAAATTTTCAAGATAAATTTACTTAAATTCTTTTCAGTTCAAGTATCACAAATGTTGGTTTTCTATATCACTTGACTAGCCTGAAAAATGCTGGGCTTCTGTAAATTGCACTGGCTTGATTTAAGCTGTTGTCTAATTTGGCCTTAATCATAACAACAAAAAAATCATAAACAACAAAAATTCTTTGGAGTTTTACCAAAGTGAGGAGTTTCTATGTTCATTCAGACAAAGTGCTCACAATCATGTTTTTACTGAAATACAAAGATATAAAATGCTATTTCCAGGCAGGAGTAAAGAGTCATTCCCAAACTTGTAACTCTAAAATGATCTCATTCTGCTAATAAATGGAGCCCAGCGTATGTGTTGACAATGCTGGAGGGACGCACTGTCGTAGACTTTATTGTCAGGCTCTTGGCCTGACTTCAGCTTCTACTGCCCTGCCAGCTACATAGGTGTGTGTCAGTCACTTCACCTTTCTGGGCTGCGGTTTCCTTCTGTAGCTCACAAGGTGACCGTGCTTGTCTGTTTCTAAGGCCCCCTCTGGCTCTGGGGTGTCATGATACTTTGAATAAGGAGGAAATCATTTTGTCCAGGGCCAAATCTGGACCACTGCCTGATTTTGTGTATCTCACACACTAGGAATGGCTTTTTACAAGTTTTAGTGGTTGGAAAAATATAGTATTTCGGGAAACATGAAAATTATGTGGAATTTAAACTTCAGTGTCCATAAATAAAGTTGAACTGGAACACAGCCGGGCTCACTTGTTTGTGTATTGTCTGCGGCTGCTTTCACACGACAATGGCAGTGTTCAGTAGTTGCCATGGAGACAAGCCTATAATATGGGCCACAAGCCTAAAATACTTACAATCTGGCCGTTTCCAGTAAAAGGTTGCTGGCCCCTGGTCTCATCCAACTGCTTGATAGATGAGGACATTAATGCTGAGTGAACTGACTTGGCCAAGGTCCTGGTTCTTAAAGACAAGGTATAGTTATAGGAAGAAAGAGGCAAATAGCCATTTTGAAGCATACAAAGGAACAAAAACAATTAACAATAAGCCACGATTAAGGATGCAAAAGTAATTTCTTCCTCAAATGCCAAAGGATAATGTGTTCTACAACAGATAAGGACAAAGATATCATGAAACCCTTCCAGCACCCCACACCATTTGTGAGGAAGAACTGATATTTTCTTAATCTGGAATCAAATGACAATGGGCTGGTGAGGAGGATTTGGGAAGGGGTAGATTACATCAGAAATTGCTCGAGATTCTTCATACTGATAACACTCCAGGAAGCCTATATCCACAATTGCTGAAGGAAATGGAGGTGGACATTAGAAACGCTTTAGTGGGTCTTTTCAAAAGTGCAGATCTGGAAGGGGTGAGGCAATACAACGTCTGGGGACAGGAAGCCTGGACTAGACTAGAACTTTCGTCAGATGGAGGTCTAGTGTTAGGAAATCCTAAAGCCCTTTATGACACAGAGGCTCAACTTATAAGAGCCAGCATTGTTCTGAGGTTGGCCCCTACTAACCTCCTGGCAAGAGGTTAAATAGGAGCAAAATAAATGTTGCATTGGCAACATAGCAGTTTTGAAAAGCTTTAGACAAAGTTCCATGTGGGGATAAAGCTCCTCCCCCTTCAATTTACACAGGGCAGATTGCCTTTGCCTGGGAAGTTCCCGGTAGCGCGTAATAAATATTCCAAACCCAAGCATAAGTAGGGGTGAGATGAAACTGCTCCAATGTCCAAACTGTTGGCAGTCCACTACGTACCAAACATTACCCCTGTGGGAAGGGCCTTAGGCAGTTAAAGTATAAAGTTGAAAGTTGGGCGCAGTGGCTCATGCCTGTAATCCCAGCACTTTGAGAGGCCGAGGCGGTCGGGTCACTTGAGGTCAGGAGTTCAGGACCGGCCTGGCCAAATGGTAAAACCCTCTCTCTACTAAAAATACTCTACAAAAAATTAGCCGGGCATGGTGGTGGGCACCTGTAATCCCAGCTGCTCCAGAGGCTGAGGCAGGAGAATCGCTTGAAGTCGGGAGGCGGAGGTTGCGGTGAGCCAAGATCACGTCATTGCACTCCAGCCTGGGTAACACAACGAGACTCCATCTCAAAAAAATAAAATGAAATAAAATAAATAAAATGAAATAAAATTGAACTTACCAAATAGGATTTACCCTGGAAAATTGGATTATTTACAACACACAATACAGGTGCTGCAGAGTCAGTGAGAGTCAGGACGTTACTGTCTCAGTTTAACTCAGTGACAAGCTGCCCAGGGTTGCATCCAAAATCTAGGGAATGCAATGCGACAAGCTTGCGTTCCCATGTAACTTTGGACAGGTTGCTAAACCTGTCAAGCCTCCTTGTCTTCTCCTGTAATGCCAATAAGAACAATAATAATAGCACCTACTTTATGGACTACTGTATTTAAATGAGATTTTAGAGGTAAAGTGCTTGAGAGATGTTGGTCACTGGTAAGTGTTCATCAAATGCCTTCTGTTCACTGTTGGCTGCATTGTATGGCATATTAACTGAGAGCATGGATTTGGGTGCAAATAATCCTGGGTTGGAGTCCCAGCTTCACCACCAAGTAGCCTTGTAACCATGAGTAAATTCCTTCAATTCTTTGAGCTTCAATTTCTCTACTGTAAAATAATGATAATAATAGTTACCTCAAGGAGTTGTTGTGAGGATTAAATGAAAAAATATACTTACAGTGCTTGGGAGAGTTTCCAGCACTTAGATATCATTATCACCATCATCATCATCATCATCATCATCATTAATTGGTTGGTTCTGCCTTTAGAAAGCTTCTGAAGACAGCCTTCAACACAGGAAGGCTGATATAAGATGCTTATGTGGCACACAGAATATAAAAAGTTTTTACGTAAGTGATTTGATCCAGTGAAGTTCCTCATACACATTAGAAAGGCCAAGTGAGACGCCAGTGAGAAGGACTCCAGGGCCAATCCTGCCTGCCCCAAAACCCTCCAGGCAAGCCCAGAAGGTGCTCCCTGGATTCCCTACTTCAGAATCACTGGGGTTCTTGCTTCTTGTTTGCTCACCTTCTTTCTGCTAAATTCTGTTATTCTTGTTTGCTGCCAGGCTTCTCGACATGTGGAACTCACTGCCACCATACTGCCTCATGTTCCACGTAAGAGGTAAATGCCAGTCTCATATTTATCAATAATAAGGTAGAAACCATTGCCTCTGAGGAGGAAAGGGTGACTTTATGTCTGGTCCAATCTCCCTTCTTAGTTTGTGGAACCAGTACTGTTTTCTACCATTAACAGATCTGTTTGCTTATCTAATATTCCCAGATCAAATTACCCAGTTTCCACTCCGATGGGCTTGACAAACCTGCTCTCTCTATAACTTGGTACCCTGCACCCTTTCACACCTGCTGACTCCTTCACAATGAAGAGAAGGGAGCCAGTCTCCTGAGATTAAGGAATTATAAAAACATGTACTGTAGGTATCAGTGGCGCCTTATTTAGCACACATTTTGTGATAAGTCCAAGGTATTCTTTCCACTAGATTTAAGAACTGAGGATCTCTTCTGCCAAGTAAGCCAGATTGGTAGACTTGGCTTTCCATCCATTTCCCCATGTGCCTGTATGGGTGGGACACTAGAGAATAAATAATGCAGGAAATTCAGGGCCCTGTATTCCTAGGTTCATTCCTATAAGAATTGCTTCATCTAATCTCTTCATTTTACTGATGAGGAAATCAAGAAGCTGTAACTCACAGCTGGATTCTAGTCAAGCCAGATAGGAGCTTAGCTCTCTCGACTCTCGGGCCACTGCTCTTTCCTCCTTAAAATTTTGTTGCTTTCCAGGCTCATAGCTGGAGTGGATTTTCACTCTCTTTTAAAATTTATTTTTTAGAGACAGCGTCTTGCTCTGTCACCCAGGTTGGAGTGTAATGGTGCGATCATAGCTCACTGTAGTCTTGAACTTCTGGGCTCAAGGGATCTTTACACCTCAGTCTCCTGAGTAGCTAGGACTACAGATGCATGCCATCATGCCTAGCTAGAGGAGTGGATCCTCTGTGCCTTTTCCTTTTGTTCTATGCAGTCATGGCTCATTTGGGGTGAGCCTAATCTGTCTTCTTACCCTTGGGTCCCAGCTAATGTCTGGTCCTCTCTGTACATGCCATTCTCTGCAAACTTCCCCCAGTGGCTTGTGGTCGGAACCAATGCTTATTTGGGATGAATAATTCAGTTGCCTGGATCTAAATGGCAGAAAGCTTTGGAGTGTGGAGCGTGAAGCCACGACATGTTCTCTCAGTTTTGGGAAGGCTCAGAACCCAAGTTCCAGCAGAAAAGCCAACTCTGAGCTAGGCCAGAAACCAAGAGGGCCTTGGGGCCTGGAGACTCCAACCAATCTCCTCTCCAGCAGCTAGAGTCTGCAAGGACAGTCTGAGGAGTGTCCTGGTGCCTTACACTCATGGTTGTAGGTTGAGTTAAAGGGTGACTATAAGGCTTGTGTCTCTAGGATCCAATGATATTGGGCTCCAAAGGTATAAACAAAGTGGGTGGCCAAAGGCAGAAGCCTTAAGGGGAATGTGGGGAGCCAAGATACAAAAGAGTGTCGGAAACCAGACAAGAGCTCCTAGAGAATGTGTGTGTGTGCAGGTCTGTCCTGTCTCTGCCAAGACCATGTGGGCATCTCACTGAAGCTTCCCAGCAATTATTTGAGGTAGATGTTATTTTCCCCATTTCAAAGGCCAAAAAACTGAGTCTTGGAGAAGTTATTTGCCAAAGTCACACACCTGGAAAATGTCAGAGTCAAGACCAGAGGAGCCCAAGCCTTCTAACTCCACAGCTCATGTTCTATCCAGCTCACCATGCTGCCTTATAGACAGGTCAATCTGTGTTTACCAGAGAACTCAGACTGACATATGTGGCATGAGTCACACAGCCAACTATGCAGTCCTAGGGCTGGAAGGACACCACTAGTCATCTAGTCCAACTCTAAGTAGACTGATTTCCTTGGCCACAGTGGTTCTCACATCATGCCCTGAATTGGGGCCTTGGAGATTTCAATGGGGACAGAGAAGGAGGATGGACACAGGTCACCTGCGGTTTCCACTCATCTCTCAAACCCCCATCCCTCCAACCAGAGCTACCTGTTTCTTTGAGTTGGGATAGGGTTTAGACAACCTCAGTTCTTCCAGGAGCTCCAGCCTCTGCTTCAATACCCTGCATAAAAGGGAACTGCCCTAGAGCCAAGCAGGTAAAGATGCGTGGGCAGTGCTCATGAAGTTGTCTTCTTGTCTGAAGAGCCCTGCACCACAAATAAAAATGTGATGAGCTAAGCCTAGTACAAATGGCTGCCTTAGAATTTCCTCACATTCATTCATTCACTTGAGAATCATTAAATTATAACCACTGTACATCTGATCCAGCAATCTGGTTTTTACAGAGGCCCCAGTAGATTATGCTGTGGGACAAACAGGATAATCTCTCTGATGTCACCCTCAAAAGATTAAAGAAGAACACCTTTAAATCACAGCTAGTGATCTATCAGGCATAAACTTATCTCAGCTTTTTAATAGAGGTGCTATTTATGTTTTTGGCTGTCTTTACCTCTTGATATAACAGGTTCAGTAAGTTGCCACCACCTAGGCACTTCCTTTTACCTGCCCTATGTTTACCTCTCTCACTTTCCAGGGGTAACCCCCGGGGTGCTGTGTGTTGGTAAACATGCTCAACCTGCTGTGGCTGAAGCACTAGTTTAACAAATAATTCTTGAATTGACAGTCCAGACAAATGGTGTCATCGTAAATGCATATTGGCCAGATTTTCAGTCCGTTAAAATCCTTTCTAGGGGAGGGGCCACCAATGTTCTGGAATTTTGGACATGCTGAGCAGTTTTTCTATTATTTAGACAACTTTTGAATCCTCAGACAACTTTCAAACCCTTGGCATTTCTGAGTGGCTGGAGTAGGGGGTGTTGATTGCTTCTCATCTGTTACCTGGGTTCTTTCATATATCCTCACCTCTGTCTCGCTAGCCAACATATGTACATTTAGACACATTTAAGCAATCTATTATCTTTCAATATACCGAGACCAGAAAAATTTCATTCTGATGACCTCTGCACAAGCTGTTGGCAATTCCAGGACCTCTTTGATGCGTTCTAATATACCCCACTCTAGACATGCCTCAGTTTATAGGCATCACAAGGAAGAAGGGTATCACAGAGGAAGAAGGTTATAGTTCTGGATGAAGGATTTCTGAAAGCTAAGAGTATAATTATTTAAGTTCCAAAAAGTTTAACCCTTTGCAACCCAAGTTTCTTCATCTAGATCAGCACAGATCCAGGGTTCAAAATATGGCTTCACAAACTATAACAAGTATTTCCCTGTTTGGGTCCCATCTGCTAGCATGAAACTGTGATGAACATTAAGAGGAGCTGCTTCATCTCCTGCAGTGGGATGTTGTCTGATGGCTCCAACATTGTCCCTCTGCACGTTGTACCAAGGCCAGATTTCTCATGTTCTCTTCCCAGCCAATGATTGAACATGGTGGCGTTCCTGCAGGACCTGGGTCTCCTCAACCAGGAGATGCTGCCTCAAGAACTCCCCAGAAGCCTGGCTGAAACTTTCTTGGAATAAGGCTACAGTCTGAGACTCTTCCTACTTAATCCTCCTTCACAGGGGTCAGACCTACATCATGGTCTGATGGTTTTCCCAGCGTTGTTGGCTTCTTCCTTCTTCTCCTTCACAGGCAGTGCCCTCAATAAATGCTTTGCTCATCTAATCCTGACTTAGTGTCTACTTTTTGGGGGACCTGAACTAACACAAGAAACTGTAGACTTCTCTCCTTTAAAGTCAGGCTTCACCACATTCCCAGCTGTTTCCAGCAAGCATCTCACATGTGTTCATGAACATGGGCTACACAACATCCACTCTCTTCCTCCCGTCCTGTGCTGCTCCAGCTTCCTGGAGAGATGCCTGCATCACAGTCTTTGATATTCCCAAGCTTCATGGGGTCTCCACTGATGCTAACACCTCTTCTTCTATTTGTGGAGCCCCTGATACCCACTTTCTGCAGATGTATCAGAAGCCAGGGTATACCAGAACCCTCTGATGATCTGAAGCTATGCCCACTGCAGATGGATGCATCTAAGCCTACATGCTATGATAAGTCCCTTACCTTCGTTCATTACAAGGGTTCCCATGTAGAGCTGGATGGTGCTCCCATTGTCACATATTACCTTTTGTGAGAAGAGGTCATTCAGTTTTTGCCCAGTTCCCTTCCTTTAGAACGTAGACTCAGTCCTGAGCTGAAAGAACAGCTTGATGACAGATGTGCTACATTTAAACCATTCTCCTTTTCTGACTCTAGAAGAGTCTAACTTCCCTCTCTTTGGATGACTGTTTTCCTACAAGACTCCTTATTCCTTATTCCTTCATTCAAAGGATCTTCTTATGAGTCTTTAATACATATTAATTCTGTAGTGATAATAGCAAAGGCTCAAACCGGGCCTACCATATTCTGGGTTGCTCTATGTGGGGTTTTGTGGATTCATCTGTTTGTATGTGTGTTACATGTGTATGTGTGTGGCAAAACACGTGTAATTCTTACATTCCATCTTGCCTCTCCTTCCCACCTCATGACACCCCCATCTGTCACAGCCTCCATAGCCTTCCCTGCTCTTTCAGCTGCCAGCCTCCACCCCACAACCCCATGCTCTTCTATTGTTGCCAGTATTTCCACTTGACTGGTTTTGGGGTCTTTTTTTTCATTATTTTGTGTTTCAAAACATTTTGGGGGAACTTGTAGAGTCAAAGTTGTGCTAAAATGTAAAAAGTTAAAGACATTGGCGTACAGCAAAGTAAAGTTTACAATACTTTGTTTGTAGGTAATACTCAAGTTAAGGAAGAAGGAAACTGAAATAATCTAGTGTTTACCCAGGGAACAGCACTGGAGAAGCCACTCTGAGTAGGCATGGCAGATTTCCAGAAACAATAACAAGCACAACTGATGAAATTTTTTGACTGATAAATGTACACATGCCAAAATAGACACACGTTATAACAGACACTATTGACCCCACCAGATCCCCTTGGACCCCTTGACTGTTTTATGTGTGCTGTTTCCCTGGCTTTTGTGTGTTTTTACCTCCAATGACTTGTGACTATGAACTTTTCTTTGGAATATTTCCCTCAGGTTACTGGAACACTTTACCCGCACATGCACAGAGCCAGAAGTACCAGGAATTTTGCACCTCCCCAAGCCACTCTTATCTTATGATTAGCTGGTTTCGTAGCATGAAAGCCCAGCTCCCTGGCCTCAGGTTGGGATAAATTTAAAAAGATATGTGTAAATAGAGATTTATGCCTTGTTGCTGCATTAAAAACTCAATATCGAAAATTGTGAGTTCTCAAATTAATATGTAAATTTAATAAAATTTCCATCAAAATTTTAATGGAATTTTTGGGAATAGATACAATTAAAAATCTAAAATTTATCCAAAACAACAAAGGTAAAAACACCCCCAAAAAAAAATTTGTAAAAAAAAAATAGAGAACTAAGGAAGTCTTCTTTCACCAGATATTAAAATGTATTACACAATTACGGCAATTGACTGTAAGTACTGAATGACATGGTTCTTGGTTCTGGTGTAAAAATATAAAGAGGGGCAGAACAGAATAAAAATTCCAGAAACAGACCCAAATATTTATACAATCATTTAGAGTATGATAATGGTAATGGTTTATATCATTATGAAAATATTACTCAAGTAATGATGTTGGAAATAACATGATAACTCACCCCCAAATTAAATACATTCCAAGTGAATTTAAGTTTTAAAAAGAACCTTTGTCTTCTAGCAATAATAGGCTAGGCAATTCAGATCAACGCTCCTGCTAAAAACAATCAGAAAACCTGAAAAAGTATAAAATACACCTCCTTGAAGGTATCTGAGAGCCAAAAAGTCAGTGAAAAATAATAAGGTCAAGATCTAAGAGATGAAGGAAACTCAGAGAGGTAAACACAGCATCTGGGGATGCTTTACCCCTGGAGGTGTTGGCCAGTTTCAAAGTAGATGGCTGAGAGGCTGTAGACTACAACACTTTTGAGACCCTTAAGGAGCTAAGAGAATGAAAACTGGAGTAAAGGACAATTTGGAAAGGAAAGCCTCTAGTAAACTCCCAGTACATTGGTTTGGATTCCTGAAGGGCTATGCCTGAATAGTGAGTGTGGAAGTAGATAAGCCCTCATACTGAACAGTTTCCAGTCATTTCCAACCCTGATTGTATTGGGTTGATCCTGGATTGTTATAACCCTAAGCAACATCCTAGAAGTACAGGCATATTTTGTTTTATGTGCTTTGTTTTATTGGACTTCTTTTGATTGCACTTTCCAGATATTGTTTTTTTTTTAATAAATTGAAGGTTTGTAGCAACGCTGCATTGAGGAAGTCTATCAGTGCCATTTTCCCAGCAGCATGTGCTCACTTAATGTCTCTGGGTCACATTTTGGTAATTCTTGCAATATTTCAAACTTTATTGTTATTATTATGTCTGTTGTGGTGATCTGTGATCAGTGATCTTTGATGTTACTATCATAATTGTTTGGGGGCCCTGCAAACTGTACCCATATAAGATGGTGAACTTAATTGATAAATGTGTATGTTCTGACTGCTATGACTGGCCGTTCCTCCATCTCTCTCCCTCTCTTTCAACCTCTCTATTCCCTGAGACACAACAATATTGAAATTAGGCCAATTAATAACTCTTCAATGGCCTCTAAGTGTCCAAGTGAAAGGAAGAGTTGCATATCTCTCACTTTATATAAAAAGCTAGAAATAATTATAGCTTAGTTAGAGGAAGACATTTTGAAAGCCAACATAGGCTGAAAAGTAGGCCTTTTGTGCTAAATAGTTGGCCCAGTGTGAATGTTAAAAAAAAAAAAAAGGTCTTGAAGAAAATTAAAAGTGCTACTCCAATGAACACACAAATGATGAGAAAAGCCTTATTACTGATGTAGAGGAAGTTTCAGTGGTCTGGGTAGAAGACCAAATCAGCCACAACGTTCCCTTAAGCCAAAGTCTGATCCAGAGCAAGGCCCTAACTCTCTTCAATTTTATGAAGGCTAAAAGAGGTGAAAAAAACTGCAGAAGAAAAATTGGAACCTAGCAGAGGTTAGTCCATGAGGTTTAGAGAAAAAAGCCATCTCCATAACGTAAAAGTGCAAGGTAAAGCAGCAAGTGCTGATGGAGAAGCTGCAACAAATTATTCAGATCTAGCTAAAATCATTGATGAAGCTGGCGTGCTAAAACAACAGATTTTTGAAGTAGAAAAAAACAGCCTTCTATTGAAAGAAGATGCCATCTAGAACTTTCATAGCTAAAGAGAAGTTAATGTTGGCTTCAAAGAACAGGCTGACTTTCTTCTTAGGGGCTAATGTAGCTGGTGACTAAATTGAAGCCAATGCTCACTTACCATTCCAAAAGCCCTAGGGCCCTTGGGAAGTATGCTAAAGCTATCCGGCCTGTGCTCTATAAATAAAACAACAAAGCCTGAATGACAGCATATCTGTTTACAGCATGGCTTACTGAATATTTAAAGCCCACTTTTGAGATCTACTTCTCAGAAAAAAAATTTCTTTGAAAATATTACTGCTCATTGATAATGCACTGGTCACCCAAAAGCTCCAACAGAAATGTACAGGGATGTATATTAATGTTGTTCTAATGGCTGCTAATGCAACATCCATTCCGTACCTCTTGGACAAAGAAATAATTTGATTTTCAGGTTTCACTATTAAATAAATACATTATGTAAGATTATAGCTGCCATAAAGCATGACTCTTCTGTCAGATCTGGGCAAAGTAAATTGAAAAGCATCTGAAAAGGATTCACCACTTTAGATGCCATTAAGAATATTTATGATTAGGCCGGGTGCAGTGGCTCATGCCTGTAATCCCAGCACTTTGGGAGGCCAAGGTGAGCAGATCACAAGGTCAGGAGATCAAGACCATCCTGGCTAACAAGGTGAAACCCCGTCTCTACTAAAAATACAAAAAATTAGCTGGGCATGGTGGTGGGTGCCTGTGGTCCCAGCTGCTCAGGAGGCTGAGGGAGGAGAATGGCATGAACCCAGCAGGCAGAGCTTGCAGTGAGCCAAGATAGTGCCACTGCACTCCAGTCTGAGTGACAGAGTGAGACTCTGTCTCAAAAAAAAAAAAAAAAAAGAATATTTATGATTCATGGGAGGAGGTCAAAATAATAATATTAATAGAAGTTTGTAAAAGGTGGATTCCAACCATCATGAATGACTTTGAAGGGATCAAGACTTCAGTGGAGGAAGTAACTGCAGATGTGGTAGAAATGGCAAGAGAACTAGAATTAGAAATGGAGTCTGAAGATGTGACTGACTTGCTGAAACCTCACAATAAAACTCGAACAGATGAAGAGTTGCTTCTAATGGATAAGAAAAGAAGTGGTTTCTTTAGATGGAATGCACTACTCCTGGTGAAGATGCTGTGAACATTGTTGAAATGACAACAAAGGATTGAGAGTGTTTCATAATCTCAGTTGACAAAGCAGCAGCAGGGTTTGAGAGGATTACTCCAATTTTGAAGAAGCTCTATGGTAGGTAAAATGCTATCAAACATTATGGTACATTAGAGAGAAACCTCTCAATCAATTCAGCAAATTTCATTGTCAACTTATTTTAAGAAATTGCCACAGCAACCTCAACCTTCAGCAACCACCACCCTGATCAATCAGTAGTTATCAATATCAAAGCAAGACCTTTTACCAGCACAAAAGATTATGACTCACTGAAGGCTGAGATGATTATTGGCATTTTTCAGCAATAAAGTATTGTAAAATCAATGTATGCATGTTGTTTTCTTACATAAAATGCTATTGTACATTTAATGGACTACAGGACAGTATAAACATAACTTACGTATTCCCTGGGAAACAAAAAAATTGTATTACTTGTTTTGTTAAAATATTCACTTTATTGCCATAGTCTGTAACTGAAACCACAATATCTATGAAGTATGCCTGTAAATATAAATAATTTCTGAGGAAGGACTGCACCTTGTCAGCCTCAAATTATTGTATATTGCATATGCGTCTGAAACGCAATTAAAAAAATAACCAAGCACACAATGATACCAGATGATTTTATTAAAACTCATGGAAAACATGAGACAATAGAAATAGATCCAGAGAAGATACAGAAAATAGAGTTACCACAGATTTAAAATAATTGTGCTTACTTTATTTGAGATAAAATACAAGACTGATAATTTTGTAGTGGGTTAGAAACTAGAAAAACCCTTAATAAATGGAAATTCTAAAACTAAAAATAAGTGAAATTAAGAACTCAATGAATGAATTTAATCAGAATTTAGACAAAGTTGAAGAGAGATTTAGTAAACTGGAAGATAGCTCAGAATAAAGCACAGAAAGGAGGGGGAAAATGGAAGAACACAAAAAAGAGCATTAAAAACAGAGGATATAGCAAAAAGTTTTAACATATGTATAAAAGGGGCTTCTCAAAGTAAGGAGAAGCCCAAATGAAGTAGAAGCAATATTTGAAGAGATAATGGCTGATAATTGCCTAAAACTAATGAAAGAAAATCAAGCCACAGATTTCAGAAGCACTCAAAATTCAAAGCATGAAAAATAAAATTAAAATTATCATAGTAAAACTTCTCAAAGTAAGGACTAAGAAGAAATATTGAAAGTAGCCAGGGAAAAAGAGAGATACCTTCCAAGGCATAACAAACTGTTCCCTGACTTTTCAACTGTAACAAGGGCTAGAAGACGATGGAATGGTATCTTCAAAATACTGAAGGAAAACAATTGCCAAAGAATAATTCTAAATGTCACTAAAAGAAGTGAGACATGTTATGTTACAACAGATCAAAACTAAGAGGTTGTTCTTCACACAGAAGAAAAATTAACTCAGATTGAAAATCAGAGATGCAAGAAAAAATAAAGAGCACAAAAAGGGTGTGACTAATTTAATTTAATTTAATGTGACTAATTTAATTGACCATTGACTATATAAAACAATAATAATAATGGATTAGGGTAAAATACAATAATAATATATTTTTATATGTAATATATATAATAATCCCTTAGGGTAAAATATACATAAAGAACTAAACAGCAATAATTACATATAAGTCATGAGGGAATAAACGAAGTGAAAAGCTTCTAAGGTTCTTGCATTACCTTGGAAAAGAGTAGAAATATCAAGCAACGTTAGACTTTAAGTGAAGAATGTATATTGTAGTCACTGAGGTAAGCACAAATAGAAAAGCAAAATTATATAAAACTACCAAGCTAATGGAAGAGGGGAATGGAATAATAAATAATATGGAGTCCCAAAAAAGGCAAGAAAGAAGTAAGGAATATAGATCAGTAAGAAAAAGGAGAAGTAAAAGGGCAGATTAGATCTAAACACATTAATAACTACATTTAATATAAGTAAACTAAAACGACCAATTAAAGGATAAAGTTTGTCAGGCAGGATTTAAAAAAAATTACAACATGTTGCTTACAAAACACTCATCTAAAGCACAAAGAGGCCGGGTGTGGTGGCTTACGCCTGTAATCCCAGCACTTTGGGAGGCAGAGGCGGGTGGATCACCTGAGGTCAGAAGTTCGAGACCAGCCCAGCTAACATGGTGAAACCCCATCTCTACTAAAAATATAAAAATTAGGTGGGCATGGTGTAGGGCACCTGTAATTCCAGCTACTCGGGAGGCTGAGGCAGGAGAATCGCTTGAACCCAGGAGGCGGAGGTTGCAGTGAGCCAAGACCACGCCATTGTACTCCAGCCTGGGCAACAAGAGTGAAACTCTGTCCAAATAAAATAAAATAATAAAATAAAATAAAATAAAGTGCAAAGATATAGAAACGAATGGAAAAAGGAAGCTGCAGTAGTTATATTAATATCATGAAAATTAGATTTTCATGATATTATATATCATATAGGCAAAAGTATTATTACAGATGAAGAGAGATAATTCATAATGATAAAAATGTGCAGTATGCTGGGAAGATTTTGCACTTCTAGGATTGTATGTCTTTAATAACAGAGGTGAAAATACACAGAGCAAAATTTACCAGAACTACAAAATAAAAGTTTTTCAAAGTATCTGTGGTGAAGGAACATTTAAAATTTTCTAATCTGCTGCAGATTAATACTCCTATAAAATCACAATAAAAATTGACTAATAGAGAAAATGAAAAACACACACACGAAATACAGATTCGCTAATCATAATGCATAGATGTCACAGCAATGTCAAATTGCTAATAAAGTTGCTAAATGGTTGTTTCAATTTACAGTGCGTTCCAAGAACACACTAACTTATGTGCTCTTGGACAGGTGACAGTTTGGAGACTACCACTGGCCAGCAGAACACATTTTGAATAGCACTGAAACAGAAAAAGCCACAGTTGCTGTAGGAGACTTTCCACTGCTGAGATTGCAGTGAGCTGAGATAACATCACTGCACTCCAGCGTGGGCAACAAAGTGAGACCTTGTCTCAAAACAACAACAACAACAACAACTCCAAAAGCAATCATAATAATCAGTGGTGAATGATGAGTGTGCACGAGTTATGTGTACTTTTCACATGACACATAAACAAAAATTGTCTCTATGGTATAAGATGGAAATCATACCAAATACGTTCTCAGGAGTGGAAGTAGGCTAGAAACCAATTTTTTTTTCAAAAAAAGATTAGCTGGAAATCCTCTCTGTATTTGGACATTTAAAACTACACATTAAATAATCTATGGGTTAAAGAAGAAATCACAATGGAAAAGTCACGCATACCAAAACTTCTAAGATCCAGTTTAAGTCATGCTTAGAGAGCCATACATACCTTAAGTGAACATATTAAAAAAGAAGATGAGTTGGATATCAGTACTCTCAGCATTCATCTTAAGAAACTGGTGAAGTACAGTCAATGAACCCCAAAGAGAGTATAAGAAAAGACATCTTGGCCAGGCGCGGTGGCTCACGCCTGTAATCCCAGCACTTTGGGAGGCCGAGACGGGCGGATCACGAGGTCAGGAGATCGAGACCATCCCGGCTAAAACGGTGAAACCCCGTCTCTACTAAAAATACAAAAATTAGCCGGGCATGGTGGTGCGCGCCTGTAGTCCCAGCTACACGGGAGGCTGAGGCAGGAGAATGGCGTGAACCCGGGAGGCGGAGCTTGCAGTGAGTCGAGATCGCGCCACTGCACTCCAGCATGGGCGACAGAGCGAAATTCCGTCTCAAAAAAAAAAAAAAAAAAAAAAAAAAGAAAAGACATCTTAAAGAGCAGGGCCAAAAGAGGTTAAATATAAAATGAAAATTATAAGAAATCACAATAGTACTTAAAGAAAATATGAGGTTTTTTAAATAGTAGGGGTGCAAATAGCCCTTCTAAATATGGCAGCAAAGACAGAAACTACAAAGGGAAAAAGATAATGCAATTAGACTATTTACTTAAAAAAAAAATCTATGTCGAAATCACTACAGACAATACTAAAAGACAAATGACCACACAGGCAAAATATTTGCAAATTATATGACAAGAAGTCTGTATCATTTCTATGCAAAGAGCATATGCAAAATCAATACATAAAAGGAAAACATTCCAATAGAAAAAAATAGCCACAAGACGTGTACTGGCACTTGCAAAAGCACGATACATAAATGGTTCATAAACATATTAAAATACCCAATCTCACTAATAATCCAAGAAATAGAGTAATGTCTAATCTCACTGACAACACAGAGTTTTCAAATACGAGCTTTTATTTTCACCCATGATTATACTTACAATAAAACCAAAAGCAGCTAGGCATGGTGGCTCACACTTGTAATCCCAGGACTTTGGGAAGCTGAGGAAGGTGGATTGCTTGAGCTCAGGATTTCAAGACCAGTCTGGGCAACATAGTGAGACCCCATCTCTAAAAAAAATTAGCAGGGTGGCACATGCCTGTAGTCCCAGCTACTCAGGAGGTTGAGGTGGGAGGATCACCTAAGCCTGGGAAGCTGAGATTGCAGAGAGCTGAGATAACATCACTGCACTCCAGCCTGGGCAACAAAGTGAGCCCTTGTCTCAAAACAACAACAACAACAACAAACCCCAAAAGCAATAATAATAATAATAATAATCAGTGGTGAATGATGAGTGTGCAGGAGTTATGTGTGAGGTATAGAAAAGGGGCTATTTTTCCAGAGAGAAATTTAACAATATGTATCAAAAGACTTAAATGGAAACCACTCAACTCAGGAAATTCATTTCTTAGAATTTGGCCTTGGGAAATAATCATGGATACATGCAAAGATGTTTTTACAAGTATGTTTATTATCGCATTGTTTATAATAGCCAAAAAAAAGTGAACTATATAAATATCCAAAATTAGAGAAGGTTAATAAACATTTGGCACCACACTAAACAGAGTAGAGGAACACAATTTACCCATTAAAAATGATAAAGTGAGAGAATATTCAGCAAAATGAAAAGTGATATATGAAATATTGGTAAGGGAATAAAGTAGATTGTGAAATATTGTGATCTCACTTTTGTTGTATACAGTTAGGATAGGCAGCAATTTTAAAAAATTGTTTTTAGAGGTCATTTTAATTTTGTTCACTTTTACTTCTCTGTATTTTATAAAACATTTAAAGCAAACACGTTTTGCTTAGAAAGAAAGAGAAAGAAAGAAAAGAAAGAGAGAAAGAAAGAGAGAGAGAGAGAGAGAGAAAGAAAGAAAGAAAGAAAGAAAGAAAGAAAGAAAGAAAGAAAGAAAGAAAGAAAGAAAGAAAAAGGAAGGAAGGAAGGAAGGAATAGAGGCAGGCTTTCACTATGTTGCCCAGGCTGATCTCAAACTCCTGAGCTCAACTGATCCACCCACCTTGGCTTCCCAAAGTGCTGAGATTATACAGGTGTGAGCCACCCTGCTGCCCAACATATGTTACTTTTCGTAGGAAAAATGGTCCTGAAAAAAAACTTCCGGTTTTGAAATGTTATCTTTGCTTCCAAATTTCAAATGAAATGCAGAGGAAGCACATGTACAATTCATTGCTTACTGACTTGGCCCTTGTTCTGCAGAGTTCACTTGGTCATATAGTAAACTTGTTTTCACACTAACATTTGACATAGAAATTGAAAGAAAACACTGAACTTGTTTTTACCACATTTGGAGCAGCAGCTTTTTTATTGTAATTTTTTTAGCTTATCAAGATAAGTGGTTTCCTACAGGATACTGAACATCATTTCCAAGGCACGACATTTCTCATAAAGGTAATCTATTCACTCATGCAATAAATATTTATTAGGCATATTTCTGTGTTCGGCCCTGTGCTAAAGACTGAGAATACAGTGATGGACTAGACCAGCCACCACTGCCCTTGTGGGGCTCAAGGTCCAGGGTCTCTCCTATCAGATGCGTCACACTTGACGATCCAACACTCAGGCCACAGTGTGGGCAATTTTCAAATGGAGACCACTCCGCCCAAATTCCTGAGCCCTTCAGCACACACTGAGTGCACCAGAAGCAAATGTATTAGCAGAAGTGTGCAAGCAGTCCTTCAGAAATGAGGAAGTCACTCTCTTCCTGAAAAGTAAAATATCAGCTTTTCTCAACTATTTCTGGAACTAAATTTTAAAAATTTGAGTCTTGTCTTGAAAGAGTTAAGAAAAGTAAATAAATGAAGCTGCCAACACTCTCTCACCCTCAAGGATGTGAGGAAAGAGTGTATTTATGAAAGGGAACCAGAAGGACTGTGCTCACTGGCTGATAGACAACGCAAGTAGGAATTCATTTCCCAACAATGACTCAGCAGAATCACAGATATAATGTAGGCCCAGGATTGAACGAGGAGAGTCATACACAGGTCATAACACAGCATGAAAGTAATGAATATTTGTACACCCAGTTTTCTCTCAATTTGTTTCCTGCTCAGAAAGTTCAAATGCCAATCTGTCCAAAGCCAGATGTTGTGGTAACCCCAAGTTCAGGTGAAGCTGGATCAGCAGGTCTTAGTGAAATTGCATAGACATGCAGCAACTCAGGCTGTCACAGATGTGGAGATGGTCTGCCAGGCCTGGGAGTAAGAGGTTTGGTCCAGATGAGATGGGGATTGCTTTGTTTATCTATTGCTATGTTTAAAAAACAAACAAACAAACGAACAAAAAACCCACAAAACTTAGCGGCTTAAAACAAATACAGACATACAGAATTTCTTAATTTTTCATGAGTCTGAGGGCTGAACCCGCTCCACTGGGCAGCCTTCCTGCTTCACGTGCTGCAGTACACATGCAGTCACACGGCTGCCTTCATCTGGAGCTTGGCTCCGGCTGATAGTCCAAGGTGGCATCTCATGCTTCAGTGCCTCTCTCCGTGCAGCCTATCAATACTCAAGAAACCACCTGAGCAATATTACAATATGGCAGATGACTTCATGCATGGGCACCAGTGGGGTTCCTGCTTGCATCCTATTTGCTAATGTTTCTTTGGACAAAGCAAGTCACATCGCCCATTCCAGAGTCAATGCAGGAGGTGCTACACAAGCTGTGACTCTTTTGCGCTGTGGTTTATTGGGGCCCTCAATCTAACAGTTTACCACAGGGACCAAGACCAGGAAACGGGTGGGATGAGGATGTGAAAGGGGGATGTGGTGCAGGGATGTGGTGGGGCGGAGGCCACAATAGGAATGTGGCCACCACCCAAGACAATAGCATAATTGGAGTTAGGAGTGGGGACACGGAGATCAAGGTGAAGAGATAAACAGAGGGACTGTGGCTGGTCAAACAGCCTACAGCATGAGCAGAAGAGCAGAGTAAAACCCAAGAAACCAGGTAGGAGGTGGCAAGGCAGAAACTAAGCAAGAATGGGGGGAATAATGCTGAATTCTCGTAAAGAGAAACATTGGGAAGAAAACACAAATCCCTGGTGCCATTTTTATTTTTTAAATGAGGGAGCTTAGATTTTCCAATGAGCCCCTACGATATACTCTTTCTAGTTTAGGAGAGATGACAGCTTTGGGTGGTCAGGGGCTCCCTGGAGCCCTCCCTGGGCCCTGCTGCTCCTCGCACTCATCTTTTCCTGGTTCTCCAGCCCCTCCCTTCTCTGTCCCAAACATTGGCTCAGGTATTCCAACTTTGAAGATATGTTTTTAATGTGGTTTTATATGTTTTAAATGTTTGTAAAAAGTGGAATATCAGTAATTTAACCAGTAGACTTACATAGTAAGAGGGGAGGAGTCTCACTGTGGTTTACAAACTCTCATATGATTCTCTGACCTCATCTTCCGCCCACCCCCCACCCCCACCCTCCACCCGTAGTCTCTGTAGCTGCACTGGCCAATTGTTCTACAAAGGGGCCTTTTACCTGCCACATAGCACCTGTCTGGGTATCTCTCCCCCCACATACATACACGGCTCCCCCATTTTTTTCATATCTTTCCTAATGTGTAATCTCACTGATTATTTCCCTAGCCATTTTTCTGACATTATTTAACATTGCAACCTACCCTTTCTCCACACATCACTATTCTTTTTCTGTGCTGTGTTTTTCTAGAGAGCCCCTCACACCATGTAACAATACATATATTTGTTTGTTTTTGTTGTTGTTTGATTTATTTTGCATCTTTCCACAATCCCAGGATGATTCTAATATGCAGTAAAGTTCACAAGGAGCAGGTTTAGGGCACGGGGTTCAGTTACTCAGAACTCTATTCCAGTTCTGCCTTGCAGCTGAGAGCACCCATGATCTTGGGCAGTTCCTTAACTTCTGAGGACCTCATCTGTAAAATGCAAGTCATGAAAGTTCTTCTTATCTGCTAGGTTCCTGTGAAGATTACATGAGACTTGCAAGCATGGAGCTCAAGCTCATGGTGCCCGGCACGTGGTAAGTGCTGAGTGGCCAAAAGGTTTTTGTGGGAGGGGATTTGGGTCTCCCATTCTGTGATGGTTGTGTCGACCCTTCTTGAGAACAGCATGTGGGGTTAAGCACTCCTGGCTGCAGTGACTGTCTTTTTTTCCGTCGGCAGAGATTGTTAGGGTTGCTTAGCAAAGCACTTGCTTGTCCTTTTAGAGCCCAGTCTCCTGGTGTCAATAAATTCATAATTGTTCATTAGATCACATCGATGTCTTAGAGCAAAGTAAAGAATATTGAAATAGTAGTTGCCAAAGGTCTCTGGCTAGGTAACAGCCACAGGAGAAAATGGATGCTATGAATTTCCTTTTGATACACATTAATTATATTCGAGTTTCTCATTGGAAAATCACTTGAAAGAAGTATGTCAAAGCTTTTCTGGCTGGGTGCAGTGGCTCATGCCTGTAATCCCAGCACTTTGGGAGGCTGAGGCAGGTGGATCACTTGAGGTCAGGAGTTCGAGACCAGCCTGGCCAACATGGAAAAACTCCATCTCTACTAAAAATACAAAAAAAATTAGCCAGGCATGGTGGCAGGCACCTGTAATTTCAGCTACTCAGGAGGCTGAGGTGGGAGAATCAATTGAACCCAGGAGGCAGAGGTTGCAGTGAGCTGAGATTGTGCCACTGTACTCCAGCCTGGACAACAGAAACTCTGTCTCAAAAAAAAAAAAAAAAGCTTTTATTTTTTAAACTTTCTTTCTAACAGAGAGAGCATCGCAGCAAATCACCCAAGGCTACGGCATTAGGCACCTCACTTCCTGAGGACCTTCAGGTTTGTCCAAGGAGCATTTCTAGGATCTCATGATGGTGCCAGCTATTTTGTTTATTTCAGAACCTCTTCTCAGGGAGCCTTATATTAAAGTGAATTCTCAGTAGAAACAATTTTTCTCCAGCTTATCCTTCCTGGAAAGATCTGATAGGAGTAAAAGAGAAAGTATTTTTTAAAACGGTTTATTCATTACTCATTTAAAACATTAAAGTATTTATGGAGCTCTGCTGACATGGAGGAGCCCAGGCTGGCCTTCACGGAGTTTACATTCTATCAGAGTGACCTATCAGATTTGCATGCAGTGAAGTGCAGTAAAGTTTGCTAAGTGCTACTATAACAGTATAAACAAAGCATTCAGAAAGAGTGATTACTTACAGCTGGATATGGAGGAGGCATTCTCAACAGCTTTACAGAAGAGAGATTTTACCAGACCCAGAAGAGAGAGAGGATCATTCAAGTGACAGGATCAGCAAAGGCAGAGCCACAGGGCTAGGACAACAGGCTGCCCATTTGAAGGAGATGAGAACAGCAGCCTGGTGTGGCTCTCCCAGGGCCACAAGAGGAGTCACCAGAGATGGTGCTAGAGAGGCTGATGAGGATAGGTTTGAAGAGCTGGAAGAGTCTACTTAGAAATTTGAAATTCATTCTCCAGGCAATCGGGAGCCATTGAAACATTTTGAGCAAAACCAGGTCATGACTAGATCTGTGATTAAGGAAGATCACTCTGAGACAGGTCCTCAGTCCTTGACCAGGCAGCACAGTTGACAATGTGGTTAGACATTTTAGCGGTGATGTTGGTGAATTTCCAGGACAGCCTTTGTGGGAATCTGTAAAAAAAATAAAATAAAATAAAATAGAAAACACTTGAGGTAGGAAATATGGTTGCCTGCTTTGCTCTGACCTCGGCCTTTGCTCATTTATCTGCTGGGATTTGATCAGACTCATTCTAGCCTCTTTTTTTGCTCTGCCTCCACCAAGGGTAGTGGTCCTGGCCCCAGGCACTCAGCTTCCCTTCTCCATGAGCTCCCTGCTCTAGATACTGAGGCTCAAGACAGCAAGTCAAGTCATTTATGTTGAGTGAATGTCATGCATGAGGAATCGTGTTGTGGATGCCATGATGCACTACCCAGATGCCCATCCACGACTGAAGGACTCACCCCCCTCGCTGCTGAGGGTGCTGCCAGCCCACGACCCTCAGCTGTCAGTCTAACTTCACAAGCAGACAGTTCAGGAGAGTCATCCCATCTTCAGAATTCTAAGTCAGGTCAAATGAGACTTTCTTTGAGATTGTACTGCAGCGCGACTTCTTCCTCTGCCCAATCCTGCTTCCTCCCCTTATTTTCCACAGGCACTGGCCCCAAAAATATTCCTTATAAACCTCCTACATGTGAACCTTCATCCCAAGGTGTGCTTCCTAGGAACCCCCATGAAACAGAAAGAACCAGAATCAAGGATTAGAAGACAGTGTGAGTCCATCACACGATGATTGTGTTGTCTCGGATGAACCTCAGCGCTCTCCTTGAGGGCTGGGGCCAGGACTCAATGAGGCTTTCAATGATTTTTGATTCAGATAATGGATGGAACTTTCTTTGTAAATGTTTTAAAAGCCCATGCAATTGTCAGTTATCGTTATTTATAGTTGGAAAGGAGAACAAAGATAACATCGATGGAAAACTGAAAGATGAGACTGGATTCAAAGTTGGAGACCCTGGTGCAGAGAGGGAAGGGGAGAGGATGTCACAATTGCTCAGAGGGGACATAATGAAGATGAGAAGGAGACTAATACTCAGAAATGGGCCATCAAGAGTGTGTGAGGCTTCAGAAATGTCAAGTGGGTTAAGCAATGATGGAAAGTGTTAGATTTAAGAGCAATGCTCACACTCAATTTTCTAGGAATGTTTGATTGGTCATCAGTAGTCTATTTGGAGAAGCATGGAGCAGGAACGTATCTGTCTCCTTTTCCACTATGGACCCTGTGCCTAAGAAGCTGCTGGTACCCAGGGAGCACCTAGCAACTATTTATTATTGTCGAATAATTCTTAGGTGTTTGAAAGCAACATGTATACTTTATTGCTACTAATGAAGACAATTATTGAAGTAGTATGTTGGAAAATTTGTCTGCTACTGACCTCTGCCACACACCTGCGAACACACTCATCTACCTACCCATGCTCTATCCAGCCTGGTTGCTGACTACAAACAGAATTACTTCCCTAGCATCTTGGAAGTTGTTTTTCCTATACACACGACCTAGAAAGAAATCTCTAAGCCTATCCCTATGCTGTTTTGTTTTGTTTTGTTTTGTTTTGTTTTGTTTTGTTTTGTTTTAGTAGAGACGGGGTTTCACCATGCTGGCTAGGCTGGTCTCGAACTCCTGATCTCATGATTTGTTTGCCTCGGCCTCTGAAAGTGTTGGGATCACAGGTGTGAGCCACCACTCCTGGCCCTCCCATACTTCTTTAAGGCCCCTATACCTCTTTGAACATTGATCATTCCTGAAAGAGTATGCAAATGAACCACTAATAAGATGGCATTCTTCTGAATTTAATCAGGAAAAGGTAAACACATGTTATAGAATTAAAGATCTAAACACACATTTTGAGGGATATACTCATAGGATATTGAAGGCAGAGGAATTGTTTCCAAATAAAACAGCCTCCTTTGAAGTGAGAGTACATCAAAGCAAGTTCTTCTTACCTTTGGGAATGTAGCCTTCTTATAAATTTACATGGCCACTTGGATGGGTGATCAGGGCATAATTTTCCCTTCCCATTTTGACCTATTTGGGTTGACGTTTAGTGCATCACCACACAATGATTTGTCTATCTCCCCACTAAACTATGAATTTTTTTAGGGTAAGGACTTTTTCTTTAATCTCTGGTTCCCTGCCACATTGCAAATGACCTGTTGCTTGGGAGACACTAAAAGGATATTGAAGGAAGGGAGAAGAGCAAAGAAAGGGAGGGGAGGCAAATGGAATGGAGTCCAGTTAGACTCATGGCGCTCATTCAAAGTTGTCAAAACACTCAATTCCTGTTGGCCTTGAGGGAGCTTCCTGACTCCCAGAGCACTGGGGGATAGTGAGAAATAGGTAAAATTTGGAATCAGGAGACTTGGGTTTGTGTCCTAGTTATGCCATTTCATGCATGTGTGTCCTTAGATGAGGCATTTAACCCCCAAGCCTCAATATCATCTTCTGTAGATTGAGGATTATTATGTCTACCTTAAAGAGATCTTGAGTGATTAAGTG
Organism: Homo sapiens; assembly: GCF_000001405.40. NCBI lineage: Eukaryota > Metazoa > Chordata > Mammalia > Primates > Hominidae > Homo > Homo sapiens. Next base: position 101,370,107 of record NC_000008.11, on the reverse strand, counting down.
AAATAAAATATGTGAAAGCATTCAACAATTTTTTTTTTTTTTTTTTGAGACAGAGTCTCACTCTGTCACCCAGGCTGGAGTGCCGTGGTGCAATCTCAGCTCACTGCAACCTCCGCCTTCTGGATTCAAGTGATTCTCCTGCCTCAGCCTCCTGAGTAACTGGGATTACAGGTGTGCACCACCATGCCCAGCTAATTTTTGTATTTTTAGTAGAGACAGGGTTTCATCATGTTGGCCAGGCTGGTCTCGAACTCATGACCTCAGATGATCTGCCTGCCTTGGCCTCCCAAAGTGCTGAGATTCAGGCATGAGCCACCGCTCGTAGCAAGCATTCAGCAAATTTTTAAATGCCATTTAATTGTTACCTACCATTATTATTACCCTGAAATCAGAGCCATCTTCCACTGAACTCTCTTTTCTGTTTAATTTGGCAAAATACTGTCTTTTTTTTTTCATCCAACAAGAAGCCATAACTTTATTTATGATAGAAACAGTACAAATTTCAAACCAAGCTGCAGTTACTCATCTGAGACACCAAAAAAGTTGCTTTCAGATGGTTACATTGTTAATTCCATAATAGCATTTACAATATCATTACTGTTCTTCAGGGCTCGGACTGCCTTTGCTCCCCACACATTTGCTTGTGACAGGACCAATTCTATATCCTTAATTTCTACACCTGTTTCATCGACCTCTTCGTCTTCACTGCCCTCTTGTACAGTTGGAGTCTGTGTGTTTTCTTGAATGTTTGAGACAGCTTCACCTTGAACTTTGAATTTCTCAGCAGCTGCTAGTTGTGCTTCCTGAGATAAATCTTCAATCTTGGCTTCCCCAAAAACCATGTAGGTATCCGAAGCGGGCTCTTGTAGACATCTGGTTTTGTGATGACAAAGAGGATATTCTTAGATTTCCGGATGGTGACTCTAGTAACTCCTGTAACCTGTTGAAGACCCAGTTTGAACCTAGCCTTCCGTGCCTTCTTTTCACTCCGCCTCTGTTTTGCTTTACTGACTGGTTCTTCATCAATTTCAGCTGCTACCACCAACTGGACTTGTGCGGTTACCTGGGTGGAATCCTGTTCTTCAAGCTCTGGTACTGACTCATCACTGTCAGATTCTGTTCCAGACCCTGTCTCAGCCTGGGGCTGCAGCAACTGCTGCTCTATAGCAGGGACGGTTTCTGTGGCTTCGCCAGGCATTTTGTGGAGGGAACGTGGAATCAAGATGGCGGCAGAAAGAGAGCCAGAGAGAGCGTGACCCACGTCTGTTGCAGAAGGAAGCCGGACGCCCAAAACACTGTATTTTGATAGAATGCTGTAAAGAAGGGGGGAAAGTCTGATTTTAAATTTATTTTCTCTTCTTGTTCTCAGGATTTCGGTTAAGTGTATTGGATGGTTATCCTCTTTAAAAAACTGAGAGCAACAGTGATTCCAATCAAAGGTTTGCTGTTGGCCTCCAGTTAAATCAGAACCGCTTGAGAACTTTATAAAATACAGATTCCCAAGTCCCAATTCCGAGGACCTCAATTCAATTGTCCTTGAGTGGGGATGGGGAAACCTGTAGCTTAAAAAGCCGCCCAGCTGAGTCTGATGAGAAACCAGGCTAGGAAACCTGGACAGGCTCCTTTTTCCATTTAAAACTGTCAGCACCTGTAATCTGAGCACCTTGGGAGGCCGAGGTGGGCAGATCACCTGATGTCAGGAGTTCGAGACCAGCCTGGCCAACATGGTGAAACCTTGTCTCTACTTAAAAATACAAAAAAATTAGCCAGGCGTGGTGGCGCATGCCTGTAATCCCAGCTACTCGGGAGGCTGAAGCAGGAGAATCACTTGAACCTGTGAGGTGGAGGTTGCAGTGAGCTGAGATCATGCCACTGCACTCCACCCTGGGTGACAGAGTGAGACTCTGTCTCGAAAACAAACAAAGAAAAAACTGTCAGAAAAGCTCCAAGTTCAGGCAAGTGAGTTTTTGAATATGCCCCTTCTACCTGGCTAATTGTCAGCTGAATAAACCCTCACATGCTATGAGGGTTCATGGCATTCAAACTTGTTGTTTGAAACTAGCAATGTTATAGAAATGCCAGCCTCAGCCTGAGCATGCCTTTTCTGTAACAAATTCACAGGTAGGCACATGCACCTAAAATCAAAGCTCTGGAGCTAGAGTGGGAAATACAGGATTAGTAGGGCTCTTAGAAAAAACATTTTGATCTCTTTTGTCTTATTTCCTCAGCTTCAAGAGAAAACGGCATAAGGCATACCTCTGTCTATTTTACAGGGATTTATTATGATTATCATTATTATTATTTATTTCACTGTTTTTTTAGAGACAGGGTCTCACCTTGTCACCCAGGCTGGAGTCCGGTGGTGTGATCATAGTTCACTGCAGCCTCAAACTCCTGGGCTCAAGCAATTCTCCTGCCTCAGCCTCCTGAGTAGCTGGGACTACAGGCATGCACCAGCACACCTGACATGCAGGGATGTTTTGACCTGAAAATGAATGTGAAAAAGTAATGGTGATTCGAACTTTTTGGAAAAACTCCTCTGCCTCATCATCTTTGGGCTCAGGGTATCTCCACAGTTACCATTCAGCACAAATCTTATAAAAATTAAAATTCTACATTTCTATTCCAATTCCACTGGGACTCATGTATGGCTGGTGGTAAATTGGTACAACTACTTCAGAAAACTGTTGAGTAGTATCTAGCAAAGCTAAACATTTGCATACCCTATTTTGCTCCTATGCACATACCCAACAGAAATGTTTACAATGTTTACCAAAAGTGATGTACTAGATGTGCATAGTACTAATTATAATAGCTCAAAACTGAAATTACCCAAACGACCATGTACAGTAGCATGGATAAATAAATTGTAATATATTTGCACAGAATACCATACAAAAAAGAAAATGAATTATCTATAATTACATGCAAAATTAGATGAATTTCACAAGCATGAGTTTGAACGAAAAGCTAGACAGGAAACAGTCAATACTGCACCTACATAAAGTACAAAACTGGCAAAACTAAGAATTTGAGATCATGGGTCTCCAACACATTACTTCAGCTTCCAGGACTCTCTTCCAGCATGACCAAAGACACCTCTTCACACAAGATGGTAGCAACAAATTATAGGTGCAGTCGCACCAAACTCACAGAACAATTGAAAATCCTCACCACTACATTCGATCCAAAACCTTGCTCAGGTTATTCTACCAAACAAAACCTTGCTTTATAAATCAATACAGAAGAGTCAAGAATCCAAATTTGGTTTCAGAATTGAAGAGCTAGGCATGGATTCCAGAAAAGACCAGAACCAGAGACTTTAGAATCAAGCCAGAGCCATGGACAAGATCAACCTGGTGCAGAGTTTCAAAGTAGCGAAGCCAGACAGTGTTGTACCACCTACGGCGCCTCTCAATTATGCACTCTCATCAAGGCATTTTTGAAAAACCCATACCTTAGGATTGATTCCAGGAAACAACTTGCTAAAGAAATTAGTGTTCCAGAGTCAAGAGTCCAAATTTGGTTCCAAAATCAAAGATCTGGATTTCATCTCCAGAGAAAAAGGGAAGCTGTTGTGTCCTTAGAACAAGAAGACCAGGGGCAAGATTTCTGAGAGACTTTCAAGGTACAGAAGATACACAGAATGGCACCGCCCTCACTAGCAACTCTCATTTCTCTAGAGCCAGAACACGGTGAACACAGTCAAGTTCAGTGTATTTGATATTATCAACTTGGGTCCCAAATCTCTCTCATAGTCTTCCTGGGAGATGGGAAAGGACTTAGCTGGATGTGGTGACTCACACTTGCAATCCCAGCACTCTGGGAGGCTGAGGCAGGAAGATTGCTTGAGCCCAGGAATTTGAAACCAGCCTGGGCAACAGAGCAAGACCCTGTCTCTACTATCAAAAATGAAATAAAATAGAAAGGACTATAGGAGGCACAGATAGGTACAGGAGGCATCACACTACCCTATTGACACAGCCTGGATCCAGAGTTCAGCAGACCTGAGACAATGAAAATAAACTTAGTAATAATAATAATAATAAAAAGATTATGGTTACCCTTGGGGAGGAGGTGGGGGGTTAGTGATTGTAAGAAGATATGAGGGGCACTTCTGGGGCACTAATATATTGTATACTGATTCTTTTTTCCCCCTTTTTTATTTTTTAAATCTTTGTAGATACACAGGTGTATAAGATTCTGTTTCTTGATCTGAGTGATGGTTATACAAGAATGTTTAGTTTAAAAATTAATTGAGTTGTATATTTATGATATCTGCACTTTTCCATGCATATTACACTTCAGTTAAAAGTTGAAATCTAAGCATGCTCCTCAAAAAAAGAAAAAAAAGTTGAAATCAACTCCAAGAATGCATATCCAAAGCGTAGCTGGTGATGCTCAACAAGGGAAAACTGACATTTATTTATAGCAGGACTCACTTTCTTTTAAATTATTTTATTAGTTATTATTAATTTTTTAAAGATGTGCTCTTGCTCTGTCACCCTGGCTGGAGTGCAGTGTAGCGATCATACCTCACTGCAGCCTCGAACTCCTGAGCTCAAATGGTCCTCCTGCCTCAGCCTACCGAGTAGCTGAGACTATAGGCATGCACCACCACACCTGGCTAGTCTCTTTCTTTTTAAAGATGCTGGGAAGAGCCCACATGCTGTAACCTCTGAACAGTTTTCCCAACTGACCATTTTGGTTGTCTTTAAAGAAGTTTGATCAAAAAAAAAAAAATCTAAATCTAAAAAAAAAAAAAAAAAAAAAGCCCATTAGGTACATTTTACAAAGGCTTCCTGAGCTGATAATATAATTCAACTATGCCTTCTGAAATGAAGGGGAATATTTCCTCCACATCCATAGAAACTTTCTTTTTGCCTTCAAAACGTGCCTTGAACGGAGCTTGAGAAGAAATGTGTTAACATGGCCTGTAAGGTTAACTGGTCTGCTGAGTGAGGTATTCAGAAACTAACACACACACAAAATCATTTGAAAAAGTACGGCATTGTTGCTGTGTGTGTGCTTTTAAAAATTCCTTCTTAAAATGGCTTTCTTTTAAGCCAGGCATGGTCATGTGCGCCTGTAGTCCCAGCTGCTCTGGAGGTTGAGCGGGGAGGATCATTTGAGCCCAGCAGTTCGAGTCCAGCCTGGGCAACATAAAGAGACTCCCATCTCTAAGATAAACCAAAAAAAAAAATGTTTTAAATGGCCTTATTTTTTAACGAAACTTTACATGTTCATTTTTAAGTCAATCAATACAGAAAACTAAAGAGCAGGAACCAGTATCTTAAATAAAAATCACCCTGGATGCCACCTCCCTAAGTAACTATTATTAGCATTCAGTGACTCTCATTCCAATAATTCTCTAGGCATAGATAGGAATTATTTTGTAAACATGGGGGAAATTTTAAACAAAAAGCAAATTATAAAGGAAAATCACTTGCGTAATCTCCATTTATCTCTTAGAGGATGAAGGAGAGAGAAGAACTTTTACTTCCACAGACTATAAAATAGCCTCTTTTTGGTCTCTCCTTTGATGAGATGAGTGCTCTGATAAGGAAATAGTTGAAATTCTAAGGCGAATAAATAGTGCCTTTCTGATCAGGCATTGGCCTAACTTGGGTGGGAGGTGGGTTGGAAAAGAGAGGAACCACGTGTAGTTGGTTTGATTATGGTGGGACTTTCTGAAAGGAGCCATTCACATGGAATCAAGACGTAGACCACCACAGAGCAAAGGAGAGAGAAGGTGTGGCCCAGGGCTGTTAACAAAGCAACCACTGCCAGGGTGCCTGAGCAGATGAACACACAGGAAAAGGAAGGTGGGGAGGTGACTAAGATAATGATTGGAAGATTTGAAAAATGATCCCAGACCTGATCAAAGGAAAGAAATAGAACAAAATAGTGTCATGGGTCTGACTACTCTTAATTAAAATAATTTCAGTTTCTTCTATAACTTTCAAAAGGAGAGCTTTTATTTTATTTTATTTTATTTTATTTTTGAGATGGAGTCTTGCTCTGTCACCCAGGCTGGAGTGCAGTGGTGCGATCTCAGCTCACTGCAACCTCCACCTCTTAGGTCCAAGCGATTCTCCTGCCTCGGCCTCCCCAGTAGCTGGGATTACAAGCACACACCACCACACCCAGATAATTTTTGTATTTTTAGTAGAGATGGGGTTTCACCATGTTGGCCAGGCTGGTCTCAAACTCCTGACCTCATGATCCACCTGCCTTAGCCTCCCAAAGTGCTGGGATTACAGGCATAAGCCACTGCACCTGGCCAAAGAGATCTGTTTGAATCACAGATTAAATGCGTTGATTCATAGATTCTACCTACTTACAAGTAAGCCGAGCCCAAAAATAAGATTTTTATTTGTTGCGTGGCTCCTTCTCCAATTGGGTTTTGCAAAATTCTCACAAGATGAGGATTCCTTTAACTGAGGGTTTGGGAGATAGCAAAGTGCCAATCCTGATCTTTCCAGCAGTCTGTGATTCTCCCTATCTGACCCAGGTGGCAGATGGTGATTCACTGCCTAAGGGAGTCAAAACGGCTCTGAGACTCAGAAGGAAAAATCCCTGTTCTGCCTTGAAAGTTTTTCAAATGAAAGTTTACATAGATTGAGCCACTAGGACAGAAAGTCCTCAAAGCTTGGTTCATCTCTCCTGAGACCTCATTTCCATAATGAAGTCTCAAAATTAATGTGTGTCTTTAGTACCCATTGTTACTGGTTCATAATGGTAGGCCAACCCAAGCCATTAAAACCCCACGGATTGTGAACACATTTGTTCACAATCAGTTTGTGCATGCCCTGGTCCACCAGCTTGGCATATACTGGCTTGTTTAATATTCATAACTATAAGGCAAGCACTGTTATTATCCCTATTTTACAGATAAGGAAATAGAGGCAAAGAGAAGGTAGGCTGCTTGCTCAAGGTCTCAGAGCTAATGCATGAGGCCTCAAAGGGTATGCTTTGAGCTAAGGTGCTGGTGCCAAAAATCTGATTCATGAAGGCTGGGGGCAATTAATGTTAGAATACAGACCAATTTTCTTTACAACAATTCCCTGTCCTTGCTGTAAATTCTCAGATTATTTCAAGTGGCCTTGGAAAGTCACAAAACCTCACAGCACACCACCCGCCTCTCTGGCAGTTTATTATATTGGGTGCTGGCCTCCTGATCTTGCACCCCAGTGTGTACTCAGTTTCTATGCAGGAAAGCAAGAGATGTACACATGCAGGAGTGTGTGTGTGAATGTGAGTGCATGTGTGTGAGTTTGTGGGTTAATGAATGTGCATGTATGTGTGAGTGAAAGTATGAATGAGTGTATGGGTATGAATTTGTGCACATGGGGGGTTGTAACTGCATGAGTGCATTTGTGAGCATATGTGAGTGATGTATCATGCGTGCATGCATGATTGTATAAATGAAAGTGGGAATGAGTGTGTGAGTGTACCAAGGGTGGACAGGTGTGTGGGTGTATGTGTGAGTGTATCGAGGGTGGAGAGGTGTGTGAGTCTATGCGTAAGTGTACCGAGGTTGGATAGGTGTGTGTGTCTATGTGAGTGTACCGAGGTTGGATAGGTATGTGGGTGTATGTGTGAGTGTACCGAGGGTGGACAGGTGTGTGGTTGTATGCGTGAGTGTACCGAGGTTGGACAGGTGTGTGGGTGTATGTGTGAGTGTATCGAGGGTGGAGAGGTGTGTGGGTGTATGTGTGAGTGTATCAAGGGTGGATAGGTGTGTGTGTGAGTGTATCGAGGGTGGACAGGTGTGTGGGTGTATGTGTGAGTGTATCAAGGGTGGACAGGTGTGTGGGTTATGAGTGTATCGAGGGTGGACAGGTGCGTGGGTATATGTATGAGTGTATTGAGAGTGTATGTGTGTGTCCGAGTGAATGTGTGAGTGTGCATGTCTGTGTGCCTGATAGTGTGCGTGTGGTTATGCAAATGTGCATTGTGTGAATGGGCATGTGGCTGTGTGTCTGAGAGAATGTGTGTGCATATATGCTGCTCCCAACTTCCTTACCGGCAACAAGATCAGGTGACACAAGAGCTCTGTCCTCTGATGAGAAAGCTTGAGGTAGTTGTCCAAGGACAGCGCTGTGCCACCGGGAGAAGTTGCCAAGTGGCCTCTGAGAGGCACGAGCCCAGCAAACCCACTTGTGCCACTATAGGCATAGCTCACCAGACCACTCATGTGACTGTGACCGCCTTTTAAAGCCTGTGGGAATTCCTTTTCTCCTTGATGAGTGGAAGTGGTCAGGTCACTTGGATCACATTCCTGCTCTGCCTCCAGACATGAAGGGACTGTGGGCAAGCCACTTCACCTTTCCGGTCCTCACTGTCCCTGTCTGATAAAAGACAGCAGTAATACCCAGCACAAAAGTTTATGGTGATGCTCAAAGAAGCCAATGCATCTAAGGAAAAACCTCACTAGACAATGTACTTTGCACAGTGTATGTTTAATAAATGATGTTGTTCTTGCAATGAACAATGAAAATATTTTTTGTTTTGGGCCAAATCAATAGTGGAGCCAGGCACCACAGGAAGTTTGCAAACGCTTTGCATCTGTCTTACTGTATATCTTAATTATACATTAGGGCACCTTGAAAGCCACTGACAAATGAGGCCCGAGGTTCAGAAAGAGTTAATACGCCACAATAGTAACGGCACTCCTCACGGTCACCCAGGAAATCAGCCCTTCGCTTTAGCCAAGGGGAAAGTGGAAAAGTCCGTATTACACCACAAACCCAATTTGACCGCTGCAAATGCTGACTGGAGTGAATTAAACCTCTTTCAAAATGAAACACTACACCTGTAACTGTGACTTGATTGCCCAACTTTTTAAGGACCAGAAAAAATGAAATAAAGAAAGGAACTCTCAGCAGGAAGGCCACGGTGTCACTGAGGAGAACCCAGTCAGAACAATGACGGGGCTGCCTGCCGGGGCCACCTGCCTGAGAGGCGGGAATTGAGTCAATAAAGTCACTAAACAAACAGTGGAGCTTTAGTGTTCTAAATCAGTTTGTACAGTGGTTAAAGCTTGTGGGCCGAGGAACACTGAAAGACTGCACACGTCCTCTATTAAATCTGAGCCAAACTCCTGTGGCAAATGCTTTGTTTACTCATCGCCTTTCTTTGCAAGACGGCTGCCCGTGAGGGTCATGAGCTGAGCTGGCGGAGCAGCGGCCAGAGGACACTGGAGCTTGGGGTGGTGTCTGCACCTTCAGGCCAGCCGACTCCCCTGCCTGCAACAAAGTGTTGGCTGAATGTTCCTCACAAAAGAGGGGCTTAGGGCCCCATAACCCTAATAAAGCAGAAGCCGCAGGTGAAGAGGACAGAATGGAAGAAGAAAAAGGCGTGAAACAGGCTCTGTCAGTTAGAGACGGTCCTGGAAAGTAGCTTTTAAGATTCTTTTTTTTTTTTTTTTCCCCCGACAGGGACTCCGTCTGTCACCCAGGCTGGAGTGCAGTGGCACAATCTCCGCTCACTGCAGCCTCGACATCCCGGGCTCAAGCGATCGTCCTACCTTAGCCTCCCAAGTAGCTAGGACTACAGTCATGTACCACCATGCCCCCCTAATTTTTTGTGTTTTTAGTAGAGACGGAATTTCACCATGTTGCCCAGGCTGATCTCAAACTCCTGATCTCAGGCAATCCACCCGCCTCGGCCTCCCAAAGTGCTGGGATTACAGGCGTGAGCCACTGCATGTGGCTGCCTTTAAGATTCCTGCTCCAAGGTAAAAAAAAAAAAAAAAAAAAAGAGTCCGAGAGGAAGAGAGTGGCTGGAAGTCTGGGTCAGAGGTTCAGGGTCTCCCCTGAAAGCAGAGCTCAGCTCTCAGCCAGCACTGTTCCTCTGCTTTCCATCTGTATGTAGTGCTTAAAAATATCTCCACGTGGCTGGGCGCAGTGGCTTACGCCTGTAATCCCAGCACTTTGGGAGGCTGAGGCGGGCGGATCACGAGGTCAGGAGATTGAGACCATCTTGGCTAACAAGGTGAAACCCCATCTCTACTAAAAATACAAAAAATTAGCCGGGCGTGGTGGCGGCGCCTAGTCTCAGCTAATCTGAAGGCTGAGGCAGGAGAATGGCGTGAACCCGGGAGGCGGAGCATGCAGTGAGCCGAGATCGCACCACTGCAGTCCAGCCTGGGCTACAGAGCAAGACTCCATCTCAAAAAAAAAAAAAAACACCTCCACGTTAGCAACACAGAGTCCTTTAGAATTGGGACAAATTTAAATTTTCTGTAATTTTTAAAATCTTTTGTAGATATGCAGGCTCACCAAGTTGCCCAGTTTTGAACTCCTGGGCTCAAACGATCCTCCTGCTTCAGCCTCCTAAAGAGCTGGGACTACAGGCATGAGCCACTGTGCCCAGCTGCAAATTTAAATTTTAAAACTCTGGAAATATGTAATATGATTTTAAATGTGATAAATGACAAGATGTGTGTCAATGAATTACCCACATTTATGGCATTCACAAGAGGTAGCTTTGTCATCATGAAAAGCTGGTAATATTTTTGTGGGGACGGGGTGGGGCAGAATGGTTTCCATAATAAGTCCTAACCTCACAACATTTCACATTTTGGAGGCAGTAAGGAAGCTGGGAGGAGAGCAATCAGTGCCAAATTACACAGCTTCCATGTAGGCGCAAGACACTCTTTTGTAACACTTGGACTTTGTCTTTAGTGCCTTATTTCCCATGGTGCACCTGTCTCTCATTCCCATAACAGGAAGGAGGGTTTTCTGGGGCTGAGACACAAGTGGATCATGAGAAGTAAGAGGATATCAATCTTTTCCAGGCCCAACTGCCTCTAAATTTTCTGTGTTGCAACATTTCTTCTTCCTCTTTTCTTCCATCAATAAGGAAACATTTGACTATGTCTGGAGACATTTTTAGTGATTACAACTGAGGGTGGAGTGCTCCTGACATCTCTAGTGGTTGGAGGCCAGAGATGTTGCTAAATGTCTTACAATGCACAGGACAGCTTCCCACATCAAAGAATTATCAAGCCCAAAACATCAACAGTACTGGGCTGGAAAACCCTGCTTTCATGTTCTGATATCCCAGCTGTATTATTGAAAAGCATCTCTTTGAACTAACTCACAATATGGTTTGAATAGCTGATAGTGCATGTATAACCCTGCAAGGGCCAGTTGGCTTTTAAAAGTGGTTCTCACTTGTTGTCAGGACTTTAAGTGAGGCAAAAAAAGGAGGTGAAGACTCTTGGGTAGCCACTAGGAGAAAATGTGTGTGTGTATGTGTGTGTATTTGTGTGTTGGGGAGGCTCTCCTGGCTATTCCTTTCATCTCATCATGGAGGCATCTACCTACTTGTGCTATGGGTAGAAAGACCAGCCCTGTCCACTCACTGTGGCAAGGGCTGACATGAGGACCCAGGTGTGTCATCTCCCCTACCTGCAAATGATGGGAGGCATAAACATTGACCGACACACATGGTCCAGTTTACCCTGTGAGGAGAATGATTCTCAGTTAAAAGATTGAAGGGATAGAGCTGGGTCAGAAAAGCCACAACGCAAAAGCTGATGTGAAGACTGGACACATTGGCCCTGATGCCTACTTCTGCACAGCCCTCTCCAAGTAGTCTGTGAAAATGTACTAAATGCATCTTTTGAGTTAGGGGTTCTCAACTTTGGTTTCATGTAAGAATCCCTAAGGAGGCTTTGCAAACTCTAATGCCCAGGACTCATGGCTCCAGACCATTTACTGAGAATATTTAGAGGTGAAACTCAGGAATCAGTATTTTTTAAGTTATATTTTATTGAAGTATAACAAACATATAAAACGTGCATATATCTCTAGCTATTCCACTTCTGGATATATACACAAAAGAATTAAAAGAGGGTCTCAAAGAGATATTTGTATACTCATGTTCATAGTAGCATCACTCACAACAGCCAAAAGGTGGAAGCAACCCAAATGTCCATTGATAGATGAATGGATAAACAAAATGTGGTACACCCATTCAATAGGATATTATTTGGCCTTAAAAAGGAAGGAAATTCTGATCTATGCTATAACATGGATAAAACGTAAGGCCTTTATACCAAGTGAAATAAGTTCCCCAAAAGGTAAATACTGTATAATTTCACTTATATGAGGCACCTGGAGTCGTCCCATTCATAGAAACAGAAAGTAGAATGGCAGTTGCCAGAGCTGAGGTGGAGGGAGGAAAGAGAGTTGTTAAATGAGCTTGGAGTTTCAGTTTTGCGAGATGAAAAGATTGGTATCACAACAATGGGAATGTACTTAACATTACTAAACTGTAACTTAAACTGATTAACATGATAAAGTTTATGTTAGGTGTATTTTGCCATCATTTTTAACAAATATATATATCAAAAGAATACAGCTTGATGAATTTTCACAAAGTAAATACACACAAACATCCAGCACCCAGATGAAGAAATGGAATATGACCAGCACCTCACAAGCCTTCTTGATGCCCCCTCCTGGTCACTATCTTTACCCCAAGGGTGTTGGTATCCTGACTTCTAACACCATAGTGTAAGTCTAATTTTTAAAGCATCTGCAGTAGTTTAAAGATACATATTTTATACCATCATTCCCTATGCCTCTAATTGACTTCAAAGATGCTTTTTATATATATAAAAATAAGTGCGCTACTTTGGGCATATATCTTTGTCCACATCTGTCTATTTTCTTAGGATAGAGTGATTCCTAAAGTGGAATTTCTGAGTCAAATGATGTGAAATGTTTAAAGACTCTTGATTTTTTTTTTTTTTTTTGGACAGAGTCTCACTCTGTTGCCCAGGCTGGAGTGCAGTGGCGCGATCTCGGCTCACTGCAACCTCCACCTCCCGGGTTCAAGGGATTCTCTTGCCTCAGCCTCCTGAGTAGCTGGGATTACAGGCGTGTTGTCACCACACCTGGCTGATTTTTGTATTTTTAGTAGAGACAGGGTTTCTCCATGTTGGCCAGGCTGGTCTCGAACTCCTAACCTCAGGTGATCTACCTGCCTCAGCCTCCCAAAGTGCTGGGATTACAGGCGCGAGCCACCGCGCCAGCCCCTAAAGGCTCTTGATTCTTAAAGGCATCAGTAGAGGTTTTCAGGGGGTCACAAGGTGCAGCCATGGCAAGAATCACTGGGTTGGAGTCTGTGGAGGACCTCTGATCAATTCCTTAACGAATATGCCTTTAACCTCCACTTATCTGGACTTGATCCAAATTGAAATTATTTAAAGATTCAAAGAAAAACGATGTAGCAGTTGAGTTGGTTTTGGCTGCAAGGAAACAATTAGACATCACTTTAACAACATTTATTGTTTTCCCTTAACAAAAAAATTCTAGATAGGTAGATAAGCAAAGAATTTGGAGTTACTGGGCAATTTAGAGAAAGAATTTGAAGAATTTGAAGAGAAGAAAACAAACAATATGTAAAAGGCATCCCTTTTTAAATTCTTTTGAAACAACATATATATCTAGCTAGGGAAAACAGGATATGGAGCAGAGAGGGGAGTATAAATAAGTAAATCATAGTGTTTTAGGCCAAATACCAGATTAAGTATTTAGAATTTATTAGTCCATTTAATGTGACACTTAAAAAATGTGAAATAGCTATTACTGTTACAGGAAAGGGGTCCGGATCCAGAACCCAAGAGAGGGTTCTTGGATCTTGTGCAAGAAGGAATTCAGGGTGAGTCCATAGAGTGACGTGAAAGCAAGCTTATTAAGAAAGTAAAGGAATAAAAGAATGGCTACTCCATAGACAGAGCAGCCCTGAGGGCTGCTGATTGCCCATTTTTATGGGTTTTTAAAAATTATATACTAAACAAGAGGTGAATCCCCTTTTTAGACCGTGTAGAGTAACTTCCTGATGTTGCCATGGCATTTGTAAACTGTCATGGTGCTGGTGGGAGTGTAGCAGTGAGGACCACCAGAGGTCACTCTCATCGCCATCTTGGTTTTGGTGGGTTTTAGCCAGCTTCTTTACTGCAACCTGTTTTATCAGCAAAGTCTTTATAACCTGTGTCTTTTGCTGACCTCCTATTTCATCCTGTGACTTAGAATGCTTTAGCCATTTGGGAATGCAGCCCAGTAGGTTTTAGCCTCATTTTACCCAGCCCCTATTCAAGATGGAGTTGCTCTGGTTCAAACACCTCTGACATTTCTATCTCCATTTCTCATGAGATACAAGCCAAAGATTTATTTTTTAATTTTATTTTTATGTATTTATTCATTTTTTGAGACAGAGTCTCACTCTGTCACCCAGGCTGGAGTGCAGTGATGTGATCTCAGCTCACTGCAACCTCCTCCTCCCAAATTCAAGCAATTCTCCTGCCTCAGCCTCCCAAGTAGCTGGGACTACAGGCATTCACCACCATGCCTGGCTAATTTTTGTATTTTTGGTAGAGATGGGGTTTCACTATGTTGGCCTGGCTAGTCTCGAACCTGTGACCTCAGGTTATTTGCTCAAGATAACTCTGACTCCCAAAGTGCCGGATTACAGGCGTGAGCCACCACGCCCGACCAAGATACAAGCCAAAGATTTAAATGATGTGTCCAGGAATACCCAATTTGCTAGCAAGTGTCAGGGAATCAAATACAGTCTCCATTCTGCCCCCAGCTTGCCAGGTGGTTTTGTGCATGTTCTGGGCACTCCCCTCCCCAGGCCAGTTTTCAGCCACTTGGAACAAATGATCTCAAAGGTTTATTTTAGATTTAGCCATTAACCTGAGTGCCATTTTCAGCAGTTACACATATACTAATGGTTACTGGAAGCAGGACAAAAGAGTAGCTCTGAAACCAATGGCATTGACTACAGCTTCAGGAGCAATTTGGGAATTAAGGATAGCTTAGCAAAACTTTAATATTTAGCCCATTAAAGCAGACTATGGACCTTAGGATGCTAAGCCCTATCACTGTGTAGCCCTCCCTGGATTCCAAGAGTCCTGAAGACACTTCCACAGTGGGCGCAGCTGCCCTAAAATTCAGTCACTGTTAACTTACTTTATGCTAAGACAGTGGAGGCTAGCCATGGCCAGCCTTGTGAGCTCAGAGCTTTTCCACGACCATTTCTCTCCTCTTGATGCTTCTCAGCCACAGATGCCATCCATCAGGATCACAAAGGGCTTTCTTTTTCTTGCTCTATAGATCCAATGAAGTCTTTTCTGTGTCCAGCCAGGAAATGGAGGAGTCTTGTAGCTTAATTAAGATGAGCTTATTCAACATCACTCAGAGGGAGCTGCATTTCCCAGTCTGCTAACAGCATTTTTACTAACATTAAAATGGCTTATGAGAGGAGCAAATTAACATTGCTATGGAAACTTCAGAATTTTCTGACATTTTAGAGTTGACATTTTCAGCCTCAATCTTTCCTCAACAAGGTATTTAGTATTTAATAAGTTCTGGGATTAGGAGCTTTCTTCTCTAGAGACAAATATTAGCTATAGTCTTCAAAGATGGCAGCTGCCTAAATGTTGAATAAACCCAGAATGTTTTCCCCAAACATCCAGAACACATTTAATTAAATGCTACCTATCTCTCATACTTCCTCCAGCTGCTAACCCAGACTCTTCTCTATCTATATCCATAAAAAAATAAAAAGGAATCTCCAGACATTTCTGTAGTGGGAATTTTATGTGACTTTAGAAAATATATATTCAAAATTTTAAATGTGAATATATATATATATACACACACACAGACACACACACACACACATATATATATATATATTTGTTTTGAGATGGAGTTGTGCTCTTGTTGCCTAGGCTGGAGTGCAATGGCACAATCTTGGCTCACTGCAACCTCCACCTCCCAGGTTCACGTGATTCTCTTGCCTCAGCCTCCTGAGTAGTTGGGATTACAGGCATGCGCCACCACATCCAGCTAATTTTGTATTTTTAGGAGAGACAGAGTTTCACCATGTTGGCCAGGCTGGTCTCGAACTCCCGACCTCAGGTGATCCACCTGCCTTGGACTCCCAAAGTGCTGGGATTGCAGGCGTGAGCCACTGTGCCTGGCCAAAATGTGAATACAATTCATGTGACCAAAAATGTCAATTTTGAACATTAAAGAAAATGACAATTTAATGAGACTAGAAATTGAATATTAGTCTTGCTAGAAAGGAGAAAGCAAATTATTTCATTTTTGAGGAGAAAACAATATTTAAAACTCCAAGTTTCTAGGTATTACTTCATCTGTGTCATTTTTTTAAGTGGATTCCATCCATCATCCTCTCTGTTCAGTTCAGATAATGTCAGCTGGAATGGAAGCTACATGTTTAGACTTCAAATCAGCTGAGGTGATAACAGCTAGGATAGATTCCATCCAATATACATATATACATTTAGTGCTGGGTTTCTTCAACAATATTTATCTTTAACCAGCAGATTCCATCTATCCAAAATCACTGAAGATGACAGTGCTCGTATCATTTGTAATGGTTTCCACTTATACATTCCATTAGGATGTGTAAACACATGGAAAATCAAGTGGAAAATTAAGGATACACCTTAACAACAAAATAAAGACAGGTAAAAAGGCTATGTAACCCTTATCTTCTATATCAATTTTTGTTAAGGTTTTTCTTATACTTTTTTCCTCCTTTTTTCAAATAAAATTTAGTTCTCTACTTAGTTTTCTGGGTTTTTTTCTTTAATATTAAGATGCAGGAGAACTAGAAATGATAACTAATATTAAAACAGGTCATATGATTTTTATAAAAAACAGGAATCTATTTTCACTGGAGGACACCCACTGACATCTCCTGAGTTCTCATGACAGGCCAGGCCCACACATGGAAGAACAAATGCTTCTCTTCTCCCAAAACAGTTGAGTGGAAAATATTTAATAAATTCAGTTTATCCTTAGCTTGCAAGGGTCAGCCAAGCTGCAGTCCTGCCACCTGGTCCCTGTGTTGGATTTTTTCCTGCAGTGTGACCAGTGAAATCATGATGAAAGGGACATCAGCCCAGCCTTCTCAGGACCTGCTGCTGCTCCTCTCCCAACAGGCTCTGGTCTCAGTGCTCAGGGCTTCAGCCAGTTGTGTGCTGGTAAATGTTCAACACAGGCTCTCCAAAAAGAACAGGGTTGGATTTGCTAGTTCCCTTAGTATAAATAACTCCACCATGGCCAAATTTTTTTTTTTTTTGAGATGGAGTTTTTTACTTGTCGCCCAGGCTGGAGTGCAATGGTGCAATCTCAGCTCACTGCAACCTCCACCTCCTGGGTTCAAGCGATTCTCCTGCCCCAGCCTCCCGAGTAGCTGGGATTACAGGCACCTGCCACCATGCCCAGCTAATTTTTTGTATTTTGAGAGGGGGTTTCACCATGTTGGTCAGGCTGGTCTTGAACTCCTGACCTCAGGTGATCCACCCGTCTCGGCCTCCCAAAGCGCTGGGATTACAGACGTGAGCCACTGCGCACTATGGCCAATTTTTAACTACCAACATGAGGTCACTGAATATGGAATTGGGAAGAGATGTGCACAATGGGTTCTAGCAAGCCGGCAAGAGCTGGCACCAGCACATTCTCTGTCTTTAGCCCTGGAGACCAGCTTCCTGATGACCGTTCCAGAGTTTTAACACCTTCTCTTCCTGGTGAGCAGGGAGGTGGCGGGTTCAGGCCCACTGCTAACTTGGCCAAGCAGGAAGGCACTCAAGACAGATGGCAAAGCTCATAGGCTACGGTGCTTTATTTAATCACCTGAATATTTCTGTCCTACTCCTCCTCCAGAGAAAATAAGACACCAGCAGCATGAATAAATGTAGCACATGAATGTCGTTAGCATATACAGTCATCCCTTGGCAGCCACAGGAGATTGGTTCCAGGATCTCCTTCAGATATCAAAATGCACAGATGCTCAAGTCCCTCATATAAAATGGTGTAACATTTGCATGTAACCGATGCACATCCTCCTGTATACTTTAAATCACCTCTAGATTACTTATAATACCCAATACAATGTAATGCTGTGTAGTTAATACTGTATTGTTTAGAAAATAATGACAAATTTAAAAGTCTGCCCACATTTAATACATACATCCATATTTTTCTCCTGAATACTTTTGATCTGTGGTTGGTTGAATCCACAGATGCAGAACCTATAGATATGAAGGGTTGACTGTAATTATGTCCCCTGTGTCATTATTGCCAGAAGTCATTACCCAGAGCATGATGTATAGGTTAAAGGTGGTAGAGGCTATATTTGTATTCAGACAGGAGGGGAAGTGGTTTGACCATTTTGATCTAAATTAATAAGCAAGAATGATTAAATTGTCAGGAATAAGAAAAATAAACCTACAGTCCTACAGAATATCAAGCAGAGCAGAAGAAAAGGTGCTGATTAGTTAAGAGTCAAGAACTTTATGTTCTAACCTTATCACAAATCTACAGGTGGAGTGTGCTGTTAATTTAGGACAAGTTGCACATCATATGTTCATGTTTTCCACATACATTATAACCAAGTAATAAATACACTTTTCTTTTCTTTTCTTTTCTTTTTTTTTTGAGGCAGAGTTTCACTCTGTCACCCAGAATGGAGTGCAGTGGTGCAATCTCAGCTCACTGCCACCTCCACTTCCCAGGTTCAAGCAATTCTCCTGCCTCAGCCTCTTGAGTAGCTGGGATTACAGGTACACACCACCATGCCAGGCTAAGTTTTTTTGTATTTTTAGTAGAGACAGCATTTTGCTCTGTTCCCCAGGCTGGTCTCAAACTCCTGACCTCAGGTGATCTGCCTGCCTGGGCCTCCCAAAGTACTGGGATTACAGGCGTGAGCCACCGCGCCCGACCCACCTTTCTTTTAATAAGTGAAAGATCATTTGATGTGGTTTGGCTCTGTGTCTCCACCCAAATCTCATCTCAAGTTGTAATCCCCATGTGTGGAGGAAGGGACCTGTAATTCTCCTGTGTGGAGGGAGGGAGGTGATTGGATTATGGCAGTGGTTTTTCCTCTCTGAGAACTTGCTCCAGTGAGTGAGTTCTCACCAGATCTGATGGAATTATGAGGGGCTCTTCCCTTTCCCTTTTTCTTCTCTTGCCTGCTGCCACGTAAGACGTGCCTGCTTCCCCTTCTGTCATTATTGTAAGTTTCCTGAGACTTCCTCAGCCATGTGGAACTATGAGTCAATTAAACCTCTTTGGCTTTTTTTTTTTTTTTTTTGAGACAGAGTCTCGCTCTGTCACCCAGGCTGGAGTGCAGTGGTACGATCTTGGCTTGCTGCAACCTCCACCTCCTGGGTTCAAGCGATTCTCCTGTCTCAGTCTCCCGAGTATCTGGGATTACAGACACCCGCCACCGCATCTGGCTAATTTTTTTATTTTTAGTAGAGACAGGGTTTCACCATGCAGGTCAGTCTGGTCTCGAACTCCTGACCTCGTAATCCACCCACCTCGTCCTCTCAAAGTGCTGGGATTACAGGTGTGAACCACCATGCCCGGCCTGGGTCCCATCTGTTAATGTTCGAACACAGAGGAGGTGGAGTTCCTAGAATATTGGGACATAGAGGCTTCACAGAAGAGTATCTTTTTTCTTTATAAATTACCCAGTCTCTGGTAGTATCTTTCTAGCAGTATGAAAATGGAGTAATACATCATTTATTCTGCCTTGCATAGTGAATTTTCCCTATTTGTTTAGAAAAACAAATTGTGAAATAAATATTTATTGCATTTTCATAGTGCTCAAGAACTGTGTGGAGAAATGTATTTAAAGTGGTTTGTCTTAATTCTTAAGCAATCATATGAGGAGTGATGCTTTCAAAGATCACTGTTGTATTCAAAACAGTTAACTTAGAAGCTTTTAAGCAATCTAGTGATGCTCTGTGTTACAAAGTACGTTTATAACATTTGTTTAGAGTTTTTTTTAGAACCAGTTTATGAACCTCATGATAAAATCAGTCTGAGTAATAATTTTATGTGTGAATTAAAGTTACATTTTCCATCAAAGTCGTTGTCCAGAATCATCATCAAAATACTTTTGGCTGCTTCCAAAACTAAAATTCATTTCCCAAAAGAAAGACTAACCCTCCATGAGGTTATAGAAAAGAGTCTTAGGCTCTGAGAGCATTTTTTGACTTTTTTTCTTTTCTCTTTCTTTTTTCTTTTTCTTATAAAAAGTACCATACATTCAGAAGAATATAAAACAAATATGAATTGGCTAAGGAATAATAATGATAAAATAAACACCTGTGTACCTACCACTCAGGTTAAGTAACAGAACCTTACCTCAAACTGGCTACGTAATTAAAAGGCCTAGTGCAAAATAAAAACAAGGCTCCGTTGTTCAAAAAGCAGGAATAATGTGCTATTAAATGTACTAAAACATAAAGCTTTTTCTTTCTTTCATGTTTCTCCTCTGATCATGCACATGTTCCATTGTGCCATCAGACTTTACTTACAAAACACAGGCTCGAAGATAACATTATCAAGAATTTCAAACCATGACAGCCAAGCCTTAAACCTAGTGCAGGGCCCTTCTGCGAAAGGGGCCCCATGTGATGCTACAGGCTGCATACATGAAGTCAACCCTGAACTTGGAAGTCTCCTCTGCATCTTGTCCCAAATGTTTCTCCTTCCCTCTCTCCCAGGGTGAATACAATTTCTAAAGGGTAAGGTGGGTGATTAAGGCATCACTGGAATAAGTGCATAACTCCTGAAACACATCATTCATTTGGATATACCTTTATTTGACCGGGGAATAAAGACTTTCTTACTTTGGAGTTACACTGTACAAAATGCCGTCACCATAAATAAAGGACAGAACTTAGTAAGGCAGACAAGGCATAGAACCACGAAAAGTTAGATATCAATATAAGACGAAGTTAGCATAACAAGAGAAGAAAAGAGTTAGAATAATGTGTCAAAGCAGGAGTCACAGTTCAGGAAGGATATTGACAAAGTGCTCTGAGGAGGGTGGCTGCAAATGTAGAAACCATGTGGTATCCATTGAGGTTCCGCTGAAGGACTTGGAGAAAGGAGGACTCAGAAGGCTCGATGACTGTCTCCAGTAAGTTCTTAGGTGGAACAGGGAGTCGGCTTGGCCTACATAGCCTCTAGGAGTCTAAACAGAGAAAAGACCTTAACCAAGATCTGGAACTTTACCCAAAAAAGGAACGGAGTATCTGGGACAATGGTAAATTCCACATCGCTGGATGTTCAAAGAGAAGCTGGTAATATTGCAAGCAGGAGGGATATTGTTGAAGGAGTTCAAGCACCAAATGAGTGATGAGGCTGGATGACTTTTTAAAGGGCCCTTTCAGCCCTCAAGTTCCATAATTCAAATTCAAATAAGACAGGGGCAAAATGGTCACCCAACGAGCGCTCTGTATTCATAGGAAGCGGGGATTAAGCTCTCACACAGTATTTTTCAAAGTACAAGATTGCCAGCCATTTCAGCTTATGAAATCAAGTGGCCTGACTAGCACTTTAAAAAATGAAATTGAATAGAAACAGAATGCATCACAAGTAGGATGGGTAAATGTGAGCGAATGTGTGTGTGTTTATTATTTACTCTGAAGCTAGGATAAAAAATTTATTTTGAAAGCTTGGAAGCTAGACAGAGTCCCCCAAATACCATTTCCCATTGTGCAGGGCTGTCCCTGGCAAAGTAGAGGTACAGCTAAGTAGAGAAGGACTGCAGTCAACGTATCAGGTATACAATTAACAATGCTAACCTCTGAAGCAAGAGACCCACCACTAACCAGATGAGACCATGGATTACAGGCAAGAGGAGCAGGTGAATCAGGAAGACAAGACAGTAAATGAAGTTCAGATTTACAGTGAAGGATTAGCGAGTGCTGTTACTCAAGGGATGGACTGAATCAAACAGGAAACTGGAAAGCCATGTGGGCTCCAGGCAATCAGACAAAAGGAAGCCAAAGAACATTACTGCCCCTTTGAAATAATTCGTGTATAAATCATTAATTGATGTTAAAACCGTCGTGTGAAATGTTACTGAGGACAATACATTAACATAGTCTAAAAGTCTAACCACATCTATTCTTCACTAATTCTGAAAGGGAAAAGCTACCTTTACAACAGAGAGATCTAGTGGCCATTTCCTTAACCGAAAAAGCTAATGTAACATCATCCATAAAGAGGTGAGCAGAACTTATGGAGCCCCTGATGGGATGCACTGAGAGGAATACAATGTCACCTTTGTTGGATTCTCACCAGAAACATTTCACTTGAATCTAGTCTTGAGGAAACAATTGGACAAACCAAATTGAAAAGCATTCTATAATACTAGCCTGGACTTTTAGAAAATGTTTGTATCATAAAAGGAGAAAAGAGGTTGCAATGGCCTCTGATGGTCATAAGTGTTACAGATCAGGAATCAATGTGTCCACAGTGGCCTGACATCATCCTTGTTCCAGAAAGACTCAGCAAGAGCGTGACTCATGAGGCTCTTCCTCAGGTTAGAAGGGATAACAGGAAAGTGAGGATGCTGAGCCTATGTGCTGGCCATTATATGTTGACCCTTTTAATATTGAAATCACGTTTGAAGTAGATGTCATTGTCCTTAGTTTACCGATGAGGAGACGGAGTCAGATCATTTGCCCAAGGTCATGCAGAGTTGGCATTAGACTCACATGCACCAAATCCAAATCCTTCTTCTCCTCTCTCTTCTTCTTTGTAAAATCACCATTTTCAATCACAAAATATTGCAATGATGAAAAAATAAATACGATAATATAACAGACACCTATGTAGTCACCAGTTGGATAAAAGTTAACATTTCGTCACAATTGTTTTATATTTTTTTCATTTATGGCTCCTGATTTAAATACCCTCTTCAATTCAAGCACCTGGGGATTTCTTTTCTCTTTTCTCCCTTTTCTCCTCCTCCCTTCCTCCCTTTCTCCTCTCAGTTCAACCATGTACTTACCATAGAGGAGGTGGTGATTTTATTTCATCTAGCATTTCTATGTGTTATAGTGGGAGGAGCATTCATATTAACTCAATCTATTTTGTCATCAGAGCCAGGCTTCCAGTTCTATGCTCTTTCTGCTAAATTACAATAGTTGGCAACATAAGACATGTACCTGGATTTTCGCAGTACACAAAACTTAATCACCCAATCACCAAGGCTCATTAGAATCTCTTCATGCTATCGTTTCCAGGAGAATCCAACAAGAAAAATCAGGACTAGATTCCTTTGGTCTTAGAATTTTGAGAATGGCCATTAAAGAGTCAAATTTGCAACTGTAGCTCACCGTGCTTTTTTATTCATAGTTTATTAATTTGCAAAGCTGAACAAATCAAACCAGCACCATGGATTTTGTGAAGAAAAACAAGCAGAAGGTTATCAAAAACCATACATAAAAGGTTGTAAATTCATGAGCTTTCTATCTCCCTTCAGATTCTATCAGATATTACACTAATTTCATTAAGTTCCAAGCAAGTATCTCTTCTTCTGAGGTTCTCCTCTCCAAAAAGCCAGTGACCTAGAAACCACACATATGTATACGGGAGGTGATGTAAGTGTTCCTCTTTATGAAGCAGTGAATTTGTCAAGCAAAGCATAAGATGTTTTCTCCCCTAGTAGTTTTGCCCTGACTGGCAATATTTAGGAGATACAATCCTAAAAATATATGGTAATGGTCACTGCCCTGAGGGTAAGGATGATGGTAATCTTTAACATTTGCAAAGATGTTACTGTACTAAACATTGTATAAGCATTATACAATGTTCATTTAATGTTCACCAAAACTTGTGAGACAGGTACTACTGTGATCTTCATCTTACATATAAGGAACGGAGCCACTGAGAAGTTAAGTAAATTGCCTAGTTAGAAAGTGCAGGGGACTGGTTACAAATGCTCATTCTAATAAGTCCTTATTTGCTTTGATTCCAGAGCCCTGAAGGCCTGCTTCAAAATTCCATCTTCAGTGTTAGCATTTCCTGAGCTGTTTCCCCCTCACAGCCACCCCTGTCTTCATGCCCTCTATCATATCACATTGCTTTGTGCTTATTTGTTGAGGTATCTTTCTCTCCTCACAGATTCTCAGTTCCTTGAGAACAGATACAGAATCATATGCATCTTTGTTTCCTCAACACCGGCCATAGGACCAAGTACATGTTAAGGGAGAGTTGTCATCATCAGGGCAGTTTTAATTGTAAGTAATAGAAACTAAATTCAAACTACTTTAGCCATCATTTAGCGGTTTACGTGATTAGGAAAGGCCAAGGTTGTAGCTAACAAGAACTTTCAGCTTTCTTTTTCTTTTTTTTTCCTCCTCTGTACTTATAAGCTCTTCTTTTCTTGCACCAAAGGCTTATGGACTCATTCCACACAGAGGAACCATGGCTGCTGAGGCTCTTTAGTGTATTTTCCAGTTTGGTCAACTGAGATGGTGGTGCCCAACCATCACCACTGCCAAAGACCTCCAGTCTTCAAAAGTCTCCCTGGGGTGGGGGAGAAAACTCCTTGGCATGGTTTGAGTCACATCCCTACTTCTGAAGTGATCAGATTGAAGTGTGATGATTGCAGTCATGACTAGAACTGCACTGCTGAAGTCAGGGAGGAGGAATTACCCCAAAAATGGTAGGAGGTGAATTTGCTAGAAGCCAACAAGAGTGTTAGGTAAATAAAACAATTTCTTTCTATCACAGGGCTCCAGTTCAGTCTTGTTGAACTGAAATGGAATTGGAACTGTGCCAGCCTCACTGGAATTGGACCCCATATTCTCTTCTGTCTCTAAAGAAGCTTTGGCCTTACCTGAAGCTGACTCTCAAGCCAATGGAAGATAGTGAAGTGTGATTGCATGAATTCTTGGAATCAGCACGTCATAAGGAACAAGAAGAAAAATATCAGGAAACAGGGGAAACAGCACCCTAAGATTTTGGGGGGATCATTTCATAGGCTTCCTGCAGGAGCATGCTAAATCCTGGTTAGTCTTGTTCCTGGATTTTACTTGAATAGATGATCACTTTTAAATCTGCCACTTGAACTTTTAGCTGTGCAGTGCTTAGGATTTAATAAGTGTATGATTTAATAAGTGTATTTCTTTTTTTCCCTCTTCTATACTTAACAAACTCTTCTTTTCTTTTCTTTTTTCTTTTCTTTTCTTTTTTTTTTTTTTTTTTGAGATGGAGTCTTGCTCTGTTGCCCAGGCTGGAGTGCAGTGGCACAATCTCAGCCTCAGCTCACTGCAACCTCTGCCTCCTGGGTTCAAGCGATTCTCCTGCCTCAGCCTCCTGAGTAGCTGGGATTACAGGTGCTTGCCACCACGCCCAGCTAATTTTTTTGCTTTTTTAGTAGAGATGGGGTTTCACCACCTTGGCCAGGCTGGTCTTGAACTCCTGACCTCATGATCCACCCGCCTCAGCCTCCCAAAAGGCTGGGATTACAGGCGTGAGCCACCGCGCCAGCCCAAGCTCTTCTTTTCTTGCATCAAAGGCTGATGGAGTCATTGCACACAGAGGAACCATGGCTGCTGAGGCTCTTTAGCATATTTTCCAATTTGGTCAACTGAGATGGTGGTGCCTGACCATCACCACCACCAAAGACCTCCAGTCTTGAAAAGTGTATGATTTAATAAGCAATTGCAAGCAAGGAAAAAACTATCTCAGTGTTTATGACCAAAAAAGTAAATAAAGTTAGTTTAATACTTGATATTCATATGCTGGGTGCAGGGTGCCAGAAATCTATTGGACAGTTTCAGATGGGAAGAGCTGAGAAAAAAAGAAAGTCTCTGGTGTGGGGAGTTACCTTTTCTCCCAAGAAGAGAATGTCTATACACTGGGAATCCGAAGTTAGTGGAACCTCTCCATTGGAAGCGTGGAAGCAGATTCCTTTCTCTCTCCTTCTTTCTACCCACTGTCCACTAGGTACTGGGGGAATACAAAAAATAAAGTCACGGTCCTTGCCTTGAAAAATCCTACAATTACTTGAAGAAAGATGGAAGCCCACACATACGTGTGAAAAGACATGAAAGTATCCGCAAAGCAAGATGTCGAGGGCTGGGAAACGCTTTTCCTTGCAATGTGGAAGAAGTGTCCTGGGTGTTAGGAGACCCAGGATCTGATTCCAGCTAGGGGTCCTTGAAAAGTTCCAAATCTCCTTGGGCTTTCATTTTCTCATGTGTGAAAATGGGCAATATGAAAAGTTAAAAAACAAACATCATGATTCAGTAAGTGTTGCCAACGACACACTTCTTGTGTCATTGGCAACACTTGGCTTTACGTATCTCTATGAGGTACATTTCTAAAACTCAGATAGCTACTAAAACCTAAATTAACGATAGGCCCAGATACTGAATTGCTATGTTGAAATAATATTTTAAAATAATAATAATAATAAACTTTCAATTATACAACTTACACTACAATTTGGTCTTGTACAGATAATAATTAAAAGTATTATTAAAATATCATTTTTTCAGTTTTCTCTCATCTTTTAAAATCCTCCATTTTTGTATATATTTTCTGTCCTATGTAAGATAATGCTGTAGTCATATATGTGTATGATTTTGAAATAGACATACAAATACAGAGGCATGGGCATAAATGTTTCTTAATTTCAGTTTTTACTGATAAGGAACATCAGTCAAAAATTTAGCAATCATTGTTCCTATCCATTAAGACTCAAGCCCCAAGCAGACTCTTCCCAGTAAGACTCACTGTAGTTTTGCTCTCTTGGGACCTCCCCAAGGTCCTCGAAGGCTTTCATGATAAAGTCTCGCACAAAGTTTGGTCTTCAAATAAGGTCTTCATCTAGGCAGAGCAAAGGCAGAGGATGTGCTTTCGAAACTCCCGAAAGCAGATCTGCACTTCAGAAAACTACAGATGCTGGTACTTTTAATATGCACATTTCCAAGTGCTTGTAAGTCACCTAGGTAATCTAATAATTGTTTAAAATTCAGTGAGATTCTTCACATGATGAGGTAAAGTTACCAGTGCATTCTCTCACCAGTGTTCTCCATGGAGACCCTGCACACCTCCTAAAATCCCGGCAGCCAAACTGTCTTGCCTTACTTGAAGAGAATAGAAAAAGAAAACTTGCAAATGCATCCTCATCTGCAAATGTGTGTGGTGATACCTTCTCTATGTTAAGTGCCTCACACAGTGCCTGGCAATTATTGGCATCACGAAAAGTTGGCCCAGGAATCCAGAGGGTAGCAAAAAAAGAATCTAGCAGAGGAAGTAAAGAGATCAGTCTAGGAATAGAAGAGGAGAAAAAAGACTTTTAGATGAGCCTGGGTCAGCAGAAGAAACAATATTTTGTGCTAGGAGCAAGGAAATCTTTTTAAAAAATACAATGATATCCCAATCCCCACAAGTTGCTTACATAAATGTGTGAGAAAAAAAAGTTAAGAGGATAAAATAATTGAACAGAAGTAGAGATAGCCCCAAGAAGCGTGTAATTAATTATCAGATGAACCATCAGAAACTAGAGCTAGGGAGCTCCAAGGACTTATGCTTGCTGTCCCTGGAGCCAGGTCCCATCTTTGGTGGTTGGTCCAGTTTGGCCATTTAGAATAGAAGCTGTACCTCATGACCTTCAGACAAGAGCATAACTGGCCTCATATCAGAAGACATGCTGTTGGTTGTAATTCTGTTCAGTTCTACATTGATTATGTACTCACTACATGTCAAGACCTGGAGTGGGTGCCAAGAATTTAGGAATTTAGGGATAAATAAGACTTGGTTCCTGTCCTCAAAGAGCTCAAGTTCTAGTTAAGAAAACAAACAATAATCATCATTTCATTACAATATGGTATGTGGAATGGAAAGTCAGCCTTAGCAATGTTACAAATATTCCAAGTTTTCTTCCATCCATTATCTCTTTGATCTGGAAACAGCACTGAGAGATGACTAAGACGACTGTCCTCATAGTTACTACGAACTTGTGTCTTATATGAAGTGTACTTTCCTCATTTCGAAGTGCCTCATATAATTAACTTCAGTTAATCATTGATTGAGAATCTACTGAATGCAAGACTTTATGCCGGGGCCCGGGTGTTTATAGAGGTATATAATTTGGTTCCAGAATTTTAAAAACTTAAATTATAATTAGAAAAACAGACTATTTGGATAAGCACACATGTAAAGTACAAATGGCAAATGAGTTACAGTTAATACATAAAAAATGTGTCTTTGGCAATGACATAACTGGGTGGGAAACCACCTGGATGGGAGAACAGGAACACCCACATTCTGTCTCAGGCAGCTACTCTTTTCAAGTCATGCATCTCTGCAGGGACTCAAACCCCGGGGCATAACTCCAGGGAGGTGACTGGTCCCTGTGGAGAACTCCCTTACCTTAAGGTGTAGTTTCTCCGAATGGCCTAGAAACAAGGCAAAGAAGCTCTGACCTTGACTCAACCACAGACCTTCCCACACACCAAAGAGAAAGACGTCAGAATCTGAGCAAGACTGGGTCACAGTGCTGAAGACCTTGGAGAAAAAAAAAAAAAAAAAAGCAAGACTGAAGACGCAGGTTACTACTGCCATTTCCCAGAGTTCTAGAAGCACCATCCAATACAGTTAGGGAAAGAAGAGATATAAAAATTGGAAACAAGGCAAAATGATCATGATTTATTAAGACTGCAACTGTATTTTTAGATAGCTCAAGATGATTACCCCCAAATCTGGGAACTAGAGAAAGCATCGAAAAGTGGTTATTTTATTAAAGTACACAATAGTTTTAATATAAACAAACAATAACCAGATGGGAAATATAATACAAGAACTACCTTATATACCACAGCAGGTAAAAAAAAAAAGGTAATATATAAGAAATGTAGAAAATATATACACAGAAAAATTTTAAATGACTGCATAATGTAACAGAAAGTTTATCTTATTCTTGGAAAAGAAAATAGTAATATAAAGTCAACTATCTCTAAGTTAGTTTGTACATTTTATGTTACCTCAATAAAATAGTATTTTTTAATGGTAGGAATTTTATAGAATGATACTGGAATTAAAAGGAATGAATGCAAAGAAAATTTCTGAGGGAAATAAAATAGTAAGTAGTGAGAGAGACTAACAGACATTAAAGCCTATAAATGAATAAGGTCCCATTTTCTTCTGGAGAGTAAATAATCAGGAGATTCAGTGAACAGAAGACGGAATCCACAAAGACACTCACTTATGCTTATTTATTATCTTCTTATATATATACATATTTTTATTATACTTTAAGTTCTAGGGTACTTGTGCACAATGTGCAGGTTTGTTACATATGTATACATGTGCCATGTTGGTGTGCTGCACCTATTAACTCGTCATTTACATTAGGTATATCTCCTAATGCTATCCCTCCCCCCTTCCCCCACCCCACAACAGGCCCCAATGTGTGATGTTCCCCTGCCTGTGTCCAAGTGTTCTCATTGTTCAATTCCCACCTATGAGTGAGAACATGCAGTGTTTGGTTTTTTGTCCTTGCGATAGTTTGCTGAGAATGATGGTTTCCAGCTTCATTCATGTCCCTACAAAGGACATGAACTCATCATTTT
The DNA here is from genome assembly GCF_000001405.40 of Homo sapiens. Lineage (NCBI taxonomy): Eukaryota > Metazoa > Chordata > Mammalia > Primates > Hominidae > Homo > Homo sapiens. Next base: position 101,340,655 of record NC_000008.11, on the reverse strand, counting down.
TTATGGTTGCATAGTATTCCATGGTGTATATGTGCCACATTTTCTTAATCCAGTCTATCTGGCTTATTTATTATCTTATAAAAGTAGCATTCCAAACTAGTTGGACAAGTTAGATTATTCAAGAAATTGTGGGAAAACTGACCAGCTCCTTGGAAAAAACATAAAGCTAGATTCCTGTCCTACTCCTCATATAAAAATAAATCCCAAATAGGACAGAGATTTCAACATTAAAAAAAAAAAGACCATAGAAGTGAAAACTAAAATACAATCTGAGTGGCATAGTGAAATACAAGACCTGGAACCATAAGGCAAGTATTGATAACTTGTACAACAAAATGCCCCAAATCCAGAACACTGACAACACCAAATGCTGATGAGGGTGTAGAGCAACAGGAACTCTTATTCCTTGCTACTGATTATGCAAAATGATACAACCAGTTTGGAAGACAGTTTGGGGGGTTCTTACAAAACTAAAGGTACTCTTACCATATAATCCAGCCACTGCACTCCTTGGTATTTACCCAGAGGAGCTGAAAACTTACATCCACATAAAATGTAGCATATAAGCCAGTCACGGTGACACGTGCCATAACCCCAGCTACTCAGAGGCTGAGGCAGGAGGATCATTTGAGCCCAGGAGTTTGAGGCTATAGCTCTGATCACACCTGTGAAGAGCCGCCGCACAGCAGCCTGGTCAACAAAGTGAGATCCTGTCTCTAAAAATAAAAATAAAAAAACAAAACAACACCTGCACATGGGCGTTTATAGGAGCTTTAATTGTAATTGCCCAAACAAGATGTTAATAGGTAAATGGATAAACTGTAGTACATCCAGACAATGGACTATTATTTATCACTAAAAAGAAATAAGCCTTAGCCGGGCGTGGTGGCGGGCTCCTGTAGTCCCAGCTAATAGGGAGGCTGAGGCAGGAGAATGGTGTGAACCTGGGAGGCGGAGCTTGCAGTGAGCCAAGAGCGCGCCACTGCACTCCGGCCTGGGTGACAAAGAGAGACTCCGTCTCAAAAAAAAAAAAAAGAAAAAGAAAAAAGAAAAAAAAAAAAAAAAAGAAACAAGCCATCAAGCCATGAAAATATATGGAGGAAACTTAAATGCGTATTACTAAGTTAAAGAAGCCAATCTGAAAAAGCTTCCGTTATTCCAACGATATGACATTCTGGAAAAGGCCAAACTATGAAGACAGTAAAAAGATCAGTGGTTAGCAGGGGTTGGGAGGTTGTGGGGAGAAGGGGCAAGAGGCAGAGCACAGAGGATCTATACGGCAGTGAAACAACTCTCTGTGGTACCGTAATGGTGGATACATGCCATTGAACATTTGTCCAAACCCATAGAATGTACAACACCTAGAGTGAGCTTTAAGATAAACTCTGGACTTCGGGTGATAAGTATGTCAATATAGGTTCACCAATTGTGAG